>NC_000019.10:29740874-30365874 GCF_000001405.40 Homo sapiens | reverse complement strand
CAAATTCAACCAGAGATTTCGTAGCTATTATTATCCAGGACAAAGCTAAATATAATATGTTATGGGAAAAAGTGTGCCTACTTAAAAACTATTAAAGTCCACAAGCAGGTGGTTCTCACTCTGGAAAAACTCCAAAATTAGGTGTGGGAATGCTGGAAGTGGCCAGCTTAGAGCTAAGGAGTCAGTCCTCTCATTCCCCGCAGAAGCAGAGCCTCACAGGGAGTGCCTGGGAAGGTTACCTCCACGGGAGTCCTTGCTACACGGGACCTGGTGGTCAGCTGGGTTGTCTGAAGCAGACGTGGGCTTCGTGGCCCTTGCCTGCATTCATAGAAGTGGCAATGCTATGTTCAAGCACACCAGGGATTCCCTGGGCAGCATCTTCCCCCCACCAAAGCTGTGTGGGAAGCAGGAAATACTCCTAGAAAGAACTGCAATGGCTGTTCCTGCCTCTTGCAGGGGCAACAAGCACTAGCAAGTCCCTTCCCTTCTAAAGGAGAGAGAGGGGGAGGAAGAGAGAGGGAAGAGAGAAAGACAACAGAGAGGGGAGGGGAGAAGGAAAGTTTGGGGAGGAACAGGGACAGGAGGAAAAAGATGAAGAAGAGAAAGAACAAGAGCATCAGAGAGACAGAGAGAGAGAGAGAGCACATGCCTATCTAAAGACCAAATGCTGGCGCAAGTCCTTTTCAGGAAGAAAAATTTTAAAATGCATGAACTCTATTTATACCCTGAGTAAACAAGATAATTACGTGTTCATTTCATAAGTTGTGCCTTGATTTCAGATCACTAGTGACCATGAATGTTTGGATTTCATATAAGCATGTTTAAAAGCCACGGGTCTTGACCCTCTGACCAGGAAGCTAAGCTTAGTCAACACTTTTCACACTGTGATCAAGGCGTAAAGCGCAGAGTTGAACAAACTAACATTTTACTCTTGGAACTGAAGTATAAGCAGGAGAACTGATGAATCTGCTAATTTTTCCATTGTTCTTGCCTGCTCTTGACATTGGCATATACCCCTTGTATCACCCAAAGTACCTCTTTTGTATACATATGAAAAGAAAAACGCATATGACCCTGATGAATATAAAGGGTGTTTTTCTTTTCTAAAGAGTCATCACTTTTTGCTGTTACCTTAAGGCCAAGTTGCTTGTATACAGTTCATGCCCTGGCCTGAGAGCGTGCTGGGACTGCCTGCAATGCACCCTGTGCAGGCTGGACACTTTCTGGACACCCCAAACTTAGCTTGTCCCAATTTCCATCTTTCTTCCTGCAGTCACTATAAGCCTCAATCGAGAGAAAGGCAACAGCAAGTTCTGCAAGAGGCTGGTGAAGTGATTCTCTTTTATTTTTATTTTTTAAGACAGGATCTTTCTCTGTCATCCAAGTTGGCATGCAATGGTGGGATCTTGGCTCACTGACCCCTGGGCTCAAGCCATCCTCCCACCTCAGCCTCCCGAGTAGCTAGGATTGCAGGTGCACGCCACCATGCCCAGCTAATTTTTGTATATTTTTGTAGAGATGGGGTCTCCCTATGTTGTCTAAGCTGGTCTTGAACTCCTAGGCTCAAGTGATCTGCCCACCTCAGCCTCCCAAAATGCTGGGATTACAGACATGAGCCTCTGTGCCTGGCTAGGGTGACTCTCTTTCTCCCATTCCCACTTTCCCTGTGTCAGTTCAGCAAATGGTTTTCTAGCGGCTCCATTCTTGGCTATATCCCAGTGAGTCACAAATACCTTAATTGGGCACACAGCTTTGTTCACCGTGGGGCTCCAGCCTACACCTCCACGCTTGCCTGCTCTTATGCTATATCCTATACATCTCACACCTGTATCCTAAGTTCCAATGAAACAGAGATGCTTAACATTCTCCAACACACCTATCTGCCCTCAGTTTTTCCAGATTCCCCCTCTCTTGCATCTGCTGGGAATGACCACTTCAATTCCCCCTCCTAAATCTGCAAATGCATCTGACAAACCCCTGCCTTCTGCAAGAAGCTTCTCTCTTGCCTTCTCCCATCTCGATTGGTGAATATTTTCCTGGTCTCTCAAGGTCCAGCTCCAAGGCCAGCCCTTCCATGAAGCTCTTCCTGGCCTCAAAACTAGCCCAGTTTTTCCTCTCTTTAAATGATTGCACAGTGCTGAGCACAGAGGAAGTGCACAACAATTATTAGCTCCTTTATTATCAGTCAACAATTTATTCTTATTGCTTTTATTAACTGATCTCTCCATCTCGCCTGAGAATTCATGGCTCTCCATTGAATCTCGGAGGTGGCACTGGTTGTGTTCTACTTTGCGATGTGGTTTGTGATGTGTAGGTTCTTCCCGTCTGTAGCTGTAGCCCATCATTGCCTAGGATGGTGGTTCCGGGTAGAGTAGCCAGGCTCTGTGTATGCTTCTGCCAGCTCAGAGTGTACTGAAAAAGTGCGCACCTTACTTCCCTACAGGCAACGTCCTTTTAGGCTCAGTTGTCAGTTTTCAATGAATTCTCAGGTCCCCGCGAATCCACAGCCCTGGTGATAGGCTGCCTCCTGAGAAAACTCAAGGGGTCACAACAGCAGTGCCACCGAGGGTCATCCAGACTTCAGTGCTAACTGAACATACATGCTGCCGATGCTAGGTGCACAGAAGATCTGGATTGCAGCGCTCTGGGCAGGTGGGGAATAGGTCGGGAAATACTGTGTCCCCCTCCTTTTGTCAGCCTAGAGTTCCAGGGAGCTTGTCCCAGCCCACCACGTCATAAAGACCTGCTGCACGAGAGCCACGTCAAAGTTTTTCCTTAATTTCAAACCCCAATTTCTCTCACACTTTTTTTTTTTTGAGATGGAGTCTCGCTGCGTTGCCCAGGCTGGAGTGCAGTGGCACAATCTTGGCTCACTGGAACCTCTGCCTCCCGGGTTCAAGCGATTCTCTGGCCTCAGCCTCCCAAGTAGCTGAGACTACAGGCACGCACCATCACGCCTGGCTAATTTTTGTATTTTTAGTAGAGACGGGGTTTTACCTTATTGGCCAGGCTGGTCTCAAACTCCCAGCTTTGTGATCTGCCCACATCGGCCTCCCAAAGTGCTGGGATTATAGGAGTGAGCCACTGCCCCTGGCCTCTCACACTCATAAACAAGAACCAAGAACCAATGGTAAGCCCAACAGTCCTTTGTGGGGAGGAGAAAGAAAAAATCTTGATTTGGCCTTGCTGGAGGCTAAACCTCAAACATTCCAGGCCTGTGGAAGGAAGTCCTTCAAGGACCAAGGTTCTTGAAGGAGTAGGCTTGGCAAAGGAAACTCTCCAGGCAAATGAGTCATGGTGGGAGTAGCTGGGTCAAGACAGGAGTAGCTGCCCCTGCACGACTTCCTTCCACAGGCCTGGAGCCAAGAGTCGTAGAACAGCAGGGAAGTGGCCAGAATGTCTGCACCATGGACAGTGGAGCCAGCCCTACCTGGAGGCCCTTTGCTTCTTTGGAGTCCAGGCCTAGTACTTTCTGCAAAGTGGCCTCCTAGAGGACCAGACTGCATCATGCTGTTCCCAGCTGACTACCTTTACAACAAAGTGTTGAGATGCGGCTCTCATCTTCCGGAGCTCACTAGGAAAGCCGCCCGCCTCTGCCTGGAGGACTAGCACACCTCTGCCCCTGGCACAATTGCCACTGCAAGTATCTGAAAACCCTTGGACAGGGCCTTGAGAGTGGCAGCTCCCAGACTCAGAGGAGCTTTGGTTCCAGGGAGGCTGGGCCATGGACGATGGTGAAGTTGAAATGTTTCAAACTGAGATCCAACCCAGATCTCTCTTCCTGCACTTTCTCAACTGCCCGTGCCCCACTGTGCGAAACAGACAGACACCCGCAGTACAGTAGGACCAGCAGCAGCAGTGAGGCGTCATGGGTTAATGTGCCTCCTTTTTTAGTTGGTGGTGTCTATTTGCAAAGCTGACCTAATGCACGGCCTCACAGCTCTCGACCTCTGAAGGGCCAAGAGGGACACAGGAGCCTTTGTCTTATGTCAAACAAAAGGCAAAGTCACAGCGGAGTGGACCCTGAAGTGATGTGGGATGCCCGCCCCACCCACCCCACCCTGGAGGACGCCTGCCTTGCCAGGCCGCCCGCAGGGGCAGATTCAGAGTGAACGTGGCAGAAGAAATTTACGTCCAGGCTCAACCCCACCACCCACCTGGTCCCCACTCTTTGGAAGGTCCTACTCTGAGTGGCACATCCCAAGCCCAGAGAGAAGTGGCATTTCTCTGCACCAACAGCTGGCACAAAGAGAAAGACCTCCAAAAAGAAGGGTCCATGGCGCGTGTTTGACGCCTTCATGGAAGCCAGTCATTTCCACTTCACCAGGCCTCTCCCCGGATGCCCTCCCTCCATAGCAAAGCCCCCCAAATCTCTAACAATTGGACCCTCATTACAAAGCAAAAAGCACCATAATTAGCTCCATAAAGTAATCAAGCCCCATTAAAGGGAAAAAAATATGACATAAAGCTTTTGTTTCCAGAAGTGAAAAAAAGAAGGCTTAAAAAAAAAGAAAAGAAAAGAAAAAAGAAAAAGAAGAGAAAAAAAGAAGGAAGGAAAGAGAAGAAAATCCAGCAGCAGTAGCAGCATCAAGGATTCCAGAAAAGGAGAAGCTGTCGCCCAGGCACACAGGGAGAGTTCTCCCGTCGGGTGCCGAATGGCAAGAAGGGTTAAATTTATGTTCCATTACAAGTCCCCTTTTTTTTTGGTTTCATCTTCTCAGTAAAACACATAACTTAAAATGAAATCAAATATTAAAAATGACAGACTATATAAGTGCTGTGAGTAACTTCAGGTCACGGAGGGAGGGAAAAGCCGGCAAGTTGTCAGGCACTATCTGTCAGAGTGAATTAGAAACAATCAACAGAGACTGAAAGGGAAGGTGATTGTTATTAAGCAGCAGGGCTGTGAGCAGGCTACCCAGATGTGGTCATGCATATAAAGGACAGGAAACAGCAGTTTAATTCAGGAAGCCCTGGCGAACAGGGCAGCAGAGAGGAGAAAAGTCCTTTGTCGCTAATAAGCTGGAAGTTACTTTGATAACAGCAGGGTTAGACTCGAGAATAAAACACATTTCTTTCACTACCACACACCATTAATATCGCAGAAATGTGGTCAGAAGAAATGCCCAGTGCAAGGCGGGCTTAGCCAGTGGTCTTCCCCAGCAGAATCCTGGGAAGTCGGACCCCGAGTCCCCATTTCAGCAAACGCCTTCCCTCCTTCCAAGGCCAGGCTCTTTCTGACCGCGTCAGACCGACTATCACCTTCCAGAAATGTCATCTGACCAAAAAAGAATACTGATCGTGTTTCATTATTTCCTGGCGTCAGACACTCCCATCTCTGTGGCCTGTGGGAAAGGTGCAAGCCCTGTAAACAGCCTCGATATAATAAAGTCCATGCATGCAGCAACAAAAAACAATTTTATATGCAGACAAGGCCCGATTTCATAAGAAATTACTTATGCAGGCGTTCTGCAATTATCCTGTGATACTTTCAGGCAACAGTCTGACAGCAGTTGTGCAAACAATAAAGGGATTACAGAAATAAAAACAAATAATATTACACACACAGAAACTCCATGTTGCATGTGAACAGGATGAAGGGAGAGTACAGAAATCAAGGGAGCCGGGCAGGGGCCAACAGGAGGTGAGGCCCAGAGCCGAGCCGACCCCTTCCCAAGCACTTTCACTACGCCCAAGCTCGCTGCGTGGTACTTTCGGTAGAAGGAAATGCTCAGCAGCTATCTGGGGGCCTGCCCCGATCTCCTCCCCCAGCTCTGAAGATGCTGGGCCACCTGCTTGCCTCTCTGACCCGCAGACTCTTCATATGGGGGAAGCTGAGGTCTTTGGCTCCCTTTGAGGAAGGAGAAGAGTCTGGACCAGGAAGAGGTGAGCAATAGGTGGGCAGGGCAGCCCTGACACTTTCTCTCACTCAGCAGGTGGCCTCATACCACAGAAAGCATCTTGTCCTTCTGCCTGTCCCAGGGTCAGTGTAGGCCCTGGGTCAACTGCCCCTGTCCAGTTGCAGCCCAGAGAAAGCTTCAGTCAGCATGGTGAAGGATCAGGACCTCCACCAAATGAAGGGGAGAAAAGTCAGTGGATCAGCTACACGTGAGGGCAGAATCAGACTCAGAGGAGGCAGAAGTGTTTTCCCAAGCAGCCCTTACCCAAGTGGTGTGGGGAGGGGTCGTCCAACTGCCCACAAGGATGGAACTTGGCCATCCCCTCCCTCATCCCCACTGCCGACATTGATAGGATGGGTGGGCACCCTGTAACTCAGGTGCCGGGGAGACAGGAAGGAAGGTGGAACCAGATGCCTGCAGAGGGGCATCCTGACTGCCTCCCCCAGAAGATAGGGACTTCTGCATTGCTGCCCACATCTGAGCAACGGCCTTACCCCATGCAGTCAGGAACGGTCGCTGGCCTCCCTGTGGCGCAGCCATATTCAGCAGCAGGAGAACTCAGGGCCAGGAGAAGCGTGGGGCCAGGGACCTGCAATGCTCCAAGCCATTTGCACCTCATACACTCCAGACCAGGCTGTCCCGGGGGCAGCTCAGGGCCGCACTGGCCACTCCTTGCAGAGAGCCCTCCCCACACCATGCACACTGTGTCTGCCCCTGTGCTCAGGAATCACCAAATACAGGCCCCAGCTCCAGCCAGTCCACACACACACTTGTGTTTACACAAAGTGTTTTGAAAACTTGAATTTGTTACCAACAACAGAGACAAATTTTTAAAAAGAACTGGATTCCTTTTTTTCTGACTTTTAAAACTCCGAAAACCTGGACAAACTCGGCCCACACTCCTAGGCGGCTGCAATGGATGGAAGCTAGGTGGTAGTGGCGGTCCCTTTTGATGGGCCGGCTTTCCCCAGGCTGCTGTGTGCACACTCAGCTCCATGCATTTGCCAATTGCACTCTGAATTTGGGGCTATGACAGCTCCCCAAGAGTGAAGAGACCTGCCCAGGTCACACAGTGACAGGGTGGGCCATAGGAACACATTCAGGAGCAGAGTCCAAAACGTGCCCCAGCCTGAGCTGCTTCAGCCTTGATTGTCTTTGTCCAAAACTTTCATGGTCTGACCCTAAAATGGGCCTGCTGGAATCCCTGAAGGGCATCCGAAATCACCTGTCCAGATACCAGAAACTCAGGGCCAGCGTCCTGGCCTGATTGCATCCCGAGTATTGGCACAAGTTAGACTTGGACAGACCTTGGGTCTTGCCATTCCTGCATATCAGAAAATTCAGAAAGAAATGTGGATTTGTCATATATTTGGTTTGCTTAAACCACAATGCAACAAGTTCTAATGATTACAAGTTTCAGAAGCAAGGGGGCTAGTCAATCAACACAACAGTGATTGCTAACCACTCAGTGGGCCAGGAACGGCCCTAGGGGCTGTGAGAGCTACTGAGATGGAGAAGACACAAACCCCACCACCCAGACACAAGCTGGAGCCTCAGTTTACCACAAGTGGCCCCCAAACTGTCTGGATCTGCCTGGGCATCCCGGGGGAGGTGAGGAGGGCCTACTGTGTTCAGGTGAGAACTGAGCTGGACATAAACATAAATGCGTGGGTTCTGGTTCTGGCTCTGCTAATGATTTGCTGTATGATCCTGGGCCAGTCCCTTACCCTCTCTGAGCCCCGGCCTTCTCACCCATAAAAGGAAGGTGGCTTTGATCATAAAGGTTTCTGCTAACCCAAGGGTTCCATAAGCCTAGGAATGATCTAGAATTCAGGAGGACAGTACCACTTGGCAATAATACCTGCACTGCCCAAGGGAAAGAGGCCTAAACTATAAGCACCAAGACTCTTTACCCTTAAACTCACCCTGCGTGCATGATGACCCATGATGACCCATAATGACCCAGTTTCCCTGCAGTGAACAGGAGATGTCTGCAACTCCCTGAGGGTCACTCTTCTCTTCTGGGCACAGACTTAGCCAAACCAAGCCTCCCTGATCAAAGGAAGAAGCAGAGTCTGTACAAGGAAGAGGTGAGCAATAGTTGGGCAGGGCAGCACAGCTGGACTCTGTGGGCTGATGTGGGACCTGAGGTGAGAGAAGTTAAGCGGCCTGTGATACCTTCCAGAAGCCCTCTGCCTGTCACTCTCCCCAGGCGCCCACAGCTGGGAGGCTCAGGCCTCCCGGGGCTGCACAGAAAGCTCATGCCAGGGCCTGAGGAGCTACCGGGCCCTGCTGCTTCAAGAGCAGGATCCCCAGTGCTGCTGTCCATCTTTCTTGCACCGAAGAGCCTGAAATCCCTAATTCCCAGCTTTGGACAAATCACCAGCTCATCCCTCCAGAGGAAAACGAAGGCCACCAAGAGCCAATCCAAGCCACTCATTCCTGGCACCTAGGAGCATCTCCGCACCCGAAAAGGGTTTCTCAAGACACTCCCTCTGGTTAAACATGAAAGTTCACACTCATCAGCATGGCCTACAAAGCCACGCCTGATAAAGGCCCTCCACCCCACCCATCCTCTCCCCAGGGATCACTGTCTGGCCACGCTGGCCTACACGCTGTCCCTTAGACATGCCACGCTCTTCCCCGCCATGAGGCCTTTGCACATGCTGTTCTTTCTGCTCCAATGCTCTTCCCAGAACTTCACCCTGCTCTGGCCCCTCCATGTCCTCCAGACCTCTAGCTACCAGCGTCCCTTCCTTAGGGGGGCCTCCCCTGACCACCTACCCTCTCTCAAGTACAGATACTACCCCTGTCCTTCCCCACCCATTCTCCTGCTTCATTTTCTTATGCATTTATTGCTCTGTGATGTCATCATATCCACTGGTTTCCTTGTTTACTGCTCCCCACCCTCAACGCCCATATTATCAGTCCTCTGAGGACAGGGCCCTTGTCTGTCTTGTCCAACATTGTGCCCAGTGCAAGAGCTAAGAGTTCAGGCTCTAAAATTGGGAAGAACCATGCTCGAACCACCAGGTTTGAGGCAGGAAGAAGGGATCAGGCTCTGAGGTCAGGAAGAGCTATGCTCAGACCTGGCCCTCCCAGGTTTGGGGCAGGCCACTTCTCTGGCCTCAGATCCCACATCTGGAAAATGGAATGAATCATACTATCTACTACCTGCTAGGGGATTTGGGAGGATTAATTGAGATGATATCAAGAAATGCACATGCGAGAATGAGCTCCACTCTATCTTCTCTCTAGAGTTAAAATTATCTCTGATTTTGGTTTTCTCCCTGGGAAAGTGTCCACCGTGGGACCTTACACACCGATCTCATTCAGCAGCTACAAAGGAGTTTGCTGGGATCTTTTCTTCCAAAAGCCCAGAGATCTCATGGTGAAGATCGAATATGATGCAAAGCCCCATAGACATGTGCATGGCTTATCATCATTATCACATAGAAATTACAATTATTCACTCCCTCCTCTGTGCTCCCAAAGTACCACTCCTGCAGCATTTAACTAAGGTAATTACTGCTGCAGGAAGGATGTTGACTCACTCATCTGTACCAGGACGGAGGGGCTGACTCGGGACAGCCCAGCCCACCGCAGGATCAGCACCTGAAGTGCAGACTGCCCAGGGTCCCCAGAGTCCTGCAAGTGCCTGGGACACAGTTTGTCTGTTACATAAAAGGAGGGTTCTATAGGCTCTGAGTGCCTTTCCTTCTGGAAGTCACTGGGCCTCCCAACCTGAACATGAGGTCTTTCTAAAGGATAAAGCTATAGAAGGCTGGACAACCATGCCCTGAAATTCTGCCTCCAATCTTTGCAAAGAGCTCTCTGGAAATCTACATTGTGGTGGGACATGAAATCATTGTCTGATGTGTGTGATTTATTTAGTTACCAACGGTTGCCTCAATGTTTATGTAATCAGTGCTTAAGAGTGGCACTCTGGGCCAGGCACAGTGGCTTACATGTGTAATCTCTGCACTTTGGGAGGCAGAGGCAGGTAGATGCTTAAGCCAGCTGTCCGCAGGCTTTTTGGCATCAGGGACCAGTTTTGTGGAAGACAACTTTTCCATGGATTGGGAGGCGGTGAGAGTTTCGGGTGAAACTGTGCCACTTTAGATCATCAGGCATTAGATTCTCATAAGGAGCACGCAACCTAGATCCCTCACATTCGCAGTTCACAATAGGGCCTGGGATCCTATGAAAATCTAATGCAGCCACTGACAGGAGGTGGAGCTCAGGCAGTAACACTCAATCACCTGCAGCTCAGCTCCTGCTTGACAGCCCAATTACCAACAGGCCACAGACAGTACCAGCCCATGGCCCAGAGGCTGGGGACCCCTGGTTTAAGCCCAGGAGTTCAAGACCAGCCTGGGAAAAATGGCAAAACCACATCTATACAAAAAAAATACAAAAATTAGCGAGGCACGGTGGGAGGCACTTGTAGTCCTAGTTACTTGGGAGGCTAAGGCACGGGGATCGCATGAGCCCAGGAGGTCGAGGTTGCAGTGAGCCAAAATCACGCCACTGCACTCCAACTGAGTGACACAGTGAGACCCTGTCTCCAAATGAAAAAGTAAAATAAAATAAAACAACGAGACCCTGCCTCGTGAGTGGTTTAACACCATCCCATTGGTGATGAGTGAGTTCTCACTCAGTTGGTTCACACAAGATCTGGTTGTTTAAAAGAGTCTGGGACCTCCCCCACCCCTTCCCTCGCCGCCTCTCTCACCCTGTGATGCTCCTGCTTCTCCTTCACCTTCCACCGTGAGTAAAAGCTCCATGATGCATCACCATCATGCAGTTGCAGAAGCTGAGCAGATGCTGGCGCCATGCTTGTACAGCCGGAAGAACCATGAGCCAAATACACCTGCTTTCTTTATAAATCACCCAGCCTTGGGTATTTCTTTACAGCATCAAAAACAGGGCCTAATACATAAGACTCCAAAAGGACAAGTGTCTAGTGCAAAGAATCGGGAGGGCATTGATGAAGAGAAGCACCAAGAGTCCCAGCAGGAAACTCTGAAAGTCCAGAAAAGGCTCTGGGGCTGAATTAGCCTACTTCCAACCCATTCTTAACCAGCTCATCCAAGGTCCAGACTACCTGGGGCAGGATTCAACTTCAGGGCCCAAGAAGCCTGTGGTCTAGAGCCTGAAAGTCAGCGAGGGGCAGGGAGGATGGTGCTCACATGTTCTCTGCCTGTTTCTAATACCTGCCCCCTTTCTTGGTCTCCAGGGGACAAAATTTATTTTTGGATACAAAGTCTCAATCCTCCTTCCAGTTCATGTGACCCAGAAATTATTCCAGGATGTATATTTCCAGTCTGGGAAAATCTCCCTACCTTTATGTGGCCAATCCCACAGAACACGTAATTGTTCTTTATCTTCTAGGAGGCCCACAGCATGCCAGGGCAGTTAATTTTTTAAAATGCATGCCATGATCAGGTGTAGTAGATCACGCCTGTAATTCCAATACGTTGGGACGCCAAGGAGGGAGGATTGCTTGAGCCCAGGAGGTCAAGGCTGCAGTGAGCCATGACTGCACCACTGCCCTCCAGCCTGGGTGACAGAGCAAGACCCCATCTCTACGAAAATAAATACATCAATAAAATAAAATGCATCCCTCTGTGTCAGGGAATCTGATGAGGCTGGAGCTACTGTCTATTCTACAGAGTCCAAGAAGCCCATCCAAAGGATATCTGTGTCTCATTCCCAGAGGACACACATGTCCCTTCTCCTCCTCCCGCTCTCTGTGTCAGAGAATCTGATGAGGCTGGAGCTACTGTTTATTCTACAGAGTCCAAGAAGCCCATCCAAAGGATATCTGTGTCTCATTCCCAGAGGACACACATGTCCCTTCTCCTCCTCCCCCTCGGTCTCCACCCTGTCAGGCACCTGGGCAGGTAGTTCATCCTTCTCTTCCCTACCCATCCCGATTGGGATCAGGGGAAATGGCAGCTTTCAGCACCTTCTCCATCTCGGGAGGCAAGCAGAGTGGAATGTTCCAGAACAAACTGATGTACTCACTGCCCCCGGAGGAAGCCAGTCTTACCCTTCTCCCCTACCTGAGGCCTGAGGCATGGATGCTAAACTGGGCCTTCCAAAACTGTGAGCATCCGCGTGGCAGAATCCTCACCATCAATGTAGCAGCTAAATATTGTAAGGCTCCTAACTCCTCCATCTGTGTTTTGCCTCCCAAGAGGGAAAATAGTCTTCGCAGACATTCCCTTATCTGGCAGGCAGATTCTAAACCTTACTGGCAACTGCAGGCTTGTTTTCCCAACCAAACAGCTATGGAACCAAAAATTGCTCCTGCCGGCGATATGCTGTGGAAGGAACTAGCCAAACAGCTCAGTCTGGAAGCCCGGGGCCCGGAAGCCTGTGGGTTGTCACCATGCCTAGGGGAGACCCAGTGCTCTGAGAAGTCACCGGTGCCAGGGGGGGGCTGCTCATCCACTGATGGAAGCGACCACTGCTGGTGTTCGCTGTTCCTTTTTCTTAACACGAAATACACCCACCAAGAAACTGACGGAAAACACTCACCACAGTGTGAAATCAACACTTTCTAACTCAAATAAAGGGGGTAAAAAAAGGAAAACTTCCCACTCTTACGCTGCAGATATTTTTCTCCTACGATATTACACGAGGCCGTAGCACCACCACTGTCTCGTGCTCTGCCTTCAAGTGCACCTCGGAGCCCCAGACCCTTGCTTCTCAATTTATGGTACTTCCCTGAATTTTTCTTATCCCTTCCGATTCTTAATACCGGAACCCGGCACCTGTGCAATTGCTAATAAACCAATATCTGATGATAACCGTGGAAGCCTAATTGATAGAGGCTTTTATCGACTGGCCTTGATGTCTACCTGAGGTTCTCAACAGCCAAGATTTAAATGTTTCATTTTATTTTTAACTTTCACTTTTCCACATTTCAGCGATGTCAGGCAAAGAAGTATGGTTTTACTATCAGAATGAATCATGGTGCAGAATAATTTATGACTTCAGCTTGGGCTTTCAGAAAAGCTATTTCAAATCTTCACTTTGATTTGGTTGTATCAAAACTACTCAAAATAACAGCAGCACTTTCTTGGAACCAGAATATGTTAGCAGCACCTCAGGATTTTGCAATGAAGCCCCATCTTTATCTCAGAAGAAAACTTCAGAAAGGCCTTAAGCCACAGAGGAGAAAATAACATTTTTTCACGATCTCTTTGTGCCTCTTCCCCACCCATCCCCAAACACACCCAAACCACAAAGGAATACCTCCCCCATGGGGAAAGGCCCTGCCAGCCACCACTCACCGAGAGCTTACTGGGCAGGTACGGGACTCCTATCTGGGTTGGGGAGAGGGTACAAGGAAGCCCCTGGCCGGGGGCAGGAGACAGAGGAGCTATTTGGTTTAGATTTGTGTTTGGTCAACGCAACAAGGCAGAAGGAAATGAGGTATGTCTGGGAAGAAGAAGGAGTTCTAATATCGTAAGACTTACCTTAGCAGCTTAACTGCATACTTGTCTTAAGGACTGTCAGTCTGGTGAGAAAATGCCCCAGAAAGGATAAAGTTGGTGCAGGCACTGACAGATTGCAAGAGGGGGCGTCCCCGTTCCCTATCACAAAAGGAAATATAGAAAGAAATGATGTAAAGTGAAATGTAACAAATTCACCAAATCACAGCAATATGCAGAGGTCAAGGAAATTCAACGGAAAAGGTTAAAGATGAAATCAAATCCGGTGTATGAGAATGGAAATCTATCCCCATGCAAGGCCACCGGTGACGTGCTGTAGACAAGAAGCTAAATACTGCCTAGCACTGGGATCTTTCATTTTCATCAGATCAATAAAAGCTTATATTTATCAGGATTCCAAGCAGCTGCCACTTCTGACAACCTCCACTTTATTTTCTCACTCCTTGTGCTCTATCAGGGCAAAGAGGAGAGGAGAAGCAGCTTTTAATGCTATTTACACCTGAAGACACAATTCCATTAAGAGGTCCTGTTTTGTTAAAGAAACAGGGATTGATATGATTATATTGGCAGGAGCGGGAAGTCCCTTTGTTCTTCTCCCCCATGTTTTCCCCTTTGCAATCCAGACCCAGCAAGAAGATTTCCTAACATGAAGTCCATGTGCGAGCACTTTTTTGTTCAAACTTACCATTTACCAAGAGAGGACAGGCTTTCTGCTAAAACAGTTACCACTCTAATCATCTGTACAACAATATTTGCTATCAGGCATTCTAAATAGATTATCACCAGTCCATCTGTGTCATTATTGATTTATAAGGCTTTAAGCAGCTTTAGAATGGAAGCTTTCCCACTGAGGGGTTTCTTGTATAAATCAGAGCCGTGCTCAAATATAGCAGCCATCACTCAAGATATTGTTCTTAAAATCATAACAAGAAGGAGAAAATGATAAATTGCTTGTAATATACTGATCCAAACTGATATGCAAATCTTGTTTTTTAAATATATTACTTGAGTAAAAAGAGGCATCATTAACATATGAATGCTATATGCAAATGATAGTGACAGAGCAGATGTTGGCGCATGTAATTGACCTATATGTGAATTGCATCAGAACCCTTAACTCTATTAATTCACTACCCAGTAACTAGATATTGTCCAAAAAGTGCATTCTTTGAAACCATATACTGGAAGCAAAGCTGACAGGGTTCCAAGGATTCTGAAACAAGGTCACTGTCACTAGTATTTTGCTGTCATCTGCATTCCCCTTCTTATAGATGACATCATCATGTGGCCGTGTAAATCGATCACTTAATAGCATTTAGAAAATACTGCAGTGGGGAACAGGTTATAAAAAAAATGCCCCAGTTTTATTCTTTTTCTTGGCAGAAATGTCATACCTCTTAAACTGAGGGTTTGTGCATGAGTGCACAGTGAAACACACAGATGCCATTTTATTCCCCGTCTTTATTTTTCCACTTCTTCTCAGAATGACATTAAATTGTATTAAATAGCCTTTTGTCCACAGGGCACAGACCACCCCGCATATGATAATGTATTAATGCCCCACGTTCCAGCCACTGAGCTGAAACATTCTGAGACTTGGAGGATAAGTATGAAGCACCATTGTGTGTATAGCCTGCTAACAACTGTGACACATACTAATAGAAACATACCTAATAAATTACTGCTTTCAGGTCTAGCAAGCTGACATTTCTCTGCAAGGGACAATTTTATATTTGTGGCACAGAACAAAATTGCTTCATATGAAGCCACTGTGGATTAGCATAAAAATTAACACTTAAATTTCAGCTTATTTTCCACCCTCTCCTCCTGCCACAACAATCAATTCCTCTTATAAATCTGATTAGATTTTATGATGCTTATTATTCAGAGCATGTCTCAACACAGCATTCACAGGCTTGAAGACTATTTGTTTAAATAGAAAAAAGAAGCAGATAAATCTATAGGTATTTTTTATTACCCCATTCCCCACCAGTTTCTTTCTCATATTGTAACATCAGTAATTGATTGCACACATTAATTAACATGTAAGGTAGAAATTCTGCATTATGCATGATTTATTTTCCTATCTGGTGAGTAGGTTTGTCTGCTGCCCTTGTGTTTCTAGGACATTGGACTCGATTCTGGTCCAGACATAAATGCCAATGCTCATTCCCCCTGAAAGTTATTAATGTCAGATATGAAATGAGATTTTTGATTTCACCTGCTTACTAATCCACAAAAGCTGTTTTGAGTGATGCAGGCTTAAACGCCGAAATTTGAAATGATATATTGCTGTATCTGATAACATGCAAATATGTTCATTAGACATAATTTAGCAGGAGAGAATAGCAACACTTTTATAACAAGTCTAGGTCAAAAATGGTTGTTAATTAAACAAGTCATGAAAAATGGCATTGCAAGGAGATTGTCCGGCAGACACCAGACTTTCTAATGATATACCTCAGATAGGTATCCATTGGTTTGCACTAAAATGAATAGAAAAAAAAAACAACTTTCGGAGCATCTCACACAATCGAAAGTAAGGTTAACAAAAGTATACCCACATTAACAACCTCAGTTGAATCACATATTCTACTTAGATTTTAATGGTAACATACTATACTTCTCCATTTGAAGATGCGATATCACTTTCTGTCTTAGTGACTTAAAGTGATTTACATGGTTGACTCCTTCACAAATAAACCAGAAAAGAAATTAATATTATATCCGGCCATGCTGCTGGCTGCCCTGAGTGTTTATGGCTGTGTATCTTAAATCAAGCAGAGTAACAGGCAAAAAGATGGCTAGTTGGTGAGGGCAGGGTCGAGGGCTGAGGTGGATAAAGCACAGACCCCAAGGAGAGGAGGGTGTGGGGTACCACTTCTTCCTTTCTCTATAGTTCTTCTCGAGTGTACACTCGGTTACCTAGGGAACCAGTGTGTAGCAAGAACGCTTCTCATTGGCCATGAGTTGAGGTTCAATGTGGGTGGGACTCCGAGGCATAGGTGAAACAGGACACCTGAGCTTGGCTTCTTGGAGTGGGGCTTTCTGAATGCATGGGGAAGGACTGTACCTTGGAAGTTAACTCCAGTATAAGGAAGGCAGGAACATTTTCCACCTGACCACTCATTCGGCCTTCACTGCAGGGAGGGATGACATTCACACCGGGGTCAAGGCCATAAACATCTGGAACCAACAGGTGCCCCAGGCCAGCCTGCATGTGTGAAAGCCATTATGAATGCTCTACTTACCCAATCTTTGCAGCCAGATACTTGGAACACTGTCTGCAAAGCAGAAAGGGCACATAGATGCATTTGGAGCCCTATGCAGTAAGTAAAGTTGAGTGTGAAAACAAAATATCATCTCACTAAACCAAAAGAAGTCTGGACTGAAGCCATCTTAACAATCAACCTAGCTCCAGGGCACCAACTCAGCACTTGAGGCAGAAGACACAGTATGTTTCATCCTCACTCATTTGGTGGAGGCAGAAGGCCCTTCCCTTTGTGTCATTCTTAGCCTGGCTTGCACTCAAGATTATTACGATTGCCAGGAATTCTACCTTATCTTTGGATTGTGTTTGATTCATACACAATCATTTGTGCTTTCAAATATGGGTTCTCAACCTGTGAAACAGGTGCACTGGCATTCATTCTGCTGGCCTCTCAGGGATCACGTGAAAATAAAAAAAAAAAAAGAAAAGAAAAAAAAAGAAAATGGATGGAAACTCTTTGGTGAAAGAAGAGAAGGAAACCTTGGTCTGCATGGCACTTGGTACTTTTGTATTGCCTCCATGCCCTCCACTGCAGCTCCTGCCCTGCTCTGTGTGCATCCCTCATGAGACTCAAGACAGATAACCTCTCCTTGCCCTTTCATGTCCCAGCCCTGGATCTTGGACTCAACCATCCATTGCATCCCCATGGAGGATTCTGCCAGTCCTCAGGACTCAGGAGCAACCCAAGGATGTCCCAGGGTCACAGGAAGACTTGTTGAGGGGACCCACAGGGGTGCCCACAAATTATCAGTCCATGGAGAAAAAGTAGAGAGGGAGGCTCAAGGACCTCAGCACGTAAGGGACATTTGAATTCTACAGTCACGGTGGATGAGTTTAGCCTGCACCTCTCCCAGGCCACAAAAAAATGCCTCTTAGGTACCCTGACACTGTTTATTCAACTTAGTGAGCCTCTGCATCCAATCATATGAAAGATGCCCAGAATCTACCCTGGGTGCAGTTAAACCATTACAGATTCCTCCAGAAGCTTTAATTCATTTCTTCGTGTTTTATTTGTTGAATGAAGGAAGGAACTAACAAATGCATACATGAACAAATGTATGAAGAGGTGAATGAATGCATAAGGGCATGTATAAATGGATGGATGGAGAAATAGAAAGATGATTGAAGGAATGTAAAAAGTAATAAATGCATGAATTAATGGGTAAATGCATAAACACATGTAAATCAAAAATACTTCATGAATGGATGAAAGAACATCATTGGAATCTTGTCATCAACAAGTACACACATGGGCGTCTCCAGCATGCCCACGTGGCGGGTTGAAGTAAGACATAGGAGAAGACATCCTAAGTAGGGCCCCTGCCTGTTTGCTGTTTAGGGGTTTGGTCACCCATCTTTGTCTCCCCTCCAATGTTTCAAAGCACACAGACTTCTAGAAACCCTGTGGGGCAGCTAGGAGCATTTTGCAAAAACCCTTGCAGTGTCAGGAAAGGGGAGATAGGAATATTCCTATTTCTTCTGTCTGAATCTTCAAGAGGGGAGGATTCGTTCTGGGTGTTTCTGACAATGAGACCCCTGGCCCTGTATACCTCAGTGCAATCCTACTAGACACCAAGACATTCTTCCCGGGAGCAGGGGCCGCAGTGGCTGAGAGCACAGACCCTGGACCAGAGCCCAGTAGGCTCCTGCTGATAAGTCACATCCTGACCCCGAGCCTCCATTTCTTCATCTGTAGAATGGAGATCATAAATGAAAGAGCTTGGCTCATGGCCCTGGCACCCCATAAATACTCAACTTCCAGCCATCATGGGTGGATACGATGAGCAGTTCTGTCTTG
The DNA here is from genome assembly GCF_000001405.40 of Homo sapiens. NCBI lineage: Eukaryota > Metazoa > Chordata > Mammalia > Primates > Hominidae > Homo > Homo sapiens. Next base: position 30,347,439 of record NC_000019.10, on the reverse strand, counting down.
CAGGCTCTGGGCCCCCTGTGGCGGAAAGCTTGGTCCCAGGCAGATATCCACCTCTATCAAATGTTCTAGCTGCCAGGCTGCCCAAAAAGCAGGCGGCTAGACCAGAGGAACCCTCGTGTCACCTTTCAGAGTATGTTTTATTTCTTCTACCAAAGCTCCACCGATATGCTTGAATAAAGACATTCTCTATTTTAAATGACTGTACAGAGTTGATCTTTGTAATCCTTTGATCTTCTGAGGAATTTGGTTTCCCATCTGCAGAATCAAGAATTTGGTCTAACTTTTCAAAAGAAGGCATACATGCGGCCAAGAATCATATAAAAAAAAAAAAAGCCCTTCAACATCGCTGATCATTAGAGAAATGCAAATCAAAACCACAGTGAAATACCATCTCACACCAATCAGAATGGCTATTAAAACGTCAAAAAATAACAGATGCTGGCTAGGTTGTGGAGAAAAAGGAATGCTTACACACTGCTGGTGGAAGTGTAAACTACTTCCACCATTGTGGAAGACTGTGTTGATTCCTCAAAGACCTAAAAACAGAAATACCATTTGACCTAGCAATCCCATTACTGGGTATATACCCAAAGGAACATAAATTGTTCTGTTATAAAGAGAGACATGTATGCGTATGTTCATTGCAGCATTATTTACAATAGCAAACTCATGGAATCAACCTAAATGCTCATCAATGGTACACTGGATAAAGAAAATGTGGTACATACACACCATGGAATACTATGCAGCCATAAAAAAGAACAAGATCATGTCCTTTGAAGGAATAAGGATGGAGCTGGAAGCCATTATCCTTAGCAAACTCACACAGGAATAGAAAACCAAATACTGCATGTTCTCACTCACTTATAAGTGGGAACTAAATGATGAGAACACATGGACACAGAGAGGGGAACAAAACACACTGGGGCCTCTCAGAGGGTGGAGGGTGGGAGGAGGGAGAGGATCAGGAAAAACATCTAATGGGTAGTAACCTAAATACCTGGGTGACAACTAATCTATACAACAAACTTCCAGAACACAAGTTTACCTATGTAACAAACCTGCACAGGTACCCCTGAACTTAAAACAAAAGTTATAAATAAATAAAATTTTAGAAAAAGAATAAAATTTGGTCTAAATATATGATTTGTCAGCGTTTCCTAGTAGCAGAATCCTTTTCCCGAGGAAATCTTCTCCCATATGAGCTGATAATAGCACAGTTGCTTTGCCCATAGCTGCGGAGAAGAACCCTGAGCCCTTCCCTTCTCCTGGCTCCCAAGGTGTCTCCTTGGAAACCCTTGGGGTCCCTTGGAAGCCAGTTTGAGAACCACTGTCCTACAGCCTTTCCGATGGCAGTGAATCTGTAACACTGTGGCAGCATCATAGTGGCATGGAAGACTTATCCTGAATGTCTGGTAGTCATCTGGGGTGCATGCCAGCTACAGTCATCAACCTGGTCACACTAGGCAACAAAGCACAAGTGCTGTACACGGGAGTTTGAATGAGACACTCTCCAGCCCTCCCGACTGATGCCTCCCGGTCCCAATTTGCCACCTCCTCCTTCCTTCTGCCTCCAGCTCTGCCACTGATTCCAAGCCAGAGGCCAGTCCCCTTTCAGGTAGGCCGACCTAGTCCCCGGGATGACACTGGATGAAGACTGCAGACTTCATGGATCTGTGGCTCCCGCTGGTGGGTCGAGCATGGCTCCCTTAGATGCATGTAGGAAAACTAAGCATCCGAGACTCTCTGCCTTCAATGACCTGGTCATAAGATGTCACTGGGGCTTCTCTCTCCCAGAAGGCAGATAAGGACTCATTTGAAATTTCTAAAAGTGGAGTCACTACATTTTTTTCTTTTCTTCTACCTTAAGTAGACATGGGACAGTGCTGACCAAATTCCAACCACGTTGCCTGCCACCTTCATGCTATTACCACATCTGCTTATACCTTTACCATAAACTGGTGAAGACACTTCTTGAAACTGACCACAGATTTCCTTAAATCAATGTGTGTCCAGTGGAAATTTTATATCCCAGTGCCATAAATAAAAGCCAGTACTTCTTGCCCATCTATGTACATAAAACAGAGACATAGCTGGTTCAAAGAGGAAAATGCTCAGCTCTGTCAAACCTGGAGTCTTCTCACAGGGCTGGGGACAGGAACAGAGAAAGGAGCTGAGTGCACTCATGCTGGGGGGAGCCCCCGGGGCGTGGTCCTCCCCCACTACTGACTGTGGACCTGGGGCATCTGACAACCTCTCCGGCCCCAGTTTCCTCATCTGCAAAATAGGGATGATGGTAGTACCTACCACGTAAGGTTGTTGCAAGAACGAATTAAACTAAAGGAGATCATGAATTAGTATTAATTAATTTAGAAAAATAATATGCCTGGTACCGAGTTAGTAGCTGCTATTGTGTTGCTGTTGCTGTTGTTGATGCTATATTAAAAGATAAGCCAGCAGGAGGCAGAAATCTTACAGAAAGTAGCATCCAATCTGTGTCTCCCACAGAAGGCTGACTCATGTGCCATTCACTAGACAAGCAGTATCACGTAGTGACAAGATCACAGGGCCAAGAACTAGGAGCCTGGGTCTGGTCACTAAGTCACTGTCTCGCTGTCTGACCTTGGGAGTCCCTTCTCTTCCCTAGCCTTGACTTTCCCAACTGTGAAATGAGGGGATGAATGCAGGGGTCTCCAAAGAGCCTTCTGCCCATGGGGAACCTGAATCCCCGAGGCCACCATGGGCCCAGCCTTTAAAAAAAAATGGCCTGCCTGCTCTGCTCCAGCCCAAGCGAGGGACTCGCTCAGTGAGGGCTTTTAAGGTGTGGCAGGCCAGGCCCAGCGTTGGACAGGGGAGACCCAAGAGCTGATAATTCCCAAGGCACAAGATCCAGTGCTGACTCGGAGAAGGGAATGAAGGTGACGGATGCATCATGTCCCAAGTATGGAGTCTGAGATATGGGTGACAGCATCCTTGTCTTTTTTTTTTTTTTTTTTTTTGAGATGGAGTTTCACTCTTGTTGCCCAGGCTGGAATGCAATGGTGTGATCTCTGCTCTCTACAACCTCCGCCTCCCGGGTTCAAGTGATTTTCCTGTCTCAGCCTCCCGAGTAGCTGGGATTATAGGAGGCCGCCAATATATTTGTGTGTGTGTGTGTATTTTTAGTAGAGACAGGGTTTCACCATGTTGGCCAGGCTGGTCGCGAACTCCTGACCTCAGGTGATCCACCTGCCTCACCCTCCCAAAGTTGCTGGGATTATAGGTGTGGGCCACTGGCTGTCCTTGTCTGCCAACTGGGGGCAGGCCCTAGGGGTGGGAAACCACAGGGCCAAAACAGGGGTGCCCCTGAAACCCAGCACCCCATGGTGGGGTTCTGACAGGGGCCCCTTCAACTACCTTCCCTGGGTCTCACCACAGGCCATGGCTTGCTCCCTCTGACACTTTCGCATGGCCATCTTGACTGTTACACCAAGCTATTACCTTAAAAAGGACTGAAATAAGTTTTTTTTTAAGGACTGAAACAGGGACGCTTTCAGGATGCACTCAGAGTTGGCCAACCTCTTGCTGTTTTCCCTCCATCCAACCCAGCATTCTGTGGGTGAGACTTCTTCAGGGGCAGAAATGTGTATCTTTGTCCTGAAGCAGCACCCAGTTTATCCAGGCATAGGTTACCATCTCCTAGTGTTTCGCATCGAAAGGTCCACTTGCAAAAGTTTATCTGTTTCTCAGCTACAGACAAGAAAGGAACGCCCTCAAAAATCAGGTGGAAACTATGGGACTTCTGTATGATGAAAATCACGCACATGCTATATACATCTTCAGCTTTTAATTTCACTGCGTGGATGTCATAGGGTTCTCCAGGGACTACCAGTTAGTAGCCCTGGAACACCTCTTCCTCCCCTTCATCTCCACCTGGGCACAGGATTTTTCTAGGTTTCCCTTAAGTCGGAGCCTCACCCAGGTCAAGGCCCCTCAACTGGAGATGGAGCAGGGAGCTGAGAAGCTTGCTAACATCAGTAAGTAGCACTTGTGATACATATTATGAAGAGATGCTCCCCCACCCCAGGAATCACTAGGTGTGGCTTTTGGACAAATATACACACATGCAGAGGTTTGTTTTGGAGGCGTAAACACACAGTCTCTAAAATAGGCAATGTTGAGTCTCTGGCACAAAATGAGGGTATGAAGCCGACACTGTTTATAATCTGCTGGAACCCTCAAACTTGCAAGCCCTTTTTCCAGAAACATTCATGTGAAAGCCTCTTTCTTAGGAAGGGGTACTTGTCCTGTTCCCAGGCAAGCTTGGAGGATGCTACCATAGAAGGGCTTATCCAGGGGCCCAAGGCTGTCCCCACCGGGCCGAGGGTGGGGGAGACAAGAGACCCAGAGACTGCAGACCCTGGAACACCCTGCAGCAGCCAGACCATCACCTGGCCTTTAGTGGAAGTGGCTAATGACAGCACTGATAAGACCTAAAGCACTAAGCCAGGCATGATTGAGACAGACACCCAAATTATCTGTTCAGGTGTTGACCTCTCTACCGCCTTTATTAGAACAAACCAGTGTAAGAAAACAACCAAAAATGTTTTTTTCTTACTTCTTTCAATTGCTGTGCTTGGCAACTTTATTGCACATTAGTTCAAAATAAGCTGCCAATAAAGTTGGATAAAATTAAACTCATGCTAGAGTTTTTTTCCTCAATAATTGTTGTTGGGTTGTTTTTATTTTCATAAGGATTCAAAATGCAGCATTATCTTAGGTTCAGAATTTCCCAGGCTGGGTAGTTACAACTTAACTTCCACTGAGTTTATGAATTTCAATTTCAGTTCTTTTAAAATGAGTTTGGTTTTACTGTTAGCTTCATACTGAAGAGGTCTTTGTAGCAGTTTGTCTTTTCCTGTACAAAAAGCGTAACATAAAACTGGAATCTTCCATACTGTAATTAGACTTAGAAAATTATGTGATGTCTAATTCAGCAGAACCTCAGCACATAGCAGAGTCCACAACCCCAAGTCCACATTTGTTTGAATACATGATCTCAAGAAAATATCTTTTTAAAGATAGCAGTTGTGAATGGGCCAAAATGATTCCATTTAAGATAGCAAAATAAATAAATATATAAATAAATAAACATCTTGGAGTAAAAATAATGCACTACAGCAATTTGACTACGGCAAAAATCAAACACTGTGTGTCGAAAGCAAACAATGGGAATTTTTATGCAACTAAACATTTTTCTGGCTATCTAACTATGACTTATACATCTAAAATGATAAATTTAATCCCATCACCAGTAGATCAATTGCAGGTATAACAGATGAAACCAGAATAAATCATCATATCACTGTACTGGAAACACAAAGAGAAGACAGAAGAGGAGTTTTGACTTTAAACTGAAATCTGTTTCCAGGCTTTTCCAAGGACAATTTGCATGGAGAAGTTCAATGTATACATAAAGTCATCTGATCCAAATATGCTAATGATTTTTATTGGTCAAATCTTAAAAGTGAGGTTTATTTTTATGAGTATGCATTAATTAACCCAGCATGTACTATCTTTCAGACTATCTTGCCAGGGACTTTCATTTCAACATGTTTATTGTGAAATGTTTGCATTCTCCACATTTGTGGCCCACACACAGATTATTTCATACTTTCCTTTAGAGCACTTAGAAAAGTTAAAAGGAGTTATTGTTTTTGATTAATGCCATTTTGGGGCAGTTAAAAAAAAAAAGAGTTCCAAATCCCAGCTCTGCATAAATTCTTTGACATTGAAAAAAAAATCTCTGCAAGTTCTACTGCACAAAGAGATGAGGGGGGCTGCCCTGGGTTTATTTCAAGGTGGTCTCCTAAAACTGAACTTTATTAACTTTGGTGTCTGCATGAACTCATGCAGAATAGCAAGGGACCAATGGGGTGCAGCTATCAATCACGAGAGGAGAAGCAGCAGGCACAGAGTGTGGTGTGGTGTGGCACAGATGGAAGTTCTAAGGCCCTGCCTGTCATCTTTTGATTAAGAAAAGGAAATGATTTCACTAAAAAGATATTCCCTCTTGTGTTGTTTTGTTTTAACTGAGTTTGTACTTTCCACCGAACTGGACATATTTATTGAGACTCATAAGTTACTTCACGGTTCCCAACATCACTGCAATCTCAACAAACTATTTTTTTCCTTGCCAATTATCTAAATATCAAAACTATAAAATATCTTAAAACATTCTCCATACTGTAAACATCTTAGCTACAAAGCTTTGAGTGTAAACAGTATGATGCATCAGAATGGTCTTAAGCGATGTTATAAAAACTGCTCTTAAAAACTAAACAAAAATGTAAAGCTTCCATCTGTTTTATGATTTTTTCCACTGCCGAACGGCTGCTGTGTGCCAGTTCACTGAACCATGGCTTGCTAAAGAGATTGCTGGGGTCACAGATTGAAAAAACAAAGAGCATGTCTTTAATGGTGGGATTTTTTTCTCGAGTCTCCCTGACACGGCTGGAACCGAATTAAGTGCACAGCAGCAGAAGAGAAGGGACATAAAACACACACACGATGCCTGTTGCAAGAGGAACCCTCTCTCTCTCTCTCTGAGAGGCTCACATCTTTTAGAGGATATCATTCCGGCAATTATTTCAGGTTCTTTGGTGACTGTATACCTGCAACCTCAATGCACTCTCATGTCCTCATGGAATTTTCTTTTTGGCCCTCTGTGTACAAGTTAAAAATAGACAGCAAATTGCATACTAAGAAAAAGCATTCAGGCTTATTTTTGTGTACATGTGCAGGTAGGAGATGATGATAATTTAGAGACTGCTGACTCTCCTCTGCTCTGAGCCCTGATCCACGGGGATGCGAAGGTGCCTGAGCAGATGAAAAGACCCCTCCAAGGTGCAAGAAGAAAACAACCCTTCACTAGGAATGTTTGCCTCTGAGATATATATAAAAAGTCAAGTAAGAAGGGGAGAGATTAAAATGGATTATGCATCGAGTCCAAGCCCTGTTCTTAGGGGATATTGACACCCAAAGCAGGGAGCACTGTAGGGGGAGTCCAGGGGCTGGGCTGGGCCCAGTGCGGTCTCCCCTCCGGGACCCGACTGACTGACATTTCCTAAGGGTCCTGCTGACACCCATCATCTTGTCCCCTGAAACCACCTCTGAGGAATGACAGCCAGTGTGACCATTGGATTTGGGCTTCTTGTGCAGGCTACCTGGCCGGTGTTCCCCCAGAGACATGGCCATTGGGGTTAAGGCCATCTCTGACACCTCAGAGCTAGGGAGACTCTGCAAGTCAGCCCACGAGACCAGGTTTGACCTGTTACCCTGTCCCCACCACTGTCCCTTAGACAGCAGACACTCCTGGAGCTGGGACGGGCGGGAAGAGGGGGTGCAGGGGATGGCGGCCTGCCCGGGCCCAGGACAGGATTCATGGGGAGTCCACCTGCCTTCCCTAGGATGAAGAGTGCCCACTGGTCCTCCTTGAGGAGGGTCCACCCAGCTCACCCTTGCAGGATACCCCCAGGCCAGAGGCAAACACAGATATCTGGGGCAGAAGGAGAACATTTAGGGCTGGAGATTCCAGAGGAGCCCACCCTGCTTCCAGAAGAAGGCAGCCTCCAAGTCGACAGCAACCACGCAGCCACAGCACCTGCCTGCTCAGAACGTGGCTGCTGGCCTCCCCACCTCCCTCTCCAACCTTTCCTCCACACTCCAGGGCTGTAGCAGCCCCTCTTGTCTCCCTATGGTGCAGAGATTTGGCAATGTCACCAACCTCCAGCCCCCAGAGGGCAACCCTCACCCTCGAGGTGGAGGTGTCCATCTGGGAAACCCATCCCAGCCCAGGGACCATCCTAGATCCCTGGAAGGCTGGCACAGCAGTGGGCAGAGCTCTGCCCGAGGGTAGGCAAGCCCTGTGTGTGCCACACCCTGAGACCAAGGGCATCAATGGTCCCACTCTTGCTCACTTGCTCACTCCTGCTGCCTGCACACCTTTCCCAGCAGTATTCCCACCTGCACCTCACCCAGCAGATGAGTGAGAGGCTCCTCGGGTGGGGTCAGTGGCTGCTCCACAGCCCTAGAAGCTGTTCTGGGACTCCCACTGTGCTCAGGGCTTCAAGGACCCAACTTAGACCCAGCCATGTGACCAATATGCCAGTGTCCAGAGAGCAGTCACCCCAAAGAGCACCTGGCCCATGGGCCCTGTGGACTCCGAGGCAGGCTGGCACAATTCCGTGCGGATTCCAAATTTAAATCTGGGACGCTCTCCCCTTTTTTCACTGCTCCAGAACATGGGGGAGGCATCTGCCTAGGAACAGCTGTCACCCAAAGGAGGCGGCGGCACATGCAGCTCTCCCGTAAGCACCACCGCCAAAAGCCACACATCAGCCAGGGTTACTTAGCTACGGAACTTTACAGCCCGGGGGAGGGAAGGAAGAGGAGGGACCAAGCTGACATGGAGGGAAGAGCAGGCAACCTGGGCTGGCAGGTGCTGCACTCTCACACATGCCACCAGCAACAGAATGGCCTTCTGCAGCAGGCACTGTGTCCCCACTTCATCCATAGGGAAACTGATGCTCAAAGAGGTTAACTAGCATGCCCAAGATTGCACAGCTACTAAAATAATAAGACAACAATCATATAATAACCAATAAGAACTAATACTCACTAGTTAGCATGTTAATCATGCTTACCATATGCCAGCCCCTCCTTGGTGGGGTCCAAGTTCAAATCCTTACAACAACCCTGTGAAATGCTATTAGCATTGCCCCCCTGCAGATATGAGGGAACTGGGGCAAAAGGAGGTCAAGTAGTTTCTCCCAGGTTAAGTAACCAGGAAGTGATAGCACTAGGATCCAGTCCCAGACTACCTGGCTCCATTCTTTTAGCCACTATACCACAAGGTCTATCACCATCATCAGCAGTAGCAGCACCATCATCATCATCATCATCATCATCATCATCACTATCATCATTGTCATCATCATCACCATATCATCATTGTCATCGCCATCATCATCAAATCATCTTCATCATCATTACTGTCATCATCACCACCATCATCACCACCATTATTATCACCATCATCGCCATCACCACCATCATTACTATCAACATTGTCATCATCATCATCATATTATCATTGTCATCATCATATTATCATTGTCATCACCATCATCATCAATCATCTTTATCATCATCATTGTCATAATCACCATTAACATTGTTATAATCACCACCACCATCAACATCATCACCACCATCACCATCATCACCACTATCATCATCATCACAATCATCACAATCATCACCATCATCACCATCATCATCATCATAATCACAATCACCATCACGATCACCATTATCATCATATCATCATTATCATCACCATCATCACCACCATCATCACCACTGTCATCATAATCCACCACCATCATCATCATCACAATCACCATCATCATCATCATCATAATCACAATCATCACCATCACGATCACCATTATCATCATATCAACATTATCATCACCATTGTCATCATCATCATCATCACCACCATCATCACTTATTGAGGAGTACAGTTAACACTTACTGAGCTCTTGCTAGGAGCCCAGAGCCGTGTTAAGTTCTTCAACTTCCATGCGTTATTACATTTCATTTCTGCTATTCGCTTTATCCTCACTATACAGACACTAGGAAACTGAGGCTCAGAAAGGTTATGCAATTTACTGAAGGTCAGTTAGTACCAGCAGAGCCTTAAGCAACCCCAAGCATCCCCATTTAATAGCCATGTCTCTGGCCCCTGTGAGGGAGATAAGGAAGGCCTCATCTAGGGACCCACCATGGGCTGTGAGCTGTCTCATCAGCTAGTATCAGGAGTGGGCTTTCCATAGAGGAAACGGGACTGGCACTGGTTTGTGGTGCCCAGGAAAGTACAGGGAGGCTGCTTGGGCTTTGTCATTGTTGCCAACCCATGTGTTCTTCTCACTAAGGCTAATCTCGATTATAATGAGGGTTTATCCTAAGTTCGGCAAAGGGAAGGTGGCCAGGAAAGGCCTGACTAAAGGGGTGGCCAAGCTAAAATCTACAGTTCATGCGGACACAGACGGTGGTGGGAGCTACTACAAACACTGACCATATTTAGCAGAAGTTGGGAGATTGCGGACGCCAGCCATCTGCTCAGCAACCCCACTCTGTGGGCCAGGCAGCCGGGCTGGGAGCGTCCAGTGCCAGCCTTGGCTTTCCTAGCCCTGAGAGCCTCAGCAGGGGTTTCCATCAGTCTCCCTTGAGGGTGATCCAAGTTTGAGTAGTAGGAAAGTGACTAACTCCGGGGTAAAGGAGAATCAGAAAGGAGTAACAATCTGACCACCACCAAGAAGGAACAGGCCTCCCAAGAACAAGACCTGCAAGAGATAGCCCATGTTGCAGGAGACCTGCAAAGCCACCAGCTGCCTTTTCCTGAGTTCTCACGGCTGAGACCCAACCCAGATGATACAAAAATTGCCAGTGGGTCAGGCTGCACTTTCCTCGAACTAATCACTAATGAAGTTTGGGGTGAGCTATTTTGAAAGCAGCCCACACAGCATAACCACACGCCATCATCAGCTGCCATCCTCAAATGCAATTTCATTCATAATTGAATATGAAAAAACCACCACCTTAAAATAACATCAGGGGTCACAGCTGAACTCTGCAGCCTGGGCCTATGCATTCTGGCCTGTACTGACCTCTCCGAGATGTTCTCCAATGCTTTCCAGGCATGTACCCTCCCTCCTGCCCCCAGACACACCTTCCCTCTCTGGTCCTACCTGCACACCTTGGCCCATCTCACCTACCTTCCAGGCATGCTTTTCTCTGTCCTCTCTGCCTCCAAGTGCCAGCCAGGATTCAAAGATCAGTTTGAGCACACTCTCTCCTAATAAGCCTTCAACAGCCCAAGCCTGAAGGGACCTCCGCCAGCCTGTAAGCTTCTATAGCAATTGTTTATGCAATCCCTCTGGCAAGGCATGGTGTGCTGCCCTGCGCTGTCCTTCCCCTTGTCCTGTCCAACAGCATTTGCATTCCACGTGGAGGTGTCCTGTTCATTCATCCGCTCATTCGGCACATGTTCACTGAGCACCTACTATGTGCCAGGCGCTGGAGAAACAAAAGTGAGCCATCAGACATGGTTTCTGCCTTCCTGGAGGGCAACTTCTAGAAGGAACCAATGATGAAGACACCAGTAAATATGTAATAGATCTTTCCAGCTGGACTCAAGTCCCCCGTGATCAAGCAGGTTCTGCCTTACTCTCATGCTGGAACCTAAACCAGCATAGGACATACAGTCTGCGCTCAGTAGGCACTGACCAGCCTGGGCGGGGTCACCTCCTCCCTTGTTTACCTGTAGCTCTCCCTCTAGAACTGAACCGAATTTAACCTGAGGTCCTGATATCACACCCTCACCCCAGTCTTTGCCAAGATGCTGCTTCTTGGGGTCTCACATCTGAGGAATGGGAGGTTACTATTCATTTAGGAGGAATCCATTCAGTGGGGATGGTCATCTGAGCCAGGGCCACTCCTTGACCACCTCCCATCCACCTGCTGGTTCTTGGTGGCTCCTGGACAGCCCAGTATTGAGCTGTGAGTTGCAGCAGCTGAAGGGGACCCAGTCCAGGTGGCTCATGAACAAGTAGAAATAGTTTCAAGGCTAGGATCTGAGGGCAGCCCTGGCGAGGAAGATTCTATCCGTGCACAAGGGCAGATCAGGGAGCTATGGAGGAAGTGGCACTCGCAGCTTCTCCACCCGGGTTGGCTGAGAAGAGAAGGGACAGCCCTAGAGAGCAGGAGCTAAGATGTGCCAGGGAGGAGATGTGCCAGGCACTGGGAAAGGGGCCGGGACTGGGTCAGTTCAGGAGACCAGACACCCACCGCGTAGCTCAGCACCTGCTGAACACGTGTCTGGTGCAATGCTGGGCTCTGCTGGGAAGAGGGGTGGGCGTGCCAGGCCTCCCAAAACACACAGACCACGTGGGAAAAGGAGATGACATGCTCGTGAGACAGGATGGGATGTGTACCAGGCTGGGGGTGGCTGTGGTGGCAGTGGCAGCAGCTTCCATCATCGAGATTAAAGATGTAACCGAGCCTCTCATATGCACGGTTATTTTATTTGATGCCCCAACAGCCCTATTACAGAGGTGAGGAAACTAAGGTTCCGAGAGGTTAAATGGCTCTCCCAAGGTCACACTGTTCATAGGTGGCAGGGTGGGAGCGATACACAGCCAGGCTCTCAGGCTTGTTCCTTCCTGGCTGGTGCCAAATCCTCCATGCTCTGGCCACGTCTGCCTCCTGCGTGACTCCTCTGTGTCCCCATCCCTGTTCCGCCAGCCCCAGATGCTGTACGGAGATCTTTAAAGCAGGGGCCCCCAACCCTCAGTCCACTGACAGTCCGTGTCTTGTTAGGAACTGGGCCGCAGAGCAGGAGGTGAGCAGAGAGTGAGCGAGCATTCCCGCCTGAGCCCCATCTCCTGCCAGATCAGCAGGGCCATTAGATTCTCACAGGAGCCCAGACCCCCTTGTGAACTGCGCATGCAAGGGATCTAGGTTGTGTGCTCCTTATGAGAATCTAATGCTTGACGATCTGAGGTGGAACAGTTTCATCCTGAAACCATCCATCCACTCCATCCATGAAAAAATTGTTTTCCATGAAACAGATCCCCGGTGCCAAAATGGTTGGAAACTGCTGTAAAGGCTGGGCATTGAGCTGAGGCCATAGAATTTTCATCATGAATAACATCTCCATGATCAACCCACCGTGTCATACTCCTCACAGCATGATCACAGTCCTTATGTATTTGGATATATTCAAGTAAAGGGGAACGGGCCAGTATTTGTAGAACCAGTCTTCAAATTGTGTCATGGAGGGAAAATGTGGGCTCCCAGCGATGGGTGGAGAAAACGTTTGTCTTAACCAGACGTCCTAATACCAACCCTAGCCCCAATCTTAGCCAAGATTCTGTTTCTTGGGGTCTTACTCTCCTTGTCTGAGAAGCAGGAGGTTAATACTCACCTGCCACACAGGAATTCGATTAGAATTCTAAAGGAGAAAGATGAGTTTCAGGGGTTGGTAAGTTCATTAATTGACTCTGAGTATTCAGCTAATAAGCTTTTACAAACATCTTTCTCCATCCATCCCCAAGAATCGCATAGCTTTGGGTCCAATTTGGAGGCCATTACCAACATTCAAACTTCCAGAATCATGACTCTTTCTACATGCAGGAAAGAGAATGTTCTAGAACCCCAAGCACTCATTTCCCATTGGCGAAACTGCTTCTGTTTCTTTTTGCTACCATGCTCCAGTGATGGGAGCTTTCATTTTATTGAAAGTTTTGGGTCTGTCACCAATCATGTCAATCAATAATCAGCAAATTAGCAGCTTGCTTTTGCAGACACTTCTATTTTCAACCTGAAGGGTGGTTTGGGGGTTTCTTTTAAATTTAACTATCCTCATTAAGGATTCATAGCACACCAAAAGAGTGATTTTTTAAAAAAATCATCTTTGCAGAAAAGGAATATCAGCAAAAATAATCACTATTCCGGGCTCAACAATGAGCCCCTAATGAGGACAGCAGTCATCAGTTAAATAAACATATCATTAGGGCGAGAATAGATGTGTCAACACAGGCACAGCCCACTAATTTGTGGGGTGGTTTGTCTTTGGTTAGTCTCCGTGGGGTCCGGCTGGTGCACGGGTGTTCCTAGGTCACAGTCCAAGGTCACTTTTTGCAGGTAGGGCTCAAGGTGTGAGTGAGGTCAGGCCAGGTGGAAGCTACTGATGGGCAATGGCAGAAGGTAGACACTGGGACACTGCCCTGGGCCTCAGGCAGGCCAGCAGCAGCAAGCAGATTTCTACCAGGAAGGCCTGCAGGAAGCCCCAGACAAAGACAGCCGCAGGCAGGAAGGTGAAGATGAAGAGGAGGAATCTCTTGACCAGCGGCCTCATGGCCACGTAGCTCTCAGAAACCACAACCCACCTGAATGTTCAGTGTGGGCATTCATTCTCCACCCAGCTCGCCTCATGGCAGAAGCATGGGCGACACTTCTCAAGAGGGACAGAGAGGACAGAATCAGGTGGTGCTCCCTTGCAACTCCCGGACGTCTCTGTGTCTGGGATCCACAGTCCTTCAGAGATGAAGCTGGGACTGTGGCCACAGAAGAGGTCCCTCTACCAGGGCCTCATGGTCATGGAACTGTGCTCTCTTTCAGCAAATATTATTTCCTTATTTATTTATTTATTTACTTACTTACTTATTAATTTATTTGTTGAAGACAGGGTCTCACTCCATCATGCAGGCTGGAGTGCAGTGACGTGATCTGCCATGGGCAATGGCAGAAGGTCGAAAATGGGACGCTGCCCTAGGATTTCTACCAGGAAGGCATGCAGGAAGCTCACTACAGCCTCGACCCCCTGGGCTCAAGCTATCCTCCCGCCTCAGCCTCCCGAGTAGCTGGGACCACAGGTGCATGCCACCATGCCTGACTAATTTTTGTATTTTTTGTAGAGACATGGGTTTCACCATATTGCCCAAGCTGGTCTAGAGCTCCTGGGCTCAAGTAATCCTCCCATCTTGGCCTTCCAAAGTGCTGGGATTACAGGCATGAGGCACCACACCAGGGCAGCAGAAATTTATAAAGTGCTTTTTATGAATCAGGCATCGTACTGGGTGCTAGGTCACAGCAAGGAGCAAGGTAGGTTTGGCCCTTTCCCACATAGGCTTTAAGTTCAAGGGAAGGGAAAGACAAGAAGTAGTTAAATAATTTGGATAATTACAGGTTATGATGAAGTGAGTAAGCAGGGTGAGATCCAGCCAGCAACTGGGGAAGTCTGATTTTATATAGGGAGGTGGAACAACGGCTTTCTGAGGAGGGGATATTTGAGACAGGGCCTGGCAGAGGAGAACAAGCCAGCTGCAAAGGATGGAGGGAAGGGCAGTTCTGACGGAGGAGCAGGAGGACACGCATGGGCAGAGAGGATGCCTGGACGCCCACTGAGGGTGCCTGGGTGCATACATAAGGGTGCCAGGTGCATGCTCCCAGGGAACCACCTCTCCAAGAAGGAGACAAAGGCTGGGGCCACTGGGGCCCCAGAGGTGAGGATCTCTGGGAAGAGCAGGTCAGAGAAGAGAAGACAAGGGCCAGAAAAGTGGCAGATTGGTGGAGGGAGAGTGAGGAAGATCCTACAAGACTTCTGCATTTTAATGGAGATGAGATCAGTAGCTGAGGCCGGGGGGCAAAGAGGAGAAAAGCCAGTGTGGCCAATTTGAAAAGCAAGCCCAGGAGAGATGCAGTTGGCACATGGCATGCTGAGGGCCCATTTGATGCCCGTGGCCATGGATTCTGAGTGACACCTATCAGCTCAGCTGCATGGTTTTCTCCTGGAGAGCTGGGGTGCAAGGAACTGGCATGGAAAAGGGAGATATCTGAGTTCACCCGGGACTGAAGATTCATCAGGTGCATGAGACAAAAAGAAAACATGCCACAGAGCTAAGAGCTGATAATGGGTGCAAGGAAGTGATGAAAATGATGGACCATGATCTCCCCACTGGGTGAAGGGCAGCGGGAAGACAAGGTCCCCTGCAGGGGACAGGGAGGAAGCTGAAGGGTCCCTGGGTGAGCACACCAATGATTGACAGTGGAGGCATCACAAACAGTGATTTGGAGGGAAAGGCAGTGATGGACTCATCATAGGATGGGTGAAGACCAGATTTCAGAGGAGCTCAGGTGTTGGTCACTGTCAAGCCTGGGTGTGGATCTGAAATGGATGGCTAAGGTCAAGTGGAAGAAAAGTTACTGAGCTGAGAAGGTCAAGGAAGCAAAGTCCAGCCTGTTGGATGCATGACCTTGACATTCTTGGTCAATGTCACTGGCCAACAGACCTGCAGAAACTCGGAGTGAACACACACCTCAGGAGACGGTGACACCAGAATCAAGGACATTGGTGACCTCCTTACAAGAGATCTCCTCAAGTCACTTGGCAAACAAATCTGATGGGGAATCAGCATGACCACTGCAGAGACAGAAGAGATCTAAGATTTATAGTATTCAGTAATTATCTAGTAAGAAATGGTCATCTGTCATAAAGACAAATAATATTCTTTTTTTTTTTTTTTTTTTTTTTTTTTTTAAGATACAGGGTCTTACTCTGTTCCCCAGGCTGGAGTGTGGAGTGCAGTGGTGTGATCATAGCTCACTGCAGTCTCAAACTCCTGGGCTCAAGCAATCCTCCTGCCTCAGCCTCCCAAGCAGCTGAGACCCCAGGTGTATGCCACCATGCCTGGCTAAATTTTTTAAATTTTTTGTAGAGATGAGGTTTTGCTATGTTGCCCAGACTGACCTTGAACTCCTGGCCTCAAGCGATCCTCCTGCCTTGACCTCCCAAATTGCTGGGATTACAGGTGAAATAAGGCCCTTTTATTTACCAGTATCAATGACTTGAGCCTGATTTTCCCAGTCCATTGCTGGAAGTGCAGTAGGGACTGAAACCTCTAGTCCTCAATTCCTTGACTGCAATTGTGTGAGCGGAGCAGTGAAGTTATGTTTTGAGAATCAGAGGTCCTAACTCTCTGCTGGCTCAAGCAAGGGCTTCACTGACCCACAGGTCAAGCTTTCTCAGGCTAGGAGCCCTCAGGACCGAAAAATGGACTCCACTTCAATGCCTCGAAGTTCCCTGGCCACCTGCTTCCATTCCTTTCTGATCCCGAATGAGTACATGTCTACAATGGCCATGTCTTGAGAGCAGGAGGGTCAGTGAAGCCAGACCACCAGCTGTTGCTTCACAGATATGGCCTGGGAGAGCCCAAACGTCAGAGTAAGACAGCCATAGACTACTTTACCTCCTAGAAATGGGAGCCTGAGGCCCAGAGTGGCAATGTAACCTTTTCTAAATCCACTGGTAGCAAAGCAAGGCTTGTAACGAGGCCTCCCCATCCCCAGCTCCAAAGTCGAGTGTCCTCTCAGTCCCTCCAATGCCCCCTGCAGCCCAGAAAACTGCAAAGTTTCTCACCAAACAAAGGCAGATGTAAAGTGAAAATGCCCTAAAATGCCAGTGACACATAACCCAGTGTGCAAGAAACTGACCACTCAAGAGTGAGTTTCTGCCTCGGTTCCACAACTTTTGTCCAAGTTGCTTACAGTACCAAATTTATTTTAATATAATACTATTGGCCACAAACTTCTACATGATCGAATTTAGCACAGTTAATATTTAACATGTGGGCACCTGGCGCCTCCCAGCTTTCTGATGAATAAAGTATGTGATCTATTACTCCATATTAACCCAACTCAAAGAAATTAGTAGTGGTGGTGGTGGTGACGGGAGTAATCATAGTAGTAATCATAGGACCAAAGTAGTATTTATTGAATGCCTACTGTATACCAGGCATGAAAATAAGTGCTTTCAAATACAGCATCTCATTTAAATCATAAGATTATAAATTATCACCTAAACCATATTACTTTGCAATATTTTAGTCCATTCTGCTCAATGGATATTTTTTGAAAATCAAGTAGCACAGTACAATAATTCCCAAATCAATTCTGATTTTTCCTCAGAAATTTGGTAGAGAAAGTATCCCCCCACCAAGTGTAGACCCAGTAAGTTAACTTATGCCCCAGAGCAAACTATCCTGTCAGAGTAATAAATCTCCATTTTAAAAATGTGTGTTTTAATGGAAATATTGACATGACCTTAAGAACACATAGCACCACCAAATAGTACAGCTGGGTGCAGAGAGGGAGAGGGGCCTGATAAACTTTTGTCTGTATCACGCCTGGGCTTTCCAAGGTCTGGAACTATCTTTGCAAAAGATAGTTCCAACAAGAACTTTAAACATAATTTAGATGTTCTCTTAAATAAAATTTCATCATCACTTTCATGGCTGTTGCATTGTATTGGTTGATCCCACACACTTTATAGAACAGAACTCCAAAAACTTAACTCCTTTGAAGGTTCTAGCTCTAAGCAGATATTCTGTAGAACAGATATTCTGTAGAATAGATTCCTCCCCACCTCCCATTCCCCAGCCCCCCACCTCCAAAATTCCAGCTGAGCATATTTTTCTTCAAAGGGCAAAGTTGACCTAGGATTATGTGTGTTCTCTGTACAAAGGATATGTTTTCAGCAAGCAGGACCGCATTCCTACGAAGCAAAAATGTTCCCTGTAAGCTGATTGCTCCAGTCCTTTCGGACCTGTCTCAATAAAGGCTCTGTTCTGTTCACTTGCTGTTGTGTGGCCCATGTTCTCAGAGGTGGCTTAGGACAGGTGTTTGTCTACTGAGAGCCCGAGAGGGACTCTTGAGGGCTAAGAGGCCTCTCTTAGATAGCTGTTGGCCTTCTTGACACACCGACATTTGCAAAGCAACCCCTCAAAGAAGATCCGTTTGAACAAAACCCAACAGAGCTCCCTTGCATGAGGGTATCCCTCTCTACAGTGCTAATTCCCATCTCTCACTCTGATGATGCCGCAAAATTCTATTGTTGCAGGGGGAAAGGGAGGAGTAGAAAAGTGAGAGAGAGAAATCGAGAACAAAATGAAAGCAGCCAATATTTCTAAGTACCTCTTGATGGTCTCTAATGTCTAAAAGCCACCAAACTAGGTCCAAGTACACCAAGCCCCTGGCAACGCCAGCTTCAAGATCAGCAGGAAAATCCAAAAGGAACCCCAATTCACATCTATGAACATGCCACGATCTTTCCAGAGAGAGCCATGTGGATATTGGGTCCAGCAAATCTCTCCCTCCTATAGGGTGGAATCATCACATCAGACCTTCATTTCTGAAACACACAAGTGGTACAAATAACTATTTGCATTACAAAATGATTCCAATGGAACTTGAGTGATTAGTTAGGGCTACGTGGACAGCCAGAACAATGCATCACCATTTATTGAATACGCAATTATTAAGAGCCAAGTCTTCCCCTCTGGCCATGATGGAGAACCATGGAGTTCTGAGTGAAGATCAAGGGCAGCAGAGAGCCCCAAGAGCAGGTTACACAGAGGCCCATGAGTTCCTCTTCTGCCTTGTCAGGGGCTGCAGAGCTTTTGCTGTGATAGGGACATGAGCTCGAATGAGAATCAAAGTTGCCCTTGGGTAGCTGTGGCCAAGTGTGGCCTCCACCGAAGTCTCGGTTTATTTCTCAAGGAGCTCCTGGAGGCCCAAGTCTTTCTCTGCTCACTTCTTCAGCCATCATGGTCACTGGAGCTGGGCAATGCCTCCCCACCTCCCCTGGGGAGTTCTGCAGAGCTGAACACACACAAGGCACCTTCATGTTCACATGTTCATTGATAAACCAATATGAGAGTCATGATCATCATCAGAGTTGTGAATCGAGGGTTTCTGCCCTCTGCCAAGCATTTGATGTGAATTATTTCATTTCATCCACACCCACCTTACAAAGCAGGTTCCACCCTATCTGAGAGAAGAGGAAACGGGCACAGAGTCTGACCTGTCCCCACTAGTAATGGTGGCTCCAGGAGCCCAGGCTGATCCCGCCTGCTCATTCTACTGACTGGGTAATATAACCCCGTTCTCCAACCTTAAAAGTCATCATCGTTCCTAACTCCACTCATCAGAGGACAAAGACATTGCCCAAAGGATAACAATTCCACAGCTCAGGCCGCAGAGGTGAGAGGGATGAACACCAGGGTCTTAGGAGATCCAAGAGTGTGATCTGAGAAGAACTGAAAAAGAGCTTCCTTCACTTGGAAGGACTGAGATGTGAACACAGAAACCCAAACCCAAGCTAAATGCATGAAAGACACCTCCCAAATGAAGGGTGCATGGCTGCTTCATGCAGGTTTCCAGAACTTCCAAACAAAGCCTGCTGAAGGGTTCGCAGGAACAATTACGGCATGCAAATGTCATGTGACTTTTGTCACTGATCTTTCAACATGCAAAGCTGGGTTCATGTGTCTCCAATTCAAAATCCAAAATTGAAGTCTTATGTGGAGATAATTATAAGTGAAAATCAAACACAGGCCTAGAAAACACCCCACTTTCCTCATAAAATAACTGTTCACAGAGAAGAGCCTGGATTCTCAGAGGAAGTCCGGGATGGGATGGACCTCTCTGGATGGGGCAGGGTTCAGTCAGACCTCAGTCATTCAAAGCTGGTGTAAATTCTGGGGCCCTGAGCCCGAGGTCTGAACCCCAAGCCCGAGGAAATATGCACTCCTCCTGGATTAATTTCAACAATGCTGTGTCCTTTAACAAAAGGCTGTAAGCAAACAGGAGATTAAATTGCATAAGGGGGAAAAAAGGCTTTTTATTTTTATTAATGAATTAACTTATTTATTTTTAGAGGCAGGGTTTTTCTCTGTTGCCCAGACTGGAGTGCAGTGGTGCAATCAAGGCTCACTGCAGCCTCCAGTTATTGCTGGGCTGAAGCAACAACACCCAAATCAATAAGACCGCGCCTGAGTAGCTGGGACTATAGGTGTGTGCCATTATACCTGGTTACTTTTTAATTTTTTGTAGAGATGGTGTCTCCCTATGTTGCCCAGACTGGTCTCAAACTCCTGGGCTCAAGTGATCCTCCCGCCTCAGCCTCCCAAAACACTGGGATTACAGGCATGGGCTACTGCGCCCAACTAGAAAACAAAAAAAAAAAAAAAAAAAAAAAAAAAGCTTTTTATAAAAAAAATCTCCCAGTTAAAAAAAAATCATCGCGTGTCTTTCCAGGGCCATTTGTACAGCAAATCCTTCTCTTCTTTGTGCCAGAGATGGGGAGGCACATTCGTGCCTCCCGCATCGAAAGCCGTCTCACACACTGAAAGCTTCACACTGTGCTGGGCGCTTCACATACGTTTTCATTTCCTCCACACCCACCTATGCGTCGGGGGCAGTCACCATCCCCTGGCCCTCTCCTCAGAAAGTTGTCAGTGACCAACTTTAAGAGGATTCTCTAGAAAAAGCCAAAGTGACTTGTCCGGCTGCCTGGAGGACACTTGTTCCCTACCACGAACAAAAAGAGGACATTGCTGTTTAAAGAGCTCTGGCTTCGACAGGACACTCAGCCCCAAATTAGCACCCTGTCTCCCGCACCCTTTTCTCCCTGCACTGCTCTGGATGCCAGACTTTCTGAGCCCACTGTTCCCCTCTTCGCCCCGTGGGGCAGACTCCCAAGGATCCCAGGCCTCCCCCAACAGCATTGGCAGAGCGACGCCAAGCCCGGGCTGACCACTGGGACATGTCCCTGGCAATGGGGACGGCCCTCTTTGCCAAGCCTCTTCAAAGTGGTTGCTATTTCTGAGTTCTGCCTGCTTGCCTGGAGCACAGCAAGGGTTACCATCTGACCCCAGCACTATTAAATCTTTTTAAAGTTTAATCTTCAGGGGATTTTGACTGTAAATAAAGAACACTCCACATGTAGAAAATAAACTTACACTCATGACTTCATGCATGACCCCAAGTTCAATTTCTGTTTGTGATTTAGCAGAGAGGAGACAAGGTATGTGATGCACATCTGCGGGTGTGGGAGGGGCTCCACAGTAGAGAGGCAGCCCCTCCCGTCACAGTTAGAGGAGAGGCGACACCCCCACAGCCACATGGAGGATAGGTGGCACAGCCGGGCAGCCCAGTGCCTGTGACCAAGGTGCAGCTTGCTCCAACAGTGGGCACATCTGGAGGTACTCAGCAGTGACATCTGGGTTGATTTTGTGCCAGGATTTGGTGTCAGGGCCACACTTTCACTGGGGTCATGGTCCACAGATTGGACACCATGCGCAATGCCAGACTTGGCATATCTAAGGTTCTGTGCTCCCCTCAGCCACCCCTAAGTGCTCTGTGGCAAAAGGACAGATGCAAGAAACTTCAGAGTCTGAGGAACCAGACTTGAGCCTCAGGGAAGGGCCCTCTCCGCTGCCCTCAGCCTTTCACAGCTCTCCATGCACAGGCTGTCACTGGAGCCCCAAAACAGCCCCCAGACACTGACAAAACACATGTGAGCACCCCATTTTCCATTTACATGTGAAGAAACTGGGCTCAGAGAAGCCCACCACCAAAAGGGAGCAGCTTGATGATGGCCTGCTGACTTGCAGCCCTGGGTTGCAGCCACCACACCGGCTGCCTTGCCTCCCAGATCCGACATGCCACTGAGGCTTCCAGGCTGAGGGGGAGAACTGGCCCCAAGGGTGGGGGTGAGAGTCACAGGCAAATCGCCTCTAACTAGAGCCATCTTCTGTCCCTCAGTTGCAGCCTGGTGCTGGAGCCCCCAGAAGGCAAAGTGCGGAGGACCTAGACGGGCGTCTGTGCACTTGACACCAACCCCTCCACAAAGCCCTTTCCAGCCTGGCTATCATTCCTCCCTGGGCATGAGGAAGACATGAACCTGACTCCAGAACAGGTGTCTCTGCAAGGCTCCCCAGGCCAAGGAGCAAACGTGGATGGTTCTAGAACAAGAGCACTCACACCCATTGTATGACTTTGGGTGAGGGTGCTTTCTTCCCTGGGCCTCCTTTCCCTAGGTACAACAAACGGTTTAGAAGGTGTCACACAGGACTGTTGTTCGCCACTAGTGCCCTAGGGAGAGCCAGCTCAGCAGTCTTCAGGAAGGACTGGAAGAAGAGAGGGGCTTTTAAGGAGACATGATGTATATAAATATCAGGGGAGATCGGCTCTGACTTCATGGGGTAGGGATGAGGGCATAGTGAAGTAAATTAAAAATGGCCACCTTGTATCATTGTTGGTGATCTCCTTGTCTGAATCTCTCATTAGAACACAAGGAAAGTCAGACGGAGTGGCTCATGCCTGTAATCCCAACACTTTGGGAGACCAAGGTAAGAGGATTACTTGAGCCCAGGAGTTCAAGACCAGCCTGATTAATGTAGTGAGACCCCGTCTCTACAAAAAAATTTTAAAAAATTAAAACTAACCAGGCATGGCGGCATGTGCCTGTGGTCTCAGCTACTGGGGAAGCTGAAGTGGGAGGACTGTCTGAGCCTGGGAGGTCAAGACTGCAGAGAGCCATGATAGTGCCAGTGCACTCCAGCCTGGGCAACAGAGCGAGATCCTACCTGAAATAAAAAAGAAAGAATACCAGGGAAGACACTCTGGAGTGTGGAACTTTGCACCATGCAGATTCCCAAAACACAATGGATGGATAGATAGATGGATGTGTGGAAGGATAAAAAAATTGATGATGGATGATTGATGGATGATGGATGGGATGGATGGATGGGTGGATGGATGGCTAGACAGATGATGATGGATATATGATAGATTGGATGAATAGATAATGGATGATGATGAATGGATGGGTGGATGGATGGATGGATGATGCATGGGTAGATGGATGGACAGATGGATGATGATGGATGATAGATGGATGAATAGATGATGGATGATGATGAATAAGTAGATACATGGATAGATGGATGGAGGATGGGTGGGTGGATGGATGGATGGGATGATGGGTGAGTACAGGTGAATAAGGGGGTAGTTGATTGAGTGGATGAGTAAATAAAGGTGAAAAGGGATGGACAGATGGATGGAGGGAGAGAAAATGGGAAAGAGGGATGGTCAGGTTGACTGAGGGGAAGACAGGAGTGGTTGAGCAGAGGAGCAGGACAAATAGAGAAAGAAGTGAGTAGAATAATGGTAGGATGGATAGGTTGCAAAACTGAGCACTAGCAGAGGGATAGAAACTCTCAAAGGGAAGGTGAAATCTCCAAGAACCAGCAATGCCACCTCTAATCATGGCCCAGACCATCTGGACATCCCAACCATGAGAAGGAGGATGGCTTCCTCTAGACAGCACCTGCCTTCTTTCCCATGCTGCCCAACCCAAGAACCCTGCAGCCCTGGATCTGATTCATCATGAAGCAACCCCAGTCAAGTTCTGATAGAGATAGTATGTTTATTTTTTAAACAGGAATGAATTATTCAGCACTTCTAAATCCAGAATACATCAAGTCTAAACTGACACACACTGTGCTTTTCCCCTCTCCCTGCATACACTTAGAAATATTCTGTAATTTCTTTAAAAGAATAAAATTATTGATTGTGGGTGAATTAAAAATTCAAGAAAGACCCAGGAGCAAACGGGAGGTAGGAGATGTCGCTGGACTGGTGTTAAGTGCCCGAGGAGAAAGGGTAGTCAATGTGGGGGATACAGGAAAGTAAGAAAGGAAGGGATAAAGGGCTAGGGGAAAAGGAGGCATTTCGTTTCTGCCACACTGAGCTGAGTGGAGCCGAGAGTTTGCCTTCACGTTCAGCAGGCATTGGAGGTTTGGATTCTACCAGCAAAGCCCAGCCCAGGTGGGAAGGCCAGGAGGCCCCTTTAGAAGCTCCCTGGCCCTGGGGAGTGATCTGGTTTATTAGGAAAATCATGGAGTCTTAGTCCTGGGCTCAGGAAGGTGTGGGAGCCTCCAGGGCCCCAGGGTCTTGGCTTTGCTTCTCAGGACTGGGTCTTCCAGTCAATGGGATGGCAAGACATCTGACCCAGTACCTCTGCCAACATGGTGTGCTTCCCCTAAGGAACTATCATGCTTTGAGCCTCAGCAAATCTCTCCCATTAGGTGCCCAGCCTTTCCAGGAGGAATCCAGGAAGTCACATGAGGTGGGAAGCGCCAGGCCAGAGTGGTCTCCATGAGGCAGGACCGCAGGCCATCTGAGGCCCCCACTAGGAGTGAGAGTAAGGGGCTCGGTGGGCAGGAGGGCTGTGAATGGAGGGCTCATGAAGAGTTCATGGCCAGCCCAGGTGATGGGCAATGGGAAGTTCCAGAAACTTACTGTGAGCTCCAAAACATGCATTGTTTCAGCTACAAAGCATTGATGAGATGGAATAGGAAGGGAAATTCGGGAAAAGGATGGTTCCTTAGGAAGACTGGGCTGGCTTCCTGTGGGCCTGGCCAGGGGGGCAGGATTTAAAGGGACCCCAGAAGCAAGCATGTAACACACGCAGCCCTCCCAAGAAGGCGCCTGCAGAGTCCTTAGGGCGACAGGACCAAGTCCCGCAGAAACAGAGATGGGTTTGTGAAGCAGGATGGACAAGCACAGTGGAGTCCTCTGAGCCAGGAATTTCCCCTGTGGGCATCTGGCTTAAGGAAATCACCCAAAATGAGGGGGAAAAATTGTCTTCTTCATACAAAGATGATCATCATAGTATTTTTTTATATAGAAAAACTACTGGAAATAACTCAAAGCCAATAATAAAAGAATTATGATATAAATTATGGCACATCTATTCAATGAAAAACGGCAGCTATTACAAATGATGGTCCCAAACTCAATGGGAATTTGGCAAAATACAAATCACGTGATGCCTGAGGAAAAGACTGAAAGCTAGTGGTACAATTTTTCTGATTATATATATGGAAAAATGTGGATGAACAAGGGAAGATGAGGCCAGACATGGTGGCTCACGCCTGTAATCCCAGCACTTTGGGAGGCCAAGGCAGGCGGATCACGAGATCAGGAGTTCGAGACCTGCCTGGCCAACTGGTGAAACCTTGTCTCTAATGAAAATACAAAAATTAGCCGGGCATGGTGGTGCACGCCTATAATTCCAGTTACTCAAGAAGCTGAGGCGGAGAATTGATTGAACCTTGGAGGCGGAGGTTGCTGTGAGCTGAGATTGCACCACTGCATTCTGGCCTGGCCAGCAGAATGAGACTCTGTCTCAGAAAAAAAAAAAAGAAAGAAAGAAAAAAAAGAAAAAAGAAAACAAAAATTAAATTAGCCAGGTAGACTAATTAAAAAAAAAAAAGAGGAAGATGAAAAGGAAGTTTACCTAGAGGTTAGCATCTGGTTTGTGTTGGAACAGGGGTAATTAAGGGCACTTTGATTCCCATGCATCTGTTTTCTAAATTTGTGGTACCGAATGAAGATTTCTTTTATCATTTTATTTATTTATTTTTTTAAGACAGAGTCTCGCTCTGTCATCCAGGCTGGCGTGCAGTGGCGTGGTCTCGGCCCACTGCAACCTCCACCTCCCAGGCTCAAGTGACTCTCCTGCCTCAGTCCCCTGAGTAGCTGGGACTACAGGCACATGTCACCATGCCTGGCTAATTTTTCATATTTTCAGTAGAGACGGGGTTTCAACGTGATGGCCAGGCTGGTCTCAAACTCCTGACTTCAAGTGATCCTCCCACCTCGGCCGCCTAAAGTGCTGGGATTACAGGCGTGAGCCATCGCACCGGCCCCTTTCTACCATTTTAAACTATGAGCATGGTGAGGGCAGTTGTAGGGCCAGAGCCAAGTTTTCTCAGAGTTCAGAGAAGAGTTTGCAGAGAAAAGGAGATGAGCCTGGGGCAGGTGGATTTGCAGAAGAGAGGGCTGGGAGGTCGGGGTTGCAGCGTCACACAGCTGGAGCTGATTTCCTGAAACCACACCTGACCCTGGAGCCAGAGCCTGCGAGGGGGCCCCACGCCCAAGGGACGGAGATGGTGAGATGCATTTTTCTGTGTCACTGGAATAGAGGCGCAGGAGGACAAGGTTATTTCTGTGTGTTTGTCGCTGCACTCCCAAAGCATGACACACACTAACCATTCAATACGTATTCTGTGGGTTAATGGATTGAAATATGCCTCTGTGGAATGTGCCTCTGTTTTTGTGACACGTCCGGCGCACAGTGGGCCTTCTCCTGCTTACACACTGAATTTAAGGCCCTGATTCTCCCGGGAGCCAAGAAGAGGAGAGCTCCAAATGGCGTTTCACGGAGAAAATAAATCTGGAAATCGTTTGGATAATCCAGGTCGGGGAGGGGAGCGTTTTACCCTTCCCTGGGCCCAAACTTCCCAAATACCACGTACGCTCCACACCGTTCCATCTGCAAGGCCTCCCAGAGGGCTCTCTGACGGGGGCTCCGTGGGCTGCGTGGACATCCAGCCCAGAGAACCCCTTGCCCCTCTGCTCCACCCCAGTTCCTCATTCTGGCAGGTCCTGACCCCCAAGATGCTGTGTGTTTTTCCCTGAAAACCAGGAGATAAAGAGGACAAAGAATTGAGGAAGTCTAATTTGCTCAAAGAAAGTGCGTTACATGGTTTCTCTGAGAAAGACTGAAAACATTCCTGATGAATCGTAGCCCAAAGACCCTGATTAAAATGGACTAGAATGAATCCACTACACTTCTATTTAAAAATGACATGCCATTAATTCAGTTTAATTCAAATATTAAACATGATTAACATTTCTATACGATTTATCAGGATTTAAGAAAAAAATAAATGACAGTGACCATCAAAATATTGACAGTTATTGGGAAGTGACTTCTGGTGTTTAATCAATGTTTTTTTTAATCATGTGATTTTTTTCTTCAAGTCAGCTTCTGACACCAAACTACATTTCATCAAGGTTGGTAAAATGTTTAGAGAGGAACAGATGTCAGAACATGGGGATTGCCAGTAACACTGATGGGAGCCAGTAATTTCCTTCCTGTCCAATGGCAAAAGGATGAAAAAATAATCTAAATTGCATACAGTCATGCAAGGTTTACTGAAACATTAATGGCTATAAAAAGTAAGAGCACACAAAGCTATCTCCATTTTTTTCCCCAAAACATCACTAAGGGTAATGACTTTTATATTTTAATTGTTTTAATTTATGAGAAATTCAACAAAAACCTTTACTTTTAAACCCTGAAATAGCTACACAAATACAGCTGATGATATTGATTAATGTTTATTAGCTCGTTCCAAATATACTTGCATCTTAGTCAATTCTGCCATTTAATAATTTTGCTAAATCTCAAAAATGGAGATGCAATCTTGCCTTTAAGAAGGCAGCCCTGCTAGTTATTTACAGATTGTAACATTTACATAAGAGTTTGGTTTAACAAGAGATATAAATATAGATAAAACCCTTAGGACTTCATTCTTTAAACTGCCCTCTAAAAATCTGCCCTGCAATTTGCAAACTGAATTTTGTGCAGACTATTCTTGGAAGCCTTTGTGAATTAGGGAGAACTAACTCAAAGCAAGGGCTGGCTAATCACAATTTTGCAAATTGTACGTAGCAATCATCCTCACATTGTGAAATTCAGATCTATAAAATGCTGATGTTTTAAAGTTGAAAAATAAATTAGCTCACTAGAACTATTTCGCAAAAAAAAAACATCAGTCTGAGCCTTTACGACTAAATTATTTGTTTTAAAAAAATTAAAAGATAGTCACATTGGTAGCAAATAATAAATAAAGGCAGAATATCATTCCAGCATGTTCCTGCCACGATCATCTGAACATCGGAGGGTGCCTCCGGGTGTCCCCAACTTCCCGGCATCTCCTAGAAATACTCACCTGCGTAGAGCGTGCGGACCCTGTAACTCCCAGAATACACTTGTGGCCATGCCCGGACTTCTATTTTAAATGCCTGCAGTGTATTTGTCTACGATCTGGAAAACGCTCTCAGACAGGGAAGGGATTAGTCAACATATTCTTTGATATGTCATCTATTCACTTGCTAAAGCCGATTCATGTCCATCCAGCCAAAGAAGTTGGCAGTTAGCATTTGTTTATTTGTTAAAACCAATGCCATTTGGGTTACAAAAACTGTAATAATATCAAATATAAAAGAAGGGAGCAAACTGCCCCAAAGGCACTCTCCAAATCCAGTCTATCTGAAAATGGAGTGGCCCTGGGTGAAGAAAGCTGACCTTAGAAGAGAAGCTTACTGGCCCACAGAGAACAGGACACGACGACCCAGGGCTGCGGGTACATTGCAGTGAATTTTCTACAGATCCTCACCCTAAGAGAAGAGAGACATATACATGCAAGCGCACACATGTGCGCCATGCACACACATGCAAACACACGTGTATGCACAGACTCATGCGCACACACACACACCTAATGTGCCTCTTGTTAGCCCAATGCCCCATGCTGTAGCCTGCACACAGAGTCAGAGGTGGATACAAAGACTGAAGCTCAGCAAACCCTGTTTTCTCAAACTCCAAGGCCTCTCTGCAGTCTTTCGCTCTAGTGGAATCTTGTGATATTTAAAATTGCTTGAAATTAGCCCATATTTAAAACTACTCTAATTCCATTGCAAAGGCATCTGCCCGCCCTAGCCTTGGTCTGCATCATTTCATTGGCTCTTTTCAGACCTACGTGTGGTTTGCCCGGTTCCTTCCTTGTTCTTGGATATTACACCAGTTAAATATAAATGTAACTGATATGAGGTTTGATATCACCCCATCTTCATGCATTGTAAGCTCCTTGAAGGCTGTCATACACAGTTCTGGGCACAGCACAGTTCTGGGCAAATATGCAACTGAACCTCATGCAGTGTTGGGAGAGGGCTCCATCAGCTCAAGGGGTCCTGGGGGAAACTGGCCAAGATGGTTTTATCATTTTAAAAAATGTGATCACAAGGACCTTGGAAAGGGCAGGCCGGATGTGCCGACACTTGGCCGTTCTGCCAGTATCCTGCGTGCCACTGTGGAGACGGCTAGACACCAACTCCAGTCCACAGAGGTGGCATTTCTTACCTCAAGCACTCGGTCGCTTAGCCTGCAGCGTAGGCATTTTGCGTAACATTGCTTCTAGAAAGCAAATATTTATATTAGTAAATACCATCAAGATATGATCTGCATTCAAGTGTTTTCTATAGGTAGCTGTTAGAAACAAGAAAAGAAATTGCTGCCTAAGTGGTGAAGAGGGAAAACAAGATGTGTGGGCGTCTCAGAAGAATTGATGAAATGCCTTAAAATGTTACCTTTCTGCTCTTAATTCTGAATGTTGACTCAACACTCCATTACAAGGTAAACCCTCCAAAGACAATGGTCAGAGGTCATTGAAACTCATCTCCCCCTCCAGAAGGAATGCCCAGCCCCGCTCCAGCAGCCAGGCGCAAATGGTCTGCCCAAGACACATTGCCAGCAACCTCCGTGAGGGCTGGGTTCAAACGCACATGGCCTACGCCTTCTGGAGCACAGACCCCTGGAAGGATGGGGTGAGAAAACAGAGGCACCCACTCCTCGGGCCGCTGGACTTCCAGCCAGGCCATCTCCACATCTGGGAACAGGTGTAAAACCAGGGTGTAGGTGCAAGACCTAAAGAGACATGTCACCTACCATGTGTCTGCCCTGAACTCAGAGGCACCTGCAAGGGGCTCTCCTAATGCCTGGGGGGTGGCTTGAGATCATGGGTGGCTAAGAATATGTCCCTGCTCTGACAGGACCCAGCTGGGTAACCTCAGACAAGACAGTAAGCCCCCTGCCCCTCAGTTTCTTGTGGAAAAACAGCATAATTACACCTGTCTTCTGGGAGAGGGGAGCTAGGACCCCAGACAGGGCTGGGTTCAAGGTGTAGTGGCTGTCTTCACTGTGGGGTGGCTGTAGGTGTTTATAACAGTATTTTAACCTACATTTTCAATTTTAAGTTATTGAACTACAGGCTATCAGAGCTTTGGGCACCTTAAGAATAATGAGGGCTAACCCCCTCTCTATCAGGAGCAAAGGGAGGCCTTGCCAAGCCCACGCTTTGACCTGAGTGCCCATACTCTGCTGTCCTGCAAGCTGTGTCCCCCTCCCCATGTCCCTAGGCTCCTCAGGGTCCACAGCCAGGCTTCACAGGGCTTTATGCTACATGCCACGGCAGGGCGGGTATCTTAGCATCCCACCTGGACCAGGCTCAGCACGGGATTCCACGGCCTGCACAGGCCAGGAAAGGCAAATCATGTAGGCTTTATGTACCAGCCCTCAGGTGGCCCCAGAAACCACCTGTTGAAGACCTTCCCAAAAGTCTTCAGCACACACCTGGAATGGCACCCATGGAATGAAGAGCAAAGCAAATGCTCTGTAATGTAACAGGATGAGGCCTCACCCTCTCATGCCCAGACTACTGCCTGGTACCTCGTCTTTGTAGCCAACCCTCCCCTACCCTATCCATCCTGAGCAGTCTTTCTAAGCCTTCCCTGATTATGTCCTTCCCTTGCTCTACAGCAGCCCCCCAAAAATGTTTAAAATATGTATAACAAAGGGGTAATGTCCAACATATGTAAAGAGCTCTTGAAAATCAATTTAAAAAATAGAAAAATAGGAAAACATATTAACAAGCAATTTATAGAAGTCATTAGAGTGGGCAATACAGATATGAAAAGATAGCTAGTTGTACTCTGAATGAGGGACATACAAGTAGATGATACCAGCCTTCCTCCTTCATACTGGCAAACATTTAAAGGAGCAATAACATTCAGTATTGGTGAGGTTTTGGCAGGTAAGTACTATGCATACAATATTGGTAGACATGTATACAATGTACACAAACAACATTACTTGGAAGGAAATTTGGTGGCGTCTATTAAAGAATTAGAATATATACCTACTGATTCTGCAATGCTACTTCTAGGAATCTATCCTACAGAAATACCCAAACTTGTTTACCGTGATACAGTGTTTACTGCAGCATTTTAAGCGTAATGTCGAAAAGAAAATGGAAACCTCCCTCATATCCAACATATGGGTACATGAATATGAATATGCCATACCACACAGAATTACACAGAAGTTAAAAAATGTGTGCACCTCCTATGTATCTGATGTTTTGATCTAAAAACAATACTGTTTTTTTTAAAAAAAGTAAGTCTCAGGACAATATGTATAGTAAGATCTCATTATGTAGGCTTCAATGTCAATTTTATGTAAAATACATATGCATGATTTTCTTTTTGTGAATATTCACCCTACACATGATGTATATATACACCAGTCCAGCAGGTGCTGTTTACCAAACCAAAATGCATTATAGGAATTTTCTCCATCGATGGGAGAAGGATTTGGAAGTAGAGTTGAAAGGGGTCTTTTAGATTTCACGTTACAGAAATCTGTGTTGTTTGAATCTTAATAGTGAACCCACAGAACTTTCGTAATTCAGTGAAATCAACTACACTGAAACACGAAACCCTTCAGGCTGCCCCTCCTCCTCCAGTACCAAGACAAGGATCCTTCACTGGACTCAGGACCTTCCTATCGGGCCCCTGTTGACCTTCTCAAACCAGACCCTGCTACAGAGGGCCCAGAGGGGGGTGGCTCATGCCCCACCATCATCCTTCCTTCCTTTTCTTACCTCTGCATATAAAACTCTGACTCAATTTTCCAGGCCACCTCCTCCAGGAAGTCTTCCCTGACTGCCTCCTCCAGGAAGCCTTCGCCTCCCTACTCTCAATAACTCCTTTCACTATGCCCTATAAACTGTTATGACCCATCCCTTACTCCTTAAGTGTGACTCACATTGGACAGTACACTTCACAAGAGAAGGACCATGCCTCTTCATTCTCCCCATCAATGCATATTTGTTGAGCACCTATTATGTGCTGAGCAAGCTTCTAGGTGCTGAAAATACAGCAGAGAACAAAAGGCATGAGATTCCTGCCCTCAAGGAGCTGATAATCTGGGACAGAAGAAAACAGTGAAATAAGAAGAATAAGCAGAAGTGCCAAGGGGAGAGAAGCATGGAAGAGAAACTAGTAGGCGTGGTGGGGAGGAGGACCCGGTGGGCCACAAAGGCCTCGCTGAGACATGCCATTTAGGCCAAGGCCTGCAGGTAGAGAGCCAGCAGGGAGAGTGGGGCCAGTGGGTGGGGGATCGGGGCTGGGTACCCTGCAGGAGCTCAGGAACCACCTGTGTAGACAAGCAAACAAATAGCTCCACCCAGAGAAAGGGGAGGGGTTGGGTGCGATCACCCACCTTAGCCTGCCTCTTGCTCATTGCCACAGGCACATTCCTCCTATCAGACCAATAAGAGCCCTGGACCACCTACCCAACACCTTGCCCAGGCCCCTGGAGTGAGGGAGAGAAGGGACCTCCCCAGCGAGCCGGGATCAGAGCACAGGCCCACAGGGAAAGCTACTTAGGTCAAAGTGCAAAGATAACCCTGACAACATGAGTCCAACAGCTGAGCTCTGCCTCCCAGATCCTGGGAGCTGGTGCTGCGCCTACAAGGCTCTGGGAACACGGTGTGGCTCTTTTCTCTATGAGGGCAGCCACAAGGGTGGAGGACAGCAGAGCTGAGACCTGATAAGTGGACCCTCGAGATGTGTGGCACCTGGCAGCAGGTACCAAGGGCACCTGAGAGCTGCAGCTAACTCACAAAGGAGCTGTCTCGACGAGGGGCAGAGTCTCGGAACCAGGGCCCCAGAAGGCATAACCTGCAGGAGCCCTGTCTACACCACAGCCTGCACGAATGATAGTCCAGCCCGCACCGCCCCGCTCGAGACTCCATTCCCAGGGACACCATGGTGCACCTGCAGCTCAGGACTGCTGCCCTGCCCCAGAGGGGTCCCCGGGGCCCCCAGGCCCTTCACTCTAATGTTCTCTGCACAGCAGGTGAGCAGAGCCCTCTGCCAATTTGCAGCCCCAGGAGACAGCAGGGGCCTCCAATAAGCAAAGCAAGCATTTGCTTAGCACACCAGCCATGCAGGGCCACCTCAAAGCTGAGTACATTGGGAATAAGAGCTGGAGTTGACAGTCCCAAAGGAGCGTTGGAGTAGTTGCCATGGGAGGCAGCAGGACTTTGATGAACTTCCTTACATCTGTGTTATGGCCTAACCTCTATTCTTTACTCTGAAGTCCGCATAGTGCGGAGCGAGGGACAGGGCCATCTATTCTCGGAGCCCAGGCTTCCAGGGTCTTCCTCTGGTCCCATGAGAAGGCCTTCAGGTTGGGAGACTCAAATTTCATACACCACTTTTCCTTAACGGGGAACCCACCTGTACTCAGGATGCCACACTGAACTGAGGACCCCCAGAGGCCACTCTTGGCCTGGGCTTCTCAGGGATGCTGGAAACCACAGTCGGGGTGGGCAGTGTGGGGACAGCAGGCTGTGAGGCTCTCCCTCCTGCCCAGTCCTTTCAAGCCCCACCTTGGACAGGGATCTCTGGCCCTGGGAGGCTTTGGAGGTCATGGGGTGAGGGTGAGAGTTGCAGGGGGTGGCAGGTAGCAGAGCTTGGGGTTTTGCTCAGAGAATGGGCTCCCTGTGGAGAGTGCGGAGTGGGTGGGCTTCCCCAGGACCCCTGGGAAACAGGGCTGTGTGTGGCCAGGCTGAGATCAACCTGCTCTGACTGACACAGTGGGGAGGAGACAAGGCAGGGGACCTAAGCAGAAGTCAGCCACCACTAGTAGATTTTCTAGGGGTTCTTACCACTTAAGGTTATTTGGCACCAGCAGAAGGCCCAGGCAGGGCCAGCTGTGTCAGGAAAGGTTTGACCCGAAAGCTCACTGTACAAGGCGCCTGGACAGGGAGCTACCTGCAAGCAAACCTCCACCCCGCTATCTGGGCAGCCCAGGCTCTGTCCAAGCCTCGGGCTGCAGAGACTGTGTCACCTGCTAAGGCAAGATCCTTGTGAGTGCCCCGGGCTCTGTGTCTGCCACGGCCTTGTCACCTCGCTAAGCCATCACAGAGACCCAGGGATGATGCCTGGCATGTCTGCTCTGAGGCTCACCCCAGCGGGATCTGGAAGTCCCTGGCCTTTCACTTTGATAGGAAGGAGAGAAGTATGGGAAGTGTGGCCATCATGATGTCTGGGGACTGAAGCAGGCCCTGCCCTGCAAAGGGCCAGAGCAAATGCTACTGTACCCATTTTGCAAAAGAGGAAACGGTCCCAGCAAAGGAGGGAGGCTGCCTGAGGTCACAGAGGCGTTCGTGGGAAAACCCAGGCTCCTGGCTCTCTGTGCAATGCACATCCCAGCCCACTAGGCCGCCCGAGGCACAGTCCGAAGACCATACCCTATTATACAACTGCATAGCACACATCCTTCACCCTAAGCAAGAGGGAGCCACTCTGACCATGAGCAGTGGGGGTGGTCCACACCCTCCTTCAGATGGGTTCTGGACACCTGGTCCCCCCATGCAGGTGACTGTGGGAATCTTTCAAAGACAGAAAATACTTTGTAAATTTTATGATTTTTATTTGTATTTTAAACTAGTTTAATACAAAAAGAAAAATAATCACTTTAGCAAAAACTCCATTGATCTGACTTAACTAGAAAAAAGATCGCAAGGAATCCCAGAAGCTTGTTTTTGGAAGTTGCTTTGGAAGCCAAATGTGAGCATGGGAAGCTCTGTGCGCTCGGGCCAGCAAGGGTTGGAGAGAAGGAAGTGGAGGAGGCAGGACCACCATTCCACTCTCTGAGACAGGCTTTCTCCGGGAAAGTTGTGGCGCGTCCCCCTCTTCCCTTCCATCCCCGCCCCCTCTGTTCATCCTGGGGTGCCCACAGACCTTCTCTTCTCCCCACAGTTAAGGTCACATGCACCTCGCCATCCTGGAAAGGCTCATCTTCTCTCATGCACCGCCTCTCTCCACCTGCAAAATGGCAAGTGCAAACTGTACCCAGGTGTCCAAAACCGTGGCACGGGCACCAGTGATGGGAAGTGAGACTCACTCATTCAAATTTAATTTAATTTAATGTTTTTCTTGCAACAGGGTCTTGCTCTGTCACCCTGGCCAAAGTGCAGTGGTGCGATCAGAGCTCACTGCAGCCTCCAACTCCCGGGCTCAAGTGATCCTTCCATCTCAGCCTCCTAAGTAGCTGGGCTGACAGGTGCACACCACCTCAACTAATTTTTTTTTAACTTTTCGTAGAGATGAGGTCTCACTATGTTTCCCAGGCTGGTCTCGAACTCCTGGCCTCAAGTGATCCTCCTGCCTTGGCCTCCCAAAGCACTGGGAATACAGGTGTGAGCCACCACGCTTAGCCTTAAAATTTTAATAGTCCACTTGCATTTACTTTAATGTGACTCAGGGAAACATAACTAGCACCTTCAACCCATGATCTCACAGCAACATTAGGACTAGGCTAACTAAGTTGGGCAGGTATCAGGCTGGGGAATGAGAGAGTGGGGGTGGGGGAAGAGAGAGAGAGAGAGAAGTTGATGTAAAGCTGCTTCAATGAAAATATTAAACAAATAATAGGAGGGTATGGATATGGCAAAAGGAAATACACGAAGACCATATGGGGAGTAAATGAGGTGCAGATTATCCAGTGAGCAGGCTAAGCACCTGCCTAGGGCACCAGAGCAGTGCAGGCCCCACAAAGTTGAGAAAAAATATTTGAAACAATGTGATGCTTTGGGAGAAAATATTAAATCTCAGAACTTTCTTCTACTTCGCCACACTTAATGCTACAGCTTCATATTGTTTTTTATCTGAACTGCACACAGGGGTGGCAAAAGGGCACCTGCCTTTTTGGGGTGCAGGGCCCTTATAACCAGTCCTCAGTAGGAAGGGCCACCATGGTCAGGAGCTCAGGGACAGATGGGCTCCTGATCTCCCTCCACCTCTGCCCAGAGCATTAGGAAAGACAGACACAGCCCCAGGAAGCACAGAGAGGCCCCTCTAGAGGCAGGCAGTCACTGGAGGCATGAGCAGCGCCAGTGGTCACTCTCCATGCCCTGTACAAGGTCCCCACGCCTGTCACCTCCAGGCCCTAGGGACCAAGGGCTCCCTCAGGATCCAAGCGTCAGGCCAGGCTCATCAGGGAACGATGGATCTCCTGAACCAACCTTACAAAAACCCACGGGCAAGGGAGCCGGGGCCCTGAGTCGCCCAGGAGGGCTCACATCAGATAATGAGGAATGGGTTTTACAAAGTAGCCCTCCGCCACAGCCCATGGTCCCTGTGGCCCATTATCCGAGCACTTGAACCCTGGATAACAATGAGTTCATAGAGAAGAAAGTGCTCGGCGTTAATTGTCTGTATTTAGTCACGCAAACAGAAGCAATGGTCTGAGAATGGCTGGTTAGCCGCTGACAGCCTCAGCTCCAAGCTGGCTCCGAGGAGCGGTTACAAATTGTTTTGATGGAGATTCTACCAGAGCAGTAAATTTCCTCTTAAACCTGCTTGCCTGGAACAAGTTCTCTCCCCTTGCTCCGTCTTCTCCTTTCTCCCCACTTTTCGCCTTAAATGAAATTCCTGCCGCTGCTAATATCCAACAAATAAACATCATTAAGAAATTGAAGGCACTGAAAGAATGTGTGGTTTATGTTAAATTTTCCCCTGTCAATCAATTCTGCATGTCTGCATGAAACCGATGATCGCATCATCATGTTAGTTTGCCTGACTTGTTCGGCACAAAGAAGGTGGGAACATTTTCTCAAGCAGGGATGTCAGCACTTGAAGAATCCATCACCATCTGTGCTCATTTTCTGAAAGGGAGAAAAACAACCCCTGTTTAAGAATACACCAGAACAAATAACTTGAATGTTTGAAAATAAACCACAGGGTCAAAGAAACTTTATAATGAAACGGGGAAGCAACAGTATTGTTCTGTTTTTATAACGCGGGGCTGGCGTACCTTCATTTGACACAGTCTTTGCTCCAAAAATAGATATTAATAATACCCACGGAAAGACCAGCACCATGTGAAATGCATGCAAACACGTTATACTAAAACCATCTAGCAAGGCCCTGGGAGAGACCTATGGAGAAGGAGCTCTCTCCTGCTCCCAGCTCTCGAACCCCAGGACTCTGATGGGGCAGCCTCTGCATTCATTCCACGCCACGCCTACCCTTCCCACTTGTCCCTGCCCCTCCCCACCCACTTTTCTCATCTGAAAGGCAATCAGAAGCCCCTCTAATCCCAAAAGACCACCACCCAGAAAAAGCCAAGGAAGGAAAAACTTTCATCACCAAACTTTTCGAGCAAAGCCGTCGAAGTCACCCTGCGACAGGGATGCAGAAGGGAGGAGGGAGACGTGAATGGAAACATTGTTCCACCCTTAATAAACTTATAAGCCAAGAGCATTTCGATCTAATTTTTCTTTCTGCATCTCACTATTGTACTTTGTCATGAGGAGGTCTCACATAAATAATGTGTTCTTACGAAAGTTTTTAAGACACCCAAAGTTGGACAGCAGTGTTACAAATGATGTCCGACACAAAGAATATCAATTAATCAAATGGTAAAACACTACAAGAACTCACAGCACACAAGTAGCAGAGGGAAAGATAAATTGATTTTTGCTGCAGCAGTGCGCCTTTTCAGCCGCACAACTGTGTGAAAAATACCAGTGAAAAAGTGTGCTGAGGCAGCAGAACCATTTAATACTCCACAAACAGTTATCTGAGGCAACGTCCAATAACCAGACAGCACAGTAATGTGACCTACATACTAACAAAATCATTTTTAGACATAGAAGCGAGTCCACACTGGCCCCCGGGATACCAGTTAGATAACCAGTTATCTCTTGCAACCTTCCCGGAACTTTGTCTTTGCCCCCTTTCCCCATTTCTACAGCTAAAATGTGTTATCAGAGACCATTCAGAGAGCAACCAGAAAGATGAAGCAAACATATCACTCCTTAAGTCATTTCATTCGCTTGGCGACCTCTTGAGTCTCTGCATTTTCATAGCTTTTTTGTTTGTTTTGATTCCCCTTACATGTCTTCTTTTGTGTCTGATGGACTTCTTGTCTTTTCCAGAACTTTTTTCCTAGACCAGGGTGGGAAAGTCTTGCTGTTGCCTGAGGACTCTTCTTCTCAGGACTCCTCAGAGATCTTGCCAAGTGTGGTTAAGTTGGGCAGGGGACAGGGCTGGGGGGACGCCACGAATCACACTGTCATTGAATAGCATCATAAGAAATTCTCAAGCGCCATTTTCTCCAAGCTGGCCTCATCACCAAAGATCTATCTCATGGACCCTTCACAGGAAATCATGGTGCTCCACTTGGGAACATAGCCTAGAGTGAGACCGCACAAAACACAGACTGCTGGACTCGAAGCAGAGCTCTGTGCGACCACAGAGTGACTTCCAGTGGCTTGCAGTTCCCAAGCTGTCTGGAGAGGAGCAACCCTTAGAACTTGGAGCCTTAGAGAACTCTCACTGGCTTTCCTAGCAGGCCTTAACTCCCTCTAGTAGCTGTCTATGGGCTACAGGAACCCATTTTTATGGAACACATGAGGACTCTGAGGACCTGAAAATCTCCCATCCCCTCCCTCACTGCCCTGGAGCAACAAAACCAAGATGGCGCCCAACTCAAGAATTTCTCTCCAGCTAGAGTTGAGTGCCAGCTTTGCAAGTCCTTTAAAAAATCTTCTCCTTCTAAACCTTTCTCCCACCCCATTTCAGTCTTCAGAACTTATGACTGATAATCCTCTTTGTTTCAAGAAAATCATGGTTCACATGAAAAAAAAAATGTTCACAAGATTACATGGAGAAAGCGCCAAGTCCCCCTAAAATAATGCCACAGCAATCAAGTTCATCTCAGTCCACATTGTGAGTATTTTTAGGGTAATGTTACCCTTTATGCACCAAGCTCACAATGACAAACCATACACTTCTGTCCCTGAAACACAGCAGATGGAATCCTGGATTCTGCTCTTGGTTCTAATGCTCACCTCCACAGGTGAGGGCTGACACCTCCCTTGAGATGTGCTACATAAGTTCTCCAAGATGTCACCAGCCATCAGCCAGAGCCCTTGTTAATACAGGCCTTAGCATAATGAATGGTATACTTTGCAGATTTCTGTTCCAGAAAAGAATGATTTAATATCATAAAATAAAGCTTCAGACCTCCATGCCAATTACTGTGTTTAAGTCATCGAAAGCCACCCAGGAAGGTTAGAGGAGCATGCCAGTGTTAAAGGAATGTGTAACCCATCTGCAAAGAGAGGCCAAGTTACGCTGCTTTCTGGGTAAGAAGAGCAACTCGCTAAAAGCTTCAACACAGTGAGAAGAAAATGTCAGGCACCACAACCTTATTGCATTGGCAATAAACACGAGCCAATAACTAAATCATTGTCGCCGGTTTTACTTGTGGGTCAGGCTGAGAAATACTGAAACACATAATCAAGTTCGGACTGTATTTTAATAGAAAAAGAAAAACGGTAGCAATCACAGCCCACTGAGAATGTTATGAAGCAGGAGGGACGTATCAGGAGAAGGGGCTCTCAGCAGAATGAACGGTTAGGGTGACTCTTGGGTGAATGTGGCAGACCAGGAACAGAGGAAAAAAAAGGCACATCTTCCTCATACCCTCTGTTAGAGCTCTCCTTAGAAGAGAGGAGTTTCCAATGAGGAAACAATGAAAAGCTAGAAAAATTAAAAGCATCCCTCATGTAAAGCCAAAGCAGGTGCAGAACAGATTTTTTTTTTTTTTTGCACGTCCTCTGGCCCTGGGAACAGTGCCCACCTAATCACCGTTCCCCCTGAACACAGTGGCCACGCCTCATTTAGCAGTGACTAGTTTTTCATTTCTTTTTAAAAAAGGCAATATTTCACATATCAATCAAAAAAGGGGGGGGAGGTATTTAAGTTATTTTAACATCAAGTGTTTTTTCAAAGTTATAAATATATGTGAGGGGACTAATTGTAAACTTCTCCCAGAAACCCAAATCCAAATTCATGTTGCCATGCGAATTCGAGATAATAAATTACATCCTTCTAAGTAAAGCATCCACTGTAATAAAACACCCACTCCAGAGAACTCAGAAGCCCTGATCCCAGCTAAAAGGATTCATGCCTTTAGAATTCTGGAGAGATATATATATATAAAAATATAATTTTTTCTGTCGGTTCCCTCAACTTCTCTCAATTACTGATGTTCTTTACATACTGAATTTTCTAGGGTTTGATGTGTGATTATGGCTATATTTTTATCTATATGTTTTGTGGCTCTTACACTTAAGCTTTTTGCTCACAAATCTTTTATTAAAAGTACTAAATTGTAAAAAGCACATTCATATTTCATTCAGTGTTCCATACAGAAATGTGAGTTTTCACAGCAAACACAGCTGCATACAGAAAGTTACCATAAAATAACATACCAGACTATAGATCTCTGCATTTTGAATGTTTCAGCTCAGAAGTAACTTTACTGGAACTATATTTTCCAGAACATTTTCGCCTTCTTTCTCAAACAAACTTATAACCAACTTTTCAATTTTCCAAATCAAAGTCGCAGGTGAAATATTCCCCTTGAATCTCATGTACTTTCAGGCAAAAGCCAAAAGCAAATCCAGAGACATTTCAAACTTGACAGCTTTCATTAGCTCTATCAACGTGTTAGAGGTAAGTGTGTTACAAACCCAAGACATACACATACATTTTGATATTGGTGTG
Source organism: Homo sapiens (assembly GCF_000001405.40). Taxonomy (NCBI): domain Eukaryota; kingdom Metazoa; phylum Chordata; class Mammalia; order Primates; family Hominidae; genus Homo; species Homo sapiens. The sequence continues at coordinate 30,306,426 of NC_000019.10, read as the reverse complement.
TCTGTAGATCTTAGCTTGACATGAATAAGCAGAGAAAAGAGAATAATCTGACTGTGGGGTGAGATGGCTCAGATATTCAGCCAGGAAATAGGGTGACAGAGAGATAAGACAAGAGCCTTACTGAGTCCTGGGAATTCCAAGGTATTGATCCAAGGCAACAAAAGAAGAGAGAAACTCAAAGCTGAAGTCTGACCAGTGTAAACAAGCATCTCTTTACAAAAAAAAAAAAAAAAAAATTCTCTCCAGGGAATGCACACACTGGCCTGGTCAGCTAGCAAGCCACTGACCTTTTGAAAAAAAAAGGAGTGTAGAATTAAAACTGCCAATAAGGCAAAACAATTACTCAACACAGATTTCATGAGCAAATGAATAAATGGGTGAATAATGTGAACATTTGTCAGTTGCAGTCAGCATAATAAATGAATCTGATATTAAAATTTGGAGGGGGGAAAAAAACCGATGTGACCCTCTGTCAGATCAAATCACTAAATACGTCGGGAGGATCCACTCCATGCCTGGCCCAGGCTCTACACTGCGGGTGGACCGAGGGAGGACAGGGCGCCTGATGGCACAGTCCTTTCCTCACCCACGCTGGCCCCTCCTGCCGAAGCCCAGCCAGTGCCTACCAGGGGCCAGGGCAGATGGCTCCCAATCCCTGCCTTGGTCCCCCACCCAATTCTGCCTAGAAGAGTCCTTCAGGTGTTGAACAGTGGGCTCCCAAACCCCAAACCCCAAACCCAGATCTGGGGTCACCCTCTGAACCCAACCTTGGCAAGAGACTGTGGCCCAAGAAACACTCTCAGCCTCCAATGTTGGTGCCAGGGCAAAGCTGAAACAACCACCCCTGCAGCTTCTCAGTGATGAAGGGGGCTGAGGCTCAGGGCTATCTCAGGGGCTTAAAGCCAGGACTGCAGAGCAGCCTGAGCTGATTCTCCTAAGAACATTAAATACCCAGCTGCTCACCGCTCAGATCACACCTCCATTTGCCAAGCACTTGACTCAATTAACAGAATACTTTCCACCCCTCCCCATACACAGTGAAGTGTGCATTTTCCTTCCTTGTTTTGTACAATTGGGGAAACTGAGCCAGTCAGGAATGGGTTGAGGGTCAAGCGAGGACACTAGCTCCCCTCCCTTCCCACGGTCTCTCTTGCACCCACTCTTGCCCCTGCACAAGCTCACTCCTGGCAGGTGATCCCCTAGCCCAAACTCTATATGAGCTTCCTCAACTACTCAACTACAGTGGGGAACTCACACTGTCCAGTCCATTTGGGAAAACCAAGGCCCAGACAAGAGAAAATGCAGCCTCAGGCCCTGGAACTAATGGAAAGCAAAACCCTCAGCCTCCTGCCTTCCAAGCTTCAGCCCTCCTACTCCTCTCTGGGCTACTCCCTTGGGCTCTTAATTCTGCAGAACTTCAGAGGAGCAAATGAGCTGGGAAAAGAGATGTCTGCCCCAAGCAGTCTCCTCCTAAGAACAGGCACTCCTCTGACAGAGGCATCTTTGCAAACTGTCAGGAAGATGCAAATATGCTTTGCCCCTAGAACTTCTCTCCAGCCCAATCATGAGAACTTGGGCTGGTCCACCGTCCATCATTTCCCCCAGATGGTGCCTGCAGCGGCTAAGAGCCTGCAGGCTGAGTGGTCCACGTGGGGCAGTTCTGTGAGCCCCAGGCTTTCATCCTTTCTAGCACATAGCCACAGCCCTCTCCCCTCACCGCTTTCCTCCTGGACTTAATAGGAGCAAAGCACTGCTCAGGGACCCTACCAGGTCACCTCACCTGCTGGCCCCAACTGCCCCCAGAGCAGCCGGCTCTGGGTCACATAACTCACTAACTCCCTCCCATTTAGCTGGGGACAGGCAGTGGTTGGCCCCCGCAGAGGTCCAGGCCCAGGCTCCCCCTTGTTGAATCAGTGAAGTTAGGAGGGCAGGAGCTGGGCAGGAAGTTGGATTCTAGCTCTGCAAAGTCTCTGGACCTCAGCTTTCCTTGCAGGAGAATGGGATAACAACTTCAGCTCCCTCCCATCAAAGGCTTCTGGAAGGCTCAAATGAGAAAGCCTAAGGGACCTGGCCTTAAGAAGGATCCATCAGATTGTGTGTGAGCCCGGCTCCAATGGTTCGAGCTCCATTGAACTGGCCTTCGTCTGCGCCGTTTTCTCAGAGGAAGGCCTGAGATGAAGATGCAAATGCGGGCGGTTTGTGCAGGAAGTTTGTGCGAAAGTTTGTGCAGGAGGTAGTCCCAGAAAATGCCAGGGGATAGTGGGGAGGTGGGGAAAGAAAGGAGGCCTGTGCACAGCAGGCTAAAAAGTGCACTGCACTGAGGGCACCAGGCCTGAGTCCAACCGGGAACTCTTAAGACCCTGAGCGGGACTCCCCCACGCTGCTCCATCCAGGGAGAGAGGAGACCGCTGCCTACCCACCAGTCCCCATCCCCATCGACTGAGGGGTGCTCCAGAGGTGTTAACTCCCTGGCACGTGTGCTTGCCCCCATGACAGACTAGACACACACCAGTGACGAAGGACACACCCAGGCAGAGTCGTGGATGCTGGTGTGAGGAAGCCTCACCCTGAGTGGTGAGTGGCTGCCAAGGGGCACCGATAGTATCTGCTATCCCTGCCTAATAAAAAAGTGTCGGCTGGGCATGGTGGCTCATGCCTGTAATCCCAGCACTTTGGGAGGCCGAGGCAAGTGGATCAGGACTTAGAGACCAGCCCGGCCGACATGGTGAAACTTTGTCTCTACTAAAAATATAAAAATTAGCCGGGCGTGGTGGCCGGCACCTGTAATCCCAGCTGCTCGGGAGGCTGAGGCACGAGAATCCCTTGAACCTGGGAGGCGGAGGTTGCAGTGAGCAGAGATTGCACCACTGCACTCCAGCCTGGGCAACAGAGCAAGACTCCATCTCAAAAAAAAAAAAAAGTGTCAAAAAGCAAACAGGGAACCTGATTCCCTTTCAGGAAACAACCCCCCAGGCTGTCTGCTCTCCAGAGAAGCTAGGAACCTAGCTGATCACAGAAACCTGGAGGCAGCGCCAAGGCCCCTGCCCTGCACCTCCCGCACTGCCTCTCTTGCCCTGCCTCTCTCGCCATCACATAGAGCCTGCCATGGCCACAGATGCACCAGCCACCGAGCTAACTGGTGGGGTGACAAGGAAGGCGCCTGCCCTCCAGAAGCTGGGGTCATCTCTGGGAGATGGAGCAGGTGTATAGCAGTGGAGACACAAGGTGGTGTGCTCTGTCCCCATCCCAGGAGACCCTGGACACCAGCCGAGCCTCAGAAACCCATCACCCATCTAGGAGCTCCTGGGAGCTTCAAAATGCCAAATGGAGATGAAAACGTGTGTGCCTAAAATCCATTGAGCCAGAACCACCAATGCTTTGAGCACCCCTGTCTATGAAGGTTTTCTTACATTGATATTCTAGCTCCCAATGTCAGGAAAAATTATGTAAAAACAAGAAAAATGTCCCTGCCACCAGAGAGTTTATAGTTCAGCAGGGGGTAAAAAGGGATGAAGGACGTAAGGCCACCACCAGTCTGAAAGGGTCGTCTTCCCCTCCCTTGCCAGTCAAATCTGGTGCACTGCGTCTGCTGCACCCATTCAGGACATACTGATTGCTCTCTGCTTGCAGGCCCTGGGGGCAGTTGAGGGGTTTATCTGGAGGATTGGGATGGGGCTGACATTCTATATAGAGGGCCCAACAAGAGAAAATGCGTGGAAGGTGGAGGTGTCTGGAGTCCGTGAGACCAGCTAACAGGGCACAGACGCCAGAGGCTCGTGGGCTCACCCTTGGCCCTGTAGCATTGTAGACTCCCAAAGAGGACACTTTCTCTTGAGAGTGCCCCACAGACTGCATTCTAGAACTGAGTTCTTGTCCTGTGTCTGCTGTTCAGTGGCCGCATGGACCCAGACACCTGACTTCCCCTGTCTGAGGACCACCCGGGTCTTCGTGCAAATCCTATAGGATTCTGCATGTGACAACCCAGGTCACTGTGCAAAGCCACAGGCATTGCTAGGAGTTAGAAAGGAGTCAGCCCCAAAGACGCAGAACCATGGCTGTGAGTCCCAGGGCCTGCCCACAGCAGGCCCAGGATGCCCAGGAATCTGCTCCCAGCACGTTCCCCACCTGGCTGTGGCCTTGAGCCCTCCCTGCCGCAGGACGGACAGAGCCTCCCATCTCCCGAGGACTTGCAGCAGAGCAACACAATCTGCGTTAGGATTTCCGAGGAAGCTGTCCTCCCTTTTCCACATCATTGCACCAGTGCTCCATGCATCCTATTTTAGAACGACTTTCTCTGCCTTACCCCCAAACCTTCTTAATAGTGCTGGGAAAAAATATTATATACAAACAGTGATTATAAAAAATTATTTGTATACGTTGCTAAAACGTGCTCTACATCTTTATTTAGCATCATCTCTATGAAAGTATCTCAATCCTTGAGACCTTGACACTGGCTTTGCAGAGGCCTCTACACACCTCCCTCCTCAGTGTGCAGAGGTGGGGCAGATTCTACCTAGCCCACATCGGCACCTGGCAGGGACCTCTCTGCACCCAGCCTGGTAATTCCCCTTTTCCCTGGGCTTTTTTTTTTTCAGCATCATACATTATATTTAAGTCTCTCCAGCAATACAAATTTCAATTTGGCCAAGCTCTTTAATATTAATAGTTGTCAATCCAAATGCAGAGTGCATAATAAAAAATTTAATCGAAACGAATAGCTCACATATTTCTCTACCTCCTAAATATAGTTACCAATTAGACAAAAGATTCGGTTATATAACTTTGTAGAATTAAAGCCACCTACTAAGGACCACCAGTTAGGGCTGAGAAAGCTACAATGCAGATTGCACTCTGTCCATTACTCTTAAAGATAAAGCACATCTCACCTCATCCTTCCTTTCTTCCTAGGCACAAACTGTGAACACGGAATGTGCAGTCATGCAATTCGCAAGAGTTGTTAAAGCTAAATTGTAATCACAAAGTTACCCAGAGTGATAACAGAAGGGACCCAGGGCATCCCTTCTGTCGCCCTTTACAGCTAAAGCAACAGCGTCCGCATCGCCGCTACCCCATTTTGCAGACAGAATAACTGAGGCTCAGAGGCACAGTGCACGCACCTCAGCTTCCTATTTCCTCAGACATAAAATTATCATGTGAAGAGGTTATTTCTGTTTAATATGAGAAGTAAGTTGTCGCCGGTTTCCCTGCTCTATGCTGAGAACCCGCACGTCACCACTGGATCAGGGGAGCCTCAGTCCCCAGAGCCTATGAAAACGTCCACAGCCAGAATCACTTCCCAGGCAGGGCAGACACAAAAGCTGACTTTCCGTTGTGATGATCAGGGGCCTGATGGGGCGTCCCAGAACCACAGTTCCAGGGGCAACCCCCTGATGATCCAGCATTTTATGGAATCACTGAGCTGGAAAGGACCCAGCCTCTCCTATCAAACCCCATCCCCTCCTATTGCAGCAGCAGAAATAGTCCAGGGGAAGCTAAGAGATTTGACCAAGGTCATGGAGCTAGTTAGCGGCAGAGCTAGGACTCGAACCTCCAGACACACACACACTTGTGCACTCAGGCGTCGAAGAGTACTATAAGCGCTGGGTCCAGCCCTCGCCAGGCTCCCCCCGTTGCGATCATCCTGCCGGGTACCTGGGGTATTTCTTCGGCAAATTACTCCAGGCCTCTTTTGTGAGCTGCTCTGGGCTCTGCCCTGAGTTCCTTCACGCAGGAAGTTTAAATGAAATGGCTCCCAAGTTCCTTAAATGGTTTAATAAAACATATACTGACTGCAATGTGCAGTTTATAGTGGCAAACTATTGCCCCTCAGTTGGGAAAAATGACCTCCAGTCGGCAATATTCCTTTCAGCCTCATGATTCTAGTGTGCTGTTGCCCATTCCCTCAACCCACTGGGCAATTCTTTTCCATAACGAGGCTGGCTGCAGCCACTGCATGCACTGCGGCCGAAGGTGCCCAGTCTGTACCTCCACAGGGCCGGTTCTGTGACAAGACAAAAGAAACACCAGGCAGATGACAGTGGCAAATACAGAGGACAGGAAGGCTCCTGGAGAGCAAAGAGACCCCAGGAAATAAATGTAGGGGATTCAGAGAGATTTGGGGAAATTAAATGTGGCATGAAACGGAAAGCGCTGTGTGAATGTAAGATTCCTGTTCAACACCACCCAGAATTGGGATGGACAACAGGTTAATCAGATTCACCGGGGTGGGACGGGGGGAAATGCCTGCTCTTGGCATCTGCAATGGTAAGATTTAGAAAACTTGAGGAGGGTATAATATGAATTTCTAAAACTCTCCCACGCTCATAACAAATAGCTATTAATAACGCTTAATCACAAATGCCATTTCCAATATTTGGTGCCGAAAGGTTTTGCCTCGTCTGAAAAGTAGTGGAATTTGACTGCCAGAAACTGATGACCTTTTATCCTAAACTGTGCATCGAGATGGCTTGTTAAGCTCATTAGTATTATATGGTGAATTAGATTAGGCATTTTATGATTTTTCAAAAAAGGCTTTTTTGATATAAAAAAGCAGCAATTTCCTTTTTTGACATATTTCATTTTTAAGGTAATAAAAATGGCACATGTGTACCATGGCATAATGGATTAATTAAGGAATATTATGTTTATCCTAACTCTTAACCGAGTTGTACATCTTCATAACTCACTCATAAAAATTAATGCATTATCTTATACCATGGGATGATAGATCTTCTATTTTTACCAAACCTGCTCAGAATGCATTGTTCTAAATTGGATTATTCTGAGAACTAGTGAATGCCATATTCCAATATCATCAGTCCAAAATCATATTGTGATCTTAAAATTTTATATTATTATATATAAAATCTAAACCTTCTCCCCACTGTGGCTTTGAATTGCTGGACTCTTCTGGCTTTTGAAGGATCAAGCTACCCCCACCACCTACCCTCACAGGCAGCCTATTTTATATCTTCTCTCATTCACAATGGATTTGTTGTTTAAAAAACACATTCATTGCATCAAAGAGTCACTGGACAATATTTTTGGCTATCCCTTTGTGTCTTGATGGTAGATGTGAATATAAAAGAATATTCATGCAAGATTCATAAAGGCCCCAGATTTCTAAATCAACAGATGAAAAATCCCTAAAAATAATAATGTCCAGATGTTGCTTATTTAAATGAGCTGTTGCCATTTAATGTTGCCAATCACAAAAGTGATAGAATTTGTGAATTTCAAGGTATTCATAATTTACAGAGGATTATAATTTTTATCAAGGGAGCATCCAAGGTGATTAAAATCAGTGATTTCAATAAATACAAATGATTCTTTCACAGAGGCTACCTTTATAAACTTGGCCTCATACCACGAAGCCCACACTTTCACATTGTAGAGTCTTTTTCTTTCCCAGGCCCCCCCTTTGGCAGGGAATGTGACCTGCCAGGCCTAAAATGCAGATTATTTTTAATGTGCTACAACTTCAGAATTGGAGGGACTCTTAGAAGTCATATAGGGCCAATTTCTCTTACGGGTAAGAAAACAGAGCTCAAAAATGTTTGACCCAAAGTCTTGCAGCTGAGAAGTAAGTAAGAAGCTTCCAGAATCCAGCCTTCTGAGGTCCACCCACTAAAATTTAGGTTTAGTGTTACTATAATTCCAGGCCCACTGGCATTGCCAAAGGAGACTGGGAGAAACGAAGATTCCCAGGTTCCTTCCCAGACTGGCATACCTGCAGATATGGGGAATGGGAACCTACACCTGAAACAGATTCTCCCAGCAATCCTGAAACCATCGCTATAATGTATTCCTTGGTCTCAAGTCTCCTAGATACCAAAAAAGTTTCTTTGGTGTGAGACAGGATGAAGGAGTCAGCACACCGTTCTTCTGCAGTTGACAAAGATCTTTCAACAGCCCAGGATGCTGTAAAGATTCTGACCCCAACGCTACCAGCATTAGGAAACTCCCACGCAAATGGTCATCAAGAGACCTGTTCTTGGTTGCACATCCTCTGCACTGTATGGCAAAGCAAAGACAGGGTATGGTGCCTCTGCACAGCTGGTGATGGGGTGTGAGCCACAGGGGGACATCCTGGGCATACCTCCTATGGTCCAGTTGCAACCAAGGGTCTTGAGTCAGAGTATGTGGTGATACATCTTGAATTTCTAATGGGCACCTGGAATTAGCCCGCTATTCTAAAGGGAAGAGGGTACTGTAGAGGACCCGGTGGGATTCCTTAAAGAAGGGCATGAGGCCAGGCGAGGTGGCTCACACCTGTAACCCCAGAACTTTGGGAGGCCAAGACGGGCTGATCACAAGGCCAGGAGTTCGAGACCAGCCTGACCAATATGATGAAACCCCATCTCTACCAAAAATGCAAAAATTACCGGGCATGGTGGCACGCGCCTATAATTTCAGCTACTCGGGAGGCTGAGGCAGGAGAATCCTTTGAACCTGGGAGGCAGAGACTGCAGTGAGCCAAGATCGCACCACTGCACTCCAGCCTGGGCGACAGAGGGGGGGGGGACTCCGTCTTGAGAAAAAAAAAAAAAAGGCATGAAGTTTGTGGGGAAAATTTAACTCATAAAGGGCACGGTGCAAATCCAGGGGGCTCCTGCTGCCTGGCGCCCAAGCTCCCATGCTATACACATGCATAACAATACAGGCAGGTTCACTGCCTGGGATGTTCATTTAGTCTTGAGAAAGGGCTACCTGTGGGAGAATTTCCACCCCCAGCTCCTGGCCACTCGTTTACTCGAGCGGCCATCATTTCTACAAATCCTAACAATAATATCTGCATGCCTAGTCCTTCAAAGAGAGAAAGTCACTACATCCTGGTGCTACACTGAGGAAAAAATAGAGTTCTGACCACCCTTGATAGGTGACACCTGTGTCTCTGCTGGGGAAAGAAATTCATCTCCCTTCTTTCAAAATGCAGCTCCATTCAAGAACATGCCAGCCCTCTGAATTGAATGTTCTTTTTAAAGTTCAGTAATAAAACCTTCAAGGGTTCAAAAAGAAGTGGCTTAAGATCAAACGTGGGCCATTAAAAAAAGCACTTAAGTAGAAATTCTGTTAAACTGGATGTAAACTTTCCCCCACGTACCATTTCCAGGCATACGAAGGGATTATATGGTGATGAACCATATGAACCTTTTTTAGATGTAAAAGGACTTCAGGAAAAAGGTGCCTGGTACTGATCACAGTAGTTTCCAGGCCAGCCTTTCCTTAAATGCATCTCATTTAAGTTGAAGATGGAAGTGAAGGGCAGATGCTTGGGCTGCAGTCGGACTGAGCTTCAAGACTCTTTTGAAAATCTCTTGGAGGAGGAGGGAGATGTTTTAGGTACAGGGGAAGCAGCACCGTTCTGGCCACTGGAAGGGTCTTCCCTGGCTGGGGCCTCGTGCCTGATCGTGGAGCATCTCAAACACCTCATAGGAAGCTTTTCTTCTGGAAGTTTTACTCTCACCTTCCCCTCTCCACTGCCAACATCAGCTGTAAATACGGAGGCGAGGCCCAAGTCCCATGAAGGGAACCCAGGGAAATACACAGGTGACAGAGGGTGGCTCCCATGAGGGCGAAAGGATGCTGCCATCCCCTGGCCACCAGAAGGACCTAGATGCTGCTTGGAAGACCACACACCCATCTGTGCCTCCCTTCCTCCAACCAGAAGGCTCGCAGCCTCTGCCCCAAGCACATTAGGTGACCAGGGAGAAGAACCAGCTTTTGCATGATGTCTCAGCAAAAACCTGCAGCTTTGGACACATTTTAGGCTCCCTGGGGGTAGAGAGCAAGCTGAGAGCTGTCCAAGCCAGCCTTCCATGGTTAGAGATGGCAGCCACAGAAACAGGACCTGAGCCCTGGAGAGATCCACCCACCCTTCACCCCGGCTAGTTCACAGAATCTCCTCCCAGACCCCTCTGCACTGTCAAGAGCCATACAAAAGGGTTTCACCCAGGAGGAACCTCCCTGCCCATTTTCCCCAGGATGTCTTGGCCAACTGGAACTTTGACCAAGAAGAGACAGCCATGGTGACATCTCCTGAAGCAGCCAAAGGCTCTGAGTTCTGTCACCTGGCCCAGGTAGTGGGTTCTGGGACCTGCAGGGCTGACAGGGCACTGTTCTGCTCTCTTCCCAAGACACCAACAAGGACAAAGTCTTCCCCATGACATTCCACTGCCCTTACCAATCAGGGAATCCTACTGCCCTTCCACCTCCACTGCAGCTGCTTTCCTGGACACTGTCAGTCTGGAAGGTAGCATCAAATACTCATCTCTGAAATGGGATAATGACAGTACTTATTATATGAGGTCACTACAGAATTAAATAAGATCATGCATATAAATGAGCACGGTGCTTGAAGCCCAGTACACAGTCATTAGGTGCTAGCAGCTGCACACATTGGATTTCCCCGCAAGCTAACCTGCCCTGCCCGACACTGGTCTGGGCCCCATGGAGGCCTCTGGACAGGTGTGAACTCTTATATGCAAGAGGGAGCCAGGAGTTCAGCATGGAAAACACCTCCTGCAGGACAGGGCAGTACTAGGAGCAAACACGGCCACATCTGGCAACAAGAGGGACCAAGGATCCTGCCTGCTTTGCCCCTCAATTAAAGAATGAACATTCACCATTCCCATGATTAAAAGTCTTGCCTTTGCTTCAGAGGTTTTCAAACATTTTTTTCTACCCACATTTTTTTCAAGTGAAAGTTTTCCAAGGCTGCTCACTGTGTAAAACAGATGTGCACGGAATGACCCCAGAGGCAGGGCTCTGCGTGTCCTGGAGCCCCCAGCTCCCACTCCCTGGAGGTTTCTGCTTCATGAATATCCACTGGGAGGGGATTACATTAGACCAGTGGTTCTCAAAGCAGAGTCCCTGGGGCCGCAGAAACAGCATTGCCTGGAAATTTGTTAGAAATTCAAATTCTTGGACGATACCCAAGACCTTCTGAATCTGAAAATGTGGGTTGGGGCCCAATGTTGTTTTTTCAAAGCCCTCCACGCAATTCTGACACCTGCCCAAGTTGGAGATCCACGACACTACCCCAGCCGTTCATACCTTGGCTACAAGCCAGCAGACAACCTCCCCACCCCCGCCTCCAATCACACTGTTTCCTGTAGGGCAAGTCCTGATTTGATTGGCCTGGGAGCAGACCTAGACATTGGCGGGTCTTAAAAGCTCCCTGTGTTGTTATAATTGATAGCCAAGTTTGAGAATTATCCCTCTAGTCTCTTGCTACTCAAAGTGTGGTCCAAGGACCAGCAGCATCAGCATCTCTTGGGAGCCTGTTAAGTATGCAGAATCTCATTCCCCTAGATGTGCTGAATCAGAATCTGCATGCTACCAAGACCCCCAGGGCTCTGTGTGTACATTCCTGACACCCTGGTCTAGGTCATTCTGTTTAAGACCTACAAAGAAGCTTAGACACCCACCCTTCAGGTAGCAGCCTGCAGCTGCAATGGCCTGAGGCTCTCCAATGTCACCCAGGCTGAGGACTGCAGATAGACATCAGAACCAGCCTCCTCACTCCAAGAGCAGCACTCCTTCCCACACCTATGCAGCCTCCATCTATGCATGCCTGCCTCAACCTCCCTCACAAGCTTCTCTCAGCCTTCAGTCCCTGTAGGAGTAGAGGGAGGAGTGCGCCCCACCTAAGGAAGCAGGAGTTGAGTTTGGAGGGTCAGGGCAGGTGTATCTTGTAAGAATTCCGCAAACTTCCAAAACCTTCTCTAGGGAGTCTGCCACTCATGGGGGCATTGGCCACCCACTGTCTTGTTACTGGAGACCTGATCATATTTAGGATGTCACATTTCTAAAAACATTGAAGTCATGTTTAAATACACACACACACACACACACACACACACACACACACACACATATTGGGGCCTAGAGAGGAGAAACAGAAATTTGGTGAATGATTCCCACATATGCCATACTTACATTTTTTAACTGTCAATATTGTCTCAAGTTATATTCTGTTGAGGAATAAAAATTATTCTGTTGAGTTCAGCTCACTCAAGAGCATCATTTTGTACTATTAACTGTTTTCAGACATGAAATAATACACACACATCCACATTAGAAAAACTTTATTATTTTCTTGCAGTATTGCAGGAAGAAAATAAAAATGACTTGGGGGTAGGGAAAATTCAACACATGCACCCCTTCACGGCCACCTCAGCAAATACACGTGCCTCTACCTCCCCAGCTAAAACTCCCTCTCCTCTGGGCAGCAAGCTCCTCTGTGTTGGGGGCCACACCCCACCCTCTAGAGCTGAGCACAGGGACCCTCAATAAATGCTTAGCTGCTCATTGGCAAGAGATAGTGAAAGACAGGGACCGTCGGAGTAGAAGAGTCAGGGAACTCAAGGTCAAATGAATTTGTGGCCATGTTACCACCACCTGCTGGGCAACCAGGCAGGCAGAGACCAACACCAGGTCAAGACCCAAACTTCATCTTTAAACAGGAAAAAAAAAATCTAATAGCTATCCCTATTTCCAAAATGTATGGGCATAGGTTATCACATACTTCTCCTGCCTCTTCTCAGGCACAAAGCAACTGCCACCCTCACCCCTTCTTCCAGTATTTAGCAAGCACCTACTAAGTACAAGCCCCTTGGCTCAGGCAGCGCTGCACATTTTCAAGGATGAAATGCAAACTCCAAAGTCATTTCTGTCTTTCTTGCAATGTGCTAACATGCCGATCACATTATCATCCTGCAACTCCGATTATCGTACTTTCCTTTGTGCAAAATGAATCGAGCCAGAAAACTCTAAGGGTAAGAGTCCAGCTCTGCCAGGCCTAAACCACAGCCAAAAGTTCATGAAAACCACTGTTGTGCCTCACACTGCAGCCGCGTGAAGCCTATTGTTGAAATACAGTAGTTACTGGGGGCTGGCAGGCGGGGGGAATGTCGTGCATTCCCAAACATAAAAGGAGAACCACAATCTCTTTGCCTGAGATAGACGCAAGACCAGCCATTTCCTGCAGCCCCCAACATCCCCTAAGTACTTGGGACTGATGGGTGATTTCCATAATGCACAGAAATATGTAAAATCAATTAAGACTTTTCTCCCGTGGAAGAAAGAACAAATAACTATCCACGCTTTGTCCTCTGTATCAAGAAATATCAGAAGGTTCCTGGTACCAAGTCCACACATCCTGGTGGACAGAGAGGGTGGCGAGAAGGGGAGGAGGCAGAGAGAGAGAACTAACCACTCCCTCATCAGTAACAACGAACCCACTGACCATCAGAGCCCGAGAGGCAAAAGGAGTGCCCAAGACAGCCTCTGGGAGATGGGAGAGCAGATCTTTACATTTGGGGAAAAATGTGTTGGGGTGGGCCAAAGGTATCTACACTACGATTCACCCCAAACAACATGCGATCCAAAGAATGAAGGAGAAGGAATCAATCAACAGCTTCCCTTGTAGACCCTGGCTTACTTTCCTCTCGGTTATGGAAATAATTCACTGTTTTAATGCAAGAAGAAGTTATTGATTGGTTTGGCTTTTCTTCTAATCCTGAGGAAATCCTGTGCGTGTTGACATGCCTGCATCCTAAAACTATCTCCTTCTTAGAGTTGAAAGCTCATCTTGCCATGCAACATAAGGCGTGGGTCTTAGAATTTCAACATAAGAAATAAAGGAAAGCTTAGCTCACCTAACATCTCCTTCCATCTTCATTCTCTCCCTCAATTGGCTTCCTCTCCCAAAGACAACATCACATCTTTGTATAATTACAATTTTTTTTTTCTCAACTAGGACCTGACCTCAGGCTTACTAAAAACACCCAAAGAAGTCCCCTAGAGGCCTAGCAGTGGCTCATGCCTATAACCCTAGCACTTTGGGAGGCCAAGGTGAGAGGATCGCTTGAGGTCAGTGGTTCAAGATCAGCCTGGGAAACGTGTCTCTACGAAAAAATACAAACAAAGTAGTGTGATGGTGCATGCCTGTAGTCCCAGCTACTTGGGAGGCTGAGACAAGAGGATGGCTTGGGCCCAGGAAGTCAAGTCAAGGCTGCAGTGATCACACCACTGCACTCAAGCCTGGGCAACAGTGAAACCCTGTCTCAAAAAAAAAAAGAAGAAAAAGAGAAAAAAAAAAAACAGTTCCCTAGAAACAGCAATCTTCAAATGATTTTGTTCATTTAATATGGTAGTGAGGAGTGCAAGATTTGGAGTCACACAGACAGGTACATGTGTCCTGGTTAGGTAACATGTGACTTGTACAAGTTACTTATCTTTGCTGAGCCTCAGTTTCTGTGTCTGCAAAATGGATTAGAGAGGAGGTTAAACAGATAAAGCATATAACACTTACCATAGGGCAGGATTGGCAAGGGTTTCCCATAAAGTGCCAGGTGGTAACTATTTTAGGCTTTGCGGGCCACACAGTCTCTGTCTCAACTACCCAACTCTGCCTTTGTAGTGTCAATGCAGCCACAGACAACATATAAACAAATAGGAGTGCCTGCATGCCAATAAAACTTTATTATGGGCCCTGAGATTTAAATTTCATACAATGTCCCGGTATCACGAAATATTATTTTTCTTTTGATTTTTTTCAATCATATAAAAATGGAAAAGCCACTCTTAGATCATAGGCCATATGAGAACAGGCAGAACCATACTAAGAGCCACTGCACACCCATGAAGATGGCTGCTAGCATAAAAATGGAAAAAACAAGTGCTGGCAAGGGTGTGGAAGAAGTGGAGGCCTGGCACGCTGCTGGCAGAAATGCCAAATGGTGCAGCCACTATGGAAAACAGTATGGCAGTTCCACAAAAAATTAAACATGGAATTACCATAGATCCCGCAATTCCACCCAAAAGAATTAAGAGTGGGGTCTTGAAGAAACATATAGGCCCAAACAAATTTACAAGAAAAAAACAAACAAACCCATCAAAAAGTGGGTGAAGGATATGAACAGACACTTCTCAAAAGAAGACATTTATACAGACAACAAACATATGAAAAAAAGCTCAACATCACTGGTCATTAGAGAAATGCAAATTGAAACCACGAAGAGATACCATCTCATACCAGTTAGAATGGCGATCATTAAAAAGTCAGGAAACAACAGATGCTGGCGAGGCTGTGGAGAAATAGGAATGCTTTTACATGGTTGGTAGGAGTGTAAATTAGTTCAACCATTGTGGAAGACAGTGTGGTAATTCCTCAAGGATCTAAAACCAGAAATACCATTTAACCCAGCAATCCCATTACTGGATATATACCCAAAGGATTATAAATCATTCTACTATGAAGACACATGCACACATATATTTTTTGCAGCACTATCTACAAAGTAAAGACTTGGAACCAACCAAAATGCCCATCAATGATAGACTGGATAAAGAAAATGTGGTGCATATACACCATGGAATACTATGCAGCCATAAAAAAGGATGAGTTCATGTCCTTTGCAGGGACATGGATGAAGCTGGAAACCATCATTCTCAGCAAACAACACAGGAACAGAAAACCAAACACCACATGTTCTCACTCATAAGTGGGAGTTGAACAATGAGAACACATGGACACAGGGAGCAGGACATCACACACCAGGGCCTGTTGGTGGGTGGGGGGCAAAGGGAGGGAGACCATTAGGACAAATACCTAATACATGCAGGGCTTAAAACCTAGATGATGTGTTGATGGGTGCAGCAAACTACTATGGCACATGTGTACCTATGTAACAAACCTGCACATTCTACACATGTATCCCAGAACTTAAAGTAAAATTTTTTAAAAAAGAAACATATAAACCCACATTTACAGCAGTATTATTCATAAGAGTGATGAGGTGGAAGCAGCCCAAGTGTCTATTGATGGGTGAGTGGATAAACAACATAGGGGGCCGGGTGCAGTGACTCATGCCTGTAATCCCAGCACTTTGGGAGGCTGAGGCTGGCAGATGATTCGAGCCCAGAAGTTCAAGTGCAGCCTGGGCAACATAGAAAGATCCCATATCTACAAAAAAATTTTTAAATTAGTAGTGGTGTGCACGTGTAGTCCCAGTTACTCAGAAGGCTGAGGCAGGAAAATCACTTCAGCCCAGGAGTTCAAGGCTGCAGTGAGCTATGATCATGCCACTGCACTCCAGCCTGGAGAACAAAAGTAAGATCCTGTCCCAAAATAAAAGAAAAGCGAACAAAAAGTAAAATAAAATGTGGTATATACATACTGTATAGCAGAATCTTTTTCAGCTTTAAAAGGGAAGGTAATTCTGTCACAGGCCACAATATGGATGAACCTTGAGGACATTCGACTAAACAAAATAAGCCAGTCATAAAATGTTAAATACTATATGGTTCCATTATATAAAGTACCTAGAGTAGTCAAATTCACAGAGACAGACAGGTGCATAGTGGATGCCACGACCTGGAATGGGTAGGGAGAATGGGGAGTTATTTAATGGGTATAGAGTTTCCGTTTCAAAACGTTCTAGAGATGGGAGGTGGTGACAGTTGCACAGTGATGTAACTATTTAATGCCACTGAACTCTAAACTTTAAAATGGTCAAGATAGTAAGTTTTATATTATGTGTATTTTATCGCAATTATTTTAAATTTTTAAATGTAAAACAAAAAACCCAACACACACAGGCAGTGTGCTGGATGTGACTCACAGGCTGTAGCCTTGGCATAGAGGCATAAGAGCAACGTAACAAACACCCCTAAAAAATGAGCGGGATAGGCATTGGGGGTCATATGAGAAAAGAGGGCTCAGAGGCGACTGAAGAAAATTCCAATTCACTCACAAAAGTATTTACCAGGCACCCACTCTGGAGCCAATAATCATCCAGGCATAGACACAGAAATAAAGAGAGAAGCACCCCTGGGCCTCATGAGCTAACCCTTGCATCCCATGTGTGGCCATCCAGGGGAAGTCGGCCTGTGCACATGTGCAGGAAAGCACGGGGGCCCCCGGGGTGGTCCGGCCTCTCAGGCACTCGCATGGCTCATACGTGGAGGTATGCCCTCCTTGGAGTGGTCAGTGATCTTGTCAGGGACAGAAAAGTTCAATGACTACAAGGGTGAGTTTAATTATATGTTGTCGCTGACTAGCAGTGGTTACGATGGTACAATTACACATGTAATTTATCAGCAAGATACTTGCATACATAATAAACCAAAAACAAAACATTAAATTTCAGTGGAAGCTAAAAATATAAAACCGGGCCATGGTGGAAAACAGTCTCATTTGTGAGGGGGTGGAGGAGAAAAACCACAGGCCTCCCCTCCCTTTTAAGGGCTGGCTGTCCCCACCCACCCACCATGACCACGTGGCATCCATCTCAGAATGCGTTCTCCAAACACCAAGCAAATCCCAAGCCCCCAGTGATGTGTCAACAATGCTCCTTCACAAAGGAATGGGATGGAGAAGTTGGCTTAGGAAACTCACCACCCTTTCTGACATTCTCTGAACTTGCTAACCAAGGTCCCAAGGGATGCTGGAAAGACCACATGCCTAGCAACATCTTGGGGTTCCTAGCACTGGTATGAGACTGAGAGGAAAAGCCTAATTATCTGAAAATGGCCTACATTTTCATTAATCTTGAATAAAGATGGAGAAAGGGGGAAGGATGATGGAATAGAGGAAATGAAAATAACAACGGTGCCATGCTTGTACTAAATGCCTACTTTGAACCAGGCAGTGTTTTAAGTGCATCACACAGTGTAATCTACCAGACTGTCATGTTGTTCCCAATTTACAGATGAGAAAACTGAGGTGCAAGTTCCTTGACACTGGGTCAGACAGCTACTGAATGGTGGAGCCAGGGTTCCAACCCAGGAAATCTGCTTCCAAAGCCTATACCTTTGCTATGCATTGTCAGACAGAGAGGTCATTTATCTTTTTTCTTCAGTACATTCTCACTGGTACTGCTATGATGTCCATGGTACTATAGTTTAAAAGTCAAGGTGAGGTAACTTGGACCACTCTTATCACTGAGAATAAGTTTTCCAATAGATGGGTACATTGCATACACCATGCCAGAACTTGGGAACCCCACTCCCCAGAGCCTCAGCCTATCCCCTCAAGACAGCTGACCTAATAGGACTGAGCAGTGGCAAGTCCCACAGAGACCAAGTCATGGCAGGGCTGAAGAGGACACACAAAAATCTCCAGAAGAACATGGAATATAGTGCAGATTGCAGAGGTTTGCCCAGGAGACGGACATCCAGTCACGTGGGCAGGAAGTCCTTTCAGCCTCATAAATCCCTCATCCACATCCTACTTTGAAAGAGATCATCTTCGCCTACGTGACCTCCACGCCTTCAGTCCCAGTCATCTGTGTATGTGCCCTTGTGGATTTTTAAAGACATTTTTATAACAGGGTGGTTTTCAGTTCACAGAGGTTGCCTAGCACAGTTCTAGACATAGTTTTTCCATTTTAAAACACTAGACTAAAAGAAAATGCCTTGTTATAACTGATCATTAGATTTTGAAAATAAAGGTTTCAAAAAATGTTTGGGAGGCCAATGAATGAATAGATGGTAAAAGTGAGATTTCATTTGGATCAATGAGCCCAATATTCTAAGGTACATGTTAGGGCTTGAGATAGAGACCCATCCATCCACCCACTCATCCATTCATCCATCCATCCATCCACCATCCATCCATCCTCCCATCCACCCATCAACCCATCCACCCATCCATCAATCCATCCATCCATCCACCCACCCATCCAGCCACCCACCCACCCATCCATCCACTCATCCATCCATCCATCCATCCATCCATCCATCCATCCACCCACCCATCCATCCACCCACCCATCCATCCACCCACCCATCCATCCACCCACCCATCCATCCACCCATCCATCCATCTATCCATCCATCCATCCATCCATATACCCATTCATCTATCTACCCATCCACCCACCCATCCAACCACCCATCTATCCATCCACCCACCCATCTATTCATCCATCCACCCATCTATCCATCTATCCATCCTCCATCAATCCACCCATTTATCCACCCATCCATCCGTCTATTCATCTATCCATCCATCCATTCATTTATCCATTTATTTATGCATCCATCCATTCACCCACCCATCCACCCATCCATCTACCCACCTACCCACCCACCCATCCACTCATCTATTCATCCGTCCACTCATCCATCCAGCCATCCATTCATCAATCCATCCATCCATCACCCTACCCACCCACCCCTCCACCCATCTATCCATCCATCCACCCATCTATGTATCCATCCTCCCATCCATCCATCTAGTCACCAAAGCTTTATTGAGAAGCTATTGTGCATCAGGCACCATTTCAGGAACTGAGGAAATCACAAGGAACAAAACACATAAGCCCCTACCCTCACCACTCTTACGTCGCAGTAGGAGAGACAGACCAGAAACCAGTAAAGGAGTAGGTCACTAAAATGCTTCCTGCACCAAATAACACGATGGATTCCAAATCTTCCTAACACAAAGGTAAATCAGAGCCATTTCCTCATTTGCTGTTATCATCAAGGATCAGTTGTAAAAACAAGCAAGAGTGTCTCATATGGAAATGTTAACAGTACAAAACTGTATTCCAATGTGGCAGAATTATCTAAGGGCAAATACTGCAGGCAATATTTTTATGACAGAAGCTTTATTCCTCATTATCTATATCCTTGATTTAAATATATACATGTATGTGGGTGCACACGTATCAAGATTCAAGTATTTCAATATAAATTTTGTATTCAAAATACTTTTCCTGATTTCAGTTGATTGCATATTTCGAGCCAAAGTTGCAGCAGTAGTTTTTGTTCCAAATCAAAAACAAGGATTTCTCTCTCTCTCTGTCTCTCTCCTTCTCTCTCTCTTTCTCTCTCTGTCTGTCTTTCTGTCTCTCTCGGTCTCTCTCTTTCTCTCTCTCTCTCTCTGTCTCTGTCTCTGTCTCTCTTTCTCTGTCTGTCTCTCTCTCTCTCCTATGCTCAACAATCTCTCCTTGCTCCCCCACCCTCTAGCCCTAAGGAGCCCAAATACTCAAGCTGCCTTCCAAGCTGAATGGTACCAAGGGCAAAACCTGTTTCTTCCCATTTATTTTTCTGTTGAAGGTCTCTGGGGCTGTGAGGACTGTGGTGCTGGCTGAAGCCACATCACACAAAGGCGCCGAGATAGAAGGACAAAACTTCCCACTTTGATTTGAGCGTGTAATTGTTTGAATACATCTCGCCCGCACTACAATAATGTCATCCTTGGTTGACACAGATTTTAAAGCCCTTTGAAAAGGTGGAATGTTATCAATCATGAGCGTGATTATAATGGGATTTAAGTGGAAGACGCTAAGATTCAGGCCCTCGCTCGGGCCAGGCTCATGGCAGAGGAGGAGGGAGAGAGGAGGAAGAGGGCTGTATTTCAGCCAAGGAAAGGATGCCCTGCGTCGTCTTCACCCACACATCTTCTCTCCCAAAGCCAAAGACTTCCGAAAAAGCACCATGGAACTCTGGAACTCTGACAGGAATTCCCCGACATGCCAAAAATATCTGCTCGTTTTCCTATAGGTTAGACCAACAAGAGATGATTGGGCCCCCCAGGGGACATATGGTGATTTCTGGAGTTATTTTGATTGTCACAATGGAGGAAGTGTTGGTGGAGGCATGCTATCAGCATCTAGTGGGCAGAGACCAGGGATGTTGCAAACATTCTGCAGTGCACGGGAGGGCCCCGCAACCAATCGCTATCCAGTCCAAAATTTCAATAATGCCAAATGTGAAAGACCCTATGTCAGACCCAGAGAGGCTTGGCCACAGCTAGAGGAGTGGATGGGTCAGAGAGGGGCATTTCTGGGGAAGCGGTTTAAAGCCACTTCCACTGGCTCGGCTATACCTCCGATTCACTGGCAGACAGAAGCAGGTGACAGAGGGGAGGAAAAAACCAAATTGCTTCCTACTTTGCCTTTCAATCTAAAACACACCTTCCTTATTATGCATCAGAAAGGACTGGAAACCCAACAATTTTTTTTCTTCTTTTTTAAGGCAAAACAATCCAGGCCCAACAAAAACAAAATAATCTCTCTGACAGATCACTGGGATGGTTGGACCTTTCTCCTGACAAATCACAACAGGGCCTACAGATGTGGAGTTCACCCATCAAGCCCAGTCACATGCCCAGGATTACTAAGGCAAAGAATTGTGAATTTCATTAAATATGTTAAAGGGGAAAAAATCAGCTTTGAAAAATAGTAATCCTGTCTTTCAACAAAAATATTATAGGAAGCTATGAATTTGGTAGATCGGAATAGGGTGTTGGTACATGTTTTACTAAGGTAATATAATGGTACACTATTATTAGATCACATTAATCATTACTGTGCCAACGGCACTGACAGCCCCACTGAAAAGGATTGAAAGGCTTGGTAATGGATATAAATTACCCATTGTGTGATAAAAGGATTTTTACTAAGAAGGTAAGAATAAAACAGCAAATTTCTAATATAACTGTTGTGTAAAAATCAAAATAAAAGTAATCCACGGTCAGGAATATCCACAAAATCAGAAGTAAGCACTTTTCCAGCAAGATAAAGTCACAATAAAAAAAAATATATATTCAGTACAACATAAAATTAATTTCTGAGTGCATAATTCTGCTATCAATTTCCCTGGTTTATGTAGTGACCTCTGAGACGTGTGGTCAGGAGAAGGTGGGCTGGGCTAATTACAACCGAGGGTGAGTTAACAGAGATATCAGGGGCAGCCTCAGATGAGGCCACCAAAGATATCAAATACATATGTCACCCTTTGTTTTGTATTTTAAGTTTGTATCAGCTCCCATGCCGGAAATACACCCCGTCAGGAGTTTGCAATCTGGAGTCTGATTGAGGTGACAAACACGGAGCAGCTTTGGGACAGGATTTGTCCAAGACTGGGCCAAGCCACTGAGTCACCTGGTGAGTGATGGGGAGCCCGACCACAGGTGGCACTTGGACGAGGTCACTCGGCCTTTAGCAAAAGCCCCACCAGCTCTCAGCCCTGGTTCCAGGCTGCTGGCTGGCAGATAGGGACTCAGGGTGTCACGCAAGAGAGAAAGAAGTCACCCTTGTTGGGCTTTGCCTCATGGGGGAACCTGTTCAGAGACTCAAGAACATGTCTCCACATTGTAGTTCACCCCGCCCACAAGATATGGAACCCATGCTACCTCCCAGACACCTGTGACTCTGGAAGTTTCTCCATAGCTCTGCATAGGGATCAGCAGCCCAGAGAAGGCAGCCTGGACTTCCCCACAAACTCAGACAGACACCAGTTCAACAAACTACAAATCGATGGTCCTTACCAGGCAAGTCTTAAAGCAATGGATCTCCCTCCCGGTTGAAGGATATTCTTAAAGCCGTGGTGGTCAGGAACTGCAAAAATAAGACCTGTTAGAAACTGTAAATGTCACATAAGTCGACTTCAGTAAGTCACATAAACAGCATTCATCCAAAGTAACAATTTGCTGGGTTAGTTGAGAGCCTAAAAAACTTGAATAGCCCCACTGCCCCCAATTCTTTGAGCAATTTAAAAAATGGGAACTATGTGACCTTTGCTGCAATGAACCAAATTTCCTCAGCTTGTTTTCAGTGGGAAATCGCCACCTGCACAAAAAGAACTTCTAACCATCTCTTATCTTCTCTATATGGGACAGAAGAAATAGGAGCTAATATTATAAGGGCTCTCTCTCTCTCTCTCTCTCCCTCTCTCTCTCTTTCTCTCTCGCTGTCTCTCTTCTTTAGAATTCTCAAAGTGAAGAAGTACCCAAGGGTCCTTGCTTTTTCCCTGATTGATTTATGGAGCCCTCTACAGTAGACCAAAATTCCACCCAAATTTCAACTGGCCAAACCTGTTTGGTAGCCAGTGGATACAGAATGGGAATCTGCAACTGACTGAGGCTTAGAGATGTTGTGTTTGGCATCAACGTCCTCTCTCCCGAACCCAGACCAGGAAAGCAGCAGCCAGTGAGATTTTCTACTTCTTCATTCTGTTTTATCACTGATGTAAGTCCCACATGGGTGATCTCACCTCCTACGGCATGCTCAGAGGTGATAAAGGACAAGAAGGAAAGCTGGGATGTTCATCTATGATGGATGCAGAGCTGCTGGCTAGGGGGTAATCAAGGAAGGCCAGCCCCCAGCCTGTGATCTCCAGCCCACTCCTCACCCAGTGCAATTTGGATTCTCATTTGTTTTGCCATGTCACGGAAGGGATGTTATGGGGCAAACATAAGTTCCCTTAATAAATTATATTTTACTGAAAGTGAAGTTGTAAATTCTGATCACAGAGGTAGAATTTCGCTATGGATTCAGAAAATCTGATTCTGCCCATGGAAAACCAGAAGATACATTTGTAGGACTGGTGGCAGCCCCAGCCGAAGAAGTTTGTACTGATTGAACCACTGGCTTGCAACACTTCATTCAACTCCAAGGCTGATTTCTGGCAACCAAAAATGTGTTTGCTGACTGCATGCTCGAAAAGTGTTTTCTCAGGGTGCCACAGGGAAGCTGCTGTCTGTAAACACATTTCTACCTGCCTATCTTGAGACATAAAGCAAAACCTGATGTCTCAACCATCTCCAACACGGAAAGAAATTACATCTCAGTGTCTGTCTGTCTGTCTCTCTCTCTTCCCTGAACCAGATGATCTTTTGCATTTTTTTTTGTTTTTTTCCCCGTGTCACTCAAAATCTAAGGAGTGAGGAACAAATGCCCAATGCTACACTTTCCAAAGTTCTGTCCTATCGCTGAGCTAAACAGGTCCCCAGCACCCAGCCGGCTCTGAAAACACTTATTTGCTTTGCTCTACGACCTCCTTATGTTTAGGGAGGGGGTTGCAGGAGATGGGAGACACACTCAGATTTTATATCTAAGCTCATGACTTGCAAAATTCTAGGACTATTCTCCAGGGGCCATTCACTTAGAGGCCCTGTAAATTCCAATGACAGGAGAACACAGAGAGTCTTCATCGGGGGAAGTCCCACACCGGTTTGTCCAGCTTCACGCCATTGATCAGAACACCGTCTCCTGCAGTTGGCACCGGGGCAGTGATGGGCACAAACCCCTCAGGTTCTATGCTCTAAATCATGAAAGGGCCCAGCACAAGCCTCGTGGCTACATTGGAGGCTGTGCTCTTCCAACAGATTAGTGGGCTTATGCAAGGGTGTCTGACCTGCGTGGGCAAGGTTAGCCCAACACGCCAGTAGGGCAGCTGACGAGTACAGCCTCACTGGGCCCTTAGGAAAAGAAATCAAGTTAGTTCCATCTGTGCCTTTCTGATCCAGTCTAAACAGGAGGAGGCTCCTGGTGTCTGATGTTGTTACAGTCACTGCGGGTCGGGGAAAGGTGACTCCATCTGACCACAGATGCTCTCGTGATGCAGGGTGGGGAGGAAGGGAAGCACCAGCAGAGTCATTCTGTCTTCCTCAATGAAAGAAACAGCTCTTTTGGTGCAAGTAAGTGACTTGTATTTAGACATAACACAGTCAGTGGCATAACCAGAAGCAGCCTGGACGTGAGGCCTCCCCTTGCCCTGTCCCCCACAGGGACCCCAACCTGAGGGGCCACCCAGGAGACTCTGTCCATGAGCCCAGTTTGGTGCAGCTCAGAGTAGGGGTGGGAAGGGGAAGATTGCAAAGGCGACAAAAAGCATGGTATGAACTAAGTGGGGGTTGGGTAGCCCCCACCTCATCAAAATAAGGGAACCTCCACAGGTGCGTTTTCAGTGCTTGAAATTCCACTCGCTGTACACTGATGGCTCCTGCTTCCCTCTTAAAGCACAGATAAGGCTCCCACGCAGCCCTCCCCAGCAACATGGATGAGCTTAGGAGGCCTGTTCACTCAGTGGCTTGGAGACTCCCTTCCCAGCACCTGTGGTGCACTGGGGCCTCTGGGGTAGGTCAGGGGCCAAGCAGGTCTGCCCATCAGATACCACCCATCGTGTGAAGGTCCCGGTTGCCAGGACAAGGAGCACATCAAAGGCAGGGCACCAGGAGAGGGGCAGAGTTGAGTCAAGCCCTTAAGCAAGTGCAGGCAGGGCCCTGGTGGAGACAGGGCTGGAGGCCAGGAAGGGGCACAGAAGTGCAACAGAGTGGCCGCAACTTCCAGAAAGGGGAGTGAGAAGGTTTGCAGGGGCTAAAGAAGGGAAGGCTGAATGGCCATTTCCTGGGTGGACCCTGGCTGGAGTACAGCAGGGATGCAGGCTGCTGGGGAGCGAGGAGGGAGAAAGGGAGACTTCCTAGAGCCAGAGGTACTTCCAAGGCCTCTCTGAGGAAGGGGAGACAAGAGCAGGAGTGGAAAGTTCTGAGAGAGGGACTTCAAAGGGGAAGTGGGAGCACAGGAAGATATGGGGGGCACCAACCAAGCGAGGAAGTGGAAGGTGCCTCGGCAGCTCTGACCCATCCTGACACACAGTGGGCCTACCCCAAGTCCACACACCCCCATCCCTGTGAATTCCACAGGCAAGGCAGGACCCACCCAGCAGCCCAGCCATGTTCACTGAATGAGCCCCGCTGAACGCAGACATACAAGCTAGCCCTGCACGGGCCCCTCTGTCCACCAAAGCAGGAGGCCACAAGGGCTCCCCACAGGGGATGAGGCACCCTCCTCCCTCCCATATCGTCCCAGAGCTGCCTACACAGGAGCCCTGAAGGAGCCAGAGAAACCCTCCCTGAGCAAAAGCCCAGCCTGCCCGACTCAGACCCATGGGCTCTGAGGGAGAGAGTGATTGGCCAGTCAAGAGATGAGCAGAGACGGGGTACCCCCAGCATCACCATGGCTCTGAGATGGGCCCTGAGTTTAGCACAGAGCGGTCCTCCAGGCCAGCGAGTTTCCTGCCTGTGGGCAGTGCACACCTGTCTCCACCCCACACCATGACAATTTGGAGGATATGAGAGCAGCAATGAATGTCACCATCACTGAGGCCACAGCAAACCCCGGGCACATGCAGAGGACAGTCCAGCACTTGGGGAAAGGGTGGTGTCAGACTCTCCTTCCAGCCCCTCACCTCTGTCAGAGGACCTAGGTGGATGGGAGGGAGTAGGGGAGGGAAGTTAAGACAGAAGGATGGAAGGAGAACAGACGGGAGGATGGGAATGGAAGGATGGAGGAAAGATAGAGTAGAGAGGGAGGAGAGAAGGAGAGAAGGATGAAGATGGATGCAAAAATGGAAGTGGGAGGGAAAACAAAAGTAAGGGGGGCAGGAGGAAAGAGAGGGTCTGAAGGTGGAAGGGAGGATGAAAGAAAAGGGGCAGATGGAAGGGTGAAAGTGCAGATGGAAGGATGGAGGTGAGGCGGATGGAAGGATGAAAGTGCAGATGGACAGATGGAGGCGAGGCGGATGGTTGGGAGGAAAGGTGCGAGGGCTGCTTCAATTTCCCCTCCTGGCCCATGTTCCATTCTCTCCTGCGGGAGGTGGAGTGTATTCCTGGGGAGACACAGGATGGCCCTTCCCCGGATGGGTCACTGGGAGGTCTGGCAGCAGGAGCAGGGGCTGTCTGCGGAGGCATCTGAGTGAGTGGCAATTGGGAGCCAGGGAAACTACTTTCCTTCCAGAAAAGAGTTGGGCAAGGAGGATTTGGAGAGAAAGCCAGTCCGGCTCCTTCGGCCCTCTGCCCGGGGAAGGACATGGTTTAGAGCTCCAGAGGGGAAACAGCTGGGTGCCCAACTAAGTCTCCCCACAGATGACACTTGAGTGCAGTGGCTCCCAAGCAATGCCTCGGAACCCCCTCTACCAAGAGCAGGCTCTCTGCGTCCCAAGATACACAGAGCGTCTTCTCCAGTGTGCACCCCCTGGGTGCTGGCAACTTCCCTCCCATGGTTCTGAGACCTCCTCCCAGCCCAGAGCTTGATATTCTCAAGTTCCACTAGCAACAAGGACCCTACCAAAAAACCGCAGCTCCTCCAACCGGATCTGGAAGTTTTCTCCAAGCACTGAGTGATTCTCTCTTTCTCAGACAACGCTGGGGGATGAACATGGCCCCAAATGACACACCCATTGTTGCTACAGATTTCCAACAGGAAGGGGGTCCTGGTGTGGAAAGCTCCCAGGGAGCTTTCTCTCGGAGAATCAGCCACTCACTCAACCATTATCCACCCAGCACCCCTGCAGTCAGGCTCTATTCTATTTCTGGGGATCCAGTGATAAACATCGTGTCCACCTGCATGGAGCTCATGTTTCCGAGACCAGATTCAAATGAAAGACAAAAGTAAAATATGCCAGCAAATAACAATCTCTAAGAAGATAATAAAGCTGGAGGAAGTGACAGTGACAATCAGAGAAGACCTCTCTAAGGAAGCAACATCTGGCAAGGGACCGGAATAAAGTAAGGGAGTGAGCCCTGCGAGAATGCGGGCAACGGCGGTACAGGAAGAGTGAACAGCAAGTGCAAAGGCCCTGAGGTTGGATGGAGATGGTGCATTCAAGGAGCGCTGAGACATTCCCTGCGGCCTGGGTATGGATAGTGAGTGGGAGAATGGATGAAGATAGGCTTTTTAGGATCCACGTACCTAGTCGGAAAGGGTTTTATCCTGAGCCACTGGTAGATTTTGGGCACAGGAAAAACATGATCTATTTGCACTGTATGCCTGCTACGAAAGGAGCAGACAAGAGGGGGTCAGAGAGGAGGCAGGGGGACCCATGGGGGAGGCTGCTGCAGGTGTGTAAGTAAGCGAGGATCTGGTGTGAGCTGGAGAGAGAGCAGTGGCAGGGGAAAGGCAGGCATATTCGGGATGTGTTCCATGACAAAGCAGTGAGACCTGCCAAGTAGAACACCAAGAGTAAGGAGAGCCCAGAGTCAGCCACGCTCACCCTGGCCCAGGACCCAGGGGGCACAGGGAACCAGCTCCCAAACCAGCCTCAGCCCAGGACCCAGGTGTGTTCACCAAAAGGTTCTGATGCCCTGACATCTTGGGGCCTTGCTGGCCCCAGAAAGACTGCCCTGCTAGAGTTGGTAAATGACTCCCCGGGAGCTCCTTTCATATATAAAACAGCCAGTCCAAACCACACCGCCCACACCACCTTTACTGGGCTCTCACAGGGCCTCCCCACTTGGGGCCACTATCCTCCTGCCCTAATCGCCCATGGCCAGAAACCAGACAACTAGAAGCAACCCCTATGGTCCATGCCTGTGGAAACCACTCAAACGAGCCAATTCAAACCCTCCCAGCCCTGCCTTGCCTTGCCTTTCCCTGGGAAGCTATGATAAAGGCTCTTGTCCCTCTTCTCCCCTCTCGCCTTCTGCCTCCCAGGAATCCTGGTGCTTCTCCATGTGATCCCCACGTGGCATGGCATGTCTTCCTCTTGGGAACTGTGAGTAACAAACTGTCCCTTCAATCTCAGTTGTCTCCTGCCCTGTTGGCCACGCCATATCTGAATAATAATAAAACCTACATTTCAAAACATCGGGTCCCAAGTCACCAGCACGAAGCCCGCGTAGGAGAGGACAGGGCCCAGAGAGAGTGTGAGTTGGATTCTGCTGAAGACAGCACCGCCCACAAGGTTCTTGCTGTCAGGGTCATGCTGAAGCCACCACCCTCCTCCCAGAGGGCATGACATACCAACGGAGAAATGGTCACCCTCTGCTAACTTCTGCCAGAGCAGGTGCCTGAGCTGTTATTCGACAGCCACAATGTGTCTCAAAGAGGAGGACAAGCACTAGAAACTTGGCAAGATCTTTCCCAAAACCCATTAGCCCACTCCACAGGGTCCCACAACGGACACGCTGCCATCAGGCCTCCGCACACAGGCGGTAGCACCTGTATGAGTGTGTGTGTGGGTATGTGCATGTATGTGTGCACGTGTGAGCATTCACATGCATGTTGGAGGTAGACAGCAGTTGCCACCCTGACACAGAGCCCAGCATCATACGACACGGCTGAAATATTATAACACAGAGCGCGTAGGGCTGCCCAGACACGCTTCCAAAGGAAGCCTCTTCTTTCATTTTAAAACAAAGGTAACTTTGATGGAGAAGCTATTTGATACCTGTTCGATCTAAATGCTTTCAGGATACACAGACATCAGAAGCTCACAGAAACCTGATACCCTACAATATCGGACCAGGCTCGGGGATGATAAAAGAGGAGTGGAGAGGCTTCCTCTCATCAGCTCGCCTGCCCTGTGCATGTATTTTTACATGCTTTAGCATGAAAAAAAGCCAAGATGCTCAGAGCCAATCAAATTACACCCCTGTCTCTTTAATAAACAAATCCATGTGCACATCAACAGTGTTGAAAATTCAATTTAAACTCTTTGTCTGTTGCCGCTTACTCTAAAGATGGTCTTTCTTAAACAACAGAACACCAAGGAGTCGTTAGTGCTCTCTCTTCATTACTTCAAAAAACCAATCATTAGACACCAGAGTATATACGTAATTAGAAAATCACTTCCTTTGCAATCCAAGCTAAGTAGTTTACATACTGTAATTACAGGGACAAAATCAATTTTTAATCATTTCCCTGATTGGGCTCATCAGCTCTGTGGGAACATTGTAACCTGCTTGTTGTGCAAAAGCAACATCTGGGCTAAAACAATTACCCTTTGTTTGCTACAATATTCCTTAAATCTTTTTGCTTGCATAAAAAAAAAAAACATGAAGACAAGATATTTGGATGTCTTTGTGTCCTTGATCAACATATATCCGAAAGTTCTCCTGGTGACGTGAGCTTAATGTTCGCCGGAATTTACGGTTTAACAGTACACATCCAAGGAATGTATTTTTTCAGTGAGATAAAAGTATCTGATTGTTTTAAAGATCCATTCAGCTGCCTAATTGTTCCATAGCTAACACATGGTATTCAAACAACCCACACATTACAAAAGCTCATCTGGGTAATCACGGGCAACTATTATGGCGATGGTTTACACTTTTCTAATACAAATGAATGGATTTTATCAAAATTTAAAAAAAACTAAAAAGCTGAGTATGTGTGAAAAATAGTTGGTATGAATTGGCAAGGCAGGGCTGAGCATTTTGTTCTCTTAATAGGAAATGACCTCATTTACACTGGAGTAATAATTAGTACTGCTTCACTGACAGTTAAGAAAAAAAACTTTCCCAGTATAATAAGGCAGCATCTCCTTTGTTAGGAGATCTACATTGATTATTAACCCTTGCCAAGAAATTCCAAGTTTAACTCTCCGTTCCACTGGGCTCATGCTTGCTGGCAAAAGATAAAAATAGCTGTTTTGGAAACCGTCACCTCTCACCAGATTTCCAAAGTTTTGCATCTAGCTTTTAAGTGACAATCTGAAACACTTGGTGTCCCCTTTGAAGAAACATAGAAAGCCCCCACCACCCCAACCCACAGCCACCAAGAGCTCCAGTCGGCTCCCTGCACTCCCCCGGTGGCCCTGGTCC
This sequence comes from Homo sapiens, assembly GCF_000001405.40. Lineage (NCBI taxonomy): Eukaryota > Metazoa > Chordata > Mammalia > Primates > Hominidae > Homo > Homo sapiens. The sequence continues at coordinate 30,276,086 of NC_000019.10, read as the reverse complement.
TCCCCATCCTTTTGAAGTTTATTGGCTTTGATTATTGCTTGCAAGTCCCCAAACCTACAATTAATTCATAGTCAAAACAGCCCTGAGAAGGAAGAAAGGAGAGAGGGAAAGTGAAGGGAGAGGGGAGATACTCTTGCCGGTGATTCAGTGCAGGTTGATAGTGCAAGAGATAGGAACACTTGGGCCACTAAAGAAATGTAGTCCAGGAAGCAGCCAGTATGTATTTACACACACACACACACACACTCACACACACACACCTTCTGAGGGCTTTGTTCATTGACTGACCATTCTTGAATTCAATAAGAATGAAAACTAGCATTTACCAAGTGCCACCCAGAGTTCCAAGCATTGACACGCAATCTCACTTCATCCTTGCATCCATCTTATGAGGTGGGTATTATCATTTATTGATGAAGAACTGAGGCACTAGCCCCAAAGTTCTGTGTCTGAGGTTAAGAGCTCAGGAGATGGGGACCCAGGGTGTGAATCTCAGCAGACTGATTCCATGACCCATGCTGTGAGCCACTCAAACACACTGTGCCCCAACGCAAGGCAACAGCATCTCTTCCCTACAGCCTCGGAGAGCCTCATCTTCAGGGCAGTCAAGTCTGCCTGATGTCCGCCGGTCAGACACAGCCAGTGGCCCCCATGGCCGTATCCTCAGGAGCACGCACAGAGCTTGGCACCATTCTGCACCTGGGTTCCTACTCCCCAGCAAAAGGTGGGTGGTTCTGACCCAGGACAAGGTGAGGAAGGAGAACTTACCCTGTAGGTCAGTGTTCTTAGGGTAAGAAGTGCAAACTAGATGCAGGCATTTTCTACAAGGGCAGGGAGCACTGGCTAACAAGCTGCCAAGCTGGTGGATTTCCAGAGCCTAACCACACTCAGGATGGAGTCCTCCAGCTCCCCCAGAGGCCATGGTCTCCAGCAGTCAGTGCCTGGCAGGCTCTCCCTGAACCTCGCTCCACCCAATGTCTTTGCCCTGGATCTCTCACCCCATCCACAAGGATGAAGACCCCACTCAGCTCAAGACTTGGCAGGACAACAAAACTAAGACAATTCTGGCCGCCAGAGATGGAATGATGCAAACGGGGGAAAAATCCAGAAAATTATAAAGGCTTTCTAATAGAGTGTATCACCACATGAACTCAACATACGTATCGCTTTACAGAAAGTACTTCATAGCATCATCAAACCCCAAGATATCTATGAAGTAATGCATCTTGAAGAAGAGATGTAAAATAACTGGAAACTGGAGAGTTGTTTTCTGTTCCACCTGTGCTACCAGAGGTAATGCTGCTTGCTGTGCTGATATTCTGCTTGATAAATATCACTCGAATGTTCAGACATCTAGCAGGTGTCATGCTGATTACCTGGGTGACGAAATGGTCTATACACCAAACCTCCGTGACACACAACTTACCCATGTAACAAGCCAGCCCATGTACCCCCTTGAACCTAAAATAAAAGTTGGAAAGAAAAAAGATACATTCTGCCATCACATAGAACTGCACTGTCCAAGCTGGTAGCCACTGGCCACACGTGGCAACTGAGCACTTGAAATCTGGCCAGTCCAAATTGAGATGCGCTGTGAGTGTAAACTACAAATTGCATTTGGAAGAATGAAAAATGTCTCATTAATATTCTTTATACTTTTTATGTGTTGAAATGATAATATTATGGATACACTGAATTAAACAAAATATAATGTGGCTATTAGAAAATTCAAAAATGCATGCATGACTTGTACTTGTGGTTTGCACTATATTTCTATTGTGCAGTGCAGATTCTGAGCTTAGCAAAATAATCTGGCATTTCGACAGTCAAATTTGGTCATACTAAAAATTTGCTTGTTTTCCAAAGCAGGTTTTTAGAGAACACATATTATCACGGATATCACTTGAAACGTTGGTCCCCCTGATCTCTGAAGTCGAAATGAAAGTTATGCCACTTCTAACGGAACTATCTTGGTATCTCCTTTACAGGGGTCACTTTTTGTTTAATCTCATTTACTTTTTACTTTTTAAAATTGGTTATTCAAGTTATATATGCTCATTTGTAGAAAATTTGGAATATACAAGATATTAGAAAGAGGAAAATAATAATCCATAATTCTATTAACTGATATAATGGCTGTTGATATTTTGGTGCATTTCTTTCCATTCTTGCACATATATGCATGCATATGTGTTAATGAACACATGTGTACATGTATATGTATTCATGAACATAGTTAAGAACATACATCATGTGTATCTTTGACTCCAAATTTCTCAAAATCTCAGGTTTCAAATGCAAATCGATGCTGCTCGGCCACATAAAAATAAAAGCCACTGGCTAAAGTAGCTTAGTTTCCACAAGTGTTAAGAAGAGAAAGGGTTAAGAGAATGAAAAGACAAGCTACACATTGGAGAAAGTTTTTGCAAAACACATATCTGATAAAGGACTGGTATCTGAAATATGCGAAGAACTCTTAAAACTCAACAGTAAGAAATAAACAGCCCAATTTAAAAATGGGCAAAAGATCTGAACAGGTACGTCCCCAAAGAAGATATACAGACAGAAAATAAGCATATGAAAAGATACTCAACATCCTATGTCACCAGGGACTTGCAAATGCAAACAAAAATGAAATACCACTACACCCCTATCACAACAGCTAAAATTCAAAACACTGACAACATCAAATGCTGAGGAGGACATGGAGCAACAGGAACTCTCATTCACTGCTAGGGGAAAGCCACGTGGCAAGACAGTTTGGCAGTCTCTTACAAGGCTAAATATTGTCTTATCAAGCAATCCAGCAATCATGCTCCTTGATATTTATACAAATGAGTGGAAACTTAGGTATACACACACACACACACACACACAATCTGCATGGCCAGGTGCAGTGGTTCATGCCTGTAATCCCAGCACTTCAAAAGGTCGAGGCAGGAGGATCGTTTGATCCTAGGAGTTTAAGACCATTCTCAGCAGCATAGTGAGACCCTGTCTCTACAAAAATTTTAAAATTAGCCAGGTGTGGTGGTGCATACCTGCAGTCAAGATGCTGAGGCAGGATGATTGCTTTAGCCTGGGAGGTCGAGGCTGAAGTGAGCTATGATTGTGCTGCTGCACTCCAGCCTGGGCAATAAAGCAAGACCCTGTCTCTTAAAAAGTAAAAAATTTAAAAAAAAATGCGCATGAATGTTTATAGCAGAATGTTTATTGAATGTTATTATGAATCACATAATTGCCCAAACTTGGAAGCAACCAAGATGTCTTTTAAGAGGTGAATAGCTCGATTGTGGTACATCCATATAATGGAATATTATTCAGCAATAAAAAGAAATGAGCTATCTAACCATGAAAAGACATGGAGAAAATTTAAATGCATATTTCTAAGTGAAAGAAGCCAATGTTAAAAGACTACATGTCATACGAATCCAAATACAGGACATTCTGGGAAAGGCTAAACAAGGGAGACAGGAAAAAGACCAGGGTTGCCAGAGGTTCAGGGGAAGAGGGAGTGGAGCTCAGGGGATTTTTAGGGCAGTGAAACCACTCTGTATGATACTGTAATGATGGATACAAGTCATAATACAGTTGTCAAAACCCATAAAATGTCCAACACAAAGAGTGAATCTGAATATAAATTATGAATTTTCATTCATAATAATGTATCAATATTGGTTCAACAATCATAACAAAAGTACCACACTAACACAAATTTAATAGCAGAGGAAAGGTGGAAACAACTAAAATGTCTTTTAATGGAGAGGGGTCAGAAGATACATGGTAACGCTGTACTTTCTGCTCAATTTTATTGGATATTTAAAACTGCTCAAAAAATAATTTACAAAGTTCTGGGATAGGAACTTTACCTATCTATTAATTTACAAAGAAAAAAAAGAGAAAAGAGGAAAGAACAGCTTTGAGGAAACCCAGTGAACCCCTCTTCCCTAGCTGAAGTATTTCCACTTCTGCAAATCAGGAAATCTCTCCAGTGCTTAGAGACTTGGGATCCTTCAGAAGCCTTCTGGCCGCCACTTCTCCGATGAGCTGATGTCCAAAAAATTCCCAGAGAGGCTACTTGGGCAGCTCTTCAAGAAGTGCTCTTGGCTTTCAACGACACAGATCCCAAAGGCTGAAGACCTCATTCTACCAGTTTCTTACTTCTGTGCAGGGGTTTTTGTTATTCTTGTTGTTTTAATTCACAAAACGCACGGACTTGTGTCTCTGGAGGAGAGCCTTGGTCAGTCAGGCCTACAGCCACTTCCTGGGGTCTGTCTCCTAGGACACATAGGGCAAGGAGCTCTTCCAACCGTTTCCACCTCACAAGGTGGTTACTCTCACAAGTGGAGACTCTCACTTCTTCAGTCTCCAAGACAGAAACCTGGATGCTTCAAAAAGTGCTGTGATGTATGAGAGACCAGAGAGAAGTGTGAAAATGGACATGAGCCACCTCCCCAGCTAGAAACTAGCAGGAACGTGGAGGCTGCTAGGAACATGGCGAGAGAATGGTGGGGTTTTGCTCATTTCGCTATCTGGGCAGAGGGTGTGATCAAAATACAGCTATCCTGGTGAACTTGACCCCTAAATCCATATCAGCCTTAGCTCCAGCTACTGGTTATTCTGGAGAAGGGATGAGAAAAGTCAAGGGCAGATGAATGTGGAGGTCACATAAAATATTTCACACTGTTTTCCTGTGATTATATAGCAACAAGAAGAAATAGTAACTGCCAAAATGATAAGTCCCTCAAGCATCTCTCATGCTTTAGCAAAAAAAAAAAAAAAAAAAAGAAAAGAAAAAAACACAGGGAAAGCTTCCAGAAGCATGTACTCTGCAAGCAGTGCTCAGTACAGGGTGTGCAAACACAGGGCACAGAAAGACCACCAGGAAGCCAGGCCTTTCCTCTCCTGGCATATTGAGCAGCTGCTGACAGCCCCTCTTTGCCTATTGCATGGTAAAGTTCCTATCCCAGAAAATTCCAACCTAACCATTCACAGAAAAAGCTGTCCTTTCCCTCTTATCTCCCAAGCCTTTCCATTTTGGAAAAGATTTTCTAAACATTCTTAGAAAGAGTGCATTCTCTCTCTTCTGCCCACAGGTAACAAGGGGATGGCAGATGTTTCAGAAATGGCACATTATAAAAAAAAAAAATCCAATGTCACTAAAACCAGAATGGAAAATGTTTTATACATTAACAAACATTGTAATGAATTTGCACAACCTTAACCGACTGTATACCCAGCATAATGAAATGGTCTCCATCCTTTCAAAGAAAAAATTACGTATGCTAGCACATAGCTTTAGAAAAGCATTGTTCTTTAAAAAAAAAAAAAAAAAACCTGCATTTTTCCCAGCTACCATGTAATTTGTGAGATGCATTTTTAAATGTTCTGCAACAGCAGCGGGCTTCATCAGTCAGATGATACCGATGGATAATTCACCAAACCGTCACATGATCTTCCATCACTCTAAAAGACGCGAATATATTGCCACAAGCTTTGGGAATAATGGGTGCACCTGTTTACGGTGTCACCTCTGTTTGCTAATTGTCTCCTTGAGCTACATTTTACTTCTAATGCATTTATTTTTGACAGGCAGTGTCTATTTAGAAATCACATTACTTCAAGTGCAATTGTTCTTTTGTCTATCAAGTAAATGAAGTGTTGTTATCCAGATTTCAGGTTCTGATTAGTAAAGTATCAGAGCCCCAAAAAGGTCAATCAGTTATTTACCTGAGGTAATAGAAGGATGACAGACATCTTGAATTTTCTTCAGTTCATGCTATAGGCCATAGCATTATAATTACTCAACTCAGCTTAACTTCAATGTATATTCCAGGGGTTGGCAGGCTAAAAAGATGCACTCCCGGGACATGCCTAGAGATTTGTATCCACGAAGAATTGTCGGCTGGTGGGTCTTATGTTTTCACACATAGTTGTCACCATATCAAACACATAGGCCCTGCGACAGACCAGCAGTTGTGGCCAAATGAGTGTGGGGGTGTGTGCACCTATCTGATGACTTGGATGAATTCGCCTTAGAAGTAGGTATTTTTAAATGACTTTTCAAATCATTTTTCTCTCCAGTTCTGATTGGATGAGTTAGTTCAGAGGGATATATAAAGGTGATCACAACCAAAACAAAAACCCAGTAACGACTGTGGAAAAATAAACAGTGCCGTCCCTGAAAACTGGAACCAGCTAGAAGCGGGACTGCCTTTGGCTCCTGTTTGGGTGAAACATGGGTGCCAGCTGCCTCCGGGAATGGCAGTGGGAAGGCCGCACACACAGACACTGGGCTGTGGCATCTTCGTTCGTACAAGCCGAGGCGGGGGACCAACCTAGTACAAACACAGGCCAGGAGCCAAATTTACACAGGCATGAACACACTCAGGTTAAATAGCCAGAAGATATTCATAGTAGGAGGAGGAATGTAACCTGAACACCAATGTGTTTCCTGGTGTTTAGACCCAAATGTCGAAATCTCAAGTACCCTCAAATTATTCCTATAGATAATCCACCTGACTTACTGCCTCAAAAGCAACCCCAACCATGAATCATAAAGACAGTTCTATATTTAGGAATCACTTGTCTCTTAAGTGGATCATCTACAGTTTCTTTTTCATTCCTCCTGATCTCTCCATCCACAAATTGTAGGATTCTCTCCCCCTCCCTGCCTGTACGTAACTCTCCCTCTACATCCCACACCATTAAATTATCCCTGGTGCAACTTCCAGTTGAGCACCAGCCCAGTGACCACTGTCTCCACCAAACCTTGCTCACCCAGAGCCTCCCACTGAGTCCTCATGTTCAACCTGCTCCTCTCCGGACACCCACCTTGTACAGATCTGTGCAGGGCGGCCTCCCCAGGCAGGTGGCAGGGTTCCTGCGGAGTTCCAGGGACCACTGCTACTCAACACACTCGCCAAAAGAAAGAGACACAAAAAGCCATGCTTGCCTTAAGTCACATTCTAAATTGGCTCCCTGGAGCCTTCCCCTACCTTGTTCACTAAAGACCGTGAGTGTTTCCTCAGTGTTTAGCATATGCTATGTAACCTGAGCGGGACTTGCATTGTATCACTAGTTGTTTTTCCAAAGTGTTTTCCCATCAGGACCATAATTATATGCAAACTACTTGACTTAGAACCATTCGCAAACAGGTTTTAAATGTTCACTAAGATAATTCCACTACCTAAAAGCAAGAAAAGGGGAAGACACATGAATCCGTTCTTGGAGACCCTAAGGCCAGCGAGATTGGGGAGTTCCGGCTTGCAGAAGCACAGAACATGCTCAAGAAGGAAAACCCCCACGACATTTTCCACTGAAGCGGCGAGGAATGTTCGCTTCATTCTCCAATTTATTTCAACTCTAAGTACTCTAATCATGGGAAGTACTTTTTGCTTTTTAAACAGCCTGCTTGTTTTTACAGGTCAAGAGCATAAATAAAACAGTCAAGTTGAAAACTTGGAAAGCTCGTTTGTAGGAGAAGGAAGTCGTTATAGATCGTCCATTTGTTCAGACACCAGGCAGTTCTCAGGAGGCAGCTTCACCCTACACAAATGTCAGGGCTCTAGAGAGCCAGCACTCCCTGGGAGGGTCGAGAAGCACCCTGTCATCTTGTCTTGAGGGAATCCTTCTTGAGGAAAGAATGGGGAGTTGTCAAAACCACACCAGGACTATACCCTTATATAGGTAAAGTTTTAATTCAAATTAACATCCAAGCCAAGTATTAAATAGTGATGGGTTGAGAGGTGGACTAATAGCACTGACCACAGATGCACAGCTGAACTCTGATTGGGTGGTCCTGCAATAGTAAGAATCCTAAATTTACTAACTATGAAATGTACTCAGGTCACCACTAAAGTGGGTCCTGATGAGTGAAATTAAGTGCCTACCAATTACAACGCGGGATCTAAACACTAGTAGATCATTTCTCTATTGCAAAGGATCTCAGGAAAATGAGAAGCCCTGAAGTCAATATATTTAATGTGGCTAATATATCTGGGGGGGAGGGAAGGATGAGAGGGGGAGAGAAAGGGAGGGAGGCGGGGGGAGGAAGATGGAAGAAAAGAAAATCACTATCCATTTTCTCCATATGAGAAATTATATAGGTGTGCCTCCTGCCAAGAACAGATATCATAAACAAATAAGCTGTATTCCGTTGCAGATCTCTCTCTCTCTCTTTCTGTGTGTGTGTGTGTGTCTCTGTCACACACACACACATACACACTCAATTGCTGATAGGCTGAAAAAGAAAGCGAGACTCGCAAAGCACTGTGAAAACTCACTATCAATACCAGGGTCACTGGAGCAGAGAGAAAGAACTAAAGTAAGGAAGGGTCAAACAGAGGAAAAAATAATCTCTGGGACAACTTCATGAACTGGTGATACTCCCTGTGTCTGAAGGCAGACAGGGAGTCAGGAGATGCCTGAAGCCGCACCCACAGAGGACAGGACGGGGTGTGCCACAAATGGCAGAGGGTAACACCAGAGAAGGAGTTGGCCCCTCCTTCCCATGATGCCAGGCAGGGGATGCAAAGATGGACAGGGTTGGTAGCAGCTCAGCACCACAATAAGCCACCAAGACCACATTTTTATTCCTACCTTCACTCTATTTTTCCTTTATTCTGCGTGTGCTAGAAGAGTCCCCCTCCTTTTCTTTTTATCAAACATTCCTAATGTAGTGATAAAATGAGGAAGAATGAAAGATTATTATAAAACAGGACTTTTATGGCTAGTGTCTATGGAACAGTCACACTGTTACATATATTTTCTCTAAGTAATCAGGAATGTATTGGTATTTTGAAATTATGTATCTCTAATAACACAAAAGTACTTAAGAACAGAAATAGACAGTAATGGAAAATGCAGTCAACTGTTGACAACATATAGAATTTCTGAAAATAATTTGCAGAGAACAGCACAGCAGATGAGTCAAAATTTTCACAAAAATATTTCTTGCCTCCGATAGTCCAATGTAATTCATTTTCTATCTCTGTTCATTAATCATTGTTAAAATTAGTGATCCATTTCTTCCACTCTGCCATCTGCACTCAGCTTCGTAACAAACATGACACCTTCCTGCATAATAAAACCTGACAACTACTAGGATGCATTTCCAAATAGCTTTCTGCATATTTGCACCTCTATAACGGATTCCGTTGTCAGACAAAAGTGGATTATTTAACCAGAGTTCCTTCTTTATCAATTCTGAACACAGATGTGTGTGAGTGCGTGTGTGTGTGTTAAAATATGATCAAGAAAAAAAATCCGTTAATTTTAATTAAAATGCATTCTTCCTGCCTTAAGTAGAAGGTATTTTAAATCCAAGTTCTGCCAGCCAATATCACTCACCAAAGGCACAGTTGGGAGTATTATGCTTGATATATGAAGTTTACGTAAATAATTCGTGGCTTCATCTTGTAAACTTTTCTAATAAAAATGATCTTGACATTCCAACCTCCTTAAAAAAATTTTCTTTTTAATATCCTGCTCTATTTTGTTTTTCAGTCTTTGATCACAGAATTTCAAATAAATATTTTTAGGGAAAGACAAAACAATCAAGGAGGAGAGAGATACAGACGAGAACACCAATGAATAATTAAACATATGCCAACCGTTCCCTTGGGGAAGCCACCACTGGGTCCAAACCACAGGGAAGAATTCTTGGTCTTTCTGGATGACAGGCCACATGGTGCCAATCAGTCTGACCGTGATGGGGATGGAGATGAGAAGTTACCTTGGCCAGGTGGTGACTCATGCCTATAATCCCAGCACCTTGGGAGGCTGATGCAGGAGAATCACTGGAGCCCAGGAGTTTGAGACCAACCTGGGCAACAAAGTGAGACCCCCTCTCTACAAAAAAAATTAAAAATTAGCCAGGCATGGTGGCTCGTGGCTGTAGTCTCAGCTACTCAGGAGGCTGAGATGGGAGGATTGCTTGAGCCCAGGAATTCAAGGCTGCAGTGAGCTGTGATTGTGCCTCTGCACTCCAGCCTGGGCAACAGAGCAAGACCCTGTCTCTAAAAATATTTAGCCAGCCATGTTGGTATGTGCCTGTAGTTCTAGCTCCTTGGGAGGCTGAAGCAGGAGGATCTCATGAGCCCAGGAGGTTGTGGCTGCAGTGAGCCGTGATCACACCATTGCACTCCAGCCTGGATGACAGATCAAGGCCCTGTCTCTCAAAAAAAGAAAAAAAAAAGAAAAGAGAAACAAAAACCTGGGACCTTCTTCTTACCCTTTGACAGAGCAGTCTCTTAGGAAGAAAATCTAGGAGCTCTGAAGAAAAGAGTGCCCACTTGATTGGGAGGGCAGACCCGTGTCCCTAAGGCCAGCCTGGACTGAGTGGGAGATGACAAGGTGATACCAGCTGGAACCATGACGAAAAAAGGCAGCTTCTATATCTCCACTATCCTGCCTAGTCCTAGCCTGTCTCCCCTCGCTATCCTTTCCTCTGAATATGGCGAGCCCTGAGCAGGGACCACAGGCAATTCAGCCCCTTTCTGAGTGCGTCTCCCCAGTTCCTGCCCATTTCTGTGCAGAGGGAGATGCGGGGTGGACAAGGCGCCTCAGACACACTCAGCGCTTAAGGAGCACATCACACAGTAGGACACACAAGAGGCATGCAGATGTCTCTAAACCAGGATGGAATGACACATGCTCTGATGAAGGGAGACCTGCAGAAGGAAAGGTCCCTCCTGACCTGCAGGAGCGGGAGGTTGGAAGAGCACATGGGGGAAGATGCAGAAATCAGGCGGCTTCTAAGCTGATCAAGACATCAACCAGCAAAGTTGAAGAGGGCTGGGCTCCTGGCAGCAGCAGAGGCTGGCAGAGGATTGCACCCGAGCATTTGGGAAATGTTTGGGCTAGACTGAGGTACTGAAGACACGACTGGGGCTGGAGCTGCTGTTCCCCTGTCTTCTAGGGACATAAAGTCATGGGGCACAAGGGGGAGACTGAAGAGCCAGCACCCTGAAGGCACACCCAACAAATCACATGCAAAGTCAAAGGCACCAGCTCACAGAAGGCAGAGCTCTGTGACAAACTGCACTTTCTTTGAAATTAAAGAAATGGCTGCGAGATGAGTGTTGGTCAATGAATCTCTCTTTCTCTCTCTCTCTCTCACACACACACACACACACACACACACACACACACACGACTATTGACAGAGCAGAACTTTTTGTTTAATCCCCCCGGTTTATCTTTCTCTGTCCTCACAGCCTGGTGTGGAGCTTGGAGCGGATCCCCTAACTAAGCCTGATTAGAATGAGAACAGTCAAAAGACAAACTTTGCAAAAATCAAGGTTTAAAATAGAAATAGCAACTGACCCTCAGCTGCACTGCTGCCGGCTGGGACAGTGACAATAGCGACTCTTTTGTTAAACTTCCCTGTGAGACGTGCTCACCAGACTGGGGTGGGTGTGTGTGTGTCTGTCTGTCTCTTATATGAGAAAGTGGGAGAAAGGTTTTAAAATAGCCTTGGCTTCAAAAAAAAATTAATCGCAAATTACCATTCACCCCTTAGCAGCCAAAATGTCTGTTGATTCATTTAACATATACAAAATCCAAAGCTTTCCTATAAATATTTCAGAACTTGAAACCTTCCATTTTGTCTCTGGCCCTGAACAATAACACACACACATGCGTGCACACGAATACACACACATACACACACACACACACACACACACAGAGGCACAACTGCGGGGGGCGGGGGCCTGGGGGGATCAGGGGAGGGTGTGAAACCCCCTCCCCCACAGCATTGTCTCCCAGCTACCCGGCTCCTCTAGCCTGGAGTTCCCTCTTCCCTTCACATGTCTGCATCCTGACACATTCAATTTCAGGTTATCAGCACATCTGAATTATAGAATACTGATGGGGATAGAGGGCAGGCCTCTCCGGGCTGATTAGCACCATTTAAGAAAGCTTTCACCAGCCGGCTTCATTGGCTGGGAGCGCCACCATGGTGGGTGGCCTTTCTGTATTAGAAGTCAACACAGAGCTGTCTCATTTGAATTAAATATGGACAAAAAGAAAGATCTGATTATGCTTATTCATAGCTAACCTTTCAAGTTCACCAGGCTGCCAAACTTGGAAGTGAAAACTGAAAGTTCCTTTCCTGTTGCTGGATTTCTTATTTTCTCTTGCAGTTTTTCAGTGTAGTCTGAAATGCGTGTGTGTAGGGTGTGTGTGTGTGTGTGTGTGTATGTGTGTGTGTGTGTTTAAATTTCAGCCTAGCCCAGTCTGGGAGTTTCTTTCTAGAGAGATGCATCAGGAGAGATTCAGGGAAAAGCTTTTAACCTAGAGATAGAAAACAATGGAAACGCGGGGTCTGATTTTAACCCATAAATGTATGAAATACACACACGCGTGCACACACACAACTTAACTTCTTCTTGCAACAGAATGAGTAGCTGAAAATCTGATTAGTGTAAACAAATTTTTGACTTGGGGCTGAGTGGGGCAGCGATTCAGAAAAGGCCAAAACGCACAGAAGATTGGAGTCGCCGAGTTGCGAATGAGATCACCTTTCATAGTGGCATTACCTTTATATCGTCACCTTCACAGACACGCACACACTCCGTTATCTTTCATTTCCATCCTTCCTCAGCAATGGGCAGCTCCTTCAACACTGAGTTAATAAAAGGAGCTGGTCGGGGGGATGGTCCCTGGGAGATGCCAGGGAATCTGGTCCCAGTGGGTTCTGCTGCCAGCTCCACGGGTGATGGCACTGCAGTGTGGCTTCTGTAGGGGCTCCGGGTTCCAGAATCCAAGACAGGGCAGGGACCCAGTAAATGCTTTCCAAAATCATTATGCTAGAGACCAGCCCTGGCATCCACATAAGCAACCGAAGCTCTAGTCCCATTCAGTTCAGTTTAACAAATATTTATTGAGCATGTACTGTTTGCTATGCGCTGTGCTGCATTCTGGGGTCTCACAGAGGAGCTGCACCATGCTGCTCCCACCAAGCAGCCCTCCTCCCACCTCCTTCTCGGGGCTCACTGCCTTTGCTCACCTAGGGGACACCAGGACATCCTCCCTCATGCCTGTCCACGCTGCGGAGTTCTCTATCACCCTGAACTTCCTGTCCCTGAGCACCCACACCTGACGGGCTTGGTGCTCTAGCACCCCTGCCTTACACAGGTCATTCCCAAGAGGGTTGGCCTTGGCTCTCCATTCATGTTGCAAATTCCACGAGGGCAGAAATTATATCTCATCCTCCTTGGAGGCGTCCTCAGAAAGTCCCAAATATTGAGGAAACCAGCCCCCATCTGCCACTGGGACACAAACAAGGAGGCAGTGTGGGCATCGCAGAGTCAGGCAGTACCTCCCTGAGGGTGAGGTCCCCCTATGTCCCCACCATTGCAGGGAGGCGACACTGTTGCCCCTCACTTTCCACCAGCCACCCAGGTCCCTCTGACCACCTGGCCACCCAAGGATGCCATAGCATTCCACGAACACCAGCAAGACAAGTCCACATTGCATCTCCAAGCCTCCAACCACGGATGAGCCCTCCCTTCCTGGGGCAGCACACGCAGAGGCAGTGGCATAACTGACTTCAGGAAGCACAGGACTGCCTTGCTGCCCATCTGTCAGTCCCCAAAACCCGCAGCCTTGAAATACAGGAGCAAAGACTGCCATCAGGCACCAAGGAAGATGGCCTCTGAGTCAGCACAAGCCCCATGCTTTGACCCGTGCATCAGCCCAGAGTTACAAGGTACAAGCACTTGTCATGTGGATGCCTCAGGGAAACTCAGTGGTACAGCTCCATGACTGTCCCTTCCCACCTGCACCTGGAGGACCTATGTCCTGGGCAGCCGCCATGGAAAAGGAGGAAGAGAGGACAATGAGGAGACCAGCCAGGCAGGCTCAGCCTCTCACCTGGAGTCTCCTGCTAACAGAGGAGCACCAGACTCTGTGTTCTTATTTGTCTTTTATGGGTTGGTGGAGTTTTTCTTTGATGAAGCACCACCATCGCCACCTAAACCAAACCCGTATTTCTGAAAGCGGTGAACTAGATTTCTCATCACTAGCTTTGAACCTGCAGACCTCCCATGGTGCCAGTAATTGCATTGCCAATGAGACGCAGAAGTGCACCCACCAGCAGCCTGAGATGTGAAGAGGGGGTGGGACTCCTCTCAATAAAACACTCACCAGGATGGACCAGCCACACTTCTGCTGGGTGCAGGAGCCCTCCCCAGGGGATGGCCAAGGAGGTTCAGGAAACACTGGCCACCCTCAGCCCATTCCACACCTCAGTCATCCACAGCCCCCTTTCACAGTTCCCACCATAACTTTGTGCCATCCAGACCTTTATTTACTTAATACTTTTTTTTAATTAACTTTAAATCAACTCACTTTTCTTTTTCTTTTTTTTTTTTTTTTTTTTGGACAAGGTCCCACTCCGTTGCCCAGGCTGGAGTGCAGTGGTGCGATCATAGCTCACTGGAGCTTTGAACTCTTGGGCTCAAATGACCCTCCCACCTTAGCCTCCTGAGTAGCTGGGACTACAGGCATGCACCACCACACCTGGTTAATTTTTAAATGTTTTGAGAGACAGAGTCTTGTTACATTGCCCAGATTGGTCTCAAACTCCAGGGCTCAAGCTATCCTCTGACCTCAGCCTCCCAAAGAGCTGAGCCATAGCACCTACAGGCATGAGCCACCGCACCTACTCTTTTCTTTCTTCTTTTTATAAGTTAGCCTCACCTTAAGCAATAGCATCTGCAAAACTCACAGCTATAATGTGCTAGTTATATTTTTCTTTTTTTTTTTTTTTTTTTTTTTTTGAGACGGAGTCTCGCTCTGTCGCCCAGGCTGGAGTGCAGTGGCGGGATCTCGGCTCACTGCAAGCTCCGCCTCCCGGGTTCACGCCATTCTCCTGCCTCAGCCTCCCAAGTAGCTGGGACTACAGGCGCCCGCCACTACGCCCGGCTAATTTTTTGTATTTTTAGTAGAGACGGGGTTTCACCATTTTAGCCAGGATGGTCTCGATCTCCTGACCTCGTGATCCGCCCGCCTCGGCCTCCCAAAGTGCTGGGATTACAGGCGTGAGCCACCGCGCCCGGCCGCTAGTTATATTTTTCTAATAGGTCTTTAGATATCCAATAATCTATGTATCATGCAAAATAGTCTCACATAGTGGGAGCCACATTTGTGGAGAGCTCAGTAGCTGAAGCTGAGGCTGTGGAGTCAATGGGATGGGCCAGGGGGTCTGAAGCATGAAGGTCTTTGTCTCCTTATTTCTAGGAGCAGGACTGGGCTTGGGGGTATGAAGGCCATGCCCACACATTTGCTTGTACCTGCTTCTCCTGCTCCGGGGGCTGAAGCCTTTGCAGGTTCGCTAGACTCTACCAAGTATGGTGGCCATGGCTGGTGCCTGGGTCATAACTTCTTAACAGAAGGCCATCAGCCTGTCACTTCCCAACCTAGAGAAGGACTCTCAGTGGCAGCACAGCAAGTGGCCAATGAATTTCCTTCTGACTCCATCCTGAACTCACCAAGAGTCTCTCTCACTGCCAAGAAAGCTCTACCTGAGAATTGCCAATGGCCGACATGCAACGGAGGTTGGCCTTGGGCTTGGACCACCAACCTTCCTCGCAGCATCTCACTATAGTCACACAGCTGTGGCTTCTGCCCAAAAACACTCCAGCAGAAGCTCTGCAATGAGTAGGAGAATCCTCTTATCCTGCCCAGCAAACTCTAAACAGACAACTCTAATGACTCCATAAAATGCAGATATTTCCTGGACAGGAACAACTGCTGTGATGTTCCCCAACCTGAACATGGAAACACCTAATGCCCTGCAGGATGCAGGACTCAAAAGTCAAAGAACAGACACTTTACACTGACCTGTTGCAGTACGGAGAGATGGCATTCTCCAGAATTCAAGTCTAAAATAAACACATTTTAGACATCGGAGTCACCTCTACATTTTTCAAGATTCTAATGATCAACTGGTAAACTTGTGAAAAACCCCAATAAATGATCTCTTAGAAAGGCAGAAGAAAGAAGCATCCAATAGCTGGGCATGGTGGCTCACGCCTGTAATCCCAGCACTTTGGGAGGCCAAGGCAGGTGGATCACTTGAGGTCAGGAGTTCAAGACCAGCCTGGCAAAGATGGTGAAACATCGTCTCTACTAAAAATGCAAAAAAAAAAAAAAAAAAATTAGCTGGGCATGGTGGTGGTGCCTGTAATCCCAGATATAGAGGAGCCTGAGGCAAGAGAATTGCTGAACCCAGGAGGTGGAGGTTGCAGTGAGCCAAGATCGCACCACTGCACTCCAGCCTGGGTGACAGAGCAAGACTCTGTCTCAGAAAAAAAAAGAAGCACCCGATAACCACCTATCTGTTTTTTCGCATTTTAAACAAACAACCGTGCTTACTGACTGGGTCTACAGGCTTGTAGCACAGCCTCTGGGACACGAAGATGACACTAGGAGATGATGGAAAGTTCTGGAACATGGGGATTGGGCTTCTAGCCTTGGAAAAGCCACTGCCATTTTATAACCCCTGAAGCAGTGGCTCTTACACCTCAGTACGCATCAGAGTCACCTAGAGGACTTGTTAAAACATGGACTGCTGGGCCTAACCCACAGCGTTTCCGATTAGATGGGTCTGGGGTGAGGCCCGGGATTTGCATTTCTAACAAGCTCCCTGGTGACGCCCATGCTGTTGCGCCAGGACCACAGTCCTAGTTCATCTCAGGACCCGCTGCTGCATTCTTTTTCTGTAAGGGAAAGATGGTAACCATCCCTGCTCCCTGATGTATCCCTTTGGTAGTGTGAAATTTTTGATCATCAGAAGAGTGTGAGGTCTTTTCTCTTTAAAGTGTAATCACCCATATATGAAAGCATCAGAATATAAATGACGCAGAAAAAGCAAAAACCTTGGATGCCAGTTCCCATTCTGTGCAAAATCGCTACCTTCTCCCCACCCGCAACTGCAAACAAAATGAAAAAGCGGGGGTTGAGTTGCTACAGGCTTCTCTTAGGTTTAACCTCAGAAATTTGTTATATTTTTAATGCTATACTTATTTGAATGCAATAATAAAAAAATAAAAAATTTTGGCCGGTCACAGTGGCTCATGCCTGTAATCTCAGCACTTTGGGAGGCCAAGGCAGGCAGATCACTTGAGGTAAGGAGTTCCAGACCAGCCTGGCCAACATGGAGAAACCCCATCTCTATTAAAAATATAAAAATTAGCCAGGCGTGGTGGTGCACACCTGTAATCCCAGCTACTCGGGAGGCTGAGGCAGGAGAATCGCTTGAACCTAGGAGGCAGAGGTTGCAGTGAACGGAGATCATGCCACTGCACTCCAGCCTGGGTGACAAAGCAAGACTCTGTCTCAAAAATTAAATAAATAAATAAATAAATAAATAAATAAATATTTAAAAAATAAAAATTTTTGATGACTACATATGACTTATGTACTAAAGAACTAATCACACAAACATACACATTTGTAAAGCATTCATCTATCAAATGGTACCAATGGGTTGAGATGACCAAGGTGCTCGCTGATGAGGAGTGGTGGTGATAAAGCACTCTTCCATAACACAGTTAATGTACTTTCCGTTTCTATGCCAGAGGCATGTTCAACTATCTATGAAACAGGAAACAACTACGCATTATACAACTACATATTGAACAATTTTTGCCAGAAAAATATCCAGAAACACCCCAGGATTAGAGCATGCCTTTCTTAAGTTAAACCTCAAGATGCTGGGCTGTACCTGGTTATCTGTGAAGCTCCTACTTTTCTCACGTTTAACAAGAGGATGGGGCTAGTTTCAGCTTTAGTGTCCCTTCTGTCACCAGAGTCATTGGAAGTGGCTTGGAGGTGAATTGGTTTTGTAGGTTGTGTAGGCGACACCTTCATGGTTAGCATATTTGCAGCCACCAATGACGTCTCCATGGCCAACTACTTCCATTTAAACACAAAATGGGCTAACATCTTATTCTCAGATGTAAGGGTGATGGCCAAAATGGCAGCCAGTGGAGAACAAACTGTAGCTCCACATGGCACACACAGACCCCCATGAGGACCAAAGAGGAGACACTAGGAAGGAGGCTGGTAACAACCTGTCCTGCTGCCCTAGTTCTGCAGAGTCCAAAAACCCTAGTGACAGGATGGCTTGCTTGTGTACTCAATGTTGACCAGGTCAAAGACAGCAATCCAGAAAGTACCTTCACTTAACTTCAGTGTTCTGGGCTTCAGAGTTTGAACAAAGAGGAAACAAGTCCCCATGCAGACTCTTAGAGTGAGCAGCTCCTCCAGTTGCAATGGGTCCGCCCAGGAGCAGCATCAGCTTGCTGAAGGTACGCTGGCCTTACAGTGACCACCTTCCCTCCCAGATCTTCAGCCCCTCCTGGGAGGCAGGCCAGCAACAGCATTCAAGGCCCCAGTATTCTCCAACACTGTGCTGTTTAGTTCTTCCCTGTAAACAGAGTCAACCTAAAGCTGGTCAGCTGCTAGCCACATGGTAGTAATGAGCTCAGGATCCTGGAGTTCACTATTATTTCTGATTTACTCTCTTCCTGATCTTTCATTTTATCAGCAAAACATCCTCTTGGCAATGGTTATTAAGCTAAAACTTAAATAAAAAGAAATGCAAGGAAGAGTTTGCAAAAGGCACAGCACGTGAAAGGAAAATATTCAGACCCCAGACTTGGCCTTGACCTTTTACTGTCTTTTAACATTAAACATTTGCCCCACCTTCGAAAAGATAAATGTGGCTTTTGATGACAGCCAATGTTATCTGAGGATTAAAATAGCCCTCTTGCAGTGCTCAACATTAAAGTCTTCCGCATTTGCAAAATTGCAAACAGATGCAACTCAAGTACCTGCAAATAATCTGCCAAGACCAATTTCAAAAGGGAGATTTCAAAATATGTGGAAGTCATTAGGACATGTATTATTTTTGCAATGAATAGGCGCCAGGAGTGTCTCAAGGAGCAGATGGGTGCTACTTTGTTTATAAAAGATCAACAGAATATTCGGCTGTAAATGAAGACATATAAGCTATATGAAACAATTATGGTAAAATGGCGAACATTTCAAAGCTAATTGTAATGGTCTTTTAAGATCTGAATTCCTCATTTCTTACTGCATGCTAAAATATCATTTTAGTTTTGGATCTTGATTGATATAATTACCAAAATGACAGAAAATTAAAGTAAATGCTGTCAGTTTTACTGTTGTAAATGTTGTCACTTTATCACTTGTTTACAGTTGCACCAATACTGATAAATGAATATTTTTCAACATGAATAAAAAATGTGACCTCCATCTCCCGGAAGTCTTCAAAAAGGACAGCCCCAAACGTTAAGAACCCAAGCAGACAGAGTGAACCTCAAACTGCATTACAACAGAATCCCAAATAGCCTCTCTCCTCCAGAGGCCCGGCTTCAGAGAGCTCCTGTTGCTAATAAAAATCTCCATGATATGACAGAAGGAAACAGAACCAGCAACCATTCGCCCTCACTCGGGTCTTTCTGGACGCCTGTGTCACCGCCCAAGCAGGACTGAGTTAAGCCCCTATTCTATTTTCCTGTTTTATATTGGTAATCATGTAAATTAGATAATTACTCATGGAAAATGTGATTAAACATACGTCGCTATTGCCAATACCGAATCATGAAGAAAGGGCATTTCTGCGAATTGCTTTTAACATAAATAGCAAACCGGGCTCGTAAAAAATGTCCAATTAGGCCAATACCTAATGATAGATGGGCTGATCCCATGACTTACACAGATGCAAACTGCACGCAGGAAAAATGAGGAATCGCATACGACGTCTTGGATCTATGTTTCAACACAAAAGACCTCTTTGCCCAGGATGCTTTCAGAATTTCACAAACTCCTACAAAGTTGAGTCTCCTCTTTTTTCCTTTTTTCTACCCTTAAGTTTCTGTGGGGCCTTAAATTCTGTGAGCTGCAGAAGGACTCTCTCCACAGCTGTAAATATAGGGGACGTGGGAGAGAGAAAGAAAAAAGGAGAGAGAAACTTGGGCTAAAGACACAGGTCTGGAAGGAACAGCAAGGGAGCCACAGAGGCTGCCGCCAGCTGCCCCCAGTGGTCTGCAGATGCAGAGGCCTCCTGGGGTCCAGCACTCTCCCCCCAGCCCAATGCCTCTCCATGCTAATCACCCCTGAGCACTGCAGCAGTTTCCAAGGAGGCTGTTGGCTTCAGCATTTCCTTCCTCTCTTTCCTGAGTCACTAGCACCACTTTTCCATAAATCTTTAAACCAAGCGCACATATTCTCCCATGACGGGGTCTATGCAGACGAAGACCTGCACCCTACAATCACTGATGAAATTTGTATTGACTCCAAAATCAAAAGTAATGAGAAGAAAATTGGTTCACAGCCTGACCCGACAGTTCCAGACTGCTGTATTGAAGTTGCAGAAAGACATTTTTTTTATTGTCTCCAGATTTCAATTAACAACATTGAGCCACCCCATCCTGGCATTATTAGTTTGAACAGAAGATCAGATTTAAGAAGTTTCACTAAATTAATTACTGTAATCGTATCCTGCATTTCTGGAAAACCTTCCTGTTTTGTAAAGAGAAAAGACGCCTTTTACAAATTGAGGGACACTTGTGGACCCCCAAACCTAATGCATCCACCCGAACCCGTGTTCTTTAGTCTCATGTATGTGCTTCTGTGTAAAATGTACATGCATGTAGGAGATGTCCACTCTCGCAGGGTCATGAAATCCTAGCTCATCAGCTGCAACTATCTCCCCGCAAATATTCCTTGTCAGGTTTTAGCGCCCAAGCTAAAATTTCCTCTTCTCACCACCCCAAGCTCTAAAGCCATATGTTCCCACCGAATTAGTAAGAGTAAACCCCACCGACAATCACCCTGAAAGCCACAAACGAGAGCCATCCTCTTTTGAATGAAAAAAAGGGGGGGAATAGATCCAGAGACACTATCATTGCCCCTATCTTGAGTAAAAATGCAAATTATGCCACACGGTGCTAAATTATTCTGGGATATTTCATAATGTGAATTAATACCCACTAGAGGCTAAGCCGAGATCATCAAACTCATTTCACATAAGACAACGAATTTAACCACCCGTGACTCAATGAGTGAGAAGTTAACATGATATCTAGAAACACTAACCACTCCAAGGTAGATTGTCCTTAAATAAAATAACCCATTTTAAAGACTTTTAAGTCCAGTGCTAACTTTCTCAGATCTCACCAGATGGCAGAACATTTAAGGTTCAGGCTTTCGGCTCAGCTGATGATGAAAATTATTTCTGTGGGGATCAGGCTTTATCTAGTCACCATCTTCTATCAAGACCAAGTAAAAATCCTATTTCACTAAAGTGAAACCACACAAACAAAAGCACTTTGCTACTTCCCAATCTCTGCACAGTTGGACTACCGACTCCTAGTTAGCTAAAACAAATGTCACATTTTCAGTTCACATTGGCGGGTCCACATTCCAGAGGAGGTTTGGATGATTTTTTTTTTTTTTTTCAAAAAGAGAACAATCAAATTTAAGACAACTCTCTGGAAGAGACTTTAAAAAAAAAAAAAAAATCAAAGGTTCTCTACCCCAATGCCAACTGTATCTCTAATGCACTTGAACAATAAGGCGGGCTGTGTTCCTACCCTGGAAAAACACCGTGCGTATGAATCCTAGGAATTTAGTATATCTGACAGTTTCTCTCAACCACCCATAACATTCTTTCCTGTCTCATTGGAGCTGGCAAAGGAGAATTCTGTAATTGAGTGGTACAGAACATGTGCCCTCCTTGCTAGAAGATGACAGATGGATTATAAAAACTTCAAAGAAGAGCATTCGGAGCACCAGGGGAGAGATAGTGGGTATTTGAACTCTCCGTCTTTACCCAGGAGACAATGGCATTCTGACATGGAGCATATATCAAGGAATGGTGTAACTAGATAGACATAATCTTTCTTTTCACTAAGTATTTAACATTCTGTTAGGAACAAGTTTCAGCCCGGCTAAAGTGCAACTCATCTTCATGCTAATCGTCATACAGCAATAGTGACACGGCCCACACCCCCCTCCACTTTTGATTGTGGTTAAATCAGTCTTTTAGAAAACTGATTTTAATTTTTTTTTCTTAAAGAACAGGAACAGCTTCTGCTTTTGGAAGGGGAAAAAAAAAGTAGAAATGAAGCATCGGGTTGGGATTAGCGTCTTTTCTGACTCACTAATCTGATGAGGCTTTTATTTGCGACGCTTGTTCCCTTTCCTATGACTAAGGAAGGGCTCTCACACATGGCTCACGGACCACATGCCACCAATTACCCATCTCAAAGCGCAGCCGTGACTCACCTGAGCCCGGCTGGAGCTGTCGGCGCCACCCCACATGTCCCCAGGAACCAAGCCTCCCCCGCGACTCCTCCCGTCCACCCGCCCAGCCGGGGCACACACAGATACAGCCCATGGGTGGGGAAGCAGGCACAGATTCTGAATGACACAGTCTCCTGCCTCCAGCCCCACATTTTGGCTGGGAAAAACAAATCAAAACAAGGCAGAAACACAATTCACAAGCAATTCTTAAAATTCAAGCTGTGCGTTGTTGGGCAGCACAGGGGCTGCTCTCAACACAGCCCTGATGACAGAACGCGTGTCTCTGGCCCCGAAATACTGCTCCACACTGAAGCCCAAACTGCAATAAGATTCGCATTGATATGATGAATTGTAAGCCAAAAAAAACCTTAAATTTTCTATGTCTCTTA
The DNA here is from genome assembly GCF_000001405.40 of Homo sapiens. NCBI lineage: Eukaryota > Metazoa > Chordata > Mammalia > Primates > Hominidae > Homo > Homo sapiens. The sequence goes on along the minus strand of NC_000019.10, from coordinate 30,253,350 downwards.
AAATTTTGATAGAGACATGAAATGGCTTATAGAATTCTAATTATAGCAACAGACTTCAAAAAATGTCTCAATGTCAGAGATTAGTGAATCAAAGGCACATTTTTAAAATCAATTTTTCCTTCTGAATATGAACAGTATTTATCATTCACACTGCCCTCTGGAAACACCAGCTAGGATCCCTCTCCACATTTGACTAGGAGGGTCTCCCTGCGGTTAGGAGGCTGATAATCTGAGAGCTTCCAAGGGGTAAAGATTTGCCTAAAGGGTGATGGTTCCAACTGGAATGAGCATTGTGGGTGCCCACTTCAGAAACTGATTCCAAATCTTTTCACCTCGCTACTGCTCATCACCATCACCATCACCATCATCATCAGCATTTCGAAACATTCTCTACCTTCTTTAAAGCCCTACAAAATAAATGGAGTTAAAATGGAATTTGTTTTATGAGAATCACAGCCACTTTTTAAAATAACAAGATATGTCCTAAATATTCCTACAGTGGGGAATCCGTCCCTTCTGCCATTCCTACATAGGTACAAAAAATGCTTTAGAACTACCAAGCTCATCTATCTGGGATCTAATGGAGAATCAATCTACTGAGAATTAGACAGTGGATCTAATCTTGGTCTCCAACCCAGCTCAGCACCTTCGCCACTCCATTAGGCAGGCAAAGATTCCCATTTTAGGGGGTAACTTTATGCTGGATTGCTGATGGCCGCAGGCACAGATGTCTAGTGGTCATATCCACTCACTCAAAAAAATGGTAGGCAGGTGTCTCTCGGGCTATGGCATACAGGTGGGCAGAAAACACAGTAAAAGACCCAGGGTCCATTCGCATCACAGGAATGCTGTTGACCTGAGGTAGATGGAGGGTAAATCCTCCTGCCTCATCCCAGGGTATGCACCCTGGCCTTCCAACCTCCAGAGGCTTCTCCAGCTCCCCCGGAGGCACCAGATCCCCCTGGGGAGACTAGGAGTGCGGTCCCCAGCCACAGCCAGCCAGGGCCAACAAGAATTCCAGGGAGTATTCCCTATGGAGAATAGAAGATATTTTTTAAAGTGGAAGTTTTTTTATTATGGTCATTCTTGCAGGAGTAGGGTGGTATTGCATTGCGGTTTTGATTTGCATTTCCCTAATCATTAGTGATGTTGAGCATTTTTTCATAAGTTTGTTAGCTATTTGTATATCTTCTTTTGAGAATCATCTATTCATGTCCTTAGGCCACTTTTTGTTGGGATTGTTTGTTTTTCTCTTGCTAATTTGTTTGAGTTCATTGTAGATTCTGGATATTAGTCCTTTGTCAGATGTATAGATTGTGAGGATTTTCTCCCACTCTGTGGGTTGTCTGTTTACTTTGCTGACCTTTTTGCTGTGCAAAAGCTCTTTTCTATATATATATATGTGCAATGGAATACTACTCAGCCACAAAAAGGAATGAATAAATGGCATTCACAGCAACCTGGATGGGATTGAAGACTATTAGTCTAAGTGAAGTAACTCAGGAATGGAAAACCAAACATTGTATGTTCTCACTCATAAGTGGGAGCTAAGCTATGAGGATGCAAAGGCATAAGAATGGCACAATGGACCTTGGGGACTCAGGGGGAAAGGGTAGGAAGTGAGTGAGGAATAAAAGACTACAAATTGTGTGCAGTGTGTACTGCTCAGGAGATGGGCGCACCAAAATCTCACAAATCACCACTAAACAACTTACTCATGTAACCAAACACCACCTGTTCCCAAAAACTTATGGAAGTAAAATTTTTTAAAGAAGTAGACGAATTTACTATATGATGTTTTTAAATTTCAAGGCCACACGATGCCTTGAACAGGCAGCAACATATTAAGGAGGCTGTTTTTAAAGGGCCCTGGGAACCATCAGCAGGAACACTAGTGAGTTCCTGCTCCCCCTTCAACACATTATAGAAAAAGTCAGTGCTCTGACCAATGCAAAAGCCTGGCTCTTTTCCTAAGGCCATTTGCACCCACACCAACCATCCATATGGGAATTGAGAGTGCATCTCAGGTTCCACCTGTGAACCATCATTTCATCATTGTCCACATTAATCTACTAGATGGGTGGCCCAAATAGCATCAGAAATGGTTTCTCGTTGGCCCCAGAAAATGTAGACACACAGTCTTATGTAGAACCACGCCTATCTGGAACCCAGACACTCAAGTGCATCCAGGGAGTGCTCTGTGATCAGGTGGCCTGGTGGCTTATTCCCCACCGATGATAGGGAGTCTTGAGTATCCTTGGTGTTGCTGACTGCAGGGATAGAGGGAAGCAGACAGACCCCACATGTTCTTTGTAGACCGGGTCATGGGTATCAAGTTCACCGAGATCTTAAACCTAAACCCCGTGTAACATCATGGACAGACCATATGTGCTTTGGAAACTCCTCAAAAATGAGGAAGCAATAATACCACTTTTTAAAAAAAGGAATTCTATTTTTAAAGTATTTGACACTTGATATCTGTCCCCCTCAAAAAAAAAAAAAACCCAACAGGCATCAAAACAGTCATCATTGGAAAAATCAGAACTAACTTGGTCCTTGTATATGTTATGCCTTTATGGTGCCTTTTGAATCATATGGGGGGAGTGGTATAGACAGAAGAGGAATCGTAGTTGTCTTAGTGTTTAGGGAATCAAGGGGTCTTCCCAGACCCTGTGTCTGCACATTACTCAGCTCTCAGATTCCAAAGCTCAGCGACTTCTCTAAGTAGAAGACTCATCTCTCTCTTAGTGCCCAGCCCTAGCAAGGTCCTGCTCTGCTCACTGGTCAAATCAATCAGCCTCACCAGCCACTTTCCCCAAGACCCTTGCAGACCCGACTTCAGCAAAAGGGCAGACAGCCCTTTGACAGACACACGATGCCAGAGAGACCTGCCCCAACACCCGAAATCACACCAGCACTTGCTCCACGCAGCTCATTGCCCCAAGAGCTCAGCCTGCATGTGTCACCACAGTGTGACAAAGCTTTAAATCACCTATTAATGTATATGTTCCCTGTAGATGAAACACAGACCTCGGCGTCAACAAGAGGGGAAAGGGTTAGGGTCTTTGGAGGAGGCCCGCACAAGAAAAGCCCTTCTTAAAAGTGCATTTTCATCTTTCTTTTTCACAGTGATCTTCTGCCATGGTGGAATGTAAACACCACAGGAATAGACAGAATCGTGAATTAAGGATTTGGACTCCTTGCTTTAGAAGTAATCTTCAAAGAATGCACATCCCAAACATCAGAGTCACACAACAAGGCTCCGAGCTGCTTGTGACTGCCTGGAGAACAGCACAGGTCACACCGATTATTACCAGTTGGGTCCTGAATTGCTTTTAAAAATCAATAGAAAACATGTTCTTACATCTCCTCTACTTGGCAAGAGGGCAGATTCAGGGAGTGCTGCCTTTGCCCAGAGAGAAACCATTTAAAGGATGTCCCCAAGCATTCTCAACAGTGGGCATAAATGGGAACTAGGTTTGCAGCTATCTCTTGGCTAGACACTTTCCCACTAGAGCCTGGTGACTTCATGAATGGTCCCTTCAGCCTTCCACCTCCATTCCCCAAAAAGGCAATAGCTTGGCCACAGCAACACAGCACAGTGGCAAAGAGAGGTTCGATGAGGCAGGGTGGGGGGTTTCCACCTGAACTCAGCCACTTGCTCTGAATGTGGGTTTTTGGTTTTGCTTTGTTTTGTTTTTGTTTTGGGACAGGGTCTCGCTCCATCACCCAAGGTGGGGTGCAGTCAGGGCTCACTGAAGCCTCGAACTCCCAGGCTCAAGTGATCCTTTTTGCATGTGTTTTTTGGTAAGTCATTTGGTGCTCTGAGCCCCAGATATTTTGTTTGGAAAATCAAACTGATGACCCCATCTCACAGGACTGCTGAAGATTCAGTAAAAAAACAATGCAAGGGAAGTTACCTATAGAACTCATGCCACAAGGGCGTGTTAAAATATCCTCCTCCTCCTCCCCCTCCTCCTTGTCCCCCTCCCCCTCCTCCTTCTCCTCCTTCTCCTTCTTTTCCTGTTTATATTATAATACTAAGACTAATACTAACATTAGTGTTAGTAATAGTAACTATATTGCAGCCATTCATTTCCAACCATTTGGAAACACAGTGCTAGGCACTGGATAAATAGTTGCTGAATAATTTAAGAGAGATTGTGTATTGTATCCATACAGATCACCTTCTTTAGGAAAACTCAAGAAAGGGTCTCCCCAAAACTCAAAAGCAAAAGCCATGAAATACATGGAAGGTGCTTTTGTGAGCACAGAACTTCTCCACAGGCATCCTTTAAGATCAAATCTGTATGAAAGGCACAAAAGTCAAATGCTGAACGACGCATTAATTATGCACAACCAAGGATCTGGGAGAGGTTAAACCCCCGTTTGGCAGCAAGTGGAGTTCTTGTATCTGATATGAAATCTGCACACAGTAGTGACTTGTCCTTCCTCCTTAAAATGTCACCCAACTTCTGGGGGAGGGGTGCTAAAAAGACAAAAGGAAGGAGTAGACATACTCAAGGGTCTTCCTTGTTAAAAGATGAAATCTAGTAGGCATCAGAAATAATCATTCCTCAGAACCACTGCTGGCCAAGGTCAAAAGCCAGACATACCTGGAACAGTACTAATAACATGTTGTCCCACTGGTTCCATTAGGGAGTTATGAGAGAATTTCTAACTCATATGGGATGGGCAGTTCATAAGATAAAAGGTTAGAAGTCTCTTTCCAATCACACATGCTCACTGCAGCTATACCTTTCAAGAACATCTCCCCAACTTCACCAGATAGAAATCTGAAGATTCTGGTTGGGCACAGTGGCTCACCCCTGCAATCTCAGCAATTTGGGAGGTGCGGGTGGGTAGATTACTTGAGGCCAGAAGTGCGAGACGAGCCTGGCCAACACAGTGAAACTCCATCTCTACTAAAACTACAAAAAAAAAAAAAAAAAAATTAGCAGGGCATGGTGGCAGGTGTCTGTAATCCCAGCACCTTGGGAGGCTGAGGCATGAGAATCACTTGGACCCAGGAGCCCAGGAGGCAGAGGTTGCGGTGAGCCAAGATTATGCCACAGCACTCCAGCCTGGTTGACAGAGAAAGACTCTGTCGCAAAAAAAAAAAAAAAGAAAGAAAAGAAAAAGAAAGAAAGAAAGAAAAAGAAATCTTCAAAGCTACAAGTTCTTAAAATCACAGACAAGGCTTTTGACCAATCAGTCATTTCCTTGTTGTCTTCTGCTATTTTCTATTGGTTTGAATTCGAATGCAGAGATTCAGTGGACGCTGTACATGTGGCTCTTTTGTGAACAGGGCCAGGTCGGTTCACTTCCTGATGCCGCTGTCTGCACCGTAAGGTGACAGGGTCTCAGGAGATAAGGGTCTAGAATTGCCTCTGTGATTGTGGCGTGAAATACTCTCTGATTTGGTTAAATGTCACTAATTGAGACAATCTGGAGAAAACCAAGGAGGCAATAAATAAGGTTTGCTAATGTTTATTTACTTATAATTTTCTGTAAGTGACAGTGAGACAGCATCTCACTCTGTCACGCAGACTGGAGTGCAGTGTCTTGATCACAGCTCACTACAGCCTCAACCTCCTGAGTTCAAGCCATCCTCTCACCTCAGTCTCCCAAGTAGCTGGGACTAAAGGTGTATACCACCACACCAGCTAATTTTTTTTAATTTTCTGTAGAGACGGGCTCTTGCGATGTTGCCCAGGCTGGCCTTGAACTCCTGGCTCCACTCCTAGGCTCAATCCATCTTCCCACTTCCCAAAGTGCTGGGATTACAGGCTTGATCCACCACGCCCAGCTGTGGATGTTTAACCATGTCTCCAGGTTCGAGGTGTAACCCATCAGAGAAGAACTGGGAAGGGTTACCTGGACCAGTGTGGAGTCCATGGACAACAGCACCCCCTGCAAAGCTGCCTCTCCAGGTGGAGCTCAGGAACCGGCATGCCTGACAAGCATCCCTAATGATTCTTCAACCTGCTCTTGGTCTCTTGCACACCTCCCCTGTGTTACAGACGGGGAAACAGATCCCATGTAGGTAATAAAGTACCCAAGTGAATCACCAAGCAAAGGCCAGGACCTGGGATTTCTGCCTCCACCCTGTGTTTGACTATGAACTGTCACCTGGCCTACAATGGGGGCACACCGGGGGTGCCCTTGAATACATATCTTATTTTCATTCACACCATCAAACAGCTGAAGTCATAGTGGAACAGGAAGCTGGAGACTTGAACACACTGGGGAAGAGAGGTTGGGAGGCAGACACCAGTGAGGCAATGCCCAAACCCCAGCGGAAAGCTGGAAGAACCCAGGGGACGTGGGACTCCCTTCCTTAATTGGAAGCAAGTAACAATAGGTCATCACCAAGAATCACAACGCCAAGGGATTTCTTAGTTTCTACATCAAGGAACCCATTCATGATGAGAATTTCACTCCCAAAATGTCTGGCTTTGAATAATAGTGTCTTCAAATATCCCTGGTAGACTCTTAGGGTCCTTATTTAAAAAATATAATAATAATGAGTCGACTTTTTTACTCATTGAATTGAAAAAGAAAAAAGCTAGCCTTGGCTACCGCTAGACAGCAAATAGTTTTTAGCCCAAGAGGTCTATAAATGATGAACAATTCAACAGGAGATCATTCTAAATATTTTCCAAAGACCCACACTCTTCATTCACTTCTGTTACTCATTAAGGTTTTATTACTTTCCTCACGCATCCCAAACCGCCCACCCTCGAGTGCCAGACCTCTTGTGGGGTGGGGACGGGGGCAGTGTGTAGCTGGCAAGGCAGTGGCACACTATGGGAAGAAAAAGAACAATTCTGCTCCCAGGAAGCTTGCAGTCTACTTGAGAGGAAATATGTGCACAGGGAAAGGATATTTCTATTTAACTAGTAAAGAAATAATATGGATAAAAGGAAAACATTTGATGCCGCAGAAGGATTCTATGAGACAGACGGGAGAAAATCGAGACTTCTTTCCCTCTCTGATTCCTACCGTCTTTTATTTTTCTGCAAGAATTCTCGTTTGTTGTTGACTTGTGGGGAGAAATACGCGAGCAATACAATCCCAACACTCTCAGAAAACAGATTCTTCAGTTGCACAAGCATCGTAAGCTCCCCAAGACAGGAGTCACTGGGGCAACAGGGTGTGACATAGGTTTAAAGTCCTTTCCCCCTTCTGCAATCATCCTCTGTGATTCGAGTGTCTCGTTGAAGCCAGTGGGGTTACTCCACCTCACTCATCAGTCAGATGAGCGGCTCACCAATCAGGGGGCCGGGGCAGCATCTTCTCTCGTCTCCACGACGCCTCTGCCCAGGGACCCACATCAAGCACTGCCAAAGACAAGAACACAGAGCGACTAACAACTTTATCTGTGTTAATCAGGGCTCCACACAGCTGGCTCTCAGCAGCGACAAAGAACCTGACTCCAACGCTCCGTGCCCAACGTACTGATGTCAAGCAAGAGGCCTGCAGCAGGGACTGCGTGGCCAACCTCAGACCAAGTGGTATAGGCGGGGAAATACCTTCAGAGAAAAGGCCCCCGAGGCCAAAACCCAAGCCAGAATAAACACCCTTGATTAAGCCTGTCCCTATCATAACATGCGCCCTTGATTAAGCCAGTGCCCCTACAAAGGGAGAACAACTTGGCAATAACGCTAATATATTTTCAATAGAGAGACAACCTTCTTTCTGCACTTCCATCACGGCGACCTCGTGGTGGGCTGGGAGAGAGTCACAGCTGTGACTTCCATCTCTAACAATGGAACAAAGGATGCGTCATGGGACAGTCTGTTTCATGACATGTCATTGTTCTCAAAGGGTCAAGGACACACTCCTAAATTTATATTTTCTTTTAGGAAAGTAACATTCTTACAAAACATATTTATTAATGGACTGCCATTTGCAAGTCGCTGCTCTGGGTGCTGGGAGTAGAGACCTCAGGAGACTGTTAGGGGCCCTGGCTTTGGGGAGTCTAGTCCTGTGGAGGGAAGGAGATGGGTAAGTGTGCAAACAATCAATAAAGTCAATGAAGATAAGCACTGTGCAGACAACAGAAAAGGACAAGACAGCAGGTGACTGGGATAGGATAGAAGAGGACAGGAATGGCCTCCCTGAAGATGTGCCACTTGAGTGGGACCTGAGCATTGTGCTGGGGCAGCCAGGTAAAAGGTGAGGATGAGGGGGTCCCATGCAGAGGAAACAGGTGTGCTATGGCCCTCAAGTGGGATGGAGCCTGTGTGTCCGAGGACCTGAAAGGAGACCAGTGAGGCTGAAGCCTGGTGGATGGGGTGGCATGGGTGGCAGATGGGGACAGCTAGGTAGACATGAGTTAGATGGTGATGGCTCCATCCATTGACTTAAGCCTGTCAAACCCTCCTTAAGTGGACTTTTGTCTCCTAGCCAGGACAGTGGCCTCAATTCTAGCTTCAGCCTGTTCTAAATCTTTCTAATGTGTTCCATTGGCATTTCCTAAAGGTAAGAAACAGCTGTCTCTTGGAAAAAACAAAAAACCACTAGGCAACCCAAATGCTGCCCTCCTTGCAACTCCTCAGGTGGGTCACATCGCCACCCCGATCCTGGCCAGACGCTGGTCAAAGTGTTAATTAGCCAGATCTCCCCTAGAGGGAGAAGCATCCAGAGGGTGCTAAAAGCTTCAGGGGCAAGGAGCAAAGACAGCTGGCAATGCAGTGGTCTGGAAGCCTTTGTCCAAACACAGGGAAGGTGAGGCAGTGCAGCAGGCAGACATCTGAGTTTCGAAATTCTTCTGTAATTATGGCTTGAGTAGAGAAAATGCACATGAGTTCACAGGATGATAAATATTAGCATGCTTCTCCAAGTTCAAGTGAGTTGTCAATAAGACAATTAAAGCAGCATCAATAATATGCACTGTATGTTATTATCTGCTATTCTAAATCCCAGGCTTTTGTGATCCCTGGAAAACAAAGGAAGACAGGCAGCAGTGATACCCATATATTTTTGCACAAGTGAGAGATGGAATTTGGCCTTAATGTAACAGCACAGCACCTGAGGGGTGGGGGGGTGGATCGTTCTTAAAGACTCTATGAAGAACTCGGGGTAATGAGGGATGGGTCAGGTGGAAAGGAGTGTTACAATGGGAAATGAGCAATCCTGTGTCTAAAGCCGATCAATCACATCTATCACGTGGCCCCAGTCAATAAGAGCCTGAATAAGTGCTAGCATTGACCTTAATCAACTGACAATCGGTACTTGGAAATCAGAAACTGTAGATTCTTCTAAAAGAAGACGAAGCTAAGGAAAACTTTGCATAAAATTAATGAACAGGAATGAACATGGCCTTTAAGAGTGTATACACACACATATTCATATATGTAAATATATATAGGAAAAAGTATATAGGATTGTGCTGAACTGGAATTTATAATGAACTATCTCTTGAATACAAATTGCAATGGCAAAAGTTTTTCATTGTTCCCCAAGACAAAAACCTACACAATGCAATCTCTATACATCTGCAGAATCAAAAAAATCATTTTCTGCTAAAAATAACTTGCAAAGCATTAAATGCATTGGAATGAGAGTAGATGTTAAAACTACTATTTGTTGACACTTTGTGATTTGGGATTGAACAGAGAAGTTGTCTCCAAATTAATGAGCCAGACGTAATACAGCACTAGCACTGTCAAAATATTGATTTTATTTTATCCTACCTATTGTTGGAACTCTTCTCTAAGTTGGGGAAAAATATAATTTTTTCATTAGCGTTATCATTTGTTTTTATTACATTACTTGCTATTTATTATGGAAAAGGAATCTCGTGTCAGTTTTCATGATTAATATAGAACAATCACATGGAAATTTGTGATAGAGACTAAAATAAAATACCAAATGTTTCCCAGACAATTCTTACTACAGACTGCAATATTTCCTCGGAGGAAAAAGAACTGTTGGTTCAAATTTCATAATGCATGATACCAAAATTTAGACCTCTATCTATTATGTACTTGGGAACAATATTGTTCTAACTAATGTTTTAAATTTACAATAATTATATTCATGTTTATATAGCTTACTTTAAAATAATCAAATTAATGAGTGGACAATTGCCAACATATATTCACAGAGTTGAACAGATAAAATTAGAAAAAAAAAGCTGTTCCACAAGGTCTGTTGCTTTATTCTTAAGAATTGTTTTTTATAGTGTCTTAAAATATTTTTTTCCTTTAACTCATCATAGATTTTTGCGAAGGAAGGAGAAATATTTAAGCAACTTTTCCAAAAGTGTAATAAAAGTCATACATTTGTTTCCATAATTTTTCTATTGAGTCATTTACATTTTAATATTTTGCATCTAAGTTACGATGATGTGAAATACGATATGTATGCAGGACTCTTTGGAATGTTTACAGTTATTTAATGAAATTTACTTAACCATTTAAAACCTAATAATGAGAAAAAAAAAGTTCAGTATCCAAACAGCCAGGACATATTTCATTTTCCACCAAAAAACATAATAAGAATAAAATTAAAAAGTTAACATTGTAATAATTTAAGTAACGAATCGGAAGGCCAGGCATGAGATGTACTTTCAAGTTCAACATCAAATCAAAACATCCCATGTGATCCTACAGGCGATACCAACAAGGATCTGGTTTTCCTGCCAACCTGTCCCTCTCTCGAAAGGGATAGGTCTTTGTGATGAAGAGTTGGGGATGGGGAGTAAGAACCTCCTCAAAGGGTCAGGTCCTAAGTAAAGTACAAATCCCCTTGGGGGCAGGGACCCTGCTTTGTGGAGATTTCCTGGTCATGGATGGAAAAGGATGGAGGGAATACGGAACACCACTGCAGCCATGCGTAGGAAAGAGGAACCCAAAATACTGTTGTGACACTCATGATGGACCCTCCCACCCTTTAGACTGCGTGAAGCACAACCAAGTCTAACCCAATGCTGCCATACAAAAATAACTGTGAACGGATACCCCCTAAAGCTGGGGGTAGCCGACCGGGAAGCAGAGGGGAGCCAGGCATCACAGACTCCCTTGTGAACCCCAACAGGAACTACCCTGTGAGACAGCTTGATCATTTTTGTCTTTGTAGCTAACTTTATCTTCTCACTTCTCTGAGGGCCTGGTACAGAGTAAATGTCTAGTAGATATTTGCCTAGGAAGAAGAATAGAAGGAGGGCAAGAGGGAAGGGCCACTTGGAAGGAAGATATTGACTTTGGACGGCAGGAGAGGGCATCAGGCAGAGAAGACCACAGTGGCCCATGGATGCCCTCCCACAGGAATTACCCCTCAACAGGCGCTCACAGCAGAGAGGGCAGCCCCAACTAGATGTCCCCTTCCCCATGCAAAGAAAGATCGCGCCACCAAGATCTTTCCAACCTTAGGGCCTTTGCATAGGCCATTCCCTCTGCCTGGAACTCTTCCCTACCTTGTTCTCTGCTGACTTCTTCTCACCCTGAGTCCTCCCAGAGGACACCACTGACTACCCAGGTGAGGAGGTGTCCCCACAGCCCTCAGTTCTCTCCCTTCCTAGTCTTCGTGGGCACGGTTGAAATGGCGCATATACTTCCGTGTCTCTCTAGAGCAGCACGAATCACAGGGGTCAGGTCCAGGTGCCTGGCACATAGCAGACACTCAGCAAAGATCTGCAGAGCCTGGTGGTGCTGCCCAGAGTGCAGTGAGAGAGGAGATAGGAAGCCCGCTCCCCATGGGCTCTGCTAGTTTAACTCTCTCCATCCCTTTTTTACTCCAGCCACACTGCTGCTCCTTAGACAGACCTAGCACAGTCCTGTCTCAGAGGCTCTGCACTTGCCCTTCCCTTAGCCTGGAGTGCTCTCATCCTGGTATCCACCGCCAAGTCCAGGCGCAGATGCCAGCTTCTCAGTGAGGCTTCCTGCCCGACTGGTGTGACATTACAGCCACCCCCACTCCCATTCTGCTGTATCCTCATACCCTGTTTCATTTCTCTCCATAACACATGTCACCATCTGATATACAATGTATTTGAATTATTTGGGTTTCGTTTTTGTTTCTGTTTTTGAGACAGGGTCTCGCCGTGTCACCTAGGCTGGAGTGCAGTGGCACAATCACTGTTCACTGTAGGCTCGAACTGGGTTCAAGTGATCCTCCCACCTCAGCCTCCTGAAGAGCTTGGACTACAAGCATGCACCACCACACCCAGCTAATTTTTTTATTATTTGTAGAGATGGGGTCTCACTATGCTGCCCAGGCTGATCTTGAACTCCTGGGCTCCAGTGATCCTCCCACCTCAACCTCCCAAAGTGCTGGGATTAAAGGTGTGAGCCACTGCCCCAGGCCTGAATTATTTGTTTATTTCCAGTTCCCTCCCACCAGAATGGAAGCTCCATGAGAGCCCAGATATGAATCGGTTTGTTCACTGTTATGTCCCCAGGACCCCAAACAGTTCCAAATCTCAAAGCCTCTCTAGCAGGTTCCCCACAGCAATGTCCTTCCCAAGTGCTGTTCCCAGATTGCCGCAGCAGTTCCTACTGTCACACCTGTATTCTTGCTGTTCCGTCCACCAAACACTGTGCCCTTCACTTCTTGTTCATCTATTCAACTAATATTTAAGGACTGAGGCCTAAGTACCTCATACCCTTCAGGAGACGGTCCACGAAGCCCTCCTTGCTATATGGCCTGCTAGCAATGCTTCCCTCTCAGAGCCTGTTTAGCCCAGCTGCTCGGGGGTTCTTCCAGGCTGCCCCTAGAAAGCTAGGTATTGTCTCTGGAACAGTTCATGTGCGGGCCAGTGGGAGGTCAGGCCAGTGCAGCAATGCGATGGCACTCCTGGGCCTCCTCCCAGGCAGAGCAACCTGCAGCTGGGAGCTGCCCTGGGACAAGGTCCTGGGAGGGGCCCAGATACCCCTCAACCTATTCCCTTGAAGAGATACAGTCCCCTTGGGGTTCTGGAGACCAGAAACTGGCCCAGCAAAGCCAGTTCCTTGGATTTTTTTTTTTTCTGAGATAGAGTCTTGCTCTGTCACCCAGGCTGGAGTGTAGTGACACGATCTTGGCTCACTGCAACCTCTGCCTCCCGGGTTTGAGCAATTCTCCTGCCCCAGCCTCCCAAGTAGCTGGGATTACAGGCACCCGCCACCATGCCTGGCTAATTTTTTTTTGTATTTTTAGTACAGATGGGGTTTCATCATGTTGGCCAGGCTGGTGTCGATCTCCTGACCTCAACAGATCTGCTCGCCTCGGCCTCTCAAAGTGTTAGGATTACAGGTGTGAGCCACCATGCCCGGCCCCTCAGAATTCTTACAACACAACCAATGTCGACACCTTTGCATCTGGTTTGGGTTAATAACTCACAAATGATAAGTAGGGATAAAGTCCAGGTACACCTCCCTGATGTCTCCATAGAAGGCTAGCTGACAAGTCTGGAGAGGATTGGATCCCAAAACCCCAAGGGTGAGAGCAGATGAAAGGCAACCTTGCCTCACATGGCATCGTGGTGTGCGCTCTTTTTGGCATGGATAGGTGTTCAAATACAGCTTCATGGAGCAAGACGGATTTGGACTGATGCCTGAAAGAAGAATGAGATGCGGGGTAGGGACAGGAAAGGCAAGGGTGCCCTGGGAATATAGGAGATGCCTATTGAGCATGGGAAGAAGCATTCCTCACCCACCAGCAGAGGATGGGATGTTGGCTTCTGCTCTAATTCCCAGGCCTTTGACTTAATTGCATTTTAAGAAGCAAAATAATTCCCATGCTCAGAAATGCACAGGACAAGTCTCCCCCTTTAGGGTCCAAGGAGTGAGTATGGTAGAATCTTTGCAACTACAACAAGTGTGTCTGTCTCATGACTGTCGATTCTCCAACCGCCATGTCTGTTCTAGGAAACCCCGTTTGCAGAGAAGGTCCAGGCCACGTGCCAAGAGTCCCAGTCTGAAGGGCATGCAACCTACATGTCACTGACATAGGTTCCGTTCAGACGGAGCCCAGCACTGCTACCTACCAGCAGCTTGGCCTTGGGCAAGTCACACCACCATGGATAAGCCTCGCTTTCTCCATCAAAAGACAGAGAGTGTTCTCAGAATTAAGTTAAATAAGATATTGCATTTCAAAGCCCAAGGCCACCTGTCTAATAGGCACTCAATAAATGCTAGAGGGTCATTGACAGGACCCCATCTTGGTTTCAAATTTCCCCGGGGAAGATGGAGGCTTGCTTCTTCATACAGCATCACTAGGGCATTCCCTACTTTCCAAAAGAGACTGGCATTTTTCTTTTGTCATAGATTTGGGATACCCTCTGGTGAGGGAAAGCCAGCCCAGAATTCCACCTTTTCCTCTGTGGGAGAAAGTAAAGGAGCTCTGTTCGACTCCCCACCTCTCTCTTGGGTGACTCTTCTTGAATGCAGTGGTCACAGGTTCAACTCATTAATTTTATACTTCATGCTTAAGTGTTAGGCTGCTTTGAAATCAACACTTGAATATACACCAGTATGCAAATTAGGGGAGTCTCTGGTATGTATATGTGTATGTGTGTGTATATATATATTTTTTTTTTAATTTGGAACATGGAAACTAGGAGAACATCACTGCTTTCATTTTGCTATTGTGTTGATGCAATGGTTTCAAAGCATTTCTGTTCTCATTCACAGTGCCGATCCTACCTAGGATACACTTTATATATCTAGACAGACAGACAGACAGACAGATAGATAGAGAGACAGATAGGAAGGAAGGAGGAAGAAGGGAGAAAGGGAGGGAGGGAGGAAAAGACGGAAGAAAGAAAGGAATGAAGGGACCTCCTTGTGATCTTTAGCTTTGGCTGTAGGGAAAAGATGGAAAGCACAGTTTATAATGTCCCTACCAGGAATCCAGCAACCAACCAGTACACTTGTGTGCATGTATGTGTTTTCATGTGTGATTGTGTGTGTGTGTGTGTGTGTGTGTGTGGCCTAGATACATGGTACTAACATTTGATGGATTGGAGTGAGAATATTTGTTTAGTGAAGACTTAGACCCCAGACCCCTCCATAACTCAGCTGACCCTTTAAAATGCATCTTCAGATACATAGGAAATCAATCAGCCAATAGTTATTGGATTCCCAGGTACATCACCCCAAAGACCAGCCAGGAAGGAAGGAGGAATGGCACTTCTTCACCCGGCTCTGCAGATGACTGAAGCCCACAGCCTTTGGTGGGGCTTCTATTTCTAAAATATTCAACAACATGTATTACACAAGTAATAAGAGTAGCTGGCCATTCATTGAATAGCTGGTCTCTGGGCTCCTTAATCATTTTCTCTTTTAATCCTGATGACCTTATGAGGGAGAAAGAATTAGTCCAGTTCTACTGATGAGAAAACTGAGGCTCAAAGATCAAAATGCGCTGCTTACAAACAGCTTGCAAGTGGTGAGGCTGGATGGCAAACTTGGTGCCATCTGACTGGTCCTGAGCTCTTTATCATGGTGTTACACTGCTTTAAAACAAAACAAAAAGATGCCTCCAGCTCTTCCTCATTTACAAACTTGATGTTTCCAGCTCAATGAAATAAGCATCTTATTGAGAGAGGAAGCAACCCTAAAAGTTAAATTATGCAAAAAAAAAAAGAACTTATAGATATGGATGTATCAAGCAACACACATGGACTGTGTAACTCTTGCAAAAACAATTTAATTAGCAAACAAAATGCACACAAAGAATCCTCCTTTAGACTCTCCTCCTTCAGGATCAATGATACAGTCAGTGAAAAGATACACAAAGTTTCCTCATGTTACTCTGAAGGTTAAGAGTCCGTTGATGATAGAGATTAGTAAAAGGAGGGTCGCCTTGGCCCCCACAGTCCAGCAAGAATTCCACTCGCCTACCTTTGAGATGAAGATCAGTGATCATAAATACCTTCACGTTTAAGCTCAAATTATCATATTATGATTTTGTGTTTGATTCTGCTAAGCCCTCTGATTCCTAGAGAAACAAGGGCTCCATCCCCAGCCTCCCCAGGCTGCCTGGCCCTTTCACAATGGCCTCCACGGGAGGCCAACCTCTACCAGAAGTGAGTCAAAGAGACAGATTCCAATGCGAAAGTCTGTCCCGGGGAAGGAAGCAGCTGGAAACCACTCATTCTTCAGATCAATGAACAAATTATTTTATTGAAGGTGGTATTTGGAGATCACACAAAAATTGTGTGATTTTCATCTGAGCAATATTATCATGCAAAGGGAGAAAAAGTTTTCTTAACAACAGACTCCTGCTGTCCCCCAGATCCACACAGGGGCCTGGTATTTTTCACCTGAGTGGCCAGGCTCCTTAGCCAGGCAGTGCCTAGAAGAAAAAAAAAAAAATCTCACAAGAATCTAGCTCCTGTCAACATTTTGAGACGTGAGGATCAAGTTGCTGGTGTCAGTGAGACAAAGGAGCAGAATGTCAAAATGCAACCAGTTCTTCAGGAAGCATTTGGAAGATGGCACATACTCTAATATCTGGAATATATTACTTGACCTCACCAGACAGCCATCGCCAAAGAACAAACATGCCAACATGCCGGGCATACACATCCCTACCACCCCCCTCCAAAGGACAAGCCATATCACCATCCGTTACATCCCAGGGCACTGTCATGGGGAATGCCAACCAGATGACCAGACCCTGGCTGAGCTAATCGTTTGTCACCTACTAAGAAAGCCACTGTGTCTTCTTGGGGTGGCAGTAGTTATTAAAGGGGAAAATTGCTACCTTGCAGCCTTAATCCATTTTTAGATGATGGAAATGTTCATGTTATCTTGTCTGTACTTCTTCTGCCTTCAAAATAGATGGAAATTTTAAATGGAACTAAAATTCCAATTGTACCCCCCCCCCGCCCCAACTTTAACAAAAGCTTTTTCAAAATACTTTCAGGATGAATGTGTACACACAGGGTGAAAAAGCCAAAAAGAAGGAAATGGGTGGGGTGGGGGGGCTGAAACAAAACAAAACAAAAATCACACGGAAAATAAATATGAAGTTGTCAAACCAATGATCTCTAAAAAGAATTGCAGATGGAGTGTCTGGCTTTTTGCTTAAGAAATGGTGCATGCAATGTCCATGAGAGCTCCAGGCAGGCTGTGGCTTCAGACTGTTCCCAGCTACATGCAAGTCCTCAGTACCCGGCGGCGGCAGGACTCAGTGAGAGAGTGGCTTTGCCAAGACCAGCACAGAAGCAAGCCCTCCACTATCAGAGGAGGTTTCGGCTGCGCAGATTAAATCCTTTCATGCCGGCATGTGGCCGCTTTTCTTCCTCCTCGCATTCCCACACTACCACTTTTCCACCTTTTGAACTCTTCTTGGGCTGTTGGAGGGGGACTGCCCACCCACCAGCATTGACCCTCTTTCGGGTGGAAACGTTGGGGAATAAAGTTTCTCTGATGCTGTGGAATCCATGCACTGAGTTTAATGAACAGATCCAGCCATGTTCTATCCGTGAGACGCTCTCTGCTCGGTGCAGATTTAAGGCTGCTGAAATAGCCACTTGGCATCAACAGATTACAACCCCAAAACTGGGGGCCCTGGCCGGGGAAGCAAAATAATTAAAGCACTTTAGCTCTAATTGCAGTAAGACTTCCCAGCCCCTTCAATAGGCTTCATATAAATGACGGCCTTTCCATAATAATTTGGAAGACATTGCCTGATTTGATTTAAATAGATTTTAATCGGGAATTAAAATTTTGGGAAAATAACCACACACAAAAATTGTGTAAGCTACTTTTTTTCTCTAGTCAATAAGGGATAAGTGTTTCTAGATATTTCAGAAGATAAAATTAAATATCAAGCTATTCAAAGAGATTAAATTTTATATGTAATATCTATGTGGGCTGTGATCTGTTTGCTGTCTCTATAGTTACTTGTTAGCTGACATAGCATTTCCAAATATTTTCTCCCTCTTAATAACAAATTCACAACAATGTATATGTTCTCAAAGTAGCAAGTTCCGGTTGACATTTTTAACTTTCCTTTTCAAGGCGGGTTAACATTATTCAGAAGGATGATTTTGTTCTCAGTGCTAAGGACAGTTTAGGGAGGCAGGAGTGCAAACAAGGCTGAGACACGCGCCTCCTGGGCCAATGCAGCTGGCTTCCAATGCCCGCTCGGCCATGCCACAGGCATGGGCAGCAACAAGTTCCTACACCCCTCAGTTTGCCCACTGCGGAAGCTGCCCCAAGGGAGGCCCTTCCCTGGGGCATTAAAAGAACTAAGCAAGATAATGCACCCGGGGTGTGTAATGTAGTGCCTGGCATGGGGTCACCACCCAATAGTGGCCACTGCAGGTGTCAATGTTGTGGCCACCTCTCCATACCTACACCGAAGAGCCCCAAACCTTCCCTTCCTCCTGTACCTGGAAACCACAAGCAGGAATGTCTGCTGAATTAATACCACCTCCCGAGGGTCCTACGATCTGGTACTTGCATGAACCAAACTCTCCTTCAAATTTATGGGAATTATGAGGGAATCTCAGAAATGCAAGCCAGACCATCATTATAATTAAGGCTGAATGGGCATTTCTGTGATTAATCTCGATTTTAGGTGGGCTTTCACAACCTAAGTAAAGCTACTTCGTGGTGTGGGGTGCGTGTGCGCGTGTGTGTGTGTGTGTGTGTGTGTGTGTGTAATTTAGTAATAAAGCAACAAAAAGCCTAAAAAATGTAAAGGAGGCCAGGCACATTGGCTCATGCCTTTAATCCTAGCACTTTGGGAGGCTGAGGCAGGTGGATCACCTGAGGTCAGGAGTTTGAGACCAGCCTGGCTAACATGGTGAAACCCTGTCTCTACTAAAAACACAAAAATTAGCCAGGTGTGGTGGCACATGCTTGTAATCCCAGCAACTTGAGAGGCTGAGGCGGGAGGACCCCTTGAACCTGGGAGGCAGAGGTTGCAGTGAGCCAAGATTGCACCACTGCACTCCAGCCTGGGGACAGAGTAAGACTCTGTCTCAAAAAAAAAAAAAAAAAAAAAAAGGAAGGAGCCTAGTGGTCCCAAATAGACAAATAGAGTCAGCAGTGGAGAGGTGGCCTCCCAGCATCCAGCTGAAGAGCCAGCAAGGAGGTAGGGGGCCAGAAATATACTCCCCAGGAGCCAGGCCCACCTAGGTAATCAAAGACCCAACTGAACACAGCTCAGGTAATCAAAGCTGTAATGCCTAGATAGAAAACTTTCAGGTTAATGTCAGCTCAAGCCTACGGTGATCATTTCTCCTGTGTCATAACAGCACTTAATTTTCTCATTGGAAAGCCATAGACTAAGAATAGTAGGTAGAGGAAAGGGGGAACCTTATAGACTGACTTTCCTTCCTGCATCTCTTCATGCATTTGAAGCATCAACATTGCCTTCCTGCCACCACCTACCTGGAGGCTTTGGTCCACCCCAAAGAGTGCTTGCTTTGGCCCTACCAGCCCCCAAGCCTGGTGTCAGGGTGTGGTGGATGAGCTTTGAGAATCAGGAGCAAATCACAGAGGTCCTGCTGTAAATCTGGCCCCAGAAAGGGCAGCTGAACGTGGGTCACGGGAGATGCTTTGCAGCAGTAGATGAGCTAAGCATGCCAACTCCAGAGGCATAAAGGATGGGTCTAATCCTAGACCCACCACCTACCCCTCCCATTGCCTCAGTTTTCCTTCCTGAATTCTGGACATATATAGT
Source organism: Homo sapiens (assembly GCF_000001405.40). Classification (NCBI taxonomy): domain Eukaryota; kingdom Metazoa; phylum Chordata; class Mammalia; order Primates; family Hominidae; genus Homo; species Homo sapiens. Next base: position 30,233,718 of record NC_000019.10, on the reverse strand, counting down.
ACCTGCATCATAAGGAAGGTGTAAAGCACTAGGAGCTGTGCCTTACACATAGCAAATACTCAAAAATGGACAGCCAGGTGCACTGCCTCATGCCTGTAATCCCAACACTTTGGTAGGCTGAGGTGGGAGGACTGCCTGAGGCCAGGGGTTTGCAACCAGCCTGGGCAACATAGCAAGACCCCATCTCTAAAAAAAAAAAAATGTTAAAAACTACCTAGGTGTGGTGGTATGTACCTGTAGTCCCAGCTACTCAGGAGGCTAAAGTGGGAGGATCTCTTGAACCCAGGACGAGGCTACAGTGAGCCGTGATTGCACCACTGCACTTCAGCCTGGATGACAGAGCAAGGCTCCATCTCTTAAAGTTAAAAAAAAAAAAAAAGGTATCATTATCCTGCCAGCAAAGTGCCCAGCCTCAACTCACTCAGAGCCTAAGAACTATGCTTTCCACTGCTTAGTTTGCATGTCACAGTCAGGGGCCAGGGATGGGGTTCTCCCCCCGCCCCAACCCCCGACACCACCTCCATGTGCAATTGACCTCTAAGCAGTCAGAGCTGGGCCCCATGCCTTTGCTCAGATACAATTCATCCATGTGGAAGTTCTCTGCCCTCTCAGACCCCATGGGTCTTCCCCTGTTTAGTGCACAGTCCAACCCCCTGGACTTACAGGGCACTGGGATTTGTCTGTCTCCCCACCAGCTTGTGCAGTCCCCAAAGGTAGGACCACAGCTGACCTTCCACCCCCCTGAAGAGGCCCAAGACAAGGCCCAGCGCATAAAGTGTGGGAAATAAGCTTGATTCTCCCCAAGGGAGATATAGAAATGTCTGGAGACATTTTTGATTATCATAGCTGGGGGGTGCTACTGGCATCTAGTGGGGTAGAAGCTGGGGACGCTCCCAAACATCCTACAACGCACAGCACGGACTCCCACGAGTGCCCTGAGCTGGAGAAATGATGCCCAGGTTCATCTGTTAAGTTCCACCCAAACCTCACTCTCATCTGAATCTTGTCTCTTAGGGAAAATAAACCCCACCTCGAGCAAGCTCAGAGCATGTGAAAAGCCAAGTGCTTGATGCTGCTTATAGTAGCAAAAACTCCACTGTAAGAGAAAGACCAGAGATCTACAGTGATTTTTAAAAGTGAAAGCTCATTATCCTAAGCGAATTAACGCAGGAACAGAAAACCAAATACAGCATGTTCTCATGTATAAGTGGAAGCTAAAGATTGGGTACACATTAATATAAAGATGGCAACAATGGATACTGGGGGACACTAGAGGGGGGAGAAAGGCGGGGCAGAAGGGCTGAGAAACTACTGGGTGCCATGCTCACTACCTGGGTGACGGGATGCATTGTACCCCAGACCTCAGCATCACACAATGTACCCATATAGCAACCCTGCACATGTACCCCCTGAAGCTAAAATAAAAGTTGAAAAATTATTTTTTAAAAATCAGAAGCTGAGAGGAGACTCTCAGGGAGCCAGCAGAAGCAGCCACAGCAGCCCTTATCACCAGGCACAGTCAACAGGAGCCCGTTGATGGCATCAACTGGCCGGGGGAGGCCCCCACGCCCACCCCAGGTGGGCCAGATGGCTTCCCGCACAGCCCACCTTCCTGAGGGGGCTTCCATCCATGTTTGCCTTCTTTTGGGAAAAAAAAAAAGTGAGGGGGATTTCAGAAAACTGGACTGTGTTTCCTAGCATCTCTATTCTGAAGATGCATTTTCTTTTGTATTTCCTGATTTCTTCATTTATTTCCACCCCAACCCCTCCAACACACATGTACATTACAAACTCACCAGTCTATCCTGGATAGTACAATTGTGGATGAAAAGGAAATCATCTCAGAACAAGTATTTCTAACAGGCAGCACCCTTCCCCAGCACACACAGACAGACAGACACACACACACACACACATCACCACCACCACCATCACCAGCACAACCTAGGGGGCCACTCCCTGGCTTAGCGCATTCTGACCACACACATTATCTGCTCACTCCTCTAAGGACGTTCAATGCCACCAAGGGGACCATCACGGCAGCCTGAAGAGTCTAGACCTGAACAACCAATCCCTCTCCTTGGCAAAAGGCCTCCCTTCCAACTCCCGAGCAGGTACCACATGAAGCACACAGGTGAGCCCAACCAGGCAGACAGAGACCTCCCTCCCACTCCTCCCCATTGGCCCTGCTCCCTTCCCTCCAACTCCTCCACAGCCTCAGCCCAGACCCTGCCCTGGCACATTCTGGAGAAGGTGCCAGTGTGCACAGCAGGTGTGAGTTCAGAGGAAGCCCCTCCACTCACAAGGCCCCACTAGTAGCAATGCAAGCGAGTTTGTGCCCTGCTTTTAGATTCCAAAATCCAGCCTTCACAGCCTGAGAGATGCCACCTGACCACCCCTGTCCTTCCAGCCGAAATCTAAGGCCTCACTTGGAGATAGGCTGAGGCAGGGCTGAGCACTGGCCTGCCCTAGGTCCTGGCAGACAGGCCATGGAAGAGGCTTCTCTCCTTCATATGGACAAATGTTGACCTGCAGAAAACTCACTTGTTTTTAAATTTGCATCAAGTCTCACTTTAAATAATGTTGAGAACAAAATGCAAGCTGATATTTCAGCTTACTTAAAAGGCTTATTAAAAACACTAAATCCAAAGATGTTAAAAAGCTATAATTGTCCTCATTCAGCCTGGAAAAATAAATCTATTTGCTTTCTTCTTTTATGATACTCTTCTTATAAAAAAAAAAAAAAAGTTCATCTATATTCTCATGAGTATCATTGCTGTCTTTCTTCCCCCTCCATTCAAGGCACTTTAAAAACACCTGTGCCATTCACAGCCAACTTTTGAGCAAAAGGCAACCACATTTGGGGAAGGCTGTTTAATTCTGATTTCCTGATGCCAGAGATAAGCTTCTCTTGCTCAAAAGTAAGATGGAGTTCAGAGTTCACTTGAATGGGCTCGTGGAGCTGATGGAAATTTCTTTGGTTACCTAAGGCAAAGCAAACAAACCTAATCATTCAGCTCTTTGGGGTTCAGTGGGCAATGATTCCACATCTCAGCACTGCCTTCAGTACCCTATGGGCAACTGTGGGAAGTCGGGCGGCACCTTCTAGCTGCCTCTCTGTCCTCTCCCATAATGGGGGTTATTGGCCTCTGACTTGGACCAGAACAGCGTGACTGTCGCTCCCTGCCTGCCCTAAGTCTTCCGTGAAGACAGCCCGGCCAGCAGTTAAGTTGCTGAGTTGCGAAGATCTCCAGCCTGCTCAGAAGTTAACCACTCCAGGCACAGAACAAGATGGGCTTTCAGAGCTCTAGTCCAAAAGAATGCAAATTTATTGAAAGTGTTTTCTCCAGGTTCTCCATAATTACCATTTATGTCTCCAGGAACTGTTTCCCCAAACCCAGTTTAGGGTGAAAGCATTTTAGAGACTTTCCCTGCAGATGACATATGAGGTACTAACCTTTTTTCATATGCCCAGATGTTAAGTTCATTTTCATCACATTTATGTAAATTTCATTTGAACAGTAAATCAAAAGAAATCTTAAATCATTGTACACTAGTTAAAAATCAACACTAAATCCGGCTGACTTGCAGTGATATTAACATGAAGACACAGTTAAGGGGCTGAAGGTAGGAGGCAAGTCTTCCATGCAATGGTCTCAGAGTCCCTGCCATTGGTCACATGCAAATATCTCTGCCTGGTCACAATCGCACTTAAGTTTGACCAGATTAAGGGTCTTCTGGAAATGAAAGTCTTAAAAGTTTTCTAAACTTTGGGAAAACGGGTCCCTCAGCCCAGGGGCCTGTCATGTATGTCAGTGTCTGGGACTGAGGCAGACAAAGTCCACAGGCAGAGGCCCAGTGCTGAGACTTCTGGCAGCCGGGTTTCTCCTCAGTGGGGGGAAAAGTTAATTCCTAGGGCTCGGCGGTTCTGCATTTGTCAGGGAGCAGGACGTCAGTGCTATCATTACCAAGCAAATCAGCCAGGCGGTTAATGGTGGAATCAGGAGACATTTGCACTCCGCTATCAGAATGACATCATAACTAAAGCAGCCTTCAGCCAGAAGCCCTGGGCTCTCCCCGAGCAGAGGCCAGAGGGCTGCAGGGGCGACCCCCTGCGACTCCCTGGACTGAAAGCTGAGCCCCCCCCACCACCCGCAGCAGCTTTCAGGGTGGTGGGCGCAGCCCCAGGCAAGTTCCCAGGCTGGCCGGCAAACAAGAACTAGGGTTCTAGTCTTCCCCCAAGCAAATCGACTTTTCCCCTGGGTTCTGAACGCTGTAAATAATCATTATAATAATATTACATATTTTCAATAAAATTTGAGACACTGTGAAACCACTTTCCTTATCAGGCAAGGGTTGGTATTTTATAAATGCAGCTACATTTTCGCTATAGGATTGATGGCATTTCCAACAGAATTGTCAATCTCTCGGTGACCCTGTCTTTAGCAAAGAAGGTCTGCACTCTCCTTCAAGCAAAAGAAATAAATGATGCTGGGGGAAGGGGGACGAGCTAAGGAAAAAGCCCTTCCTGCTCTTGTTTTGGTTGCTTTTCTTTCTGTTTAAAAGCACAGCGCAAACACACACATACATACACGCACACGCAGACACAAACCTTAGAATAATGGGGGAAGCATTTGGCTACAGGCTTGCATTTACGGCGCGGCGCGACCAGCAGCCGGCCCCGCTCGCTCGCAGCTCTGCCCTCAGCGGCGGCCACTGGGACCGACTGCCCGCCCCCGACCCAGGCAAGATGCCCAACTGCGACCGCGCGCCCCCCAAGATCGCCTCCCGAGTCTCGCCACAGGTACACGCGTGGCCCAAACACTTCACCTGGCCCGAAAAGTCAGCAGACGGGGGAAAAAAAAAAAGTTGTGCGAGCAGCCAGCCGGGCAGTCCCGGAGCCCGCGGAGGCCGTCCTCCCGCCGCCCAGCCGCCCAGCCGCCCACACGCGAGGCCGGCCCGGGGCGGCGCGCAGCTCGCGGCACCTCGCTCCCGGCTTTGCGCGCTCACCCCGGGGCGCGCCGAGGCCACCGCAGGGCACTTACTTGGCACTTGCTTTTGAGTGTGCAGATCGTCGCGGTTTTCACTTGGGTTTTCAAACAAGTTTCAGGGAGAAAGAAGGAGGCAAAAAAAAAAAATCCAATTATGCAAATGGACTCCGGACTGGGAGGCGCGGGATGGATCTGACGCCGCTACTGTACGAGTTCTCGGAGCAGCCCCGGGCCGGGCAGATTTATGGGGGCGCGTCACGGCTACGCCAGGTCCCGCCGCCGGAGCATCTCGAAGTTAATTAAAGCGGTAATGTCCACTTTCCTGGCGACCCTCCGTGCGTGGGTTTACTATTTCACCATCAAACCCGACCCCGGCGGGGGCGGGGGCCCTGTCCCCACGCCTCTCCTTCCCTCTTCTGGCCGCCCCCCTCTTTTTCCTCTCTCCGTCTCTCACCCCTTTTTCCTCTCTTTCGTCTCTTTAAGTCGCCTGCCTTCCACTCAGTGAACAATGAACAAAGATGTGAGTGATGGGAAAAGATCGCCCCCCCTCCCAACCCCAGCAGAGAGCAAAGCCGGTCTTAAAGTAAAAATCCAGTTGCTAGTATCAAACTGGGAAAGAAAACAGCGCGTTCCCAGTCTCACCACCCCTTCCACACACACACACGCACGCACATACACACGCACGCACGCACACCCCACCCCAAGTTCACCTAAGCCCTGGCTGGAGACTGGGGCGTCAAGGTCAGGGCGCGCGGGGCTGCCCAACTCGCCGGGGACACCAGGGTTGGGGAACGGCGCGTGCTCTGGTCAGGCGTGCTTCCCGCGCCCATCCCCGCCGGTCCCCTCCGCCGGCCCCCTCCGCGCCTCTACACCGGCCGACCAGGCCCGGCGGCCCGCTCGGGCTGCCCGGCCGCCGGATGCGCTCAGCAAACGCGGCCCCTGTCGGATTTCTGCTAAATTGCACAGCGGCGGCGGCGGCGGCGGCGGCTGCCGGGAGAAGGCGCAGGAGGAACCGGAGGGCCGTACCGCGCGCTCGCTCACTCCGCCCCTCCCGCTCGCCCCTCGCCCCGGCCCCGCCGGCCGCCGGCTCCCACCCGCGCACACGACCCAGCCCCCAGGACGCACCGGGTGCCCGAGCCCCGCAGGCCGGGACACCTCGCAGCTGCCGTATTTTCTGCTAAAGTGAAAACGAAGGCGGCTGACAAATCACGTCTCCGGCGAGGCACCCGTTAGACATAACAATATCTGGCAAACAAAACCCGGCCGCCGCTGCCACCCGCACGCGGGGCTGAGACCCCGCCCTGCTCTTTCTCGGCCCCCAGCCCCTGGCCACTGCGTCCTCAACTCCAACGCTCCCCGCCCCCCAACATTCCAATCCTCCACCTAACTCGGGAACGGTGGACATGTTCTCCAACAGGCACACAGTAGGAACCACTCACAATACAGAAGTGAAAAGGGGGGGACTTAACTTTCCACCTGTCCCCAAAGAAAGCCCTGCCGGAGTTCACTCCGCAGAGTGAAGAGTGAGCAACACAGGTCTCTCTCTGCCCAGCCCTTTTTCTTTCTTTTTCCCTAACTTCCCCGCGTTTCGACCTTCCTCCACTTCACATACATCCGTCTATATGGAGATATCTATATTTTAAATTATTTGCAAAACTGCAACAGATGGGCGCGTCGAGATCTGGACACTTTCCTACTCATCAAAGGAAAGCTCTCCCCCAACCCTAACTTTTTTTTTTTTGCCTAAAATACACCCCGAGTCTCGCCTACGACTGTTTTCCTCAATTCATCTTCGAAAAATAATGTCTTGAAGCAAACAGAAAAAGGCTTATCAGCAAAGATCATTCCTACCCCAGTCATGCATCTGCGCTGGGGGGACGGGAGGCGTCCCCCCAGATTGCACTCTTCCCAGACGCCGCGCAAGCCCTGCCTCTCCTCTGCCTTCCAGAGCCCCCACGCCCGCACTTCCTCGCTCTGATTGGCCTCATTTCTCCAGCCTGGGACTGGCCGGCTCTTTTCCCTCCATAACCTGTTACTTATTTATTTATTTATTTCCTCTTTGGCCCCCGGCTGGGCCCCCAGGCCGAGGCCCGGCTGGGGCAGGTGCTGCGGGCGCCGCCTGCGCTTGCAGGCGCCACGGCCTTTCCTGGGGTCGCGGGTTCGGACCCTGGCACCTCAGCCCTGAAACCAACTCTCCGGCCTCAGCCTGGCCAGGCTCCCGGGGCACAGGAGGCCGATGCAATCACAAAATGGCAGATCTCAGCGGCTCTCGGCGCCCGCAAGTTTGACACATTGTAAGCATCAGCTAACTTTAATTGAAAAAAAAAAAAGGTTGCAAATTACCCTCTCTCCACGGGCGGAGGGGCCGGAACCCCGCAGTGAGCGCGGACCAGAGAAAGAGCGCAAGGCGAACCCCCGTCCCAGGCAGAGGAGAAAATGGGGAAAGTCACTTGAGCAGAAGTTTCCGCGGCCCCAGCCTACCCCCTCCCCTTTTTACTCCCCCCACCCCCCAGACCCTCTTGAAAGTTTCCCGGGGCCTGAGAGTGGCTCGCGGGCCGCTCGCGGGTGGGGGGCGCCGGCCGGGTCCCCGGAGCTGGACGCGGGGTCCCGATCGCGCGCCGGGCGCCAGGCCTCGGGACTCCTTTTCAAAGTAACGGTCCCGGGACCGCGGGCGGGGAGGCGGCGGCCCAGGCGCAGGTCCCGCTCGCCGCCGAAGTTCTCTAGCGCCATACGATGCCCGGCCGCAGCCGCCGGCTCGGTTTTCCTCTTCTTTCCCCCCACCCCCCACCCGCTGACAGCTTCTCTCGCCAACGTCACAGCCACGGATATTTAATTAGACCGTATTTTTTAATCGCGATGGGGCGAGAAGGAACCGGGCGGCAGGCCTCGCCGAGATGGGGAGGGGGAGGGGACGGGGGGGCCGCGCCAAGAGTCCAAACTCACTTTGCCACCTCCCGGACGCCGAAGCTGCCCCCCCACCCGCCGCCGCCCCCCCGCGCCGCGCCCCCCGCACCGCGCCGCGCCCCGCGATCCCCCCCCCACCTTTGTTTTCCTTACCTTAAACATTGAAACGCGGGCGTCAGGAGCAAACTCGGGCACGTAAACGGAGCGTTGTAAAAGATTGTGTTCAATGAATAATGAAACATGCCCACACGATTGACTTGATCATTTTCCGGGGCTGAGGGGGGACGGGCGCCCTGCTCGCGCGCCTCACTCGCCCACTCGGCAGAGCCCTGCGAACTGTTCCCAGCCCAGCCGGGGCAGGGCGGGCTCGATTTTCATCAGCCTCTTTTCAGAATCGCCCCGTTCATTGATACTCATCACCCAGCCCCAGCAGACATCCCCATCCCCGGCTCGGCCTCCCCCTATCTGGTAGGTGAAATGCATTGTACCATTAAAAACGCTCTCCATTGTCGCCCTGGCATAATTCACAGCAACTAGATAGGTCTTGCGGCATTTAGCTTTGATGAGCCAGAGACTGAACCCTTGATATAATAATCTACAAAGAATGGTGTGTGATCGTCCATTTTTTCTCTCTGTCTAGCAACTAAGAAACCATTTAACACAGCGCAGCTTGGTTCTGACCTTGAGCTCATGTAAACACACTTATTAAAATCTATCTATTCTCCAAGAGCTACATTCTGATTGTCAGACTCGTTACTGAGACATATATCAGCCCCTTCCTTGTCACTACTTTGCATTCCTGCCTTTGACTAAAGAATTTTTTATCCAGCCGAGAGGGAGAGAGAGACTGCCACGGAGAGAGAGGAGAGAGAGACGGAGAAGGGGCGAGGAAAAAGCGTAATTCTTACCTGCTCCTGAAACTATTTAAAGTCTGTTTCTTTTCTGGGAGGAAAAAAAAAAAAAAAAAAAAAAACTCCCGGGTGAATCTCGGTGGACAGCGGGACGCGAAGAATCAGTCACAGCCCGGGCGTTTAAGGGAGTCATCAGCGATCAAATGACGTTGATCCGCGCTGTAACCTTGTGGCGTATTTAATGTAAATAAGGCAGTTATGTTGCCAATCGCCGCGATACAAACGCGGAGAGGTCCTCAGCCTCGCCTCCCGCGCCTGCCATTAGAGGCGACTTTATTTACAGACACTATTTAGGAGATCATGATAATTCTAAAACAATACTAGTGCCAAATGATTATGAAAATATGATTTTAATTAATCACGTAGTAGGCAAGGAAATTAGCATACGGTAATTAAACTTCGAGAAAAACGTCACGCAGGTTCTCTGCCTTATGGGTGTAGAATAATCATCATGCGATGGGCTCCAGGACTTAATTATCAAACAAAATAACTTTTTTAAGGCAACTTTGCAAGGCGGGTCCTCTGGGCAAACGTTTCGGTAAATAATATAAGCAGAAGTAACAAGGTGGGGGTGTGAGTGGGGCATGAGGTTGGTTTTCTGGGAAGCTAGGAGGGGGGAAGAAGGAGGAAAAAGCTGGATAATGCAATTATGGATTCTCTGTCCTAGAGTTGACAAAAGCTGGTGCCTCAAAAAGCCTCTTTGTTATGGGATTATATAATGATCCTGGTGTCATTATGGGAAAAAAGATTCAGTAATAATAATAATAAAAGAAGTATCCAGATACACCAATGAGGGGCTTGTTTTAAAGAAAAGCCTCGCATGTGACACTGGGCATGTTAATAGCAAAGAGACAGGATCCAAAAGAGTTGACAAAAAAAAAAAAAAAAAGGATACAGGGAGGGAGAGCGAGGTGGGGGGAGAGAAAGAGAGAGAGAGGCCTGTGTTGCGCATGATTAAGAAGTGATGGAGACAGATTGATTATTCAAAACGCCAAGCCACAGGGGCACTTAAAACATTGATTCAGGTAAGACTTGCTCCAGCCTGCCCGAACTGAGCTCCCCCAAGATGACTGACGGGTTTTAAACCCGGGCATCACAAGACATCAAAAGCAAAGATACAGAAAAGGCATGCCACAGCCTCCCCATCACCACCCCTCTCCAGCTGAAGGAGTCATTCGGTGGCAAGCAACCAGTCCAAGAGTGAGGGGAGAGACACAGAAAACTTTGCGCTGGGAGGAGCGCTGGGTTAGCGTGCCGGCGTTGGAGACGGACGCGTCGCAGCTGCCCTGGGCGCTGGGCCTGGGCCCTCACCGCCGGTGGTCCTCTCCCCAGGCGCGCCGTCGGCGGGCACCGGGCCTTGCCGCTGCCAGCATCCTCGGACCCTGCCCTGAGAACCCAGCGCTCCTTGCTGCTGCTCTCTCTCCCTCTCTCTCTCTCTCTCTTCTCTCTCTCTCTCTCTCTCTCTCTCTCTCTCTCGCCAGGAGTGCACTGGAGGAGTGAGGAAATAATCACTTTCCTCCAACAAGCTAGTTCCAGGAGATTCTTAAAATCCGCTCAAATCTCTGCAGTGGTGTTTTTAAAAAATTCTCTGCCTACCCAAAAAAGTTTAGGAATTCAGCCCACATTTTCCAATCTGATGTGTCTGAAATTCTCTTTGAACAAATACCAAAATACAAGGGTTTTTTTTTTCTTGTATAGAAATTAGCATCGCAATCACATGAATGATATCACTATCTCTATGGGAATGATAGCCTGAGCGGTGGGGTGTTCTTTATTCCAATTCTTCGTGGATCAACTGATTATACTCCGTCGTCTTTTGAACCTGTTATTGTAAGTCAAGTGATTCTTTATAAGTGACAGAGCGGACAAAGAGGCGAGCAGGGCCGAGCAGGTCGAAAGGAAGTGACCATATGGACTTGGAGAAAAGGCACTTTCTCCCCTACAGAATGGGGGTCGCCTTTTAACCCTCGAGCCGCCGGCCTCGCCTGGGCCGTGGGAGGCACGGAGCCCGGCGCGCGTCCTGGCGTCGTTCTGGGGGTCCCTGGCGGTGTCTGGCCGGTCTGGGCCGGGCCCATGGCCTCCAGGCCAGGGGAGCCCCTTCCAGGCCTGGAGGCCCAAGGCTTCTGCGGCCTCGGAGCCCGTGCGTCTCGGGAGGGCCGCGCTCCCGGTGGCCCGGGGTGCTTCGCCTGGGGCGCGCTGCCGCGAGGGGGCTGCCACGGCTTTGCGTGGCCGGGCGGGGTGGGACCCACCGGGCAGAGACAGCGCGCTCATCGGAGGCCAAGCCCCGCCTGAGCCCCGCAGACGGCCGGGCAGGGGGCTCTCCGGCTCCCCCTGTCGGCGCCGACGCCCTCTGCATGCCTCCAGGACCTGAGCAAGCTGAGTGGGGGTCCCCGGGGAGACCTCCCGGCGCGGCCCTTGTTGGGAGTGGGAGGTGGAGGGTTCCAGAAAATGGACAGAGGCCCCTTATCCTCCAGATGCCGAAACTTGACGCCTACCTGCGTCTCATTAAAGTATAAAAGTTCCCCACTGGCTCCCCACCCACCAGCCCCACCCCACCAGGGGTGTTTTGTGGCCGCTTTCATAATTTGTGGCTCTCCTATGCTTTTCCCCGTATCCAGGATTTCTCGGGGTCCCCATCTTCCTCCCTTGGGTCTGGCCTCTCTCTGCTCTTCCTTTTCAAACTCTCGAGTATTTCTCGCTGCCCCTGCCTCGCCTGGCCAGGGCTGGAACCCCTTGGATTTTCGGCAGAGGCTCCCATGGGCCCACCCCTCCCCTGCCCAAGAGTCCTGCACTCTTCAGTACTCGAAGCTGTCTCTAAGGGCAGCCCCTCCCTACCCAGGGGACGTTGACCCGGGCCTTCCACTCCTGCGGAATCCTCAAGGCCACTCCCGCCATTTAATTTCTTGAAACTGATGAAAGTTACTGGGAACTTGGGATGATGAGTTAGGTGGGTGGTGGCTGTGGGTAAAAATCAAGGTGGTGAAATGAGTTCTTTGGTGACTCCTGGACCAGCTCAAAAGCAAGGCTGGGAAGCGCTGCACCAGGCTGGAGCCCATCAGCTCCTTATAAGAAGCGTTCAATCACTCAAAGTGCCTACTTTGAAAGTGATACTGATCACACCAATAGGTTTGTTCTGACCTCTGTCATTCGCGCCTCAAACATGGCAGTGATTCATAAAATGTTATCAAACCATTACTTTGGAGTTGCACTCCTGGTCACAACACTACTCATTTTGTTTGTTTGTTTGTATATTGCTATTCTTTTCCCTTCACTCTCTTCTGCTCCTTATAATCCTGCCTCCTTCATAGTACACCAGGTCTTCTTATAATATTGTTTCCTTCAACATTGTTTCCTTATAATGTAATGAGAAAAAAACATGGATTCCAGCCAGGGCCACTATCTGTGCGGACTGTGTACGTTCTTCCCAGGTCTGCGTGGGTTGTCTCTGGGTACTCACGTTTCCTCCCATGCCCCAAAGACATGCACGGTAGGTGAATAGCCATGTCTGCATGGTGCCAACCCGAGGGAGTGTAGGTATATGTATGAGTGTTCCCTGCAATGAGATGGCATCCTGTCCAGGGCTGGTTCCTGCCCTGCACCCTGAGTTGCTAAGACAGGCTCCAGCCCCTTGAGATGGTGAACTGGAATCATCAGGCTGGAACATGAAACAATGAATGAATATAAATTATTGTCAAATAAAATACATAAAATATATGATAATCATACTAATGTATGCCAAGAAACAGTACAGTACAAAAGTGCTCATAGTTGTGCACTTTCGACTGCACATATTTTGAGTCCACCATATTTGTGATTTTTTGTTTTTCAACTTGGTGGTGGTGAGAGGTACTCCTTACAATTTTCACTTTGCAAACATGTATTCTTTGACTTAACCCATTACTACTATGACCACCCTCACTAATTGATCAAAAACTGGGGTAAGTAATGATCTTACTTGTTTTATTAATGGCTCTTAAATGTATGTATAGCTCATATTTATTTCAATGTTTAGACATGTAGAAGCGCGGTGAAGCTTTGTGACCAGAGACATGCTGTAGGAACTTAACTCTTGTTTGTATCAATCAATCTATGGTAAAACTAGTTTCATTATACATCACTTGCTTAAAGTCAGTTTCCAAGAATCCATCAACAATATTAAGTGAGGACTTGCTGTATAGACAGATTTAAAAGCAGCAGGGAGGGTACCCAAGAGGGCTACATTGGCTCCAGGATGGAAGGGTGGACCAGGACACTTCTGAATCAAGAGGCCAAGTTCCCTCTCCTCTGGAACCTCAGTTTTTCCATCTATATAAAGATGACCTCCAACATCTGTAATACCCCTTTGATCACTCACAGTCAGTGGTTTTAGCACAATGATACCCCTAATCCCCAGGTTATGACTCCCTTCTTCAAGCAGAAGAAAGACGCTAGGTCTGCAAAGGGCCCATGTGTTAGGTGGGGAGTTGGTCTGCATGGCCACAGGGTCCCAGGTGGCCTCCCATGGAGAACCCTGCTTTTCCATCTCAGGGGAGTAGGCGACCATCCTTTACTGGGAGGAAGGCTACCTGGCTTCAGCAAGGAGTTGTCCTGCACTAGGAAAAAGGGTTTTCTATGCTGCAGGGGTCATTTGTCTCTCCACCAAGGCCAAGGTGCAGCCTTTTCTGTCATGAGCAATGCAGTATGAATGACCCTTCAAAGACTCCCTGAGAGCATGATTCAGAAGGGTGCCCTTAGAGGTGGAGGTGATTCCTGAATAAGAAGAAATTGGGGAAGCATCTGATCTGTTTGGCTATTCTGCCATGACCTGTTGGTCCCAGACCCAGGGTGCTGCTGCCCCACAAGCTCAAGAAAAGGTTGTACACCTCTTCCGGTTTTTCCAACAGAGGGAAGAAGTCAGCATAGTGATTCGTGTTGTCCTGGCGGAACATGTCCCTTCCTCCAGCAACAGCTTCACCTTCCCTTCCTGCCTTGCGGGCATCTGGGTGGGGGTCCTGCCCCGGATCCCAGGCAATCAGTGCATCACATCTCTCTGGATTCTGTCATTCAGTAATAGGCATATGGCCTAAGTTGGTCCAATCAGAGTGAATCTTGGACTTTTTTTTTTTTTTTTTTTTTTTGCTAGGTGCTAGTGGAGAGGTTAAACTGCTGGAGAACTGTAGTTTCCATCCCAGCACCAAAAGAACAGAGTCCAGAGTTTTCAGGGGCCACCAAGAGGAGCCAGAGAAGGGTGCCAACACAGTCCGTGGCAGGATGGAGATAGAGAAATGGTGCTGCTTGCCTTGTATGAGCCCTGAATCCAGCCACATTTGAAGCCAGCTCCACCCCAGCACCTTTCTGTTTTGTAAGTGGATAAACTTCCTTTAACTTAATTCAGTTTACTTTGGGTTTTCTGCTATTTGCCACAGAATGAGATCTGATAATAGTTAGCACCTGACAAGAACAAAGAACACCTGGGCCAGGGACCAGAGCGCTCAAAAACAAGGCTGGAACAAGGGGCAGAAAAGCAAAGCATGGTCCCTGGTGTTCTTTCCAGTGAATGGGCAAAGAACTTACCAGAATTCTCTTAAAGCTACAGGTGCACCTTGCTTTGCATTAATAGCTCTGTGCCAGAAGAGATGCTTATAAAGTAAATTTTTGTAAATTGAACCTGATTGCACTGGAAGAGCTGGTTATTTAAGGCATCTCAACAGACAATGTCATTTGTAAAATGAATGGGCGTGTCCTAAAATAACAAATTAACAGTAATTTATTTATAATCCTAATTTTCCTACATCAGGCTTTATTGTAAAGCAGGACCAATGTGGATGTCTTCTTGGTGTCTTTGTATGAGTTAGTCAAATGCAAAAAAAAATGTGCTGAGCGGCTGGGCGCGGTGTCTCACGCCTGTAATCCTAGCACTTTGGAAGGCCGAGGCGGGCAGATCATGAGATCAGGAGTTTGAGACCAGCCTGACCAACATGGTGAAACCCCATCTCTACGAAAAATACAAAAATTAGCCAGGCATAGTGGTGTGTGCCTGTAATTCCAACTACTCAGGAGGCCGAGGCAGGAGAATCGCTTGAACCCCAGAGGTGGATGTTGCAGTGAGCCAAGATTGTACCACTGCACTTCAGCCTGAGTGACAAAGTGAGACTCTGTCTCAACAACAACAACAAAAAATGTGCTGAGGTCTATTGAGTATAATTACAACCTCACACACCCACTCCTTTGCAAGGCTGTGGAACAGAAATGTCCTGAATAGATCCTGGACCATCAACTCTGGGCCCTGCAGTTGTCTTCAACAGCTATCATCGGTTTTGAATTAGGTTTGGGGGAAATGTTATGAAGCTAGCGGACTTTCTGACCAGAATGTGGCCTGTGCTTTGTTTTCCTGAAGAGGAGAAATCAATGAAATAGCCCATAGTAAGTTCTAAATTTGGGGGGCTGTTGAGACTACAATTCAGTTGTACTGAATTGTAACTGAAACAAAATATCAGGTTATGAGACGAAACTGATGGTGGGGATCCCAGAACTTATTTTCTTAAGATGTTGATTTCTCTGGTACTCCCTTTCCCATGCTGTAAATGTGCGCATCATGCAGCACATGGCTGTGACCTGGCCCCTTGCTTTTCCAAAGTCCCAATTTTCAGCCCTGGTTTTACCTGGGGAAGAAGTGCAAATTTTGCTTGCCACTACAAATGAAAGGGAGCAAATATTTATAAAATATAGTTTTTTGGAAAAGGTTACAGTTACCCTTTGGCTCATAGATGTGACCTGGTCTGTATGGATTGAACAGAATCACCAGTAACAATCCCCGGGACTTACACGGGTAAATACGGAGCTTTATCGCCTTGTAGGAAGCATTTCTCTACCAGGTAGCAACTTGAAAACAAATGAAAATGAAAAAGTCAGGCAAAAAGCAAGTCCCTGACCCTGGCCAGTGCCTGAGAGCCCTGTGTCACAGCCCGCTTCCATGGAGAGCTGGCCATGGGCCTGTACAGGGAACAGACTGGAGCTCAGGGTGGGTGGTGGGCCAGGAGCCAGGGAAGGACCATCACTATAGAGGCTTTGTTTTAAATCCTGATTCCACCAAAGGGCTTAGTCGAGTCTGGTGGATTTGGGGGAAAGAGAAAGGGAAGCCTCGGAGCAAAGAGATATGTGCTGAAGGTCAAATGCATGTTGATGGTGCCAGGCTCCAAGAGAGGAGTAAAATGCAATTGGATGGTGCGGTGTAGGGGAAATGGGAGGGGCGGCCCCAAGGGCTGAGCTTGTATCCCTGGAGAGTCTCTGGCAGGCTGAATCTGCACTTGCACCCAAGGTTCCTGAGTGCTGTAGATCCCATGGGCCCTACAAAATCCCCCAGGGGGTCCTTGCAACCTGTACTTGGGATGATCAGCTAGCAGATGGAGACTTGGGGTCTGGCCCCTAAAGGTATAGGAGGGTAAGTATGAAACTGCATTGGTGACCGAAGACAAATTTTTTCATCTGGGTGAGTGTTTGAGATATGGTTGTATCCATGCCAGCTTTTCTGGTCCTCTTCTAGCTCTGAGGGTCCAGATCTGTGGAACTACCTTGGCTACAGTTGCTGTTTCGGGGATGCCATCTAAGACTTTGCTTGTGGGAGCTTCCTTTCTAACCAAGACTCGAAACTTCTCAGAGGGCAGACCCCAAACATGGTTCATCACCAGACCCTAGGCCTAGCCCAATCCCTGGCACCATGCAGATCATTAGGAAATGTTGATGGAACTAATCAAGAAACTAATACTGAGGCAGGAGGATCTCTTGAGGCCAGGAATTTGAGACCAGTCTGGGCATCATAGCTTGACCCTGTCTCTAAAAAAAATAAAAATAATAATAATTATCTGGGTCTGGTGGCACTCGCCTGTAGTCCCAGCTTCTCAGGAGGCTGAGGTAGGAGGATTGCTTGAGCCCACGAGTTCAAGGCTGCAGTGAGCTGTGATCTCACCACTGCTCTACAGCCTGGATGACGCAGTAAGATATCTGCCTCTAAAAAAAGAAAAAAAAGAAATTAATGAATCATATCTAACACTTAAATAATTCATACTATGTGCCAGGCACTTATTTTTGTTTGTTGTTTTTTTGTGGGATTTTTTTGTTTGTTTGTTCTGTTTTTTTATTTTTTGAGACGGAGCGTCACTCTGTCTCCCAGGCTGGAGTGCAATGTGCAGTCTCGGTTCACTGCAACCGGCTAGGCACTGTTTTAAGCACTTTACCTACACTGACCACTGAATGAATGAATGAATGAATGAATGAATGAATGAATGAATGCACATATGAACAGCATTGCTTAAAATGTGTTGCCACCACTAGAAATTAGTTGCAACACTTTAAAATTAATGGTTCTTTTCTCTGATATAAAGTAGTCCTTGATGCACATTGAAGAATAATTAGAAAACACAGGAATGTACAAAGATGATTATATCTTTCTTAATCTCACCCTGATAGCCTTTTGTATCTTTCCTTCCGAGCATTTTTCTGTGCATATCAATTTTTTGCAAACTTTGAATCATTTTTATAAACAATTTTGTGTCCTGCTTTTGTTCTCTAACCTTGTAGCACAAGGTATCTCCCCATGTCATTAAATATTCTTTGAAAACATGATTTTATAGCTACATAATGTTCCATCAAATGGATGCAACATAATTTATTTAAACAACCTCTTATTTTGGAGCATCTAAATTGTTTCTATTTTGTTGTTGTTGTTGTTGTTGTTCTCTTAGAAGTATTGGAGAGAGCATTTTCATGGTTAAAGCTTTGTTTGCGTCTCTGCTTGTTTTCTTAGAATCCACTGACAGAGGTGAAGTTGGATCGGTGCATATGAAGGTTTTGGGGCCCCTCCTAGATGCTGCCAACTTTCTTTCCAAAAAGGCTGCCCCAACTTGTTCTTCCCAATTTGTTTCTCTTCCTGTGTCTCCTCCAGCCTTTTGCCCATTTATGCACAGGAGGCTTTATGGCTTACCTTACAGACTCATAAGAGGATGATAAACCTTAGGCAGTCACTATTGCTCCAAATTAGTTGGACTTTTAATTCTGATGGTGGTGCCATTTTCAACAGGTTCTTGTTGTCCCCGGCTCACCCTTCAGCTCTAGGGAACCCCAGGGATGTCTCTCAGTGCCCACTGAACCTTGCTGGCTTCAAATAAAACAATGTATCTCTTTGCTTTAGCTCCAGATGGGCTGTGTATCCAAGGGAGGTATGTGTCCAGCCAATATTCCTGATATAGTCATTCTAGGGCTCCAACTCCCCTGCCTGCTGCCCACTCAGAAGCTCTGCTTCTAGATCTCCCCAGACCCCTCACCCCTTGCTAACTCCTCGAGTTACTTTTGCCAATGGTGGTGATTTTTCTATTGCTCTAAAAGAGAAGGGGAGGAGAATACCATAAAGCAGCAGAGCACAGGTTCTGAGGCCAGACCACCTGGGTTCAAATCCCAGCTCCAAAATTTTAGAGCTGTGTGACCTTAGGCAAGTTACATAACCTCTCTGTGCCTTAACCTCCACATAAGAAAAAAGAGCGTGTTTAGAGAACTCAGTGGATTAGCCCTTAGCATGGCACCTGGTACATAATAGGCCTTTACTATTCTTATTCATGATGTGTACATGTTTTATGTGGATTTTCTAAATTAAATAAGAATGACAGTCGTTTTCATAATGTCCCATGTTATTTAGCTTTGCACTTCAGGGCTGTAGAGATGTTTGTGTGGTGTTCTGTTTCCAGCATACCTGGCAAGCCCTGGAGGCTCCGCTCCACACCTGGCTAACGGGAATCTCCATCAGCCTCTGTCCCGGCCCCCTAGTGAGCAGTTCTTTCTGCCTATGACATTCATTCAACTCATTCAACGTAAATACAGAAGTCCATCACAGCATCCGGAGCACTTCCTGTTAGTAAATCGTTTAGACTGTCAGATCTGGTTTTGCAGGTTCAGAATGGCCTCACTGCAAACTCCCAAACCAGTGGCTTACCCCTGTCACCTAGCTTTTGTCACAAATGGCTTTGGCTTTCCCCATCAGCCTGAGTCAGGAACCCACAGCATGGGTGATGCGCTTTCTCTTTCACAATAGGCATTTGCAGGTGACGCACTTTACAAAAGGGAACTTGATTTGGGGACTGCATTGCATCTGGGCTCCCTCTTGCCCCTTTGCCTGTCTTCTGTCATCTCTGTGGAATGCCTATTGGGCTATGGACAGATATTTTATGAATTACTTATTCATCTTTTCACAAGTACAGCAGGGAAGTTGGCCTTCCTGATCCTGACTGGTGGAAACACAGTTGCTAATGTAAGAAAAAGTCCAGCTTTCTAGCAGCAGCAATCAGCTGAATCACTAGAGTAGTTAGAAGTTAACCCAACATTAGGAGGCCGAGGCAGGCAGATCACTTGAGGTCAGGAGTTAGGGACCAGTCTGGCCAACATGGTGAAAATCCATGTCTACTAAAAATACAAAAATTAGCAAGGCATGGTGGCACATAACTGTAATCCTAGCTACTTGGGAGGCTGAGGCACGAGAATAGCTTGAAGCAGGAGTCAGAGATTGCAGTGAGCCGAGATCATGCCACTGCACTTCAGCCTGGGCAACAGAGCAAGACTCTGTCTCAAAAAACAAAAGAAGTTAACCCCCAAAATTAGGTTATGGCTACATCCCCCCTGAATGTACCCCCACAACACTGCCTTTACAAGCAACCATCTGCTGCCATGGCTGTGATGCCCGGACTGTGAATGAAACCCACCCAGTCACCCCAGGAAGCTAGATGCAATGTTTTCTTGTTGTTGTTTTGATTTTGGGTTTTTTGGTTTGTTTTTTGTTTGTTGGTTTGTTTTTTGTTTGTTGGTTTGTTTTTTGAGACTGAGTCTCACTCTATCGCCCAGGCTGGAGTGCAGTGGCACAATCTCGGCTCACTGCAACCTCCGCCTCCCGGGTTCAAGCGATTCTCCTGCCTCAGCCTCCCAAGTAGCTGGGATTATAGGCACCCACCACCACGCCTAGCTAATTTTTGTATTTTTAGTACAGACAGGGTTTCACCATGTTTGCCAGGCTGGTCTCGAACTCCCGACCTCAAGTGATCCTCCTGCCTTGGCCTCCCAAAGTGCTGGGATTACAGGCATGAGCCACCACGCCCGGCCCAGATACAATGTTCTGAGCTGAGGGCTTGCACGATACCCTCAGATGTTTCTGTTCTAACCTACCTGGGCTTTAGGCTGAGTACATAAGCAAGTGAGGGTTTTCTAACGATAGAAGATATGTCTCTGCCACTTGGAAGTCCCAGGCTTAGTGAGAAGCATCTACCATAGAGGACAGGAGGAACACATTTCCCACTGTGCCCCGGGAGGAAGTGTCGCCTCAGCAGCACACAGTGGCTACAGAGCTGCACACCTGGATAAACCCAGGATAAGACAACGTTTGCCAGACGAATTCTGTCGCTGGCTCTCCCACCCCGTCTAAGAATGTGTCCTGTTACATTACGAAAAGCAACACATCAGAACTGAGATTCTGGAAGCCGAGTCCCAGAGGAAAACATTTAAAAGATTACCTTTAAGAATCAATCTCGGCCGGGCGCGGTGGCTCACGCCTGTAATCCCAGCACTTTGGGAGGCTGAGGTGGGCGGATCACGAGGTCAGGAGATCGAGACCATCCTGGCTAACATGGTGAAACCCCGTCTCTACTAAAAATACAAAAAATTAGCCGGGCGTGGTGGCGGGCGCCTGTAGTCCCAGCTACTCGGGAGGCTGAGGCAGGAGAATGGTGTGAACCCGGGAGGCGGAGCTTGCAGTGAGCGGAGATCGCGCCACTGCACTCCAGCCTGGGCCACAGAGCGAGACTCCGTCTCAAAAAAAAAAAAAAAAAAGAATCAATCTCACACCTGGGAGACCGGAAATAAGTCACAATCCAGGAGTTTAAAGACGAAATGAACAACTCGAGTCCTTGACCTTGTGAATGTAGTCACCAGCCAAGAGAGGGCTTTCCTGGGGGAGAAAGGGGGAGGGCAGGCTGCCTGCACGTGGAGGGTTTGGGTGCGAAGTATCATCTAAGACATGGATGTTGTGAAAGAGAGAAGGGTGGATTTGCATTGGTCAGGGAGAGTGAAGGCTGCACGCCAGTGTGGTGCACATCCAGCTCTGGGCTGCACCCCGTGGGGACAAGAAACACTCCATGAGTCCTCGTGCTAAAGTCTGCTATGCACGGCCTCAGCCTGGCCATTAGCGTTAAAGCAGGAGCTCTCCACGGGCAGGGACGGGACTTTTCCTCTCGGTGTCCTCAGCAGTGAGCACAGAGCTGCCACCTCACAGGGACTCAGCGTGTGGCTCTTGAGTGAGTGAGTGAACGAATGCATACCACATTCCACAAAACACCAGTGTCCAGTGAAAGACGACGATTTTTAGAATTTGGGAAAACCTACAGTCATCAAAATTATTTGGTTAATTAGACCTAGCAGATGGGGAAAGCAAAAAAAAGCAGGGTACAAAACTTTATTGACAACACAATGCCTGTTTTATGCATGCATCTATAAATATGCTCGTTCTGAAGACGTGCATGTGACCCACGACATTCCCTGTGAATTAACCAAAGGACAATCACTATTAACACGTGGGTGAGTTCCCTTGCAGCCTCTTTTCTCTAACTGCATCATGCATACTTATTTATGCATGTAAATTTTACATGCAAAAAAATACAAAAACAAAGGTATGGGAAGAAATTCACCCCCATATTAATGGTGTTTCTGGATGGTGGGATTAATCGTGATTTAACTTTTGTTCTTGATAGATTTCAGAGTCTTCTAAATTTTATACAATGGGCATATTAACAAACTTTGTTGTTGTTGTTTTCAGAGACAGAGTCTTGCTCTGTTACTTAGGCTGGAGTGTGGTGGCAACATCATAGCTCACTGAAGCCTCAAATCCCTGGGCTCAAGTGATCCTCCCACCTCAGCCTTCCAAGTAACTGAGATTACAGTTATGAGCCACCATGCCTTGGAACAAATATTTTAAATCAACGAAACACCTATATTTCCAGTTTGGGGAAGGTAGGACAGAGAGCGGTTCATGGGAGAGAGGGAAACACCTGACCCAGGTGTGCTTTGGACAGAGTTGTGAGGGAACCCCCCACCACCTGCTGAGCACTGGAGGTGGGTGGGCTGGCTCAGGCCACTCTCCGGGTTCTGCCCACCCTCCAATCCCAACCATAGCCCAGCGCCTGATCACCTGATAAGTCCCTACAGGCCCATAGGACTTCCTCCCTGATATGGTTTGGATTTGTGTCCCCGCCCAAATCTCATGTGGAATTAGAGGAGGGGTCTGGTGGGAGGTGATTGGCTCATGGGGGCGGATTTCCCCCTTGCTGTTCTCATGGTAGTGAGTGAGTTCTCACGAGATCTGATGGTATAAAAGTATGTGGCATTTCCCCCTTCACTCTCTCTCTATTCTGCCACCATGAGAAGAAGGTGCCTGCTTCCCCTTCACCTTCCACCATGATTGTAAGTTTCCTGAGGCCTCCCAATAATGCTCCCTGTTAAGCCTGTGGAACTGTGAGTCAATTAAACCTCTTTTCTTCATAAATTACCCAGTCTCAGGTAGTTCTTTATAGCAGTGTGAGAATGGACCAATACATTCCCTCTGCAGAAGGAAAGAAGGGGGCCAGGCATGGTGGCTCACGCCTGTAACCCCAGCACTTTGGGAGGTTGAGGCGGGTGGATCATTTGAGGTCAGGAGTTTGAGACCAGCCTGGCCAACATGGTGAAACCTCATCTCTACTAAAAATACAAAAATTAGCTGGGCATGGTGGCACACACCTGTAATTCCAGCTACTCAGGAGGCTGAGGCAGGAGAATCACTTGAATTGGGAGGCGGAGGTTGCAGTGAGCCAAGATTGTGCCACTGCACTCCAGCCTGGGCGACAGAGCAAGACTCCATCTAAAAAAAAAAAAAAATCCTTCCTCAGGCAATGAGAACCTCAAACTCAGCATCTCTCCCTTGCACAGTCCCTTAGAATTGATCAAGGGCTCCCTCACCTTCCTTCTCCTTCCCCCTCACAACAACTAAGCCTGGGGATGGATTATTCCACTTTACTGATGCAGAAACTGAGAGCTCAGGGAAGATATGCGAGGAAGAGGTGGGCCTGGCTAGGTCCAGGAGCCTGTTTTCCAGGCTCGTGTGTGCACTTCCCACTGCTCCACCCTGCCCTCCTCCTGCCTGATCTTTCCAGCTAAGCAGGGCTAAGTTGGAAAGGAAGAAGGGGTGAGGAGCAGCCAGCTTGGTCTAGAAGGCTTACAGCAGGACTTACGCACAATTTGCCTCTCTGCCGTGGAGATAAGGCACGTGTCTCAGAGGCCCTGCCAAGCCTGCAGGTTCACCAACAGCCGAGCCATCCCACCTGGCAGGACGAGTGCTCGTGGGCAGAGCTGGCAAGCCGTAGGGAAACATCTGCAGAGCCTGTGCTGATGTGGGACAACCTCACTGATGTCAGGCTCTGTGCTGATTCTTCCGCGTACATCCTGATCTACTTTCCCTCCTCCTGTGCCCCACGCTGGGCCCCGGGAGGCCGAGCCGCTTGGATGTCTGCAGACTCCAACCCCAAACTCCTTTGTCCTCAGGCATGATCATGAAGATCAGTGCAGCAATGGGAGGTACCAGCAAGAGGCTGGAGGGCCGGAGGAAAGAGAGTGTGGGGTCCCCCACCTAACCCCCAGCAGGCCATGGTATGGGAATGTCTGGGCTCCTCTGGCTACCACCTCACTCCTGTGGGCTGCCCCCTCGTGGAACTCCATGTCCTAGGACTCTGTCCCTTCCCCTTGCCATATATGGAGTCCCTGTGCTCATAACTGGGGACACAAAGAGGGATAGAATGACCTCCCGAGTTGCTGGCCCCTGAGACTCTCCATCCACTGCGGTTCCCTCAGCCCCGCCCATACCGCTGTAAATGCCCTGTTTCAGACACCCTCAGGCACCACTTACCCATGCATCTTGTTCCTCCTGGAATCTGGACTTGTTCAGGCTCTAACCAAATCCCCACCTAAGGGTGGCTCCAAGCTATAGAATCAGTCTCCTGTGATCTCTTCCTCAGCCTCAATTTCCTGATCTTCCAAACAGGGAAGCAATAGTCAACGTGCTTTGTTTATTGTTAAAAGGTGAAGATCATAAGCAGTGTGGTTCTCTTGAAACAGTTTGCAAGCTCTGGTGTCCGTAGGGAATTTAGAGATGGGTGATAAGTGTGTTCAGGGTTTTCTGTGCAACTCAGATGAAGAGCAGCTACCTCTCAGGCTGTAGCCTCCCTTTTCCGAACTGTGGCTGTAAATCAAGGAGAAACACAAGAATGACTCTCCATGGCCGGCACAGGGGCTGCAAAGCCTGAAGGTTCTGCCCTTAACTCAGGCCTATCAGATGCTTCATCAAAGCAGATGAATGCTGACTTCACAGTCACTCTCATAAGCCTAGAGTTCTGGTTTCTAGTCCACAGCCAATTAGAAATGGCAATTTAGGAAGGGAGAGATGACCACACCGATGACAGTGACAACTAGAGGCCTGATGGCGAGGGAAGAACTCAAAAATCTCTAGGAAATCGGCCGTGAGACTGAAGGAAGCTCCGAGAACAGAGGCCATTAGCAGAGGGCAAACACCCCAGCACACCTCGCAAGCCCGGAGGGCTGCATTACCTCCCGCTCAGCAGCGGAGGTTCACAGCGGCAACCCTGGGCCATTACAGAAAGGTTAATGGTGTTCCACATTCTCCAAGCAAGAAGGAAGGGAAATGTTCACCGCATCTTAGAGATATTTCCATCTGAAAATGTTACATGAAAATAATTTACGGCTCCCTCTCGAAAACTCAGCTGTCTGGATCCCATTCCCTGTGGGTTCCTGATGAGCAAGGTTTTGCTGTTACTGGAAGTATCCACGCTTGCGGGCAGGCAGCATTTATTGAGTGCCTGCTGAATGCCGAGCACTGTACGAGGAGGGGAGGAGGGCTTCTAGGGAGGAAGAAGCTCAGCTGTGTCTTCTGGGGCTTGAGGCGATGGCAAGACCCACAGTTTCTCCTCTCTTCATGAGCTAGACCTGGTCCAGCTACACCCCGCACTGCCTGGCGCGTGCTGCCCTGACGGCAATACCTGTACCAGCAGGCAAGACCCACTCAGAACACCTGAGCCATGAGCCCCTCAGCAGCTGAGCGCCCCAGCCCGTGCCCCTCTCCGGGGTCTGTTTTTATTATAAATATTTCATTGTTTAGGAGTGTGGGTTTTAGCTGATATACAGCATTTGGCAGGGTTCCTCTCTAGCATTTGGTAATAATTCCATACCAAATGCTAGGGAGAAACTCTCCCAAATGGAACTGCTTCAAGCCAGGGCTCTTAAAACACTGGAGCCTGAGGAAGCCACTGCATATGAGCTGTCCCCAGCTCCCCGGGGCCAGCAGAGGAGATAAATGCACGCAGGACCCAGGACTCCGGGCTTCCCCATCGCACGAGAGCGCTCACTTTCACTACCCCCTCACCCCTGCCACTTGCTGACCTTGTGGACAAGCTGTGCCCGAAGTCACTCCCTCGGATTGAAAGCAGATTATGCACACGGTAGGTGTTCCCTACACATGGCTGGGTTGAATTCTGGGGATGTAAAATTAAAACGTCCCCATTCATTTTTCCAAAATGTCATTTTATGCACTTACCCTATTCCACAGTTTGACAGCTCTGTGGTTCCTTTAGAAAATATTTAAAATTTCATGTGGGTGCAGTGGCTCATGCCTGTAACCTCAGCACTTTGGAAGGCCAAGGTGTGGAGGATCACTTGAAGCCTGGAGTTTGAGACCAGCCTGGCCAATGTAGCAAGACCCCATCTCTACAAATAAAGTAACCAAGTGGTATGCACCTGTAATCATATCTACTTGGGAGGGTAAGGCAGGAGGACTGCTTGATCTCAAGAGTTTGAGGCTGCAGTGAGCTATGACCATGCTACCTCACTCCAGCTGGGTGACAGAAGAGATTCCATT
The DNA here is from genome assembly GCF_000001405.40 of Homo sapiens. Lineage (NCBI taxonomy): Eukaryota > Metazoa > Chordata > Mammalia > Primates > Hominidae > Homo > Homo sapiens. Next base: position 30,207,946 of record NC_000019.10, on the reverse strand, counting down.
TATTTAAAAAAAAAGTTAAATTTCATGACCACTCTGAAACTGGACTGCCTGAGTTCATGTTCTGGTACCTCTGTGGGCTTCACTAGCAAGGAGACAATCTCTGTAAGATAGGGATGATAGAACCTCCCTCTCAAGCAGCTCCTGGTGAGAACTGACTGTCGCACATAGAGACTGCTGGTGCACAGTACCTGCTCTCAAGCAAACGCCTCTCTTGGCTTTACTGAGCATGTACTATGTGCCAGGGGCTTTACACAACCGTCTCACCTAATGGGTATTTGACAAGAAAAAGGAGACTTCTTTCCTGGACCACTCCCGGCTCTCTTCCTCAAAGGGTAAGTGGTAAATGCATGCAAGTCTGCTGTGGCTGAGGCCCTGTCCCTTTCCGCTCCACCTCCTCTGGATCAAAGGTGTGGGTGAGGCTGGCAGAACCACCACCAAGGATGGAGGGACCTTTTCTTGCTGGGTTTCATTCCCGCCTTCCCCTGTAGGTGTTGGCTGCTCAGTCTTGCACACTCTCAAGTCCCAGGGTAGAGTAGGAAACAGAAAACACGACACTGAAGAGGAAGCACTGTGCCACTGGTCACAGAGTCTACTGAGGTCCCAGCAGCTGCCTGACGATGCCCCAGAGCCCCAAAGACTCCCTCGTGTCTCTTTAATAAATACCCTTTTGACCTAGGCTAATGTTTTTCTCTTTTTTTTTTGTCGTCATTGTTGTTGTTTTACTGTGATGTATCCTGTTGTGGATTTATTATTTTTCATCTCCTGCTTGGAACTCTGTGATTCTTGATTCTGAAGATTCATGTCTTTCATCAGGTCTGGAAAATTCTTATCCATAATCTCTCCAGAAATTGCCACTTTCATCTCCTCTCCATTCCATCCTTCTAGAACCTCTATTAAGAAGGGACCTTTGGGCCGGGCACGCTGGCTCACACCTGTAATCCCAACACTTTGGGAGGCCAAGGCAGATCACCTGAGGTCAGGAGTTCGAGACCAGACTGGTCAACATGGTGAAACCCCGTTTCTACTAAAAATACAAAAATTAGTCGGGTGCGGTGTTGGGTGCCTGTAATCCCAGCTACTTGGGAGGCTGAGGCAGGAGAATTGCTTGAATCCAGGAGGCAGATGTTGCAGTGAGCAAAGATTGTGACATTGCACTCCAGCCTGTTGATAAGAGCAAAACTCTGTCTCAAAAAAAAAAAATCAAAAAACCAAACAAACAACAGCAAAAAGACCTTCGCTTCATCCTGTAGGCATCTCAGTGCCTTGTGTTTTCCAGCTCTTTCTGCGCTGCCTTCTGTGTAATTTCCTTCAGAGCTGTCATCTGCCTGGCTAATTTCTTGTACTGCCTCAGTGGGTCTGCTTCTCACCGCCAGTTCTTCTCTGGCTAGAAGGCAAGCATTGACTGTGAGAGGGAACTTGAATGTGGGATTTGGCAACACCTTACTCTGGACCCTCCAGCTCAGAGCCCAGCATGATGGGGTCCTTGTGCCAGTTTCCTTGCTTGGAGATGTCTCCACAGGTTCCTCCTCTGGTACCTGTAATATAATCACAGCTGAACTGCCTGTGAATTGCTTCCTCAGGAAGCTGGAAAGCCGCCCCCACTCTCCACCCAGGGAAATGCCTGACTGCCCCTTCACCAGCCTGCAAACACCCTCAACAATTGATGGGTGAGATGGCATAGCTCTCCACCATGCTACAAAACTGAGCTAACACAGTGGTTGTGAGCATCGCATCGGAGGTCAACAGAGTCGGTCCCGAAGTCCAGCTTTGCCATTTTACCAGCCGTATGACCTTACTCAATTTATGAACCACTCTACACCTTAGTTTCCTTCTCTATAAAATGGGGATGGTTCATGAGCTTTCTTTTCAAGTTTGCTTGAGGAATGAATGCTTTATTCTCGGAAGGGCTTTCTCCAACATGGGCCAGCACTCACCAAACACATCTTAAACATCATCTGTTAATAACAGTGATACTGGAGGCCACTTCATGTGGATAGGCCATTGCATTGCTTTATTTATCTATCTTAAATTATCCACAGAACAGTCCACTTGCACTTTTTTTTTTCTTGAGACGGAGTCTTGCTCTGTCGCCAAGCTTGAGTGCAGTGGGGCAATCTCTGCTCACTGCAACCTCTGACTCCCTGGTTCAAGCAATTCTCCTGCCTCAGCCTCCTGAGTAGCTGGGATAACAGGCATGCACCAACATGCCCAGCTAATTTTTGTATTTTTAGTAGAGATGGTGTTTCAACATGCTGGCAAGGATGGTCTTGATCTCCTGGCCTCATGATCTGCCCACCTCGGCCTCCCAAAGTGCTGGGATTACAGACATGAGCCACCGTGCGCCCGGCCTTTTTTTTTTTTTTTTTTGAGATAGAGTCTCACCTTGTCACCCAGGCTGGAGTGCAATGGCATGATCTCGGCTCACTGCAACCTCCACCTCCCACATTCCAGTGATTCTCCTGCCTCCGCCTCCCGAGTAGCTGGGGTTATAGGTGTGCACCACTACACCCGACTAATTTTTGTATTTTTAGTAGAGATGTGGTTTGGCCTTCTTGGCCAGGCTGGTCTCGAACTCCTGACCTCAAGTGATCCTCCTGCCTCAGCCTCCTAAAGTGCTGGGATTACAGGCGTGAGCCACCACAGCCAGCCTCCACTTGCACTTTCACTCTCTCTGGAGGCACTGAGACAAGCAATCCTTGGCCTTCTCTCCTCCCTTCACTTTTGACACAGGTGATGAGATATCAAAGAGACTTAGTGCAGGACAGAGGCCTCTGTGGTGAGGGACACAGGAGAAATTCTGGCAGAAGAAACCGCTAAGCACTATCCATACGGTCATAACTTCAGAGTTATGCCTCTCACCTGGGTTAACCGATCAGATGCAGGTCTTCAGATCTTCCGTCCCTGCTGAGCTAGCCAGGGAGCAGCTGTGGACCTGAGGTTCCTGTAAGACCCCAACAGCTGCTCTGAGGACCCTCAGTGCCCCTGTCTCCCAGGAATCATGCTCTCCCCCCACCACCCCAACCTGGCACTCTGCACAAGAAACACAAGACCTCATGCAAGACCAAAGCCTCAGAAGCCAGAGGCTGCCTCCTCCCTCAGAACACTAACTCCCCAGGTGTGTCTGCCACTTCCAAAGAAACAAAAAGAGCAAGAAGGCTTCCTTCTCCCAGAAGGGCCTTCTTGTCCCTGCCACTGTTTCTTCATGTCCCAGCATCTCACAAATGTGAATTCAGAGGCAAGTTACAGAGCTTAAGTTACTGCTGACACTTGATTGGAATAACTGTTACGTAAAAGCCAACAGAGATGAATCGCCTGTAGGGAGTTGTCTGACTGCATGAGTTTTTACACATCTTTCAGCTAAATCAAAGATCCAAATGCTAAATCTCTCACTCAGGAACATCAAGTGGATTTGTGACAGTCCCTGGAGGACCCGGTGTCCATAAACCAATGAATGAATTACACTGATCCTGGTATGCAGTTTCTCATCTGTGACTGATACAATATTGATAATATTCTTTATTTCACTTAACTCCTTCGGGGCCACACTGAAACACAGCACTCCTGGATTATGTCTATACTCTGATGAGAATAATGATCTGCTGTGGGAAATACAGCAGATCAATTGATTGTTCACTCATATGTAGATCAGATGAGGGTAAAGGGTATTTGCTGGTGGGGCGTGGTGGCTCACACCTGTAATCTCAGCACTTTGGGAGGCCTAGGCAGCCAGATCACCTGAGGTCAGGAGTTGGAGACCAGCCCGGCCAATGTGGTGAAACCCCATCTCTCCTAAAAATACAAAAATTATCTGGGTGTGGTGGCAGGTGCTTGTATTCCTAGCTACTTGGGAGGGTGAGGATGGAGAGTTGCTTGAACCTGGGAGGTGGAGGTTGCAGTGAACTGACATAGTGCCATTGCACTCCAGCCTGGGCAACAAGAGCAAAACTCCATCTCAAAAAAAAAAGGGGGGTGGTATTTGCCATTGGTTTTGGTGTGGTGTTGGCATTTGGTGGTGTATTTTTCATTTTTGGAACTACTTGTGTTGGAATTTTATGAACACTACCACATTCAGCAACATTGTTGAATGAGACCAGCTTGGGAAGTTGTTGGTTTTGTTTGGGACACACCTTGGAGATCAGCCATTTAACCAATTGAATCCACCACATATTTGTCAATTTCCTTTTTGGCGCTGGTCCTGAGCGAGGAACTCTGAGGCACAGGGAACTCTGAGGCACACGAGGAACTCTGAGGCACAGGGAACTCTGAGGCACACAGGGTAGGTGGGGTGGTGATTGGGAACAAGTTACTCAGAGCCATCTGCATCTTATATTCACACCAGACTGTGAAACAGGCTGGGCACGGTGGTGCATGCCTGTAATCCCAGCACTTTGGGAGGCCGAGGCGGGCGGATCGCCTGAGGTCAGGAGTTTGAGACCAGCCTGGCCAACATGGTGAAATTCCATCTTTATTAAAAATACAAAAATTAGCTGGGCATGGTGGCAGGCATCTGTAACCCCAGCTACTTGAGAGCTGAGGCAGGAGAATCGCTTGAACTCAGGAGGCAGAGGTTTCAGTGAGCCGAGATCGTGCCACTGCACTCCAGTCTGGATGACAGAGCAAGACCCCATCTCAAAAACAAACAAACAAAAAAAAAGACTGTGAAATACCCCCATCTGGTCAGGGTAGTGATGATGATGATGAAGATGATGAAGATGCTACTGACCATCAATGCATTCTCCTTGCCAGGAGCCGGGTTCAGGCCTTTCATCCATTTAGTCACTCACTTCTCCCAGTTCTACTGGCCAGTTCCTGTTATTCTAGGAAGTCCACATTACAGATGAGAAAATGGAAGCAGACAGGACTTAAGGTTCTTCATTTAAGGTCACAGCAGATTGAGGAATTTGAACCCAAAGCAGTTTGACTTCAAAACTCTCACTCATTTTTTCCCAAAGTACAGGATATGTACATGGAGTCAGTCCCAGACCACTCAATGAGTTTGTGGACAGTGAGGACTCAAACCAGGTTTCTGGGCTCTGTACTCAGGACTACTCAGCAGAAACAATATGCGAAGGCCGATGACCCGCATGGCGGTGTGCACCACTTTCCAGCCACTGCAGCGGTCCTTTCCTTCCCTGACAGATTAGGAAGCTCTTATGGTTGTTCTTACATGCCCGGAAGGCTGAATTTAAAAGCAAAATGGCTGTGGAAGAAAAGGCCTGGCCAACCTTTCTTAGAACCAGGCCTCTTCTCCTGAGCCTCACAGAGCTAAGTCTCTCCCAACTCAAGAACAGAAAAACAGCTATTGCTGAGATTCTGCCACTGCACTCCAGCCTGGGTGACAAAGCTAGTCTCCATCTTAAAAGAAAAAGAAAAAGAAAAATGGCCATTGAAATACGTTACGACATTACAACAATAGCTCAACAGCTATCAAACCACATTACCTTGCCAGAGCAGCCAGGTGACACATCCCAGACTGGGCTTAAGGAAATCTGACTTTCTGGGGGGTGCTGGGCATCTCTGGTTTCCCCGCCTGGCGTACATTCTCCCCTTGACTACTGAGTTCCATCAGGATGGGCCATGGTGACAACCAGCCCCCAACCTAAACAACCAAAACCAAACATTTAGATGACATGTTGATCTCAGATCAGTGAGGGCTCTGCTTTTTGTTGTCCTTACTCTGGCTTCCGAGATGAGGAGCTGTCACCTTCTGGACCATCACGGTGACAGTGGCAGGGAGAGCATTGGGAAGTCTTGTGCCAGTAACTAAATACTTCCACTCAGAAGCCATAATGTTTACCTTCTTTGGCCAAAGCAAGTCGGGTGGCCGTGCTTCACTTCCAGGGGGTAGGAAGTGCAATCGTACTGTGTGTCTGGAAGGAGGACAAGCAGATGTAGAAACGTGCAGTGCTAAGCACTAGCAAAGACTGCACTTATCGTCATTAAATGTTTTGCTTCTCACACATATCAGACACTTCCGCCCCAGTTTAATGGAGTTCCTCTTGCTCCAGAGACTTGAAGCTATAAGCCAAGGGATTGGACTGCCCACCCCAATGTGCACCTGCTCTAGAATGGTGGAACAGAGACTAGACACCTTCAGTAAGCACTCCCATTCAGAGGCAGGGCAAAGAGAAGTCACAGAAGTACATCTTTTTCCTTTTTTTTTTTTTTTAGACGGAGTTTTGCTCTGTTGCCTGGGCTAGAGTGCAGAGGTCTGATCTCAGCTCACTGCAACCTCCGCCTCCCGGGCTCAAGCCATTCTCCTGCCTCAGCCTCCTGAGTAACTGGGATTACAGGTGCAGACAACCACGCCCAGCTAATTTTTGTATTTTTAGTAGAGACGGGGTTTCACCATGTTGGCCAGGCTGGTCTCGATCTCTTGACCTCGTGATCCGCCCGCCTCGGCCTCCCAAAGTGCTGGGATTACAGGCATGAGCCACTGCACCCAGCCCAGAAATGCATCTTACCTGCAACAACTGTGCACAGCTATCCCAAAATCCTGCCAGCAAAGCATTTTAGCGGCTCAGTACCCTACAACCTTTTCCTCTGATTGGGCTCTGATTCTGCTCCAAGGCAGTAGCTCCCTGACCCTGGCTCTGTCATCTGGAAGATTCTTCTCTGGCTTATCTGAGGCATGCACTGGGACTATGGCCTCCCGGAGGACTGGCCAGTGTTGTCCAGCTGCTTCCTACCCATACAGCACTGGGAGCCCAAGGGTGACTTTAAGACTCAGTCAGTCTCTCTTAACAGCACAGGCTGACAATACTTTTGGCACTATAATTCACTCAGAACAGATCAGCTTCTTTTTTTTTTTTTGAGACAGTGTCTTGCTCTGTCGCCCAGGCTGGAGTGCAGTGGTGCAATCTCGGCTCACTGCAAGCTCGGCCTCCCAGGTTCACGCCATTCTCCTGCCTCAACCTCCGGGGTAGCTGGGACTACAGGCACCCGCCACCACCCCGGCTAATTTTTTGTATTTTTAGTGGAGACGAGGTTTCACCGTGTTAGCCAGGATGGTCTCAATCTCCTGACCTCGTGATCTGCCCGTCTCGGCCTCCCAAAGTGTTGGGATTACACAGATCAGCATCTTATCTACTTGCCTCTCATCAACTCCACTTGCCGACAACGAGGCCCACAGTTCTTTTTGAGATAGAGCCCCCAAAACCACTTTTCTTTTTGGTTCTCTTTGTACTCACACCTCTATCTCTCCCTCTCTCATTACTTTTTGTTGTATTTTTAATTTTTTATTTTGAAATAATCATAGCCTTACAGAAGAGATGCAAAAATTCCCCTGAGCTTAGTATCTTGTATGACCAATTACAATTATCTGAGCTGGGCCAACCAAGATCATTAGGTCATCACGCCTCCTTTGTCTCCCTCAATGGGTGACAGTTCCTCAGTCTTTCCGAGGTCCTTCATGACCCTGACATTTTAGAAAGTACTGATCAAGTATATTTTAAACTGTGCCTCAGTTGGGTTTGTTTGATATTCCTTCTTGTTATCTTTAGGTTATGCTTTTTTATTTATTTATTTTGAGACAAAATCTCTCTGCTGTCCTGGCTGGAGTCCAGTGGCACAATCATAGCTCACTGTAACTTTGACCTCCTGGGCTCAAGGGATCCTCCCACCACAGCCTCCCAAGTAGCTGGGACTACAGGTGCATGCCACCATGCTCAGCTAATTAAAAAAAAAATTTTTTTTGACATGGAGTCTCACCCTGTAGCCCAAACTGGAGTGCAGTGACATGATATCAGATCACTGCAACCTCCGCCTCCCAGGCTCAAGCAATTCTCATGCCTCGGCCTCTCAAGTAGCTGGGACTACAGGTGCTCGCCACCACGACTGGCTAATTTTTTTGTATTTTAATAGAGATTGGGTTTCACCATGTTGCCCAGGGTGATCTCGAACTGCTATGCTCAGTTGATCTGCCTGCCTCAGCCTCCCACAGTTCTGGGATTACAGGTCTGAGTCACTGTGCCCAGCCAATTTTTGTGTTTTTGTTGTTGTTTTTTTTTAACAGAGACAGAGTCTCACTATGTTGCCCAGGCTGGTCTCAAACTTCTGGCCTTAAGCAGTCCCCCTGCCTCAGCCTCCCAAAGTGCTGAGATTACAGATGTGAGCCACCTCATCCAGCCAGGCTACACATTTTTATGTAGATTCAGAACCACTCCGTCCTGTGTTTTTATTTGAGAGGAAAAGACTCCTTGGCAAAAACAGAGGATCAAACGAACTTATTTGAAAACCTCTCCTTTATCTACCCCAATTCTTCAATGCATATGAGGAGACTGAGGCCCAGAGAGTGGCAGTTAGTCCACAACCACTCAGTGAGTTTTTGGCAGTGGAGACTACAGCCTCGTTGCCACCTAAAGAAATGATGTGTCCTTCTCAGCACATTGGATTAGGGTTTTCATGATATTGATATGTCTTTCTCTCAGTGATGTTAATCTTTTGTTTTGTTTTATTCTTTGAGACAGGATCTTGTTCTGTTTCCCAGGCTCCAGTGTAATCACAGCTCACTACAGCCTCAAACTCCTAAGCTCAAGCAATCCTCCCGCCTTAGCCTCCCAAGTAGCTGGGGTTCCAGGTGCATGCCACCACGCCCAGATATTTTTGTTGTTGTTGTTGTTTAGTTGTAGAGTCAGAGTCTCACTCTGTAGCCCAGGCAGGTCTCAAACTACTGGGCTCAAGTAATCCTCCCACCTTGGCCTGCCAAAGTGCTCGTTTTATAGATATGAGCCACCACACCCAGCAATGTTAATCTTTATTACTTTGGTGGTTTTTTGTTTGTTTATTTGTTTGTTTTGTTTTGTTTGTTTTTTTTAGACAGAGTTTTACTCTTGTCGCCCAGACTGGAGTGCAATGGCACAATCTCAGCTCACTGCAACCTGTGCCTCCTGGGTTCAAGAAATTCACCTGTCTCAGCCTCTCAAGTAGCTGGGATTATAGGCGCCTGCCACCACACCCAACTAATTTCTGTATTTTTAGTAGAGATGGGGTTTCACCATTTTAGCCAGACTGGACTCAAACTCCTGACCTCAGGTGATCCATCTGCCTCGGCCTCCCAAAGTGCTGCGGTTACAGGTGTGAGCCACTGCACCTGGCCATCTTTTTTACTTTGAATGATGTCCTCCAAGTTTCTCTACTTGAAAGTCATGATTTTTCCTTTTGTTATTAATACATATCTTGGGGGAGTTACTTTGAAACTGTGCAAATATTCTGTATCTACTCAAACTTCTAACCTAATTTTAACATGCATCAGTGCATCTTATCTGCAACAATTATTACTGTGTTTAATATGATTTCTATTTCCTTCTTTTCTTTTACTTACAGTAACCAGGATTCTTCTGTAAGGAACAGTTATACCTTCTCTCTATTTATTTGTATATTCAATTGTTTACTTATACCAGTATGGACACATAGATATGTATTTTATTGGGTTATATCTGAATAGTGTCACTATTTATTTTGTTGCTCAAGTTGTTTGAGTATTGGCCATTGGGGCCTCTTTGAGGTTGGCTCTTGGGCCTTTTCAAAATGCTCTCTTCTTTTTTAAGCAATTTCTGACTTTCTGGCACTACAAGATGCTCCAGGTTCATCTTGTATTATCCCTACCCCATACTAGAATCAAACACTTCTAAAAGACACTCTGGTTCCTTTTATTGAAGAATGATACTTAGAAACCAAATTTAGAGCATTAGGTGTACCCATTGTCACTAGGGTGTCATTGCTTCTAGGCCACCTCAGCAAACAGAACTTATAAATATATAATGTATTCTTCTCCATGCATATACACATACTTGTATTTATGTCTGTATCTGTCTGTCTATCTATCCATCTACCCATCCATCCATCCATCCACCCATGTGTTTGTTGTTTTTAAGTAAATTCATACTGATACCTCTCATTCCAATTCATCAATGCAGGGTTCATTCTAGCCTTCTCCTTTCCTTAATTATAATTTCTTTTTCCAACAGTGAGAAATCTGGCCTGTATTATCTAAAATACACTTACTTATCTGTTCAACTTTTCTATACACATAATGTAGTTACGGAATTGCAAACTTGCACTCCCATGAGAAACAAATTTACTAACCAGAATACCGCATTCATGTGCAATTCTTTTTCTCTTTATCTTTACATTATCTAGTGAAACATTGAATATTTTACAAGGTAACTTAGGTTCAGTTTTTTTTCTTTCCCACTTTTTTAGTGTGCTTATGTCATTCATCTGTAGTACAGTTAGGTTCATTTACCGCAGTTTGCATTTCATTTTTTGTCTCCCCCACATCCTGTTTTTGCTTTTTAACTTAAACTCCATGATGAGCTCTACGAGTTTTGACAAAATAACTCATCGGGTATTCACCACCACAGTCATGATACATCCCACTACCCCAAAATTTCCTCATGCAGACCCTTTGTAATCCATCTTTTCCTCCAACTCCTACTCCTGACTCCATCCCTATTGTTCTGCCCTTTTCAAAATGTCATATAAATGGTGTCATCAAATATGAAATCTTTTGATTCTGTCTTCTTTCACTTAGCACAATGTATGTAATAGTCATCTATGTTTCTGTGTGTATCAGTAGTGTATCAGTAGTTAATATTGAGTGTTAACTTGATTGGATTGAAGGCTGTAAGTATTGGCCCTGGGTGTGTCTGTGAGAGTGTTGCCAAAGGAGATTAACATTTGAGTCAGTGGACTGGGAAAGGCAGATCCACCCTTAATCTGGGTGGGCACAACATAATCAGCTGCCAGCACAGCTAGAATAAAAGCAGGCAGAAGAACATGAAAAGACTAGACTGGCTGAGTCTCCCAGCCTACATCTTTCTCCCATGCTGCATGCTTCCTGCCTTCAAACATCAGACTCCAATTTCTTCAGCTTTGGTACTCGGACTGGCTTCCTAGTGCCTCAGCTTGCAGTCAGCCTATTGTGGGACCTCACTTTGTGATTGTGTGAGTCAATACTCCTTAATAAACTTCCCTTTACCTATCTATCCTATTAGTTCTGTCCCTCTAGAGAGCCCTGACTAATACAGATAGTTTGCTCCTTTACATTACTGAGTGGTATGCCATTGCAAGGAAGCACCCCAGTTTGTTTATTTCTTCCTTGGTTGAAGGACATCTGTGTTGTTTTCAGTTTGGGGCTGTTATGAATAAAGTTGCTATTAAAATTTGCATACAGGTTTTCATGTGAACATAAGATTTTATTTAGTAAGAGTGGGATTGCTGGTTATAGTAAACTGTATAAGAAACTTCCAAACTGTCTTCCACAATGATTGTAATATTTACCAGTCCCAAGAACAGTACATTAGAGTTAAAGTCACTCTACATCCTTGTCAACACTTAGTATTGTCAGATTTTTTTAATTTTAGCCATTCTAATAGGATTATAGTGATATCTTGTTATAATTTTAATTTGTACTTTCCTAATGACTAATGGACATTGGGAATCTTTTCATCTGCCTATTTGCTATCTGTATATCTTCTTTGGCAAGGTATCTATTTAGATCTTTTTCTCATTGTAAAAACTGGGTTATTTAGTGTCTTGTTGAACTTTAAAAGTTACTTATGTATATAGGACATAAATTCTTTGTCATAAATGTGATTTGCAGATATTTTATCCCAATGTTTGTCTTGTTTTTATTCTCTTAACGTGACTATTCCAGAGCAACAGTTTTTAATGTTAATAAAGTCCGATTTTTTTTTTTACGGATCCTGATTTTAGTGTCATATCTAAAACTTCGCCTAATTCACAGTCTTGAAGATATTGTCCCATGTTTTCTTATAGAAGTTTTATAGTTTCACATTTTACATTTATATCTGTAATTCATTTTCAGGTTTGTTTGTTTTTTGTTTGTTTGTTTGTTTTCTATGAAATGTAATGTTTGGATCAAGGTTCACTTCTTTGCATAGGAAAGTCCAATCAAACACAATTTCTTGAAAAGATTATTCCTTCTCCATTGAATTTCTTTTGTATCTTTGTCAAAGACATTTTGTAGGTCTATTTCTGGACTCTATTCAATTCCATTGTTCCATTGACTATTATTTTATCCATAGTTGTCTTGATTACTGTAGCTCTATAGTAAGTCTTGAAATCAGGTAGTGTGAGTCCTCCAGATTTGTCCTTTTCACAATTGTTTTGGCTCTTCTAGTTTCCTTGCCTTTCCATATAAATTTTAGGAACAACTTGTTAATATCTATTTTTAAAAGCTGGGATTTTAAATAGGGTTGGAGTTAATCTCTAGATCAATTTATGGAGGATTAACATCTTAACAATACTGAATCTTCTAATTTGTGATAATGGATATCTCTCCACTTATTTAGGTCTTCTTTTATTTCTTCCCCAGTGTTTTATATTTTTCAGCATACAGATCCTATACATATTTTGTTAGATTTACACCTAAGTATTTTATGTTTTGTACTGTGATTAATCTGTTTTAAATTTTGAATTTCAATTCTACATTGCTGGTATAAAGAAATATATTTGGTTTTTATATATTGAGCTTGTATTCTACAGCCTTGCTAAATTCAATTATTTGTGCTAGAAGCTTTTTTTGTAAATTATCTGGGATTTTCTATATACGTAATTGTATTGTATACAAATACAGGTGTTCTGTTTCTTCCTTTTCAGTCTATATGCCTTTTATTTATTTTTCTTGCCTTATTGCACTGGCTTCCATTATGAGATTGAATAAGAACTGTGAGAGATTACATCCTCCTTATGCCTCATGTTAGAGAGAAAGCATTCAGTTTTTCACCATTAAGTATGATGTCAACTGTAGAAATTTTGTAGCTGCTCTTTTAAGAAAGTATCCTTCTTTGAGTTACACTTTGTCATGATAGCATAAGAAACTGTATTCTCATTCCCCTTTGAAACTGATGAAAATCGTAAAAACTATCCAATCATTTAACACTTCTGGAAATGATATTAAGAGCATACAACAGATGAAAAATCAGTTACTCAAGAAAATCTACTAAAATTCAGTAACAACAGCAAGAGTCTCTGGAATTTGAACCAACTGCTCTCACCCTTCTTCCTCTCAGCTCAGCAAAATGGAAACTCCACTGTAGATGTGTGCATCTTCCCCAGCCCCCAGTCAGAAAACTGTCTTCTTGGGATGGACAGGACATCAGCATCTCTCATTTTGCCTTCAGCTAGCTGTTGTAAGGCTCCCTTCCAGGTGAGTGCAGCTGAGAAGTTGGATGTTGTCCCTGCCTCTTCCCACTCCCCACTCATGGGTTGGAAGCTCTACCGCAAGTGTGATGTGCTGGGAATACTGCGGTTTAGATTACCCTCACCCTGGCTCATTTGTAGTTCACAAATCCAAGCCAGGAGAGGCAAACCAAACTTCTCTCCTGCAGAGAGAAGTGTACCATTGTTTCAACTCTCAGCTTCAGAGCCATGGATGACAGATTTTTGCCTAGGGGAAGCAGCAAGACATAAAAAAGAGCTCTGAATCTTTTTTCAAAGAAACACATCATTTGTAACATGGTATGGACTTCAAGCCTAAGGACACCGCTCAAAAACAATGCAAGTTGTGGTAAAAGGCAATTGAAAGGAGATTGGCAGAATCACTGGAGATATATGCTAAACTACAGGCCAGTTAGTTTGCTAGAAAGAGTCAGGGAGAAAGACAAGTGAGAGGACCTCCTAGGGTCAGAACAAATCTCACACATTGACCTCAATAACTATCCCTTCAAAGGGACTCCAAATTTATTGGATCAGTTTACTCCCACCTATGTTCAAAGAAATTTTAAAAAAACAATGAAGAAGTAATGAGCTGGAAATTAGTGGTGATTGTCTGCTGGGGTGGCTGGGGAAGACACAGTCAAAGTGAGTCCTTCCAAAGCCACTATCAACCCAGGGTGACTATAGTCATATCCAAGGCTTCCCCCTAGCCCCCAAGGAGTGACATCAGAAGCTTCATACTGGGGGAGGTGGGAGACAATAGACTTCATTAAAACAATCCAGCCAGTCATCAAAAAAATAAACAAGAAAATAATTTAAAATCCCCAAAGGGGGAAAGATCAATCTGCAGAGTTGCTACAATATATTACTTAAAATGTCCAGTTTACAAAAAATTAAAACTTGCAAAGCAAACATAAAAGTATAACACATACACCAGAACAAAAAACGAGTAACAGAAACTGCTTGTGAGAATGACCAGATGTCTTTAGCATGAAGGGTTGTTGAATTTTGTCAAAGGCCTTTTCTGCATCTAGTGAGATAATCATGGTTTTTGTCATTGGTTCTGTTTATATGATGGATTATGTTTATTGATTTGCATATGTTGAACCAGCCTTGCATCACAAGGATGAAGCCAACTTGATCATGGTGGATAAGCTTTTTGATGTGCTGCTGGGTTCGGTTTGCCAGTATTTTATTGAGGATTTTTGCATCGATGTTCATCAGAGATATTGGTCTAAAATTCTCTTTTTTTGTTGTGTTTCTGCCAGGCTTTGGTATCAGGATGATGCTGGCCTCATAAAATGAGTTAGGGAAGATTCCCTCTTTTTCTATTGATTGGAATAGTTTCAGAAAGGATGGTAACAGCTCCTCCTTGTACCTCTGGTAGAATTCGGCTGTGAATCCATCTGGTCCTGGACTTTTTTTGGTTGGTAAGCTATTAATTATTGCATCAATTTCAGAGCTTGTTATTGATCTATTCAGAGATTCAGCTTCTTCCTGGTTTAGTCTTGGGAGGGTGTATGTGTCCAGGAATTTATCCATTTCTTCTAGATTTTCTAGTTTATTTGCGTAGAGGTGTTTATAGTATTCTCTGATGGTAGTATGTACTTCTGTGGGATCGGTGGTGATATCCGCTTTATCATTTTTTATTGTATCTATTTGATTCTTCTCTCTTTTCTTCTTTATTAGTCTTGCTAGTGGTCTATCAATTTTGTTGATCTTTTCCAAAAACCACCTCCTGGATTCATTGATTTTTTGAAGGGTTTTTTGTGTCTCTATTTTCTTCAGATGGAAAGTATCTCAAAATAATAAGAGCTATCTATGACAAACCCACAACCAATATCATACTGAATGGGCAAAAAGTGGAAGCATTCCCTTTGAAAACTGGCACAAGACTGGAATGCCGTCTCTCACCACTCCTATTCAACATAGTGTTGGAAGTTCTGGCCAGGGCAATCAGGCAGGAGAAAGAAATAAAGGATATTCAATTAGGAAAAGAGGAAGTCAAATTGTCTCTGTTTGCAGATGACATGACTGTATATCTAGAAAACCCCATCATCTCAGCCCAAAATCTCCTTAAGCTGATAGGCAATTTCAGCAAAGTCTCAGGATACAAAATCAATGTGCAAAAATCACAAGCATTCTTATACACCAATAACAGACAAACAGAGAGCCAGATCATGAGTGAACTCCCATTCGCAATTGCTTCAAAGAGAATAAAATACCTAAGAATCCAACTTACAAGGGATGTGAAGGACCTCTTCAAGGAGAACTACAAACCACTGCTCAATGAAATAAAAGAGGATACAAACAAATGGAAGAACATTTTATGCTCATGGGTAGGAAGAATCAATATCATGAAAATGGCCATGCTGCCCAAGGTAATTTATAGATTCAATGCCATCCCCATCAAGCTACCAATGACTTTCTTCACAGAATTGGAAAGAACTACCTTAAAGTTCATATGGGACCAAAAAAGAGCCTGCATTGCCAAGTCAATCCTAAGCCAAAAGAACAAAGCTGGAGGCATCACGCTACCTGACTTCAAACTATACTACAAGGCTACAGTAACCAAAACAGCATGGTACTGGTACCAAAACAGAGATATAGACCAATGGAACAGAACAGAGCCCTCAGAAATAATGCCACATATCTACAACTATCTGATCTTTGACGAACCTGACAAAAACAAGAAATGGGGAAAGGATTCCCTATCTAATAAATGGTGCTGGGAAAACTGGCTAGCCATATGTAGAAAGCTGAAACTGGATCCCTTCCTTACGCCTTATACAAAAATTAATTCAAGATGGATTAAAGACTTACATGTTAGACCTAAAAGCATAAAAACCCTAGAAGAAAACCTAGACAATACCATTCAGGACATAGGCATGGGCAAGGACTTCATGTCTAAAACACCAAAAGCAATGGCAACAAAAGCCAAAATTGACAAATGGGATCTAATTAAACTAAAGAACTTCTGCACAGCAAAAGAAACTACCATCAGAATGAACAGGCAAACTACAGAATGGGAGAAAATTTTTGCAATCTACTCATCTGACAAAGGGCTAATATCCAGAATCTACAATGAACTCAAACGAATTTACAAGAAAAAAACCAACAACCCCATCAAAAAGTGGGCAAAGGATACAAACAGACACTTCTCAAAAGAAGACATTTATGCAGCCAAAAGACACATGAAAAAATGCTCATCATAACTGACCATAAGAGAAATGCAAATCAAAACCACAATGAGATACCATCTCACACCAGTTAGAATGGTGATCATTCAAAAGTCAGGAAACAACAGGTGCTGGAGAGGATGTGGAGAAATAGGAATGCTTTTACACTGTTGGTGGGACCATAAACTAGTTCAACCATTGTGGAAGTCAGTGTGGCAATTCCTCAGAGATCTAGAACTAGAAATACCATTTGACCCAGCCATCCCATTACTGGGTATATACCCAAAGGATTATAAAACACACTGCTATAAAGACACATGCACATGTATGTTTATTGAGGCACTATTCACAATAGCAAAGACTTGGAACCAACCCAAATGTCCAACAATGATAGACTGAATTAAGAAAATGTGGCTCATATACACCATGGAATACTATGCAGCCATAAAAAATGATGAGTTCAGGTCCTTTGTAGGGACATGGATGAAGCTGGAAACCATCATTCTGAGCAAACTATGGCAAGGACAGAAAACCAAACACCACATGTTCTCACTCATAGGTGGGAATTGAACAATGGGAACACATGGACACAGGAAGGGGAACATCACACACTGGGGCCTGTTGTGGGGTGGGGGGAGGGGGGAGGGATAGCATTAGGAAATATACCTAATGTTAAATGATGAGCTAATGGGTGCAGCACACAAACATGGCACATGTATACATATGTAACTAACCTGCACGTTGTGCACATGTACCCTAAAACTTAAAGTATAATAAAAACAAATGACCAGATGTCAAATTTATCACAAAAAGACTTCAAGGCTTTGGTTCCAAGGTGGCTGAACAGGAAGAGCTCCAGTCTGCAGCTCCCAGCATGAGTGACACAGAAGATGGGTGATTTCTGCATTTCCAACTGAGGTACTGGGTTCATCTCACTGGGGCTCGTCAGACAGTGGGTGCAGCCCACGGAGCAGGGCAGGGCATTGCCTCACCTGGGAAGTGCAAGGAGTCAGGTAATTCCCTTTCCTAGCAAAGGGAAGCCATGACAGACAGTATCTGGAAAATTGGGCACTCCCACCCTAATACTGCACTTTTCCAATGGCCTTAGCAAACAGCACACCAGGAGATTATATCCCATTCCTGGGAGCCTCACTCACTGCTAGCACAGCAGTCTGAGATCAAACTGCAAGGCAGCAGCGAGGCTAGGGGAGGGACGTCCACTATTGCTGAGGCTTGAGTAGGTAAACAAAGTGTCCAGGAAGCTCGAACTGGGTGGAACCCACCACAGCTCAAGGAGGCCTGCCTGCCTCTGTAGACTTCATCTCTGGGGGCAGGGCATAGCTGAACAGAAGGCAGCAGAAACTTCTGCAGACTTAAACATCCCTTTCTGACAGCTTTGAAGAGAGTAGTGGTTCTCCCAGCACAGAGTTTGAGATCTAAGAATGGACAGACTGCCTCCTCAAGTGGGTCCCTGACCCCTGAGTAGCCTAACTGGGAGATACTTCCCAGTATGGACTAACTGACACCTCATACAGCTGGGTGCCCCTCAGAAACGAAGCTTCCAGAGGAAGGATCAGGCAGCAACATCTGCCGTTCTGCAATATTTGCTGTTCTGCAGCCTCCGCTGGTGATAACCAGGCAAACAGGTCTGGAGTGGATCTCCAGCAAACTCCAACAGACCTGCAGCTGAGGGTCCTGACTGTTAGAAGGAAAACTAACAAACAGGAAGGACATCCACACCAAAACCCCATCTGTACGTCACCATCATCAAAGACCAAAGGTAGATAAAACCACAAAGATGTGGAGAAACAAGAGCAGAAAAGCTGAAAATTCTAAAAATCAGAGCACCTCGTCTCCTTCAAGGGATCACAGCTCCTCGCCAGCAATGGAACAAAGCTGGATGGAGAATGACTTTAACAAGTTGAGAGTAGAAGGCTTCAGATGATTGGTAATAACAAACTTCTCTGAGCTAAAGAAGGATGTTCAAACCCATTGCAAAGAAGCTAAAAACCTTGAGAAAAGATTAGATGAATGGCTGACTAGAATAAACAGTGTAGAGAAGTCCTTAAAGGACCTGATGGAGCTGAAAACCATGGTACAAGAACTACGTGACACAAGCACAAGCTTCAGTAGCCAATTTGATCAAGTGGAAGAAAGGGTATCAGAGATTGAAGATCAAATGAATGAAATGAAGTGAGAAGAGAAGGTTAGAGAAAAAAGAGTAAAGAGAAATGAACAAAGCCTCTAAGAAATACAGGACTATGTGAAAAGACCAAATCTACGTCTGATTGGTGTACCTGAAAGTGACAGGGAGAATGGAACCAAGTTGGAAAACACTCTTCAGGATATTATCCAGGAGAACTTCCACAACCTAGCAAGGCAGGCCAACATTCAAGTTCAGGAAATACAGAGAACACCACAAAGATACTCCTCGAGAAGAGCAACTCCAAGACACATAATTGTCAGATTCACCAAAGTTGAAATGAAGGAAAAAATGTTAAGGGCAGCCAGAGAGAAAGGTCAGGTCACCCACAAAGGGAAGCCCACCAGGCTAAAAGTGGATCTCTTGGCAGAAACTCTACAAGCCAGAAGAGAGTGGGGGCCAATATTCAACATTCTTAAAGAAAATAATTTTCAACCCAGAATTTCACATCCAGCCAAATTAAGCTTCATAAGTGAAGGAGAAATAAAATCCTTTACAGACAAACAAATGCTGAGAGATTTTGTCACCACCAGGCCTGCCTTACAAGAGCTCCTGAAGGAAGCACTAAACATGGAAAGGAATAACTGGTACCAGTTACTGCAAAAACATGCCAAATTGTAAAGACCATCGATGCTAGGAAGAAACTGCATCAACTAACGAGCAAAATAACCAGCTAACATCATAATGACAGGATCAAATTCACACATAACAATATTAACCTTAAATGTAAATGGGCTAAATGCTCCAATTAAAAGACACAGACTGGAAAATTGGATAAAGAGTCAAGACCCATCAGTGTGCTGTATTCAGGAGACCCATCTCATGTGCAGAGACACACACAGGCTCAAAATAAAGGGATGGAGGAAGATCTACCAAGTAAATGGAAAACAAAAAAAAGCAGGGGTTGCAATCCTAGTCTCTGATAAAACAGACTTTAAACCAGCAAAGATCAAAAGAGACAAAGAAGGCCATTACATAATGGTAAATGGACCAATTCAGCAAGAAGAGCTAACTATCCTAAATATATATGCACCCAATAAAGGAGCATCCAGATTCATAAAGCAAGTCCTTAGAGACCTACAAAGAGACTTAGACTCCCACACAATAATAATGGGAGACTTTAACACCCCACTGTCAACATTAGACAGATCAATAAGACAGAAAGTTAACAAGGATATCCAGGAATTGAACTCAGCTCTACACCAAGTGGACCGAATAGACATCTACAGAACTCTCCACCCCAAATCAACAGAATGTACATTCTTCTCAGCACTACATCACACTTATTCCAAAATTGACCACATAGTTGGAAGTAAAGCACTCCTCAGCAAATGTAAAAGACAAGAAATTATAACAAACTGTCCCTCAGACCACAGTGCAATCAAACTAGAATTCAGGATTAAGAAACTCACCCAAAACCGCTTAACTACATGGAACTGAACAACCTGCTCCTGAACGACTACTGGGTACATAAAGAAATGAAGGCAGAAATAAAGATGTTCTTTGAAACCAATGAGAACAAAGACACAACATACCAGAATCTCTGGGACACATTTAAAGCAGTGTGTAGAGGGAAATTTATAGCACTAAATGCCCACAAGAGAAAGCAGGAATGATCTAAAACTGACACCCTAACATCACAATTAAAAGAACTAGAGAAGCAAGAGTAAACACATTCAAAAGCTAGCAGAAGACAAGAAATAACTAAGATCAGAGCAGAACTGAAGGAGACAGAGACACAAAAACCCTTCAAAAAATCAGTGAATCCAGGAGCTGGTTTTTTGAAAAGATCATCACGTTGATAGTCTGCTAGCAAGACTAATAAAGAATAAAAGAAAGAAGAATCAAATAGATGCAATAAAGAATGATAAAGGGAATATCACCACCAATCCCACAGAAATACAAACTACCATCAGAGAATACTATAAACACCTCTACGCAAATAAACTAGAAAATCTGGAAGAAATGCATAAATTCCTGGACATATACACCCTTCTAAGACTAAACTAGGAAGAAGTTGAATCCCTGAATAGGCTGATAACAGGTTCTGAAATTGAGGCAATAATTAATAGCCTACCAACCAAAAAAAGTCCAGGACCAGACAGATTCACAGCTGAATTCTACCACAGGTACAAAGAGGAGCTGGTACCATTCCTTCTGAAAGCATTCCAATCAATAGAAAAAGAGGGAATCCTCCCTAATTCATTTTATGAGGCCAACATCATCCTGATACCAAAGCCTGGCAGAGACACAACAAAAAAAAGAGAATTTTAGACCAATATCCCTGATGAACATCAATGCAAAAATCCTCAATAAAATACTGGCAAACTGAATCCAGCAGCACATCAAAAAGCTTATCCACCATGATCAAGTTAGCTTCATCCCTGGGATGAAAGACTGGTTCAACATATGCAAATCAATAAATGTAATCCATCATATAAACAGAACCAATGACAAAAACCACATGACTATCTCAATAGATGCAGAAAAGGCCTTCAACAAAATTCAACAGCCATTCATGCTAAAAACTCTCAATAAACTAGGTATTGATGTGACATATCTCAAAATAATAAGAGATATTTATGGCAAACCCACAGCCAATATCATACTGAATGGGCAAAAACTGGGAGCATTCCCTTTGAAAACTGGCACAAGACAGGGATGCCCTCTCCCACCACTCCTATTCAATGTAGTGTTGGAAGTTCTGGCCAGGGCAATCAGGCAGGAGAAAGAAATGAAGAATATTCAATTAGAAAAAGAGGAAGTCAAATTGTCCCTGTTTGCAGATGACATGATTGTATATTTAGAAAACCCCATCATCTTAGCCCCAAATCTCCTTAAGCTGATAAGCAACTTCAGCAAAGTCTCAGGATACAAAACCCATGTGCAAAAATCACAAGCATTCTTATACACCAATAACAGACAAACAGAGAGCCAAATCACGAGTGAACTCCCATTCGCAATTGCTTCAAAGAGAATAAAATACCTAGGAATCCAACTTACAAGGGATGTGAAGGACCTCTTCAAGGAGAACTACAAACCACAGCTCAACGAAATAAAAGAGGACACAAACAAATGGAAGAACATTCCATGCTCATGGATAGGAAGAATCAATATTGTGAAAATGGCCATATTGCCCAAGGTAACTTATAGATTCAATGCCATCCCCATCCAGCTACCAATGACTTTCTTCACAGAATTGGAAAAAAACTACTTTAAAGTTCATATGGGACCAAAAAAGAGCCTGCATTGCCAAGACTATCCTAAGCAAAAAGAACAAAGCTGGAGGCATCACACTACGTGACTTCAAACTATACTACAAGGCTACAGTAACCAAAACAGCATGGTACTGGTACCAAAACAGAGATATAGACCAATGGAACAGAATAGAGCCCTCAAAAATTATACCACACATCTACAACCATCTGATCTTTGACAAATCTGATAAAAACAAGCAATGGGGAAAGGATTCCCTATTTAATAAATGGTTCTGGGAAAACTGGCTAGCCATATGTAGAAAGCTGAAACTGGATCCCTTCCTTACACCTTATACAAAAATTAATTCAAGATGGATTAAAAAAGTAAATGTTAGACCTAAAACCATAAAAACCCTAGAAGAAAACCTAGGCAATACCAATCAGGCCACAGGCATGGGCAAGGACTTCATGACTAAAACACCAAAAGCAATGGCAACAAAAGCCAAAATTGACAAATGGGATCTAATTAAACTAAAGAACTTCTGCACAGCAAAAGAAACTACCATCAGAGTCAACAGGCACACTACAGAATGGGAGAAAATTTTTGCAATCTACTCATCTGACAAAGGGCTAATATCCAGAATCTACAATGAACTCAAACGAATTTACAAGAAAACAAACAACCCCATCAGAAAGTGGGTGAAGGATACGAACAGACATTTCTCAAAAGAAGACATTTATGCAGCCAAAAGACACATGAAAAAATATTCATCATCACTGGCCATCAGAGAAATGCAAATCAAAACCACAATGAGATACCATCTCACACCAGTTAGAATGGCGATCATTCAAAAGTCAGGAAACAACAGGTGCTGGAGAGGATGTGGAGAAATAGAAATGCTTTTACACTGTTGGAGGGACCGTAAACTAGTTCAACTATTGTGGAAGACAGTGTGGCGATTCCTCAAGGATCTAGAACTAGAAATACCATTTGACCCAGCCATCCCATTACTGGACATATACCCAAAGGACTATAAATCATGCTGCTATAAAGACACATGAACACGTATGTTTACTGCGGCACTATTCATAATAGCAAAGACTTGGAACCAACCCAAATTTCCATCAATGATAGACTGGATTAAGAAAATGTGGCACATATACACCATGGAATACTATGCAGCCATAAAGAAGGATGAGTTCAGGTCCTTTGTAGGGACATGGATGAAGCTGGAAACCATCATTCTGAGCAAACTATCGCAAGGACAGAAAACCAAACACCACATGTTCTCACTCATAGGTGGGAACTGAACAATGAGAACATTTGGACACAGGGTGGGGAACATCACACACCAGGGCCTGTCATGGGGTGGGGGGAGGGGGAAGGGATAGCATTAGGAGATAAACCTAATGTAAATGGCGAGTTAATGGGTGCAGCACACCAACATGGCGCATGTATACATATCTAACAAAGCTGCACATTATGCACATGTACCCTAGAACTTAAAGTATAATAAAAAAAAAACTTCAAAATAGCCATTATAAATATGTTCAAAGAACTGAAAGAAACCATGACTAAAGAAGTAAAGAGAAATATATTATAATGTCATATTAAATATGGGCTATTCATAAAGAAATAGAAATTATTTGAAAATAACCAAGTGAAAATTCTGAAATTAAAAAGCACAATAACTGCAATGAAAAATACACTAGAGGAGCTCCACAATAGATTTGAACTGGCAGAAAAAATAATTAACGAACTTGAAGACAGATCAATGGAGATTATACAATCTGAAGAACATAGAGAAAAAAGAATTTTAAAGATGAACAGAGCTTCTGAGAAGTTGGTGAGAGACCATTATGCACACCAACATACATGTAATTGGAGTACTGGACATAGAGGAGAGACAAAGAAGCAGAAAACAATATTCAAGGAAATAATGGTTGAAGATGTCCCAAATTCATTGAAAATTAATCTACCCATCTAGAAAATTTAATGAACTCCAAGTAGGTGGAATTAACACAAAGAAATCCAGACACATCACGTAAAAAAAAACTGCTAAAAGTGAAAGAGAAGGAGGAAATATTGAAAGCACCAAGAGAAAAATGACTCATCACTTACAAGGAAACCCCAGTAAGTTTAAGAGCTGACTTTTTAACAGAAACAAAAAAGGCCAGAACACAGTGCTAAAACTGCATGAAGAAAAAAAAAAAGAAACCTGTCAACCAAGAATTCTGTATCCAGCAAAGCTATCTTCCAAAACTAAAGGTGACATAAATGTATTCCCAGATAAACAAAAGCAGAGAGAATTTGCTGCTAACAGGCCTACCTTACAACAAGTCCTAAGGCGGGAAGTTGTTCAGGTTAAAAGCATCCACAAGAAAAAACAATACTAGTAAAAGTGATCATATAATTACAGAATGCAGTATAAATGTATACTCTTCTCTTTTCTTCTCTTAAGAGGTTTAAAAAGCAACTGTGTAAAACATTATTTACATAATTTATCACTTGGCCTATAGAATAATACACATCTATAGAACACTCTATTCAACAATGAGATTTATTTGGGGGAGTACTGTCATCTTAATATTTGGTCTTGCAATCCACCGAAATGGGATGTTTTCCATTTATTTAGATCTTTTAAAATTCCTTTCAACAATACTTTGTAGTTTTCAGAGTAAAAGTTTTTCATTTATTTTATTGTCTATTCTAACTTTATTCCTTTTGATGCTACTGTAAATGGAATTGTTTACTTAATTTCTCTTTCTAATTCTTCATCACTAGAGTATAGGAATGCAATTAATTTCTGTATATTGATCTTGTACCCTACACTCTTGCTAGACTTGTTAGTTCTAGTAGTTTTTAGTGGATTCCTTAGAATTTTCTATGCACAAGATCATGTCTTCTATGACTACAGGTAGTTTTACTTTTTTCTTTTCCATCTGGATGCCTTTTATTTGGTTTCATTGACTAATTGTCTTGTGTAGAACTTCTAATGCCAGGTTGAATAGAAGTGGTGTGAGTGGATATCCTTGTTTTGCACTCCTTATTTTAGACAAAAAGTATCAGTGTTTCACCATTGAGTATGATAGCT
This sequence comes from Homo sapiens, assembly GCF_000001405.40. Classification (NCBI taxonomy): domain Eukaryota; kingdom Metazoa; phylum Chordata; class Mammalia; order Primates; family Hominidae; genus Homo; species Homo sapiens. The sequence continues at coordinate 30,183,090 of NC_000019.10, read as the reverse complement.
ATGGGTTTGAGGTTGAGGAAGCTCCTTCCATTTAAAGTTTGTTGAGTATTTTTTAATGTAAGGTGTTGGATTTGGTAGAAATTTTTTTTGGTATCTATTAAGAAAATAATGTGGTTTTCCCTTTTTATTCTATTAATATGGTACATTACATTAATTGATTTTGGGATATTAAACCAACCTTGCATTCCTGGGATGAATCTTACTTGCTCATGGTAAAGTCTTTTTACATGTTGCTGGATTTGATTTGCTAATATTTTGTTGAGGACTTTTGCATTTGTATTCATAAGGGATCAGTGCTTTTCTTGTGGTGTCTTTGTCTGGTTTTTGTATCAGGGTAATACTGGCCTCACAGAATGAGTTTGGCAGTGTCCCCTTCTCTTCTATTTTTTTGAAGTTTGTGATGATCTCTCCAAAGTAAACAAAAAGTATTAATTCTTCTATTTAAAGATTTGGTAGAATTCAGCAGTGAAGCTATCTGGCCTGGGATTTTCTTTTTATATAATATTTTAATTATTCATTCCATCTCTATTTGTTCAGATTGCCTATTTATTCTTGAGTCCATTTTGGTCTTTGTAGACCACAATCACTTTGTGTCTTTCTAGAAATTGTTCATTTTATGTAAGTTATCTAATTTATTGGTATACAATTGTTCATAGGAGTTTTTTATAAATCTTTTGATTTCTGTAAAGTCAGTAGTAATGTTCCCTTTTTCATTTCTGATTCTAATAATTTTAATCTTCTTTTTATCAATATAGTTAAAGGTTTATCAATTTTGTTTATCTTTTTGAAGCACTAGATTTTGGTTTCATTGATTTTTTTCCTATTGCTTTCCTATTCTGTACTATGAGAATGGACTAATAAAATGGTTGTAATCAAAGTCAAATATAAACAAGTGTTGATGAGGATGTGGATAAATCAGAACCCTCAAACACTGCTGATGGGAATGTACAATGGTACAACCACTTTGGAAAAACAGTCTGGCAGTTCTCCCAACAGTTATAGATAGAGTTACAATATGACCCAGAAATTCTACTCCTAGATATATACTCAAGAGAAATGAAACCAGTGTGCACATGGTATATCTTTTTTTATCCTTTTACTTTTAATGTAGCTCTGTATAGTTTCTTGTACAGGTATATTATAGATAGCATATTGTGAGTTTCTTGTACATAGTATATTGTAGATAGCATACTGCTTTTTTATCCAACCTGGAAGTCTCTGCCTTTTGATTAATGTATTTAGACATACCTATTTAGTGTGGTTATTGATCCAAATTGTATTTTGATTAAAATCTATCTTAGCAGCTTTTTTCAATTAATTTCTTCTGTTTTTATTTCTTTTGTCTCCCATCATTTGAATTACTTAAATATTGTTTTGATTCCATTTTATCTCCACCATGGACTGATTATTTATGCCTCTTATTATTTCATTAGTAGTTGTCATAAGGTTTATAAAATATATTTTTAATTAATCAGAGCCTGTCTCCAAGTAATATTATACTGTTTTACTTGTAGTATTTTACATGTAATATTATACATGTAGTATATTTTACAGGTAGTATTTTACATGTAATATTATACATGTTTTACATGTAGTGTAAAGACCTTCCAACAGTACACCTCCAATTATTCCCTCCCATTCTATGTGTTATTACCATATATTTTACATAGGTATAAATATACAAATAATTACTACTTATTTTTTGCTTCAGGCAGTTGTCTTTTAGAGTAATTAAAAAATAAAATAAAAGTTATTTTACTTTCATTTATTTTATTTACGTTACTCTTCCAAGTTTTTGTCTGAGACTGTCTTCATTTTGCCTGAAGAACTTCCTTTTACTTTTCTTATAGAGCACATCTTCAAGTGATAAATTCTTTAATTTTTTTTTCATGGAGAACTTCTTATGCCTCCTACATTTTGAAACCTGTTTTCATTGGGTATAGCATTTAAGGTAGGCAATTCTTTTTTCTTTCAGTACTTTAAAGATATCACTCCATTGTCTTCTGCCTTGCATGGATTCTGAAAACAAGTGCCTTTGTTATTTCGTATTGAATATGGTCTTTTTTTCCCTCTCTGGCTGCCTTCAGGATTTATTTGTTTTCTGTTTTTAACAGATGGAATTTGACATGCCTACATGTTTTTTAATTTTGTTTTTTGAGGGTAGGTCTATTTATCCTCCTTGGTATTGTCTAAGCATTTTGGATCTGGAGTTTTGTGTCTGTCATTAATTTTAGAAAATTCTTGGCCATTATTTCTTCAAATCATTTTTCTGCCCTATTTTTTCTCTTTTCCTTCTAGAATTCCAATAATGCATGTGATATATTATTTGATATTGCCCCACAACTCTTGGATGCACTATTGTCTTTTTTGTGTATTTGTTATGTAAATTTTATTTTCTTTGTGCTTCAGTTAGGCAATTTCTTTTGACCTATCTTCAAATTCACTTAGCTGTCAAGCCTGCTGCTCACTCAGCTGTTAATTTTATTGATGAGCCTGTCAAAGGCATTTTGATAGTTAATTTTAGGTGTCAACTTGATTAGGTTTCTTAGTCTGAAGTATAAAAAATACCTAGAAACCTAGTAAAGCATTATTTTTGGGTATGTCTGTGAAGGCGTTTCCCAAGGAAATTAGCATTTGAGTCTGAGTGAGCTAGGTGGGGTAGAGCCACCCTCAATGTAGGTGCGCATCATCCAATTTGCTGGGGGCCTGGAGAGAACAAAAATAGGGAAGAGGCAAATATGTTGATCTGTCTGCTGGAGCTGACATATACTCTTCCTCTCCTGTCTTTGGACAATTCCAGGCTCGTTGCTCTCGTGCCGTTTACCTCAGGCTGAGAGTTACACCATCAGCTATCCTGGTTCTGAAGCCATGCTACTGGCATCCTAGGCTCTACAACTCACAGACAGCCTGTCATGGAACTTCTCAGCCTCCATAATTGTGTGAGCCAATTCCCTTATAACATAGTTTTGATATTTGTCCCCACCCACATCTCATGTTGAATTGTAATTCCCAATGTTGGAGGTGGGGCATGGTGAGAGGTATTTGGGATCATTGGGGTGGATCTCACATGAATGGCTTCAGCCATCCTTTTGGTGACAAGTGAGCTCTTGCTCTGAGTTCACATGAGATCTGGTTATTTAAAAGTGTGTGGCGCTTCCATCCCCTACTCTCTCTTGCTCCTGCTCTGGCCATGTGACATGCCTGCTCTCCCTTCACCTTCTGCCATGATTGTAAGCTTCCTGAGGCTTCCTCAGAAGCTGAGCTGATGCCAGCACCATGCTTCCTGTAAATCCTGCAGAACCATGAGCCAATTAAACCTCTTTTCTTCATCAATTACACAGTCTCAGGTATTTCTTTATAGCAATGCAAGAATGATAACACACTGTAATAAATCTCCCTCATATATCTATATCTATATCTACGTCTATAATCTCCTAGTGGTTTTGTCGCTCTGGGGAGCTCTAATTCAATTATCAATATTTGTTTCTGTTTTTATTTCAACCCTTTCCATTTGATTCTTCTTATAGTTTCCATCTTTCTTCTGAAATTACCCATCTGATTTTGTATGCTGTGCATCTTTTCCATTAAAGCCTTATAAGCTCAGAAATGGGCATAACTTTTTTTTTTCTGGGTCTTTAATGTGGAGTTTTATACTAATCTTGTTAGGAGTTAGACTGCCTCTGAGGTTTGTTGTTACTATATTTACCCTCTAGGCACCAGAGGCTTCAAATCCCTCTAGTTGTAACTAGAGCAATTGTTGGTTTTATGGGCTGTAGTTATAGGTTCTGAATCCAGTACTTTTTCCTACCACTTCCCCAGGGCTAGCGTATTTTTTTCTGCTCTCTTATCCCAGCTGCAATGGGCTTTCTTAATGCGCTAAGTGCAACAACAGTCTTTGATGGCCTTTGTCCTGCAAATTAAGGCTTTTGCTCCCTAGGAGAGATAGAAGAGAATAGTCTGAGTAGAGTTTTCTGCCTCTCCTGTGGTGGTTATTTTTTCCCTTCCCAAGGCCTGCACAAAGGAAACTTTCTCAAGATCCTTCCCTGTCTTCCCTGTGAGTGCCTGGTGGGGTTTGAGAAGAAGCTTGCAAGAGGCTACCCACCTGCCTTCATTTCTGCAGCTCCATGGGCTTCACATCGTTTCACCAGCCTGTTCTCAGCCTTCACTCATGCATCCACTACTCTAGCTGAATCCTTCCTACCAGTGTCTGATGACTTCTGCCCTCAGCTAAGCAAGTGCCACGCCCCCTGCTTCCCCCAAAGACCCCTGTCACTCTCCAGATTTGGGGTTAGTGTTGTCCTGAGGCCTCAGCTTTCTGATAGGTTCAACAGAGGGTGTGCACTTGTGCATTGTCCATTTCTTTTCCTAATATGCAGGGGGGAGGGATATTTTTTCCAATTCTCCACATCTCTCCTTAAGCTTTATAATATATGCCTTGAACCTATCAAGCTTTGGGAAGAGGATCTCATCTTAACCTCCTTTTCCCTCAGGATTTTGTCCAACTGAAAGTATTCAAGGGGCTCCACATCCTGTAATGAGTATTTGCCTGAAACACTTTCATCCATTCAGAGACTTTAACAATGGGTATGAAAGCAATGTTCATGATTTCATATTTCTTTAAGGACTTTGTCATTGAAAGTGTTTCTCAATTCTAGCTTTTGCTGTTAGGAGATGAGAAGGAGTTGCAGCTTCCAACCGTAGTACTCCCTGAGTATTCTCTTTTATTCCTGCTTACAAATCAGAAAATTATTTTTAAATTCATCTTTTTCTTCTGATACTTTGCCAAAGGCAGCCAACAACCACCACCACACGCCATGAACATTCCATCCCCGAAACTCTCCCCAAGAACTGCAAGTTTCCATTTTGTCTCCTGAATTACTGCACATGACAGTTTTGCCAAATGTTTTACTACATCATCACATAGTTTGCCATCTTTCCAGCCTCTGGTAAATTTCTTCACTGTTCACTAACCCAACACAAAGTCAATGCCATACATTTTAGGTTTGGGTTTTGGTAAGACCTCATTTCTGATACTGATGTCCACATCACACAGAATAGGCTAGGTTATGTTGTGTCTATGAACAATCCTCAAATATCTGTGGTTTCTAATAACCAATGTTTGCTTCCATTGTTCATGTTAATCATGGGTTGGCTAGCCAAGGGCTCCACTCCTGGGCCTCTCTACTCAGGTCCCAGGCTGCAAGAACATCCACTGCCTGGAATTCTTAAGGTTTCCACCAAGAAGTGACACACTTGGTTTCCCTGGTCACTGGCCATGGCAAATCACACAGCACAGCTAATTGTATCAGAGGTTGTGAACCAGAGTAACTCCATCTTGAATAGGGGCTGGATAAAATGAGGCTGAAACCTACTGGGCTGCATTCCCAGATAATTATGGCATTCTATGTCACGGGATGAGATAGGAGCTCAGCACAAGATACAGGTCATAAAGGCTTTGCTGATAAAACAGGTTGCAGTAAAGAAGCAGGCCAAATCCCCTCAAATCCAAGATGGCCTCTGGTTGTCCTCACTGCTACAGTCCCACCAGCTCAGGAAGTTACCCTCTATGGTCTAAAAAGGGGAGGCATGAATAATCCACCCTTGTTCAGCATATCATCAAGAAATAACCATAACAGTGGGCAACCAGCTACCCTCAGGGCTGCTCTGTCTATGGAGTAGCCATTCTTTATTCCTTTGCTTTCTTAATAAACTTGCTTTCACTTTACTCTACAGATTTGTCCTGAATTATTTCTTGAGTGAAATCCAAGAATGCTCTCCTGGGGTCTAGATCAGGACCCCTTTCCTGTAACAATTGCAAGGAAACAAGCAGAAGCAATTTTACTCACAACAGAGAATCAGAAACATCTGGAGTCAGAAGGGACCTCCATGCCCCATATAGGACTCATACTTATCTCTCTCTCACTCCAAGTTCCAGTGTTTGGGATTTTATTCCACTCCTAGCTCTAGGAGTGAGAATGGGGCCAATCAGAACATTGGATCCCCCTGACCATGGCAACTGGCTTAGAACTGGGCACATGACCCAAGATGGTCCAGTGACCCACGATTCACACCCTCTTTTGATATTGTTGTCAACAAACAGTCAAACTTTGTAAAATATTTGAAGAGATGTATTGTGAGCCAAATATGAGTGACCAATGGCCTGTGACACATCCCTCAGGAGATCCTGAGAACATGCACCCAAGGTGGTCAAGCCACAACTTGGTTTTATGCATTTTAAGGAGACATAAAGCATCAGTCAATGTATGTAAAATGTACATTGGTTGGGTCCAGAATGTAGAGATAACTGGAAGCAGAGAGCTTCCAAGTCATACGTGGATTCAAAGATTTTCTGATTGGCAATTCGTTGAAAAAGTTATTATCAATAGAAAGAAATGTGTGGGTTATGATAAGGTGTAGAGCCTGAGGTTTTATCATGCAGATGATGTCTCCAGGTATCAGGCTCCAGAGAGAATAGATTGTGAATGTTTCTTATCAGACTTTAAAGAGTCTGTCTGTCAGTAATTCCCAAAGGGAGGAGGGTATCATGAGGCATGTCTGGCTCCCCCTTCCCATCATGGTTTGAACTAGTTTTTAGGTTAACTTTGGAGTGCCCTTGGCTGAGAGGAGGGGTCCATTCAGATGGTTGGGAGGCCTTAGAATTGTATTTTTGGTTTACATTGTTGAGATAGGATTTCTTTCTGATAAACTTGGGAGCATGAGAATAGGAGCCTGGAACTGCCCGAGGCTACAAAGCGCACAGAGCCTTGCCTGAAGGTTTCCCAACTGAGAAGCAGAAATGGAGGAGAGGTGCAGCAAAAAAGGAAGCAAGAGAACTAGAGAGAAAATGAAGTGAGAGAGAGACAAAAAAAGGGGAAGGAGAAAGTGTCTGCACCCAGCCATCCCTGACTCACCCTAGGCCTTTGCAGTTATGAAAGCTGGTGCATCCCTTTTTGGCTTGAAATGGATGTTGTTGCTTACAACCACTAGAGCCTTGAAGACTGGGCTGCACTTCTGCCAGGTGGCTGTTCACTTCTTGTCCCTGGAAGGCTCTATGCAAGCCAGGACCTATCCCCGAAGGACCTGCATCCTCATAGGACACTGTCTTGGCAAGAGGGTGAAAGCAACCTACATTCACCTCGGGAGAGTGCATCGGCCAAAGATACAGCGTGATAGATATGCAGGACCAACCTTCGGCCTTCAGGTTTAAAAGGCATCAAATCAATAGAAAGTCATTAAAAATCAATCCTGTGACAATGGATGCTCTGGCGTGCTTGCCCTCACTCACCACTTCCAGCCTCTAATGCTTGAATCATTTCCCATTGATATGCGTAGCATATGCCAATTTAAATTTATTGGAGCACTTCACATTTTTAAGTGCTTAAATTTGGAAAAGATGAGCTTTATGGGGCCAGCATCGTGTGGAATGATCAGAAATGTTAAGAATGGGTTGCACTTCTTGTCATTTACAAAAGGTTAAAGAGTTGGGTTTATGAAATTCAAAATGATTTAAAATCATGGAATTGCTTTAGTCCCATGGCAGTATTTGAATTTGGGAATTCGCAGGAAGCCTAGTTTACCTTCCAGCTTACCCAGAGTGACCCTCCAAATTTAAGAAACCGGGGCCTGCCCCAGCAGGGGAGTCACCCAACAGATAATTCAAACATAAATTCTGTGCTTACTTCTCAATTTGTCATTGAATTTATAAGCAACCTGGGCTTCAAATAAGCACGATATATGATGATTTCAAATATTTAGCAAAACTCATATTCTTCAAAGAATTCCACTCTCTCAAATGAAAACTCATTTAAAAATGTGAAGTGATTTTAATTGGTCTTCTCTCCAGGCTGGAAATATCTTATTTCACTTTTAAGAATATTAATTTTTTTATTTTGCCCTGCTTGTTAAGGACGCATATGTAAAGTTACTGCAATCAGCCCTGTGATTTCAGGAATCGAATCTCTGGGTCTCACACAGTAAACACTGATCAATCTGCAGAATCTCAAACTGCTGCCACAAACAGGTGATCGCTGTCATGTTAACTCTTCGCTCTAGTGCTGCAGCACCCAATCCACTTCTGACACTTAGTACCAGGGATATTAAAACACAGTCACGGCTGAAAAGGGAAGCGGCTCCTCTCTCCAGGCAGCATGAAAAGCAGAAGGCCTTGCGGGCGCAGAAGGCAGGCTGTCCCTTTACCAGTTAGCTTCTCTTGGTCCAGCATTCTATCTCAACATTCCCGCTCTGAATTTTACTTGGGTTAACCTGGAGAATTTCATCCCAACAAGGATCCTGTGCTTGAACGTAGCTTAGCCATCAGTGCCAAGGTCCAAATTTACTAATCTGGTCCTTATAAAAAAAGGTGTTCACTTTAAAATAGATGAACATTTCCTAACTTTAAGTCACGAATTTAAAAGCTCACATTTTAGAAGGGTGATCAAAAATGAAACACACATGAAACCAGGATATCGAAATCTAAACACAGAGATTTATCAAACGCAAGGTGCCTGTCCACTCAGTAGATTTCTCTTGTGGTTTCTCAGAGTGTCCTCCTGCCGAGCCTTAAATATAGAGTCCTCCTGGGGCATGTGAAACTCAACAGATGCCTTCTGGAGGGGCGTGGCTTTGGGGATGCACCTGGCTGTCTCAGTGCCAGGTAAGTTCTCACCTCACAGCCCCAGCCATCTAGCCTGCCCAAGATCTTTGGTACATCTGGCACCAAATGAGTCTCAACAATGGAATTGACCCCATTGTTTGGCTTTCACCCCAACTCCCAGGGTCGCTCAAGGCCTGGCCCTGCCTGGTCCATTCTCTGCGCCTCCAAGGCAGTCAGCTCCCTTCTCTGTCCAGCCAGTTCAGCAGAGCAGCCTCTTTCTCCAGACTCTCACCCTGCACTTCACAAAGCCAGGCAGCGACAAAAGCCAGTCCCCACTCTCCTGTGGCAATACAGCAACCCTCAGAGATCCCGCTCCATGCCTGGGGGTTACAGAGCCACCAGCTTTCCATCTCTTCACCAAGCTCCCCAAGATGCTTGAAGCTGGGACAAAGAGGGAAAAAATACCTTCGATCCAGGAGGCACTTTATCAAAAAAATTCCACAAGAAATTGGCTGTTACCTGCAGATAACAACTGGTTTGTTAGCTAATAGCTGGGGGCAATGCCAAGGCCAGTTATAGCTCCAGCTGTCCAATCATTAACTGCTGTAAAGACTGATTTTGAGGAGGTTATTGCCGTGATAAAAATACCCTCAAAAGATTATAATAGCAATAGTGTATGGGAAAAAAAAAGTCATAGTGGCTATCGTATGACTGAATGACTGCATTTGAAAAATTGGCCGCTCCCTGGCGGTTCATAACCGATTTTCCACCAGTCAAAAGCAAGTGGTGCTCTGTTAGGTTTCTTGTACAAGGCAATAAAAATATTGGCCAGGTTAAATTGTCAGCGTGTTATGGCATTAACCATTCTTTTACTGTGTTTAATTTAAGCGTTACGATGATTCATTATGGAAGAACGTGTCCCATGCAAATGAACAGACATTGAGTGTCAAAAATATTCAGCATGTTTTTTTTTTGAAGCAAAATTAATTTTTATTTGATGGCTTCTGTAGGCGGAGGGACATCTAAGATGTGGCAAAAAGTGTATGTGTACTTTTTTTAAACTGCCATGGCATTCTGAGAGACTGAGTCGTGACAGCGTGGTTTCTCAGGGTGTCCTCCTGCCTGGCCTTAAATATAGAGTCCTCCTGGGGCATATGAAACTCAACAGATGCCTTCTGGAGGGGCGTGGCTTTGGGGATGTACCTGGCAGTCCCAATGCCAGGTAAGTTCTCACCTCACAGCCCCAGCCCTCTAGCCCATCCAAGACATTTGGTACATCTGGCACCAAATGACTTTCAAAGCCACTTTAAAGGTTCCTGAATAAGTCACATTGCAGGGCTGGGATCTGACCTGTCTGTTTGGGCTGCTGGGTGAACATCCGAGAACAGATGTGGCCTTCCAGAAAGAGCCTTGTAACAGCCAAAGCAATAAACGACCAGGATCCCGCTTGCCCCTACAGAGTGCCCCAGACCACCCTGCAATGGGGGCTTCGCTCTGTGCCTGAGAGGTGTGTCTGCCCTACAGCCGCGTTGGTCAGGGGATCATGTTAGGAAATCCATTAACACTGTCACTGGCCATTCACCGCAGACATCAAGGATGTAGGTGACACAGGACAAGGGAACACACAGCAGGAAGTTTGCACGGCACCTGCCACAGACCAAGAGAGCACATTTCACCCTCCCTACTCCCTTCAACCCTTGCAGTGCCCTGTCTGCATGCCCTGTGTGGCACATAGCAGTGTCTACCTTGACTGGGAACAGCTGCTGTCAGATCTTGTCAGCACCCCTCCTACACAGCCCCATGAGCTCCTTAAAGACTGGCCTAGCTTGTCCCCTTGAAGCCCAGTTTCCCCCATCTCCCTGTTTTGGTAAGGTCATGTCCAGTGGCCACATATACACTCCTGGGAATGCAGGGCTCCCACCTACCGCATGCCCCCCACCTGCGCACAGTGTGTCTCTGGGAGCCACCAGCCTGTCTCAGAAGCCCTCCAGCTCACTCCCACCTGTCGTGGCTACTGCTTAATGTCACCAGCTCCCTTCTCCTGCTCCAGCCCCTCCACAGGGCAGCTTCACCTCTCCCAGGCACTGCCACCCACATCCTGTCGCCAATGCATTGGCCCCTTCCAGCAGCCTGAGGGCCAGGGCTCTGTGGCAAAGTGGCAGAGGTGCTCCCTTGGGTCCACTCTGGCAGAGGCACCCCACGCCCTGTACTTAGAGACTGCAGGGGTGTGAACAGGGCACCTGATTTTTTGCTCCCCAACGCACTCAGGCCCTCCCAGCTTCTAGCCATGGCTGGGAATATCCCCTCCTACCTCCCAGAGGCCCCTTCAAATCTCTGTCAGGGATACCCCAAAGGCAGGCTGGGATGGCTCCCTCTCAGAAACTAGCCCAGTGCCTGGCACCCGTGGGCCTTCAGCAGAGGCTGTTAAGTAGAAGCACAGCTGTCTCCCCAGGGACTCTGTGTAAAAGACTGCAGTGGCCCCACAGCTCCCAGACTCTCCTGGACACCACAGGCTCCACCCGCAGGAGCAGCCACTGGGTGTCACAGTAGGGGACTGGGGGAACATGGTGATGTGGAACCAGTGGCAGCCCAGGGCAAAGAGTTGCTGGTCGTGGATTTCAGACAGTTCTGAGAATGGAAAATCAGTGAGCCTCACTGGCCTGAAAACCTGCTCAGGGCGGTGCTCAGAGACCCCAGGGGACTCTGGAGGGAGACCTGGATTCGGAGAACTCAGAGCCACTGCCCTAGGGAGGTCCCTCCTCAACATCTGGTATCTGGGAACACTCTGAACACACACTCACACGCATTCACTTACACTCACACCTACACACACACACCTACATACACCTATGCACATATTAACTCACACCTACATATACATACATTCATGCACACTCACACCTACACATTCACTCACACCTACAAATACACACATGCATTCACACACCTACACACATCCACTCACTCGCATGTACACACACATTCACCACACACATACACATTCACTCACTGACACCTACACACATTCACACTTACACACACACACATACACTCAGACCTACACATTCACTCACAGACACCTACACATGCATTCACTCACATACCTACACACATCCACTCAAACTCACATGTACACACACATTCACTACACACACACTCACTCACACCTACACACATTCACACTTACACATACACACGCATTCACTCACACCCACACACATATTCACTCACACTCACCTACACACACGCATTCATTCACACATCTACACACATTCATACTCACACCTACACACACTCACACCTAGACATACACACACATTTACTCAGACACACATCCACTCATACACCTACACATATTCACTCACACCTACACACATGCGTTCACTCACACACCTACCTATACACATGTTCACTCACACACCACACACACTCACACACCTACACACACATTCACTCATTCACACCTACACATACATGCATTCACTCACGCACCTACTCACACCTACACACACTTGCACATTCACTCACCTACACTCACATGCATACATTCACTCACATTCACACGTACATACACACACATTCACACATACCTACACACACTCATTCACTCACACACCTACACACACGCACATCACTCACACACCTACACACAAACACATGAATTTACTCACACTCACACCTACACACATTCACTCATGTACACACATTCACTCACACTCACACCTACATGCACACACACACATACACACTGTACCCACTTTCATAGTCAGCCAGGGCTGCTAGAGTGAAGAACCACAGACTGGGGGGTCTTAACAGACATTTATTTCTCGAGGTTCTGAAGGCTGGAAGGCCAAGCCCGTGGTGCTGCAGATGCAGTGTCTGGTGAGGTCCCGGCTTGTGGACGGCTGCCTTCCTAGTGAGTCCTCATATGGGGGGTGGGGGTCAGACAGAGAGCTCTGGTGTCTCTTCCTCTTTGTATAAGGGCACTAATCCCATCCTGGGGCTCTACCCTCATGAGCTCATCTCAGCCTAATCACCCCCAAAAGGCCCCACCTCCTAATACCAGAACACTGGGAACTAGGGCAGGGACACACAATTCAGTCCATAACATCCATGCACACGCATGCACAATCACAGTGCACACACATGCTATACCCACACACTCACACAGACACACACGTGCTGAGTCCGCACACTCACATGTGCACACACATATACCCATATGCACAACTGCACACAAATGTGCACACGTGCTCACACATTCATGTATGTGTGCACTCGATCACACGCTCTCACAGTCATGCACACACTACACTTAAGCACGTGTGCACATTCTTCTCATAATCATTAATGGAATCAGTGGTTTTTAATGAGCACATGTGGCAAGCCAAGCTGGGTGCTAAGCTGACCAAATCAGAGAAGACTGTTCTTGAAAAGCCCACAGTCTTGTCAAGTAATCACCCAATAAACACATTATTGTCAAGCGGGATGCTCCATGCTGGGCTGTACTGTGAGCTAGGAAGGTGTGGGCAGATCGGGACCAGGTCTGGGGAGGTTTCTGAAGGATGAGCCTGGGAAGCTCAAGGCTCTGCCCGTGCAAACACCTCCAGGCTAGACAGGGTGGAGAAGCCATAGTGCCTGCAGCCTGGTTTGGGTGAGAGACCTCCAGGCACTGTCCCCATCCTGAGGTCACCAAGGTCACCGAGAAGATGCATGCCCTGCCATGCAGCAGGGTTTGGGGGTGGAGCCCGCCTGAGCCAACCACACACAAACGTTTGTCCTGCCTGGCTCAAACTGGGATCCTTTGCCCCTGCTGGTGCCCAGTGGCCAGGGACACTCTGGCCATCTCTCTTCCCAACAGGGTCCAGCCTGCAGGAGGCCAGGGTTCCAGCCAGCTGAGGAGCCTCAATGGAAGGGGTCCAGGCCAGCACCCAGCAGGCAGCCTCTGAGAAGCTTCCATGGCTGCCTGCAGCAGAGGTAGCCACCCTGGGCCATGGCAGAGGGAGCCAGGGGACAATCAGCTGATGGGCCATGTGAAAGGAAAGGGCCTCCTCATTGCTCAGCCTCCCGTGCCTCTCCCGGGCCCACCGCCAGCCCGAGACACTCTGCTTCCTCCAGGTTAGGGTTCCCCTCCCACCTTTTCCCCACCTCTGCCGCCGAATATGCACAGAGAGGAACCAGTCAGGCTCTCTGTCTGCTGGGCCCTGGGGTGGGAGAGTGGCAGAAAGGGCCTCTACCCCTGCCCACCACAGACTTTGTTAAGGGCAGCTGATGGCTCTGTTCCCCACTGTCCCTGTCCCCATGGCCCCTAGGTCCCCAGGTTCCAGACTCCATTGCTTCACATCTATCTCAGCTCCCTCCTCCCTCTGAGCAGGAAGGGCAGTGAGTGGCAGGGTCTCCATGTGGCAGCACATCCCTTCCCTACAACGATGACACTCACATGCTGGCTTCTAGGCCTGCCTTCCTTCCCTTCGCTGACAGCAGGGTCTGGTGTCTGCTGCGGGAGGGTGCAGGGGACATCCTTCTAGTCATTCAGGAAGACCCTCAGAGGCTGCCGGCAAGCCCAGCTAGGGGTGGAGTGGGAGAGTCTCCGAGGCCAGCCAGGAGTCAGGACACCAGGGTTCTCATCCCAGGTCACAGTTCTCATCCCAGGTGACTGCCCAGGGGCTCAGCAGCCTCTGCTATGAAAAGCAAGACTCTCCCAGGTCCTCATAGGAGGGGGCTGGGGTAGGGGGAGAGACTCTGGGAGACTGCATCCCTCTGCAGTGAGATTACTGACGCCTCTACCCAGCAAAGGTATTGAACCCTGGTGTGGCTGGAGACACGGCAGACAGCAAACAGACAGGCCCCTGCCTTCATGGAGCTGAGAGTCTGGAGGGAGAGTCAGATGTAATGGAATAATCACGCAGGCTACTGTAAGGAGGGTTGGTAGCTGCCGCTGTGGGAGAGCTTTACGGCGGAGGGGACCAGTGAGGTACAGCAGGGGGCTTGGTGGGGGCAGCGCTCAGCTGAGCTCTGCAGGGATCATGGGCCTTCATGAGGATGGGACAGAGCCCCACGCTGGTGTGGTGATGAGCCGGGAGCAGGGGGCGTGTAGGGAAGAGGGTTGGAAGGCCAGGGCCACACTGGGCTGTGGTGGGGAGGTGAAGATGAGGTTTCATGCCCAGAGCAGTGGGGAGCCACTGGGGTGCTAAGTCAGAGGTCATGCTGCCTGTGAGGGAGAGAGGGCACCAGAGATGCCAGGGGTAGCTGGGGCTGCCGAGAAGCTGGGGTTGGGGCTGGGTCCAGGGAGGAGGGTGCAGGGCAGGGGAGGAGACAGCACTGGGACCCTTATTGCGGTGGTGGGGAAGGGGAAGGTTGTCCCACCTCAGAGAAGCCTTAAGAATGGGATGGACAGGTCTTCTGTGTGTAGGTGTCTCCGCATGTGTGTATGTGTGCGTGTGTGCACACATGAGAATTCAGCTTCATGTCTCTACATGCATGAGTGTGTATGTCCACGTGTATATGTTCATATGTGTGCATTCTCCTGGGTGCTCATGTGTGTGTATGTCCACGTGTATATGTTCATATGTGTGCATTCTCCTGGGTGCTCATGTGTGTGTATGTCCACGTGTATATGTTCATATGTGTGCATTCTCCTGGGTGCTCATGTGTGTGTATGCCTTCATCTGTGCCTGCATCCACACGTGTGCGCACATGCGTCTGGGATGGCAGATGCTGGGGAGGGTGACGGGGAGAATCCAGAGCCCAGTGATGGGATTGGTCTGGGGGCTCTCCCTGCCCCACGCTGTCAGACTAAGAGACTGGATTACCTAAAGGTCGGGGTTGGGGTTAGGGCCTCCCCCTTGGACCTCCACCCTGAAGTTCTCCAGGCCAGTGGGTGCTTCCCACCCCCAGCAGGTCTGAGCCCAGAGACTGGCGGGTGAACGGTCCAGTGTGTTTACTGAGGGACTTTCAGTGAACCTGAGGATCCCGGGACTAGGGTCCCCATTTGTCTACACCCCACTGTAACCGTTCCAGCTCAGGGCTGCTTCATAGACAAAGGAAACCAACAGCAAACAAATGCTTGTTCTACTTGGCTCCAACCCCACCCTGCAGTGGGCAGGGACACTCTAGCTATCTCTCTTCCTAACAGGGCCCAGCCCGGGGGACCAGGCCTCAAGCTGACCAAGTATCATCGATGGAAGGGGTCCAGGCAGGCTCCAGCCTGCCCAGAGAGGGCAGCGGTCGCCCCACACATCAGCTGCAGGCAGGGTCCCTTCTCCTTGTCAGTGGGGGGCACTACAAGCCCCTTCTGGCCTCCACCCACCCACCCAGAACACGGATGTCAGTCCAGTACCTGACCTGGCTGCACCTTCCAAGCACCCACTGCTTCTCTCTGCCTTCCGCCTTAACCCATGCACACACATCATTCCGTATCAAGGATTAATTTTATCATTGTATTTTCTAAAAGTGTATTGCAACATGTTGTGTTATATCTTTGCGCATTTTGCATCTGTAATACCAAAACAATGAATGAAATGATATATAATTCTTATTTATTTTTATTACTAGCCAACTCAATGTTGTACTCGAAAAAGCACAGCCCCAGACAAGTCAATATAATGTATTTCAGCACAGTGGTTTAGCGCAATTGACTTCAGGAATATGTCACCCACAAACATAACTATTTTTCTGCTTAGAGAGAGAGGTGAGGGTTGGAGCTATGCTCTTAAATTAAAACCCATCCAATTTCAGACTTAACAAAGCACCATTTCCCCCAGATCTTTCCATGGCAAGCCTGTGAGTATTTGTGGCTTCTCGGCAAAAGCCCACCGGGTCCCCATTCTACTTTGTTCTCAAAGCCCGCGTTTGACTAATTCTGTGCTCCCATAATTGCTAAATCAAAAGAATTTATTATCCCCCAAACTTTAAATGGGAAGGAAATAAGGGGAGGAGGTTAGCACTGAACCTTAATAATGATAAAATTCAACCACGGTCAGCGACTTGCAAGCCGGTAATCCCAGTCCAGGAGAACAGGGCAAACCGGAGGAGGAGAGCACGCTGCTCTGAGCCAAGCAGCCATGTTACCCTTCCATTTGGGAAAAAAAAGAAAAAAAAAAACCCTTAAAGGACTCCTTCCAAGAAGGGGAAAAGACCAGCTCCGTTCTTTTCTGTTACCTACTTAAATTAAGCCTAATTCCACTTATTTTGCTGTAATTAATTTGGCTTAATTCTCTCTCCCCTTGTTAAAGGCTTCTTGACATATTCTGGGATTTTTGAAATCACCCTGAGATAGAAAGAAAGAGGAAGAGAGAGAGGTGATGGGGAGGAACAGAGAGGCAAGGAGACAGGAGGGCATAGGAAGAGATCCATTAAACAGTATTTCCGTGAGAAAACAGAAATGCACATCTTTTGGGCCAGACGTGGTGGCTCACGCCTGTAATCCTAGCATTTTGGGAGGCCGAGGGAGGCGGATAACTTGAGGTCAGGAGTTCAAGACCAGCCTGACCAACATGGTGAAACCTCATCTCTACTAAAAATACAAAAATTAGCCAGGGGTGGTGGCAGGCGCCTGTAATCCCAGCTATTCGGGAGGCTGAGGAAGTAGAATTGCTTGAGCCCATGAGATGGAGGTTGCAATGAGTCAAGATCCATGCCACTGCACTCCAGCCTGGGCAACAAGAGCAAAACTCCGTCTCAAAAAAAAAAAAAAACAAAAAACAAAAAACACTTTTATTTTCCTTCCTGGATCCAAGTAGAATTCCTGTTACACAGAATGTGGGGAACAGGCCAGATGCATGGCTTCCATGTAAGGCAGGGGCAGCATCCTGCTGGGTACCCTCTGTCCCCTGCCTGGGGTCAGGGACTGCCCGTGGGGACCCAGAGCTCCGCGAGAGCAGATTCAACCCATGTGATTCAATAAGTGGCAGTGAGCGCCTCCTGGCCACAGGCTGACCAACCCATGAGGCCAGCCAGGCCCCAAAGGAGGTGGGTCCCAAATGCAGGCCACCAGGGAGTGGTCATGTCCCATTGATCCGTGTCGTGATGGCCAGGCACTATACAATTTCCCCTCTTAAATAGTGCAGTGGTTCACCTTGTTCTTCCGGTACTGAGGATGCCTGAGCTCAAAGTCAGCACCACTCACTCAGCTCCTGGGCACGTGCTCCAATCTTCTGTGTCCCTGTCCTCCTGCCACCTCCCTTGGGCGAGGACACCTGGAAAGTGCTCCATCATGTCAACTCACTGACTTGCTTAGCAATGCCGGTGAGGGGAACAGCTGCTGTCCAGGTGGTACAGTCTGCCCAGGGACAGCCACGAGGGATCCACAGACAGGGCTATCCACTGACCGCTGTTGACAAAGTTCTGTGTAAATGGAGTTGTTATAAACCATATCTTCCTTCAAATGCACTTAAGGAGACTCCCTTTAAACACACCTTTGACAAAATCCTTCCCTAAAGCAAAACAGTGTATGTTTGCAGGGAGTCAGCTCTTCCTATTGTAAAGAAAATTCAGAAATTTATATATGGAATTTATTGAAGGAACCCCCTTCACCCCCCACCCCCACTTCTAAAGCGTAAGTTTCTATAGTTTGACTTTATCCCTGGCCTTGGTTCACCGTTCACTCCTTTGCCTTTATCCCTTTGCCTTGATCTCTTTTCTATTTTCATACTATTGTGCTGTATGTATTTTTGTCATCTGCATTAAATGCTTTGGGAACAAGGTGGGTGTGGAGCAGTAAATAAGCAAATGAGCTCACTTGGTAACTTCTCTGTCTCCCCCCTCCTCCAACCTTAGCTGGGCAGGCCCAGGCACTGGGTGAGTCTCAGAAGGCCATGCAGATTGTGTGAGACCATTTTGCGTTGCTATAAAGGAATCCCTAAGCTGGGGTAATTTGTAAAGAAAAGAGGTTTATTTGGCTTACAGTTCTGCAGACTGTACCAGAAGCATAGAGCTGGCATCAGCCTCTGGTGAGGCCTCAGGGAGCTTCCAGTCATGGGTGAAGGCAAATGATGGGTAGGCACATCATATGGTGAGAAAAGAAGCAAGAGAGAGGAGGAGGTGCCTGGCTCATTAGCGACCAAATCTCGTGTGAACTAACAGAGTAACAGCTTGCTTGTTACCATGAGGATAGCATCAAACCATCAATGAGGGATCTGCCCCCATGACCCAAACACCTCCCCTTAGGCCCCGTCTCCAATACTGGGGATCATATTTCAACATGAGACTTGGAGATGATAAATATCCAAACTATTTCAGGGACAGAGCCAAAAGCTGAAGGCTCAGTTGAGTGTTGGAAGGGATGGGAATGTGGGATAATGTCAAGTGTGCCCTTGGGGAAGTAGATAGGACCTTTGTTCAGGCCTGTAGGTTCGTTGGAAGTGAAACATGGTGTGGAGGAGGTAAGGGACACTCATTTCTGGCCAAAGCTTGGCCTCTAAGAAATAGAATATGTTCCAAGGTAAGGCTGAGTGGGCCCGGGGACATGGGAATGTGAATGGGGCTGGTGAAGGGCAGCTGGCTCTATGCTGAGATGCCCACACCCTGAGAACGTATACTTAGGTAGAGAGGCCACCTGCCTGCACATCGCCTGTCCATCTATCTGGCTGGCCTTCTCTCTCCAGGCTTGCAAGTCTGAGTGACAGGAACTGAAAGAGAATGATAATGCGGCCAAGCCACAATCACAAGAAGCTGTGGGCACAGGGCCAAAGAGTATTCTTGGATGGGACGTTTTTGTTTCCAGTGCCCTATTCGCAACCAGCTGCAATTCTTTTTTTAAGTACCATCCCAGCTGACCTTTTGAAACGATGGATTTGTATTTCAATAGGAAGTCTGCATTTTGACTCAAGGATGAGACTCAATTTTCTGTCCTTGGTTGTTCTCCTCAGACAAACCAGTTCTTTTAGGGGCCTGTAAATTTGCTCAAGATCAAAGAGCCACATGTATCCAGAGAATGATAGCCTGGAGGCATTCACCTACCGTGACTCAGGAGAGGAAGAGCTATGTCATCACTGCATATGAGAAGGATGCCTTGCAGAGGGGCAATTCATGACCCACTGGGTCTGTCCATCCAGCCAAAGAAGTGACATATAAAAGTGAACAGGAAATTAGGGCTGGGGTCAAGGCAACTAAACACAGACTCAACGGATTGAGTAATTTTTGCCCACAGGGAGCAGTGATGTAAATAAACATCCAGTAAAGAAAAAAAAAATGTAAGTAAGGAAGGAAGGATGGATGGATGGATGGATGGATGGACTGACAGACAATATATGAGGGATGAATTGACAGATGAATGGATGGGTGGGTGGGTGGGTGGGTGGATGAATGGATGGGTGTATGGGTGGATGGACAAATTGACAGATGGATGGGTGAATTGATGGGTGGATGGATGGATGGATGGATGGATGGATGGATGGATGGACTGACAGACAATGTATGGGAGTGAACTGACAGATGAATGGATGGGTGGGTGGGTGGATAAATGAATGGGTGAATGGACAAATTGACAGATGGGTAGATGGATAGACAAATTGACGGATGGATGGATAGGTGGGTGGATAAATGGATGGGTAAATGAATGGATGTCTGGATGGATGGATGGATGGACGGATGGACAAATTGACAGATGGCTGGCTGGATGGATGGATGACAAATTGACGGATGGATGGATGGATGGATAAATTGACGGATGGATGGATGGATGGATGGATTGATGGATGAACAAATTGACGGATGGATGGATGGATGGATGGATGGATGGATGGATGGATGAATGGATGAATAGATGTGTGGATGAATGGATGGATGGATGAATTGACAGAGGGAAGGATGGATGGATGAATGGATAGCAATTGAAAAATGTGACACAAAAAAATTTTAATTTTGTTGTCACAAGCATAATATTAAAGAAATGAAGGAAGAAAGGAAGGGAAGGAGGGAGAGAAGGAGAAAGAACTCCTTCTGACTCCCTTGCCTTATACAACCCTAGCCAATGCACTTGACAATATCAGCAAGTGGGTGGGAACTGTGCTGAGGATGTTGACCTAGAGATGGGTCCATTTTTAGAATAGGACTGGGAGTAATGATGCTGCTCTGTCATTTCAGAAGATGCCATTAACATGAAGTCCAGGTCCTGGACAACATGTCCCAGGTCTGGCTGCAGGTCCTCAGTCAGCCATTTCTCTTGCAAAAAGAGAAGCATCCAGCCAATGGCATCTGACAGGGTGGCCAGCTCCCCAGATTTGCTCTGGGTTAAAAATAAATCTTAATCCAACAAGACACGCAAGGGAAAGAGGGAAGGAGCCCCATGTTTGTCCTGGGTGTGCTGATAGCACTGGAAGGCCGGAGTCCTGGTCTATAAAAGGTGGATGTTCTTGCCTAGCAAGGCACAGAACTTAAGGGCAAGAGCCAGGGAGCCAGGCGACCAGGGCCATTGACTCCCTGGGGAAGCTTGGACAAATGCTGTAGAATCTTGGAGTTTCAGCTTCCTAACCTGTGAACAGGCGTTCATGATGTCACACTCAATTCTCAGGGCAGCACGGTCTGGAAAGCACCAGTCCAGTGCCAGGCTCAGAGTCGGTGCTCATGAGTAGTAAGAATGATGAACCAGAAGGAGAAGCAGGAAGACAGCTGATGGGGCTCGCCCTGCAGGGGCCTGGCAATGAGCACATGGGCTCAGAAACCCACTTTCCAGGGATGCCCTGCTCCATGTCCTCCCATTGCCATGGTGACCTGTGAAAGTGGGAGCCTGGTGAACACTGCACTGGATAAGAATTAGAGAAGAAGGCCCACATCATCCTATTCGCCTGAAACACACCCTAAAATCCCATTTTCAGTAGACTTTCCTTTTCCTCTCAGAAAGAAAACAATTTATGAAGCATAGAATTCCTTCGATAATTAACTGATGGTTATCACCGCTCACTTTGGCTTCTTTCAAAAGAAGAGGGGCTTGGCAGGGCTGGGGTGAGCTCTCTCCAACTCACATGAGCAGGATGCCTCCAGGCCTGCAGCTAGTGGTCCCGGGGGACGGCTGCCTCCCTGGTCCCTGTGGTTCTGAAGACAGTGATTCCAGGACTGGGTTTTTCTGACCATACTGGCCTGCAAGGACACAGAGGCTGGTGTGGGGCAGGAGCCTTCAGGGGGGCTGCTCTCTCCAGCCCCAGCCTAAGGGTGTGTCACTGAGTCTCCATGTCCCCGCCAAGGCAGTGACAGTGCAGGCATTAGGAATAAGAACATGGGTGAGCATTGGAAGGAAGCAGACCAAGTTTACACCAGGAGACTTGAGCAATGGAGGAGGAAAGAGGGTGGAAAAGCCGAGCCTGCCTTGGGAGTCTTTCAGAGACCCCCAAGGAGAGAAACCTGGGCTCCAGTCCCAGCTCTGCACTGGCCACTGGGCAGATGCAGACTCTGTCACTGCTGAGCGGCTCTGGTAAAGTCCTCAACCTCTCTGGGCCTCTGCTTCCTCACTTAGAAATGATGGGCATGGGCTCTCTGTCTTTCCAGCTTCCCAGCTTTCCAGTCCTCAAGCTCTTTCATTTTTTCTGAAAAGCACGAGGGTCCAAGAAGGTATTTGAATGTCCATGAGGCAGGAGCACCATGCAGCTGCCTGGTCTGGCTTTTACAGCAGAAAAGTCCTCTCTCTTCCCACACAGAACCTCTGAGGCCCCGACACCTCCAGGGTCTTGGGGAAATAAAAACTTTCCTGCCATTCAGTGGGGCTCTGAGAAAGTCCTACAAGGACATGGGCTGGGAACTCTCTAGACAGTGTGGTGATGGAAGTGGCAGGCTTTGGCCAGTGCTCCTGGGGAGGGAGATGCTGCAGGCGGGGAGAAAGCCGGAGGACATGCCTGACACTCCCACCAGCGTTCTCCTGTCCACATCTGCCCAGGGACAAAATAAGACAACAAGAGTAGCAACAGCATCTTCCAGGTGCTCCCGTGTAACCATGATGGCCACAGCCCGCTGCTCACAGCAAGTGAGCACGCCGAGACACCAGGTTGCAGCAGAAAGAGAGAACTAATCATCGGGTTACAGAATAAGGAGGTGAGAGGAAACCTCCAATCCGTTTCCCCAAGGAGTTTGGGGCTGGAGATTGTAAGGGTTTTGGAATGGGTGTAGTATGGAGATTGTTGATGAGTGGAAGCATGCAGGGTGAAGTCCTGGGGCAGGGAGAGGAAGGAGCTGGGTTCTCAGGCTGATCCCCATCCTCCGTGGGGTCTTCAAACTGGTGCTGGAGTTCGAGGTGGGAAACACATCTTACAGAATCCTTAGACAAAAGCTGTATGATTCTAATGTCTGAAATCCCATCTATGGGAACAATAGGCGTGCAAATAAATGGTCAGTATCTAGTGCTACATGAATTTTAGCAACAATGAAGTGTGCCAGAGGGCAGCCTGACTGATGCTTAATTATATTTCTGCCCAGAACCTGGCTTGTAATTCTTGTCAACCATGTGGGGATGGTTTCACTTGCAGAGCCAATTCTCTCACCCAGCCCTGGACATAGAGATGGAGGCTGAGGCAGGAAAGAGGGAAGGGACCTCCAAGGTTAGCAGCAGAGATCTGTTCCTAACTGTGGTCACAGCTCCTAGGTGTCCCATTAGGAAGTTGCTCCTTTCCATGTGGGTTGGTTAAGCCCAAACCCATCTACACTCCATGGGCTACCAGGAGAGGAACATGGCCCAGCCCTGACTATTTACCCCAGGCATCGTCCCCAGCACAGCAATTGACTCAGTGGTGGGCCTGTGACCAGAGCCTGACCAATGAGATGTCAGGATCATTCTTGGGCCCTGTGGGAAGCAGGTTTCCTGCTCAACTAAGGGGCATCCCTGGCTGCACTGTCTTTGCTGCCTAGGAGGCAAGTCTGTGCCCAGCACAGCAGAGCTGAAAAGTGGGGGAGAGGGATTCCCGAGATATCTCTGATCCACCCGTGCATGGTGCAAAGTCTATTCCCAGGCTCAGCTCCATGAGTACTAAAAGAGTACCTGCAACCCCCCGCCTTTTTTTCTGAGATGGAGCTTCACTCTTGTTGCCCAGGTGCCATCTTGGCTCACTGCAACCTCTGCCTCTCGGGTTCAAGCGATTCTCCTGCCTCAGCCTCCCATGTAGCTGGGATTACAGGCATCCGCCACCAAGCCTGGCTAACTTTTGTATTTTTTTTAGCAGAGATGGGGTTTCACCATGTTGGCCAGGCTGGTCTCCATCTCCTGACCTCAGGTGATCTGCCTGCCTCAGCCTCCCAAAGTGCTGGGATTACAGGCATATGCCACCGCACCCGGCCTTTTTTCTGCATTCAGTTTCAGCTGGGTTTCTGTCACTTACCACCAAAGGAGTCTGGTTAAAGGGCACTGTCACACAGCTTGATAGGTCTGGCTTCCCTAGACTCAGATCCAGGGCAGAGGGCTGAGGTTCAGAGGAGGGAGGGGGCGCATGGGCAGACACACCCTGCAGACTTTCCAGGGTCCCCCCACACACATGCACAAACAGTTGCTGGATAGACACAGGGCTCCCTCCCAGGAGTAAGCCCTGGTGCCCTGGTGCCCCTACTCCCACCCAGGGAGGGGAGAGGAGGACAGAAGGCCCATCTTGCATTGAGGGAGAAGAGCATTCAGAGGCTGACCCCTTCAGAAATGCACACACCCAGAGCATGACAGCAGCAGGAAGGGAAATGAGAGCCTGTTTAAGCTGGTGCAGCAGAAATCATTTGGGTAAAAATTAGAGACAATAAAAGGCGGTAATGTGATTCTTAACTGTTGCTCTAGGCCTTCAGGGCAGTTAGAGGAAGTAAATTAGGTGCTGAGCGCCTTCTCCCTCGGGATTGCCAGGGTCTCCCATGAGGGAGAGCTGAGGGGTAGCATTCTGCCCTGCCCCAGGGAATTCCCTGCATATCCAAAAGCAAAGCCCTTCCAGGTGGCCAAGTCCTGACGCCCTTGTCTTGTCACGCTCCCCAAATCACGGCCAAGAGCCGTGCCCTGGGTGGCTGCACTGTTCAGTGCATGAAGGGAGATGACAGACTCAAGGCCTCATCTTCAGGCCCCAGTCTAGGGTTCCCTGTGCTGCCCCTGCCCTTCTCTGCAAGGGGCCCCTAGACATGCAAAACTGGCCGGCGGGAGAATCGCTTGAACCCAGGAGGCAGAGGTTGCAGTGTGCCAATATTGTGCTACTGCACTCCAGCCTAGACAGAGACTCCCTCTCAAAAAAAAAAAAAAAAAAGTGGCATCTGTCCAGGAAACACTGCCCATGCTGGGAGCTGCTGCCTGGACCCCAGGGAAGAGGGAAGCTCCTGGTGGGTGTCCAGGGATCCTCGGTGATGAGAGGAGTGGGGACAAGGCCATAAAGAGAAACACCCAATGGAGTCTATGGGCCTTACCCCTGCTGCCCCCCATTCCCCATGTCCCCCCACTCCTCTGTCAGGCCTACCCAGACTCCCCTCCCCAAGAGCCTGAAGCACCAGTAACATGACTGTGTTAGTCTGTTCATGCTGCTGTCATCAAGTCTCTGAGACTGGGTGATTTATAAAGAACAGAGATTTACTTCTCACTGTTCTTGAGGCTGGGAAGTCCAAGGCATCCACAGGTTTGGTATCTGCTGAGGGCTGCTTTCTGCTGCCACGATGGGACATTGAACACTGTCTCCTCCAGTGGAGAGGACCACTATGTCCTCACGTGGTGAAGGCAGAAGGGCAAAAAGAGGCCAGATTCCCAGATTCTCTCCACCAAACACTTTTTTTTTTTGACATGGAGTTCCATCTTGTTGCCCAGGCTGGAGTGCAGTGGCGCAATCTCGGCTCACTGCAACCTCTACCTCCTGGGTTCAAGCAATTCTCCTGCCTCAGCCCCCCAAGTAGCTGGGATTATAGGTGCTCACCACCATGGCTGGTTAATTTTGTATTTTTGGTAGAGACGGGGTTTTGCCATGTTGGTCAGGCTGATCTCAAACTCCTGACCTCACGTGATCCACCCACCTTGGCCTCCCAAAGTGCTGGGATTACAGGCATGAGCCACTGCACCTGGCCTAAACCCTTTTATAATGGCATTAATCCATTCAGAAGGGCAGAGCCCTCCTGACATAAACACCTACCAAAAGGCCCCACCTCCCCACACTGTTGCATTGGAGATTGAGTTTCCAACATGTGAATTTTGGAGGGGACATATTCAAACCACAGCAGTGATCTCCCACTCACCCTTCCTCCCCCTGGCTCTCCCCCAACATACACTCTACCTCAGGAGACCCTGGCCCTGCTGTGTCCATCGGTCTCAGGTCTCACTAGACAGAGTGATGGGCCAGAAATGGGTCCAGCTTCAGCTTAAGGATGACACAGACCCTTCTCGGGGACCTGCAGGGTCTGAAAACAAGGGTACTCCTGTCCCCCAAGTAGGCTTCCATTGCTCTACACAAGGGAGTAGGGTCGCTGGGAAAGTCTTGGACAGGTATAGAGAGCCTCTCTAGCATCCTTCCTGGGACAGGCTGCCCAGGTTGGGCCACAGGGAAAGTATTCGCATTTCTCCTTCCATTGCCAAGCGGCCAGCGTCCACCAGGGGAAGGTGTCCACCACCAACTGAAAGTGGTCTGTCCAAAGGTCCGAGCCTAATCCGGACATTACCTGCAGAACAAGCATCCCAGGGCACCTGGATGGGTAGGTGTTCCTGCCCAGGCTGCAGGTGTCCTCCGGGCCAGGCCAAGTCCAGGTCTAGAGCACTGCGGCCATCCTCCAGCAAGTTGAGGCTGCTGGGGTGCTGGGAGCCCACTGAATGTTAGGAGCCCATTATGTGGCTGGGAACAGAGAGATGGGCTTGGCTCAAGAGAGACCAGCAGGTCCAGGTCCCTTCCAGGGAGTCTCAAGGCAGGCAGGAGACCGACTTCTCACCCAATAGGAGCCCTGCCAGCACCCTCTGAACCCCATTCCCTCATTCATTCAACTGTTATTTATTCCCTGACTGCTGTGTACCAGGTGGAGGTGTGCTGGGTGCTGGGGGACGAATGATGAGCAAAGTCAGGGCACAGTCCTGGCACCTGCTGGCCATGCCATCATAACCAGATGAGCATTTCTCAGCTCCAGTACCGCCGACATTTTAAGCCAGATGTTCAGCATTCCTGGCCTCTACCCACTGCATGCCAGGAGCACCTGCCACTTATGACAACTAAACGTGTCTCCAGACATTGCCAAATGTCCCAGAGGATGGAAGTGTAAAGTTGGCCCCAGTTGCCTGGGAACCACTGGTCTAAGGAGAAGACCAAAAGAAAACACCCCACAGGGAAGGCCACACAGTACAAGCAGAGAATGAAACGGAAGCTCCCGTTTTTGCTGGGCAGGCACACAATCCCCTCAAAGGAGAACGTTATGAGCTGGGCCCAGAGCAGAAGGAGGGGCCTGCCATGCAGGGGTTTCATGTGAAGCCCAGTTGCCTGCACTGGCTCCCTGGGGCCTCTCCCAGCCCCAGCGTGGGCCATTTGGCAGGAATCACCATCCCCAGTTAACATGTTACAGGAATCCTAGCCAGGAAAGGGGAAGTGATTCTCAAGGTCACCTGGCCCTGAAGCTTGACCTTGGATCTGGTACTCCACTCTTCTCCCCTCTTTCTCTTTTCTCCCCGCTTTCATCCTCCCTCTCTGATGCTCCTCCTTTTCTCTCCTTTCTCCTTCTAACCCCCATATGTTCTGAGGGACTCAGGACTCAAGACGAAGCAATCCTGGTCATGACCTTGGGGAAACATTGAGAGGAGGGCCGAGTCCTCGCTTGGCACAGGGCCCGGCGCGTAGTAGGTATTCAGGCGGCGCTGACGTTCTCTGTGACACCCGCGTGCCCCACTGCCTGGCTCAGCAGGACGGGGAGCAGGTGGCTGGCTGTTTTAACAGGGTATTGTGTAACCTCCTGCCCTTGATTGGTGACATGAAGGAGAGAATCAGACGCATGCTGGAAACCCACTCGGAGGGGCGCAGACCAAATCCACAGCTTGGAGTCACCATCTCTTGGCAGGCGCCAGGCAGTTCAGCCTCTCCCAAGGAGACTGTAATTGAGAGCAGCACTAGGTTATCTGTGACTGCGCATCCAAAAAAAAAAAAAAGGCAAGAAAAATAAAAATTAAAAAAAATCTGAATTGCTTAGCATCTGAATTGCTTCCCGAAGACACAGAATTTAAACATGATTAATTTTTAGGCTTTTTTGTGAATAAGGGCTGATTAAATGTTTATATTTTCCATCATTTTGCTGAAAGCGTGACTACATTATGCCAGCAGAACTGCACTAACTAAATAATATTTCTGTTACTGTTATTACATTGATTCTGCAACATTGGGAAACAAGATCTCTGCTATCATTATATCAATCCAAATATGGCATTAAGATCAGTGTGCAGACAGAAAGGGCTCCCTCCTCCTTCTCCATATACCTGGATATTGGATTTTCAACACCTGAGGAGAGGAACCCAGGGCTGGGGAGGAGGTCGCCTTCCGGAAGACATTTCAGATGATGCATTTTCCGAAAGGAGGTCGACTCAGACCTCCCTGCTCCCATCCTCCTGTCTGAGAACCTGTGTCTCTCTTGCTTCCACTGACATCGACTCCAAAGGAAATAAAATTAATCACCCCTGCCTGGAAGTTATCCTGCCTGTGAGTTACACACCGGCTTACAAAGGGTGGCTGAAACGCCCCCCATCAGGCACCCTGTCTGCCTAGTCCCACAGCTGGCCAGATTTTGATGACAAAGGTGATGTTGCTATTGTCACCCTGATACCGCGTGCAAAAATGAGATGAAATATATTTTGACTGGTTTATAAAAAACAATCTGACATAAAGTAATATTCATCTTTGATGAATCCAATATTCTTAGGGAATGATATTAGGCGGTATCTATTATATCTTTCATTGTGCTCCCATCTGCCCTTTTCAGGAGCTAAATTATGTGCATTAGTACGTAAATGGGCTAATGCCTTTCTGTATTTAGAGGACTGCACGCCGTGAATATATTCTCTGCTTCAAGAAGTAATTGGTAATTACAATGGTCATTTAGGCAATCACTGTCTCTGCTAGATTCATGTCATTCTTAAAAATAACTAGCTCTTAACCTTTGACAGAATTCTACAGAAACTGTTCATCATCGCCCACGCTTTGATTAATTTCACACATACACAAACCTGTATCAATAAAAGTGATGGTTTTACATTTGTTAACCACAGCAATTTGCCTCACTCATCAAAACAGCTTAATATCAGGTAACAGTGTGCTCCAAATCTCATTAGTTTCATTTTATAAACAGTTTTATAGTACCTTACTTGGAGGAAAAAACAGTGCATTCGAGCTGTTCTCCCCATTCAAACCATCTCTAAACCAAAGGCGCTGCGGTATTTATGGGGGTCTTTTTTTTTTAATTGGGGGGGAGGCGTAAAATAAATGAAACTTAAGAAAGATGACAGATGTTACAAAATGCAAGTTTCTCATTATTTACTTACTGTTCACCCTAAATTACCCAAGCCGCCCATTATCTGTTGTATTTGCATGTGGGCTCTACGGTTCAGAGGAACTGAGAGGAGAAGGAAGGAGAGTTAAAATGTCAGGCAGATGATGAAAAAGCCCAGCTTAGGGAAACTCCCCGGACATCCCGCAGCTCCTTCAGCCCCCGTCGTCTGCAGCAGCTCTGAGACCTGTAGACTTCACCTTTAAGGGCATGCCCTCCCAATTTAGCACCCCTTTTTATTTATGTAAAAGCTTCAACAAATAAGTGGTCGTAGGAATGCCAACAGCATGCTGTCGTTATTTGGATTTAAAGCTGCAAGGCAGACCTTCCCGGGCAAAGGGAATTAAAGAGCATACTCCATGCCTGCAAAGATAATCGAGTCCTGTCTATCGAAGGCGGGCCTCGCTTTTCCAGTTAATATAATTATATGGAATTACAGAGCCACTTGCATTATTGAGGTAAAATTAGACTTTATCGTCAGCATCACCCAAATCCCTGCCTTTTTTGAGGTTAGATGCTTGTCTGTGAAACAGGATGCATAGAGGCTTCCAGGCTAAAGTACATCCGTCAGAGATGAGGCTGATTGCTGCCCCACATGAAGGCTCTGCAGAGTCCTGTCTCAGGGCTTGGGCTGGGGTGGGTGAGCAGAGATGTGCCAGCCTGCAGGCCTCAGGGACTTCAGGGCTGGGGATGCTTATGGGGGAGGCAGGAAAGACAGGATCCCATTGAGGGGAGATGCAGGCAGCATGAGAGGGGGCAGGACTTACTGTGGCCACCCCAGACCTTCTGAGGAGGTGCCTCTGGAGGTGAGAGTTCTACCTCACCCCCAGCCTTTACTGGGTTCCCAGAACCTTCTCCTCTTGCTCTATCCACCTGCCAAGTCTGAGTGTGCTAAAGGCCAGTCCCAGCTCCCAGGTTCTCCAGATTCAGACCCTGATGCTGCGTGCTCTGCAAAGAACATGTCCATCATCTCAGCAGTCCCCTCTGGCCTTCCCCAGCCCACCCGGGGATAGCCCAGGCCACCTAGGGCAGACCACAGCCAGAGGCCCCACCAAGCAGGACAGAGTCTGAGGCCGATCAGCAATGGACTGGGATTTGGGGATCAAGGCAGAGTTGCTGGGAGAATGCCTGGCAGGCACTGGAAGGATGCTTGCAGGAACATTTCTCTTCCCTCTGTAAGGTGGAAGCGTTAGCTGGGGGCATGTACCAGGGCTGAAGTAAATCCCTGGCGAGCACAGACAGACCTGTACAAACAGACCTGTACAAGGAGGGCTTGTGCTGTGTTCCTGCTCTGTCCTCAGTGCCGTGACAGGGCCTGGCACCTAGCACACTCTCCTTTCGTGTGGCCTGAAGGAATGAATGGGCTGCCAGAGTAGCAGCCGCAGTAATGATTCCAGTGATAATAATGAGGGTGTTGGCGATGATGACACGCCCTGAGCACTAACCATGTACCTGACACTGTGCAAACATATTTCAGCCCTTTTTCATAGCACTTCTGTAAAATGAATATCATTTTTTGTTTTTTTGTTTGTTTGTTTTTTGTTTTTGAGAAGGAGTCTTGCTCTGTCACCCAGGCTGGAGTGCAGTGGCACAATCTTGGCTCACTGCAACCTCCGCCTCCCAGGTTCAAGCGATTCTCCTGCCTCAGCCACCTGAGAAGCTGGGACTACAGGTGGCTGCCACCACGCCCAGCTAATTTTTTTGTATTTTTAGTAGAGACGAGGTTTCACTGTGTTGGCCAGGCTGGTCTCAAACTCCTGACCTCAAGTGATCCACCCACGTCGGCCTCCCAAGCAAATATCATTTTTATGTCCACTTGACGGATGAGAAATTTGAGATTCCAGGCCCTGAATACTGGCTCAGCTGCTTCTCAGCCATGCTATTTAACCACTCTGGAAGTAAATGTATTCGTCTGTCAAATGGGCATATAAAGGAACCTGCCTGGTGAGGTTTGTAAATGAGATAACCCACATGACTTGCTTAGGACAGTGCCTGGCTCATGGGAAACAAGAACAGAGGCAGCTATTATGACTGTGATCATTATTCTATTACCACCCTCCTATCCCACGTGCCCATTGCAAGAGCCACACTTTCACAAATCCCTGAGCCAAAGCCCACTGGGATCCCACACTCAGGGACAGCTGCATCACAGATGAGACTCAATGAAGAATGAAAACGTGGGACCCCTTGTTCAAAAAGCAAGGGAGAAATGCCATTAAAGCCACTGAAATAAGTATTTTCCTAGCTGGGTCCAGTGGCTCACACTGGTAATCCCACCACTTTGGGAGGCCAAGGCTGGAGGATCGCTTGAGCCCAGGAGTTCGAGACTAGCCTGGGCAACATAGCAAGACCGCATCTCTACAAAAAATACAAAAATTAGCTGGGCATGGCTGCACATTTCCTGTGGTCCCAGCTACATGGGAGGCTGAAGTGGGAGGATCACTTGAGCCCAGGAATTTGAGGCTGCAGTGAGCTGTGATCACGCTACTGCACCCTAGCCTGGGTGACAGGGCGAGACCCTGTCTCTAAAAAATAAAAACTAAAGAATTCTCCTGCCTTCTGCTCTTTCTCTGGGCTTGTCATGGTGTTTTTAAATTGCTACTTAGTATCACTCTGAGGGGAAAGAGAGCTTTCACCTGGAAGGTTCCATCTCTGCAGGGGCATTGAGAAACTGGGGACATGTGTTCAGAGAAGCTGCTCCTGTCCCCACGCGGGCATGCTGACCACTGTAGGACACCCTCTCTGAGGAAGCCCAGAGATAGGGGATGGGCCAGAGCTGTGAGTCCTGCTGCTTGGCTGGGCTGGGCCAGGAGCAGGTGACGAGGCCAGCAGAGAGCAACCTCTGCTTCAGGGAGCTTGGCCGAGAAGTAGCTGGTTTTTTTGAATCCCTGGATTGGAAAAACGCTAATAACTTTCTCTTTCTTTTTTTGATACATAAAAGGCAAAGAATACGGTCTGATTCTCTCCTGTCTTCTGACAGGTATATGATAATGGGATGATTTTGTGCCTACAAAGGTCAGAGATAAAAATTCACAACTCTCTCCACACGTATATTCAGCAAGAATATAAAGATTGAAAGAAAAACAAATGCCTGCCATGGTGGGGCTTCTCCACTTTCCCCTCCCGGCCTCCCTGCCTGCCCATGTGCACACGTGTGTGCATGTGGTAGATCATGACTTGAATTTCAGCCGGAGGAGAATGAGGATGACTCAGAGCCAGTGCTCTCAACACCGCCCACTCCCCAACCCAAGTCACAAAATTGCCAAAAATGATAAAGTATAAATTAGGTCAGATGGGTTGCAAAATGGCAGGAACTGGGATTTTCACCATGGAAACTACTGGGTGCAGAATGCCACCCTCCCGGGGCTGGCAAAGCATCTGAGCTCTCCTGAGATGTGGAGGGGCAGGGACCCCGGGGAGGAGCAGGGACAGGGAGGGGCGCCATAACCACTTCCCTCCTCAGCACCCCGTGTCCTCCTGCATAGCAGGGGTATACAGTGTAGCCCTTTTCAAAGCCCTGCCACGCTTTCTTTCATCTGAACTCCAGAAACCACCTCAAGGTGGACGTTATTCTCATTGCACAGAGGACAAACCTGGTATTCAGAGAGGATGGGAGACATGCAGAAGGTCACACAGTGACAGCCCATGTCGCTCCGAGCCAGGGCTGGGTTACACCTAGAGAGCTGTGGAAACGGGGAGCAGGAAAGAATGGGCCTGGCACCATAGGGGCGAGGCTGACCTTGGGAGGCCAACAGGATCACAGTGAGCCTCTGCCCTAATCTGACCCCTGCAATCAGGTGCTCACTGGGCTCACAGTCACAGCCTCCTCCTTCCACTCCTCCTGATCCGACTTGGAATTCTCATTTTCCGATTATGTCCTAACCCCGGACGAGCCAGCAGTGACAGGCGATCGATCACAGCAATAGTGATGGTGGCACTGACACTTACTAGACACGCATCCTGGGCCAGTCCCTGTGCAAGGCACGTTGCCTGCTTCATTTTATCCATTTCTCACACCCATTTTACAGACGAGGGCTCTGAGACCAGACACAGGACCCACACGTCAAGGTGGCACAGCTAGCGCGTGTGGGGCAGGGCCTTGGGACTCCTTTCAAATGCAGAGCCAGCTCTGCGCCCATTTCTCTAGGTGGGGGCCCAAGCAACGCCTCCAACCACACGGTGGGAAAACTGAGGTGGCTGAGAGGCAGGCCTGGAAAGCAGATGGTCCTGGATTGGGGTCCTGCCACTCCTTCTCCCACCTGAGACCTCAGACTGGAGACGTTCTTAGCCTCAGTTTCTAAATCTGGATGACAGAGGTGAAATGAGACCTACCTACAGGTGGTGGGCAGGGAGAGGAGGGTAGTGGGAGGAGTAAAGGCCCTGGACGGCCTCAGAGGTTGTCATAACGAGTTCCCTGTGTGTATTGGCTCCAAGTGAGCTGGTTATTATGAAGGGAGGTAGAGAAAGGAAAAGCCCAGAACAGCATCGGTGAGCCTTGTTGTGCTCTGACCAAGCCCTCCCCCTCCAGGAAGCCTTCCCTGACCCCTTCTGGCCCCACATTCTCTCCATTCTGACCCGCATTTCTGGTGACGTCATGCCTGCCAGCATTTTGCAACTGTGTGTCCCCTTCCACCCAGTGGGGAGCTTCTTAGGGGACTGTGGATGACAAAGCTGGCACGCAGCACAGGCACTTATCACTTTGTGATTTCTAAGCCCACATGTATCTTAAATACAGAACAAACATTTGCCCACAAATTGGCCACCCTTACTTGGGGTTCCACATGACCCCAAGATCATTTTCTGCCATGCTTCCCTCTCTCCTACCTCAATCCCTCCAGCACAGGGATCCCTGCAAGGACATGTGGAAGAGGTGCCAACAAACCTTAGGTGATGACCCCCTTAGCCCCTTGACCCCACAAGCCAACACCCATGGTTCCAGTTCTGTGAGACTGAGTTGCTGGGACTTCTGGCAATGTTGAAGTGGCCTTGAGTCAATTCTGTGGTGTGTCCACGTGGGCATGTCCGACCGCCTGTGTGCACATGTGTGTGTGAAAGCTCGTGTGTGAGCCTGTGTACCCTTGGCATGTGCCCATAAATATCCATGTGCACAGGTCTGTGTGCAGGCCTGCACATGTGTGTCTGAGGAGTGTGTGTGTACACGAGTCTGTGCATGTCTGCGCATCCGAGCACTGTCATTGTGCATGCCTGTTTTTGCTTGTCTGTGCACAAGTGTGTGTATGCATATGTGCCTGCGCCTTTCTGTGTGTCTGTGTGCAGGAGCAGCTATGGGTGCGTCTGTCCAGGCGTATACGTGTTTCTGAATGCTGGCGCCCTTGTGTGGTGGGCGTTGGGAGTCTAGAGAGCTATGCTGAGGTCCTGAGCCATCACTCAAGAAGGAATGTGGAGCAGACAGTCACTCAGTGGGTTACTAACATGAATACTGGAGCCCACTGTGACGAATGGTGACACGCCTGCCTTTTCAGAGGAAGAAGGAAAATGCTTCCAGCATGGGTGAGGCAGGGTGGCCTAGGGAGGAGCAGCCCTGGTGGCCACAGGGCTGGAGACTGAGTTCCAGGCCTGCCCCTACCCTGTCGAGTCATGATTTTGGGCTGCTCTTCTGAGCCTCAGTTTTCCATCCCCTAAAATGAGCAAAATGAGGGTGGCAGAGAAACAAGGTGGCCAAGAAGGCTGGCTGGCTATGGACTCCAGCTGGGCTCTGAGAACCTCCTTGGCTGTGCTACTTAACCTCTCTGGACTTGAATGTATTCATCTGTCCAATGGGCGCATAAACAAAGTACCTGGTGGGGTTTGCAGGAGGGAATGAGATAACCCATGTGACTTGCTTAGGACAGTGCCTGACTCACGGGAAATGCAAACAGAGGCAGCTATTATGACTGCGATTATTGACTCACGGGAAATGCAAACAGAGACAGCTATTATGACTGCGATTATTATTCTACTACCAACCTCCTATCCCACCTGGCCACTGCAAGATTCACACTTTCACAGCTCCTCAAGCCAAAGCCCCTTGGAGTCCCACACCCAGGGACAGCTGCATCACAGATGAGACCCCACCATGAACAAAAATGCAGGAACCCCAGCCGGGCCGCAGTGGCTCACACCTGTAATCCTAGCACTTTGGGAGGCCAAGGCAGGTGGACTGCATGAGCTCAAGAGTTCAAGACCAGTCTGGGCAATATGGCAAAACCCTGTGTCTACTAAAAATATAAAAAATTATCTGGGCATGGTGGCACATACCTGTAGTCCCAGCTACTCAGGTGGCTGAGGGAGGAGAATCTCTCAACCCCAGGAGATGGAGGTTGCAGTGAGCTGAGAGCACGCCGTTGCACTCCAGCCTGGGTAATAGAGTGAGACCCTGTCTCAAGAAAAAAAAAAGTAAGAACCCCTTGTTCAAAAAGCAAGGGAGAAATGCTGGGAAAGGCGCTAAAATATAAAGCATTATTTTTTCTTCCAGTCTTTCTCTAGACTTGTCATGGTGTTTTTAACTTACTATTTGAAGCCATTCTGAATAAAGAAAAATAAAAACTCTACATTATTAGCATGAGTTTTACGTTCATCATTATATTGTGCCATGCCAGTTTTAAATACAAATATACAAGTGTTTAACTCATAGCAGAATCACCAAAATTACACAACTTTTTTCTAGCTCATTCATTCATATGTATTTCATTCAGAACAGTGGGAGGGCTGCACAGAATGAACACAACTGCTTTTATTTCACTTCCTGAGGCACACACACTCTGCCCATACCCTCTACCTTCAGTTTGTGGATGGGCAAGGAAGGGCTGAGAGGAAGAAGGACTGTGGGGAGCCCCATCTTTCTCTTCCTCTCATAGCATCATTTCCAGTGTAAGGGATCGGCTACTCTAGGGACATAACACTGGCAAGAAGGATATGGTTGGGTTTCCTGGTCGCTTGTGTTTCTTAGGGTACCAGTGTCTTCTCTCTGTGTTTGAAGTAAGCTCTGGTTCAAAGTGAAATCATGTTATTTGCAACTCAACGGATAAATGCTTGAGGGATGGATACCACACTCTTCATGCTTTGCTATTTCACATTGCACGTCTGTACCCAAACATCTCGTGTACCTCATAAACATATACACCTACTATGGTTGCTTGTGTTTCTTAGGGTACCAGTGCCTTCCCTCTGCATTCGAAGCAAGCTGTGTTTCAAAGGGAAATCCTGTTGCTTGCAACTCAACGGATAAATGTTTGAGGGATGGATACCCCATTCTTCATGGTGTGCTATTTCACATTGCATGTCTATATCAGAACATCTCATTACCCCATACATATATACACCTACTATGTACCCACAAAAGTTAAAAATTAAACAAATTAAAAATAAAATATAAACAAAGGCAAGTCATGGCCCCCTGGGGGCTGTCAGCACCTCACGTAGTACTGGATGTCACGTGCTTGCCTTGCCTTCGCATCGAGTCTCGCTGAATGCCCGTGCACGGTGAGTCCGCCAGAATGTGGTGCTCATGGGTCACCATGGTGCAAAGGGGATGGCACGGTGTGGCACACCTCCCCTGCTGGTGCAATGCCCCGGTGCCCCATCGGACCTCACTCACCAAGCAGAAGCTCAAAGATTAAATTATTAAACATTTCAAAATGACAAGAGCACAGCATGAAGCCAAGTACATGGCCCTGTGTGACGACACAGAGCTCCCGGCCACAGAGCGGGCCCTGCCCAGCCCCTGCCCCGCCCTGGCTGCCCTGGCTGCCCTGGTGGTGGCCTTGACTTCCCTGGGATTCTCAGCACTATCTCCACTCCCACCCCCTTTAGTGGCAGGGACCAGGTGATAAATACGGCCACGTCCCTCCGCCAGATGCCTCTCACAGAAGTCAGCGCACCAGCCAATTCCACCCATGTTAACTCCACCGCATTTAGCCACAGCACTAATTAAAATCCCTCCCATAAAAGTTGTTATCTCCCAGATGCTCCGTAAATAGTAAATATGCTGCCGGGGCCCCCATTAGGATGCGCCTGTGTGTGGGGGGTCGCTGTTTATGGAGCAGCTCCAGAAGTGGGTTTGGTGCCGTGCTTGGTGTGACGGGGAGCTCAGGGTCACCCGCACTGATTGAGCTCAAGGTGGGGCCAGAGCATATCAAAGGGTGAAGATGGATCCTCACTCCACAACCGATGTATGGAGGCTGCTCAGAGCCTCAAGACTGACCGACTCAAGGCTCACACCCTGGTTGGGTTAATAGGCACAGCACCAGCACAGCAAGGGTCACGGAAGGGCAGGGGCCAATTAGACCTTACCCACAGAAAAGTCCGGCGCCAACCCACTGCTAAAACCTCTCGTGCATCCAGCTCCTACTGTTAGCCAGTTGCTGGGCACCTACTTTGTTCCCAGCTAAACACTGAGCACATATTATCTCATTTAATTTTCAGAACATCCGGTAAGAAAACATATCACTGTCCCCATCAGGAAACAGAGGTACAGGGATCACACAGTTAGTGACGGAGCTGGGACTTAATCCCAGCTGTGTGCCCAGAATGAGGCAGCCTCGCCTCAAGCCATCAGGAGCCCCCCAACTAATCCCAGGCAGAAGGTACCCACTCCAGGGCAGCTGTACCCCATGGGGTCCACTACCCTATCAGGGTATGGGTTCTTGAGACAGCCACCTGTGACTTGCGATTCCAACACCCCCAGCTAGAGAGAACACTTAAAAATAGCTGCTTCTATTTCTTTTCCCATCAACAACAAAACAATTAATTTCTCTCAGTAGAGATTGTTTCTGTGAAGAGCAATAAGGTGTCTCCCCAGGAGGCGTCATTATGATGAAAGCATCAGTCTAGGGTGGGATGGGATGAGGGGGCTTCTCCTCTGGATGGAGCCTCTGCCGGCCGCCCAGTCCCTGCCTGCTTTGCCCACCCTTCTGTCCCTGCTCTTGCCAGCCAGGGTGGTGGCACCCCCGGCGAGGGCACCCCTCAGAAGGGCCTGGCGGGGGAAGGCACGTCCCTGGGCGCTCACGCACAGGCATACACAGTTACGGCCTTGGGAAGCCGCCACTCACCATAAAATGCCAAGCGGCCCAGCTGTCCACAACCGCTTCAAGCCGCCTGGCGGACTCAGTCAGGAATCCATAAACAGGCCGGGATGGAGGAAGGGAGGATGGTTAATGAGCCCTCCCGTCCCATGCCCAGGCTAGTGGAGAGCCCCGCGTGCTTCCCAGGTGGAGGACGGGGGTGTCCCTGAGCCAAGCACCAGAAGGCAAGGGAGGAAGAGACCTCTAAATTCAGGGACCCTGGGAAGCCCTGAGCATGTCAGCCATGCCCCCCTCTCCTAGATGGCTGCCTCTGTCACCCCATAAGCTAGCCCCAACCCTCCTCCTGCAGGCCATACCCTCAAGCAGCACAGTTGAACTTGGGACTGCCCGCTACCTACTTCTCCTGGGTCCTCTGAGAACCTGAGTCTGCCCACAGTGACCTTGCACTGAAGCCCTGCAGGAGTGGGGACATTTTTCTGTGTGACACTCAAAGACTCCACAACACCCTCGCTTCAGAACCCCTTTACCAGGCGAACAAGAACAGGCTTGTGTTTGGGAGAAACGGCCCCTCTCCACGGGGGTGACAGATGCGGGACCCGGGTCAGGGCGCAGTCTTGTGCCTGATGCTCAGGCAGGAAGAAGGCTGATATCTGTGCATAAACGAGGTCTGTTTGTCAAATACAAGTACCTCGTAAATGAAATGGCAGGAGGCCAAAACCAATCGCGCCACAGCCCCATGGACGCTCTGACAGATTTCCACATTTAAGTTACTGTGACTGCTCGCTCCAGGTTGAAAATCCACCAGCTTTGACAAGAGCAGATCCTGGGATAACACACCCTAAGAGATTTCATCCCAACATTTAGAAAAACACCTGGAGTGTGACCTGGCTGGAGGAGGTCCCCAACCTGGCCATCTGGGAAGGTCGAGCAAGGGTTCCTGGGGTTCTCTCTCCATGGGGCCTCCAAATATAGGGTCCCATCTGAAGGGAAAAGTAAAGGTGATAATGACTGCTGTGAGTGTCAAACCAATGCAAGCATTCCCAGCTGAAATGGAGTGTTACACGACTGCTGTTTCTGCATTAGACTCTGATGGTCACAAAAGATACACTCCTTTAAAGTAGTTTTTTCCAATTCTGTGAAGAAAGTCATTGGTAGCTTGATGGGGATGGCATTGAATCTGTAAATTACCTTGGGCAGTATGGCCATTTTCACGATATTGATTCTTCCTACCCATGAGCATGGAATGTTCTTCCATTTGTTTGTGTCCTCTTTTATTTCCTTGAGCAGTGGTTTGTAGTTATCCTTGAAGAGGTCCTTCACATCCCTTGTAAGTTGGATTCCTAGGTATTTTATTCTCTTTGAAGCAATTGTGAATGGGAGTTCA
The DNA here is from genome assembly GCF_000001405.40 of Homo sapiens. Taxonomy (NCBI): domain Eukaryota; kingdom Metazoa; phylum Chordata; class Mammalia; order Primates; family Hominidae; genus Homo; species Homo sapiens. The sequence goes on along the minus strand of NC_000019.10, from coordinate 30,143,660 downwards.
CTCATGATTTGGCTCTCTGTTTGTCTGTTGTTGGTGTATAAGAATGCTTGTGATTTTTGTACATTGATTTTGTATCCTGAGACTTTGCTGAAGTTGCTTATCAGCTTAAGGAGATTTTGGGCTGAGACAATGGGGTTTTCTAGATAAACAATCATGTCGTCTGCAAACAGGGACAATTTGACTTCCTCTTTTCCTAATTGAATACCCTTTATTTCCTTCTCCTGCCTGATTGCCCTGGCCAGAACTTCCAACACTATGTTGAATAGGAGCGGTGAGAGAGGGCATCCCTGTCTTGTGCCAGTTTTCAAAGGGAATGCTTCCAGTTTTTGCCCATTCAGTATGATATTGGCTGTGGGTTTGTCATAGATAGCTCTTATTATTCTGAAATACGTCCCATCAATACCTAATTTATTGAGAGTTTTTAGCATGAAGGGTTGTTGAATTTTGTCAAAGGCTTTTTCTGCATCTATTGAGATAATCATGTGGTTTTTGTCTTTGGCTCTGTTTATATGCTGGATTACATTTATTGATTTGCGTATATTGAACCAGCCTTGCATCCCAGGGATGAAGCCCACTTGATCATGGTGGATAAGCTTTTTGATGTGCTGCTGGATTCGGTTTGCCAGTATTTTATTGAGGATTTTTGCATCAATGTTCATCAAGGATATTGGTCTAAAATTCTCTTTTTTGGTTGTGTCTCTGCCAGGCTTTGGTATCAGAATGACGCTGGCCTCATAAAATGAGTTAGGGAGGATTCCCTCTTTTTCTATTGATTGGAATAGTTTCAGAAGGAATGGTACCAGTTGCTCCTTGTACCTCTGGTAGAATTCGGCTGTGAATCCATCTGGTCCTGGACTCTTTTTGGTTGGTAAACTATTGATTATTGCCACAATTTCAGAGCCTGTTATTGGTCTATTCAGAGATTCAACTTCTTCCTGGTTTAGTCTTGGGAGAGTGTATGTGTCGAGGAATGTATCCATTTCTTCTAGATTTTCTAGTTTATTTGCATAAAACAAAGAGCCCGCATCGCCAAGTCAATCCTAAGCCAAAAGAACAAAGCTGGAGGCATCACACTACCTGACTTCAAACTATACTACAAGGCTACAGTAACCAAAACAGCATGGTACTGGTACCAAAACAGAGATATAGATCAATGGAACAGAACAGAGCCCTCAGAAATAATGCCGCATATCTACAACTATCTGATCTTTGACAAACCTGAGAAAAACAAGCAATGGGGAAAGGATTCCCTATTTAATAAATGGTGCTGGGAAAACTGGCTAGCCATATGTAGAAAGCTGAAACTGGATCCCTTCCTTACACCTTATACAAAAATCAATTCAAGATGGATTAAAGATTTAAACGTTAGACCTAAAACCATAAAAACCCTAGAAGAAAACCTAGGCATTACCATTCAGGACATAGGCGTGGGCAAGGACTTCATGTCCAAAACACCAAAAGCAATGGCAACAAAAGCCAAAATTGACAAATGGGATCTAATTAAACTAAAGAGCTTCTGCACAGCAAAAGAAACTACCATCAGAGTGAACAGGCAACCTACAACATGGGAGAAAATTTTCGCAACCTACTCATCTGACAAAGGGCTAATATCCAGAATCTACAATGAACTCAAACAAATTTACAAGAAAAAAACAAACAACCCCATCAAAAAGTGGGCGAAGGACATGAACAGACACTTCTCAAAAGAAGACATTTATGCAGCCAAAAAACACATGAAGAAATGCTCATCATCACTGGCCATCAGAGAAATGCAAATCAAAACCACTATGAGATATCATCTCACACCAGTTAGAATGGCAATCATTAAAAAGTCAGGAAACAACAGGTGCTGGAGAGGATGTGGAGAAATAGGAACACTTTTACACTGTTGGTGGGACTGTAAACTAGTTCAACCATTGTGGAAGTCAGTGTGGCGATTCCTCAGGGATCTAGAACTAGAAATACCATTTGACCCAGCCATCCCATTACTGGGTATATACCCAAAGGACTATAAATCATGCTGCTATAAAGACACATGCACACGTATGTTTATTGCGGCACTATTCACAATAGCAAAGACTTGGAACCAACCCAAATGTCCAACAATGATAGACTGGATTAAGAAAATGTGGCACATATACACCATGGAATACTATGCAGCCATAAAAAATGATGAGTTCATGTCCTTTGTAGGGACATGGATGAAATTGGAAACCATCATTCTCAGTAAACTATCGCAAGAACAAAAAACCAAACACCGCATATTCTCACTCATAGGTGGGAATTGAACAATGAGATCACATGGACACAGGAAGGGGAATATCACACTCTGGGGACTGTGGTGGGGTCGGGGGAGGGGGGAGGGATAGCATTGGGAGATATACCTAATGCTAGATGACACGTTAGTGGGTGCAGCGCACCAGCATGGCACATGTATACATATGTAACTAACCTGCACAATGTGCACATGTACCCTAAAACTTAGAGTATAATAAAAAAAAAAACATTAAAAAAAAAAAAAAAAAAAAAAAAAAAACAAAAGATACACTCCTTTTGACCAGAAGAAAGAGTAGAGTGATTTTCTGCCAGGCGTGATGGCTCACGCCTGTAATCCCAGCACTTTGGGAGGCAAAGGTGGATGGATCACTTGAGGTCAAGAGTTTGAGACCAGGCTGGTCAACACAGTGAAACCCCATCTCTACTAAAAATACAAAAAAATTAGCTGGACATGGTGATGGGCACCTGTAATCTCTGCTACTCAGGAGGCTGAGGCAGGAGAATCGCTTGAACTTGGGAGGCAGAGATTGCAGTGAGCCGAGATTGCACCATTGCACTCCAGTCTGGGTGACTGGAGTCACCCATCTCAAAAAAAAAGAGAGAAAACTCCGTCTCAAAAAAAAAGAGAGAAACTCTGTCTCAAAAAAAAAAAAAAAAAAAGTATGATATTCCTGCAGGAGTCAGCCATGATTGGAAGGGAAGAAACAGCCCATAAATACGGCCCGATGGCTAAGAGGTAATACACTCACTATTAACATAGGTTATGGCATAATCAATACTGTCATTAACTTCATCTATAACTGAAGCTGATACTAACTGTGGCCCAGCAAGCTTTATAAATAAGGTGATCCTCAGAACCACAGCCCGAGGAAAAAGCCCAAGCCAGGGGGTGCTGGCAGACATCGCCTGGCATTGCTGGACGGGCTTCCCCAGAGAAGCATGCCCAGGCCCGGCTCCCTGAACCTTCTCCCCAACAAGAGGTGGCCTTAGGGATGTCATCCTGAAGCACGGGTCTCATCAGCATCCTAGAAACTGGCACAAGGAAAGCCTTCATAATGAAATGAAACCCGCAACCTTGCAAGAAAATATTTCATTTTGTACATAATTAATACTAACTTATTCCCCCTTTTTTCTTTATTACAGAAGAAAATAAGTTATTGATTTCAACCACAAAGATACTATTTGCATAACATAGCTGATTATGGGCTGTAACTGTCCAGATGGAATTAATTTGCTCAAAATATATAATTTTCTTAAACAGGTAAAGATTTCATATCCAGTCATATTTCTAGTTGATTAGCAAAGCCCCGGATCTCATCACAACTGGCTTAGAAAAACACATCTTGAATCCCAAGTCCTGCGTGGTCAGAAATGAATTGCTGCTAAAACGAATTCCAGGAGACAACTGAGGTACTTTTCAGCCATTTGGAAAAGGCACACGAGGGGGGGAAAGAGTCTCTCTCTTTTTCAACAGACACCTGAATCTCGCTCCCTCATCCTGCGTCTCATGGCCTAATTATTTCAGAAGGCTAGTTTCCCAGGTCGGGCATATTCATTTTTAGCTTTAATCACCTCATTTCTCTCGCCTGCAGATCACAGTGCACATTGCAACATGCAATTCTTGCTGGGCCTTCGGGTCAAATGTGTGTCCTTCATTTGGAACCTTCCTTCTTTCCCTTCCTGGGGATGAGGACGAAAGAAGTTGAAGATGATACTGCCAAGTAGCACCCCCTTTTCTAGGTCAATCAGCCTCTCCCCGCAAGCTGCCACCAGCACTTAAAAACTCCCTATGATGAAGATGCTGGTCCCTGGGCAAGAGGGACACCAGGGCACACTGCTGCGGTAACGTCTCAGTTCCTGAAAAAAATCTGGGGCAGATACGACATTGTGCTAAGGTTTGATAAAACTGGGTGTTTTAAACATGTATGTGTTTATTACATTATCTATTTTGGTCTGTGTGATTGAGATAGTCTATAATGGTCGATAAGCTCAAAAATAACTTTGAAGAAAAGGTAGACAGATGAACGGTTGTTATTTTGATCAGAACTTGTAAGTGATTAGATTCATAGGACTCGCTTTACATCATAACGAAATGTAGGAATAATACATTTATTTGTGCTTAGAGTTATAATGCACTTGTGATTGAATTGAGCTTGCCTTGTATTAAAAGAGTCGGCTATTTCCCATGGAGGACAGTCCTGCATCATGGGAACTCCTCAGATGCCATCTTGCACAGCTCACCTATTTATTAGTTGTGAGTAGCCCAGCCAGACAGCTGGAGTCCTCTGCCCCAAGCCCAGAAGCAGGCAAATTCAAAGTATCCTGGCTCCTAGGGAATTTATCTTCAAATAACCTTTGGGTTACCTGTGATTTACTTTTCCTCCCCTGCTCTGAACTCTAAGAATTGCTCAATTTTGTAAAACTGGAAAGTTTAACTTTGGTTTTGCCAAATTGGAGACCGATTGGAGCACAGTAGGCTGTATTACCTGTGCCTTTCAGAGCTGAGGACCAGACTCCAATCAGAGGGGCAGCATGGGAAGTATAGCCAGGTGGGTGCTGGGGAGAAGGTGTTAAACCCCATGCCTGTGATGGGACTTGGAGATCCTCCAGTCGACTGCTGGTGGGTTCTCCTGGCCTGGCATCTACCCTGCATGTATGCCTATGTGCACATCCTTCTAGATGTATCTAGACAGGGCGAGGTTCCTCCAACAGAGTCGAGAGTGCATACAACCACTTTGCTAAGAAGAGCAAATTAAGACATTTTCCCAAGTGATGAGACCTTCAGTCGATGCTTAGAAAAAGCAATTTGTGTTGCCACTAGCCCCTCCGCGGCTTCGTCCTCAGCTGGGCTATTGGAGGAAATGGTGGTTCCTCAGCTCTGCACAGCTGCAGAGGAGGCATTTGCACACTAAATGAGGTGGTGGCAATGTGTATTTATCTCAGTCCCAATGCTACTGTACACACTGCAGAGCTCCTCAGTCTTTGGAGAACAAGAAAAAAAAAAGAGGGGGAACTTAATAGAAAGAGATCTTTTTATTAAAAAACCATGAAGGCAACTGCATTCATTCAACCTTGGAAATGTTGTGATGGTTTTTCAGCATGGCAATATATTTAGATGGGAATATGTCATTAATATAAACAGCAGAAAAGAAACTATTAAACTAACACAATTTAAAACTGAGCAAACCCGAGTGTTTGATTAAAGTTTTTATACATTCTGTACATTTGAGCAGGTAACATAGAACCTTAATATTTTTGTTGATTTTTAATTTGCTCAAGGTATGACATCTGAAATGTTAAAATTTCACTAATTTGTATTTGAAATTAGGAGGTAGATGTACCAGGAGGATTTTCAGCCTGATTCTCTCAACTGTCTTTTTGACTTCCTGGAGAAGTCTACGGCAGAACAGTAACTCAACTTAATGTCAGCCTGTGTGAGAGGCAATCTCCTCTTTCTCCAAGCTGTAATGCAGTACTCAATTTGCTGGCGTTGAGTTGAATGTAAATACATGTGGTGAATATTAACTTTGAGGATCCGGCCTAATTCCATGTATGTTTTAATGCCTGCATATTTTTCTAGAAGGTTTTCGAATGTTTAAAGAAATCCCCTCTTCCTTGGGTCATGAACTATGCGCTGTGTCTTCTTTCGTGGGTGGGTTCATTTTTTTCACAGCTGACAAGGAGTGGAATGTCCTCCCCCAATAACACAAGACCCTGCTGCAGACTCCAGAGCACCTCCCGAACAGCTGGACGGGCAGGGCTTCTCCTGCTCTTCAGAAAATCCAGGTGCTCTTAAATTCCCATTCGTTCCTGATGGGGGCTTGTGCCAAGCCCACACTGACCCCTCCAATGCCGGTGGATTTGGGCACACAGTCTTCACCCATGTTTTCAAAACAATCTCCTGTTGGCCTGGAGCGGTGGCTCATGCTTGTCATCCCAGCACTTTGGGAGGCAGAGGTGGGTGGATCAATTGAGGTCAGGAGTTCAAGACCAGCCTGGCCAACATGGTGAAACCCTGTCTCTACTAAAAACACAAAAATTAGCCGGGCATGGTGATGGGTGCCTGTAATCCCAGCTACTCAGGAGGCTGAGGCAGAAGAATCACTTGAACCTGGGAGGCAGAGGTTGCAGTGAGTCGAGATCACACCACTGCACTCCAGCCTGGGTGACAGAGTGAGACTCAGTCTCAAAAAAGAAGCCACATGAAACAAAACTATCTCCTGCAGGTAGCTTACAGATATAGAGGCTGGCAGACTGGAGGGGAATATCAGAGACATTTCTTCCAGAGCTGAAAACCCAGACTGAGTTTTGGCCCCTCAGCAGACAGAAGCTCACCAGGCCTTACGGAAATGACTTACTGTAATATGACGATTCAAATGGCCAGATCACAGCAACTCATTGTCATTCTAATCACAGCCACTGGAATTCTGATATGCTGACACCCTGAATTATTACTCTGTCATTAAAAAAAAAAAAAAGAACGAGTGAGAATGTTTTGAATATTTCCCCTCCACATATGAGACGAAGATGACACAGGGGCCCATTTGATACTGGGGTAGCCACAGGCACAGGAATGCTTGGGAGTCACTGGGGGAGGGGGTCATCTCTCTACTGGCGTCCAGGAAAAGTTTTCTGTGGGCAGCTTCATTTGGAGTGTGAATCATCAAATAGGGCCTCATCTGAGTGAAATACCTTTAAGATTTCTCCTTCTTAAACTCTTAGAGATCTATCTTGTCTGCTGCAAGGAGCCTCATTTTCATGTTGGAACAGATGGGGCAAAATTGTCATTAACAGAAACTGACAACTCTAAAACTGAAATATAGATTTAGAAAGGAATCTAATGAATTAAATCAATGTTATTGCAGTGAAAGCCAAAGAAATTATTAGTGATTTGTAAAGTTACCCTGTATTTTAACCTCGGTATATTTTAGTCTGGGCCGTTTTAACATTCACAATACTTTTTCACTGTCATGGCTAATGTCTAACTGTGCAATGCACTCATCTTAATTTATCTTCCCCTCCTGATACTACAACTGCGGGATGGCCGAGACCCAGCTCTGGACGCTCCCAGGCCTTCTCTGGAGCATGGAGAAGCCCCCCTTCCAACTCCCCCAAACAGAGGCCTTGTCATGACCTTGCAGGGTCTCTTCAAAAATATGTAAGAGTGGGTTCATGGTATTTTTTTTAATTTTTTTATTTCTTTTTTTAAGTGAGGAGAATCTGATTTTAAAAACAACCAGAAACTCCAAGGCTGTTTTAAGTAATAAATGGGAGGAAAAACATTTCCAGCTGTCCAATTGTTAGATGCTTTTCATGATCATATCCAACCAATTACAAAAACCAAACCCAGAACACCCCTGGCCTTCCTGCTGCTGAAACCCCCAGGGAGGGCAGAGCAGCAAACCTCCCGGCAGAGCGCAGGACTGGGGTCAGGAGGTCTGGGGTCCTGGGGGACTGCCCTGGGCCTGCCAGATCTCCTGGGGGTTGCGGGTGGGGGCTTGGTCTGTTCACCCAATTGTCAAGGTGGGGCCCCAAAACATTTATTCATTCAGCAAATACTGACGGGTACTCACTTTGTGCAGGGAAATCTTCCAGTCTTGGGGACACAGCAGTAACCAAGATGATCAAATTCTCAAGGCTATGAGACTTCCATTCTGATTGGGGCAGAGGCAGTAGATATACAATGATGCAAGTAAACAAACAACACGGTCTCAGTCTGTGATATGTGCCAGAAAGAAGACGAAATGAGGACGGAATGGGTAAGGGCTTGGAGCTGTAAGTCAGGGAGGCTTCTTGGAGGAGGAGCCATTTGAGCAGAGACCTGAATGACGCGAAGCAATCAGCCAAGGGAAGGAGTGGAGGGGAAGCTTTCTGGCAGAGGGAGGAACATGTGGAAAGTCCCTGGGGCGCAAAGGAGCATGTTGAGTTTGCGAAACAGCAAAAAGTCAGTGTGCCTGGAGCTCGCAGAGGGATGGGAGAGGACTGGAGATGAGGGAGAAGCACTCACAGGACCAGATTGTGCAGGACGTGCAGGACAGGGTAAGAAGGACATAGACAGCTCCACAGCCTTCCCCTGCTCTAGAATCCACCATCTCCAGATGGAAGGGGAGTGGCCCACTTCGTAGGCCTCTCATGACTGGGTCCAGAAAGGGGAAGGCCCAATGCTTAGACAGAGCCATGTCCTGGGAATTCTCAGCTTGACCTGGACTTGTCACTTTGCTCTCCCTTCTGGTCTGCCGGAATTACTCACACCTGCACTCGAAATCTGGCCTCCTTATCCAGGCATTTGAGGCCGTGACACAAAACCTGGGCCATTTCTATCAGCCCCATGTTGCTCCATAAACTCCCTGCCAGACAGACAACCCACCCAAACCCACACCACTTCCATCTTCCCCTCAGCTGCCTTCCCACCATCCCTTCATCTTTCCTCACAGCCCAACATCTACTCATTCTTCAAGGACAGCTCAGATCTCCCCACTCCGTGAGACCTTCCCCGGCTCTGCTACAAGCAAACAGCCTCCTACCGGCTCCCAGGACTACGGGGCCTCCCCACACCGTGTGCACAGGTGGCCTCCACTCAGATCTTGCTCCCTCCACATTGACTGGTGATGGCAGACGGCTCCGACTGTGGGCTCTCTGGGTGAGTTACTCAAGCCACAAACCCAGAGATCCCGCTGCTCTCCCCTTCCTACTACTCCTCCCTCACAACCTGCCAGCAAGTCCAGGCAGTGCTGGCTCCCAGGTGCACCTCAAATCCCGCCTGCCCTGTGTCCACTCGAGCCTTAGCCACCATTATCCCTGAGCTGGGCTGCCTCTGTAAATCCTTCCGCACACAGCAGCCAGAGGGATTTGTTTATTTATTTATTATTCTTTTCTGTTAGAGCTGGGGTCTTGCTCCATCACCCAGGCTGTAGTGCACTGGTGCAATCATAGCTCACTGCAGCCTCTAACTCCTGGGCTCAAGTGATCCTCCCACCTCAGTCTCCTGAGTAGGTGGGACTACAGGAGTGTGTCACCATGCTTGACTAATTTTTACATTTTTTGTAGAGATGGGTTCTCACTATGTTGCCCAGCTGGTCTTGAACTCCTGAGCTCAAGCGATCCTCCTGCCTCTGCCCCCTAAAGTGCTGGGATTATAGGTGTGAGCCTCTGAGACAGCTGGGATTTACTTTTAACACAACGCAAATCATGTCACTCTTCTCTTAACCCCTTCAGTGGCTCTGCATTGCATGAGAAGCAGAATTCAGATGGCCCCCTCTGGCCTTGCAGAGCCTCATGGTCCATGTGCATCTCTTCCACCTCCCCTCACGGCCTGTCCCTGCCACATGCTCCAGGCGCTCTGGGCTCCTTGTTCTCCTTCAACCTGCCTGGTTCCTGCCTGCCACAGGGCCTTTGCATTTGCCATTTCCTCCATGGGGGCACTCTCCCTCTCCCCAGCTCCCTGCTCACTTCATTCAAGCTGCTGCTCCCATATGACCTCTGCAAAGAGACCTTCCTGCCTCCCTCAGCTGTAGGAGGCCCTCCCCACACCCACAGCACCCCACTACATTGCCTATTTTATTTCTTTCATCCCACTGTTCACCACTCCCCTAAATGAAGGTATCTCTTTGCTGTTCCCAGCATACCTCTCTGCACCCTGGACGCTACCATACACTCCAGCGGAACGATGATCTTGTCAGGCTTGGTTCGCTGTGCACACCGAGCCCCTCACTCAGTGCCTGGCATACAGTAGGAGCTTACTAAACAGCTGTCAGGTAGGCAGATGGGTGCCCCACAGTCTTCTTTCAGGCTTGATTTCTAGGGGAGGGCTCCACTAGACTGTTTTTTTTTTTTTTCTAAGACGGAGTTTCACCCTGTCGCCCAGGCTGGAGTGCAGTGGCACAATCACTGCAAACTCTGCCTCCTGGGTTGAAGGGACTCTCTTGCCTCAGCCTCCCAAGTAGCTTGGATTACAGGCATGCGCCACCACACTCAGCTAATTTTTGTATTTTTAGTAGAGATGGGGTTTCACCATGTTGGCCAGGCTGGTCTCGAACTTCTGACCGCAAGCAATCCACCCATGTTGGCTTCCCAAAGTGCTAGGATTACAGGCATGAGCCATGGCCAACTGTCTCCCCTTTGACACACTTTGCAAGCTGTGATGATTAACTTAGCATTTGTAACATTGAGTGTTTGTCTTCACCTCCAGCCGCTGAAACCCAAGATCAGGTCCACATCTGTCTCGGTCCCTCCAGGACCTTGAGCCCAGTCCAGAGCCTGGTCCAGAGAAGGTGCTCAGTAAACATCTGGAGACTGAAAGCCAAGTCACCCTGTGGAGAGCAGCGGTTTTTTCTGAGTGGACTTCAGTGGCCTTGGCTGACTCCCTTGTGGGTGTCTGCAGACCCGGCCCTCAGAGCCTCTGCGTGTTGAAGGCACACAGCACCTGCAGGGAAACAGGCCCTTGCCTCTGTCGGCTCCTCCTGCTACTGAGAGACCAGCTCAGAGGCCAGGACAGCAGCTCAGAAGGGGAGGAAAGGAACGGAGACCTGTGGGCTGGTCCTCAGTGAGGCCTGGCCCAGGAGGGAGACCCTCCCCAGCAGATCATGAGAGCTGTGCACCTTGCCAGGATGGTGGCGCTCAGCAAACGCCTACCTGAGGTCATCTGCAGAGCCCCCTCTCAGGGCAGCGAGGCAGCCTGCCAGGATTCCCCTGCATCAGGAGCTCTGTTTTAAAACATCTGTTGATCCACGTAAGAATGATACAGGGAAGAGGCTCTCCGAGCGCACCGATGCTTCAAAAGGCCTCAAAAATTAGAATTGCTGTCACGGCCTCTGCACTTCCCAGTCCAGGCCTTTTGTTTGGGTCTCCCTATGTGGCCACCAGGGGGGCTAATGCCCTCCAGCCACATGCTCAGCTTTGCTGGCCAGACAATGGCCTCTGAATAGGCCCATCCAGAGTGCCCTTTTGAGTGATAGAACCCAGTGCAACAGCGGAGACTCTAGGAAACTAAGCCTGCGGGCTCCAGGGCCTGGGGCAGGCGTTGCTCATTGACCAGGTTTGGGTGGTGTGGGGCACACAAAGTCAGGGGGGGACACACAGCCAGGGTCCCTCCACCTTCCTTGTTAAATATGGAGCCACAGGCCTTGCCTAATTAGCCGGCCCTGTTGGTACAAGGAGGAGGGGAAGCAACAGGGAAGATAGAACATGACCTCCAAGCCCGTGGTCAGTCCCTGGCTCCGAGGCCTTGTCCCACCTCTTGTCCAGATTTGACACTTCCAAAGGGCTGGACATGCAGTCCTGGACCCATGCCAGCCTCCGAAGCTGCCTCCTTCTTGAAGATGGTGAACCCAGCCCAAAGGTCCACCCAGCTTTCTAGAGTGAAGGGAGAGGATTAAAGTGCTGCCCGGTGAGACCTGGAAGACCTGCTCTGCATCCCAGGCTCACTCTTGACATGCTGTGCGTTCCTTGGTAAGTCACTGAACCTCTCTGAGCCAATTCCTCCTGTGAAATGGGGGTGGTGATAGCTATACCTAACCTTACAGAATTGCAACATGGCTTTAATGAGATCTGGCTCATGAAGTGCTTTGGAAGTTAAGTGGCACCCACAGGCCACCCTTACTGTCATCTGGGCATCATGGTCTTCATGGGTGCCCCATCAGCACCAGCTGCCCGGGCAGGCACCGGGCTAGGTACTTTGCAAGTGTTTTGTCATCTTTATGTCTCTGCATGGTAGGGTTCGTCCTCACCTTATGAGGGACAGACTGAGAGCAGTGAAGGCCTGGCCCACAACCACACAGCTTCTGTAAATCCAGACTGGCCCACGGCTTGGCCCACCCGCACCAGCAGTCTCCATTGTCAGTTCCCTTCCAGAAACCTATATGGAGGCTGGGCGTGGTGACTCATGCCTGTAATACCAGCACTTTAAGAGGCCAAGGCAGGAGGATTGCTTGAGGCCTGGAGCTCGAGACCAGCCTGGGCAACATAGGGAGAACCTGTCTCTCACAAAAAAATTTTAAAAATTAGCCAGCATGGTGGCACATTCGTATAGTCCCAGCTACTCAGGAGGCTGACATGGGAGAATCACTTGAGCTCAGGAGGTTGAGGCTTTAGTGAGCTATGATTACACCACTGCACTCCAGCCTGGGTGACAGAGTAAGACCTTGTCAAGGGAAGGGAAGGGGAAGGGGAAGGGGAAGGGGAAGGGAGAAGGGGAGGGGGAAGGGGAAAGAGGGAGGAGGAGAGGGAGGAAGGGAAGGGAAGGGAGTGAGGGGGGAGGGGAAGGGAAAAGGAAAGGAGGAGACAGGGAGGAGGAGAGGGAGGAAGGGAAGGGAAGGGAGTGAGGGGGGAGGGGAAGGGAAAAGGAAAGGAGGAGACAGGGAGGAGGAGAGGGAGGAAGGGAAGGGAAGGCGGATGAAAAGAAAGGGGGAGGGAAGGGGGAGGAAAAGGAGGAGAGAGGGAGGGAGGAGGAGAGAGGGAGGGAGGAGGAGAGAGGGAGGGAGGAGGAGAGAGGGAGGGAGGAGGAGAGGAAGGAAGGGAATGGAAGGGAAGGGGGAAGAAAGGGAGAAGGAAGGAGGAGGGATAGGAGCAGGGAGGGAGGGAGAAGGAGAGGGAGGAAGGGAAGGGAAAGAAAGAGAAGGGAAGGGGGAGGAAAGGGAGAAGGAAGGGGGAGGGATAGGAGGAGGGAGGGAGGAGGAGAGGGAGGAAGGAAAGGGAAAGGAAGGGAATTGAATTGAGTCTATTGTGAACAAGAGCTTGCTGTGTATGTTCAGGCGATGTTGGGAAGCCCCTTTCTCTAGAGCAAACCAAGTTCTCATTCCACAGATATCGATGGAAGGGCTGTCCCAGCTAACAGGTAGGTAACAGGTAGCAGAGTTTGTGTTTCCACACTTTTTATAACCCCTAACCACTGGCACCTAAAAGGAATAAGCACTCAAGAGAATGCTGTCCCCACTAGGACACAGGCTCTACAGTGCTCCTACCGCCAGCCCGCACTGGGGATGGTGGCCTCTCCCCCTTGGGAAAATCTCAGTGTCTGTCCTGTCGACACAGGTGAGAGTGACTGTCCTTGTAGGACTGGGGTTGGGGTGTTGGAGACAGAGTCTCATTCCGTCACAGGTCCCCCCAACAACACCGCAGGAAAATCTTTAAAACCTGTGACTGACCATACCTTTGGTTTCAATTCAACCATCTTCCTTCAGGATTTTGTTTGTTTGTTTGTTTGATACAGAGTCTCTGTCACCAAGGTTGGAGTGCAGTGGCATGATCTCAGCTCACTGCAGCCTCCACTGGTCTTGAAATCCTGACCTCAAGTGATCCACCTGCCTTGGCCTCCCAAAGTGCTGGGATTACAGGCGTGAGCCACCGTGCCCAGCCCTTCAGGACATTTCTGCAGCCTGTGTAAGCTCACCACCGCTGGGAACAGAGCTTGCTGTGTCCTTGTTTTCCCTTATGAAGGGCCTTCTTGGATTTCACTCAGACTAGAAGACTAGGGGGAAACTATCCCTCTTCCCAAAAGGTAGACATTTTTTACCTGGACAATGACTTAGTGTAATTTTTTTTTTTTTTTTTTTTTTTTTTTTTTTTGAGACGGAGTCTCGCTCTGTCGCCCAGGCTGGAGTGCAGTGGCGGGATCTCGGCTCACTGCAAGCTCCGCCTCCTGGGTTCACGCCATTCTCCTGCCTCAGCCTCCCAAGTAGCTGGGACTACAGGCGCCCGCCACTACGCCCGGCTAATTTTTTTGTATTTTTAGTAGAGACGGGGTTTCACCGTTTTAGCCGGGATGGTCTCGATCTCCTGACCTCGTGATCCGCCCGCCTCGGCCTCCCAAAGTGCTGGGAGACTTAGTGTCATTAAACTCATTATGTTTCCTTTTTCACCTTGGCTGCCAGGAAGCTCAGAAATAGCATTTCTGCCAGGGTTCCCTCTCTCAATTTCATCTTTTGCTTCTAGCCATCTTATTATGCCTGTATCACATGTGTATCAAAAACGCTGGTAGTAGGAAGGCTACATATTTCTGATAAGTAGACAAAGAAAGACCCTTCAAGAAGCCCCTCCCAGGACTCCCTGTGCCCTGAAGTCTGGCCACCACATTGCCACCTTATCACTCCAGAGAACCCCCGTTATGTCTTCCGTTCAGCACTCCTGTCTTGCTCAAGCCGAGTCTCCCTGTCCTCGGCAAAGGTCTGGGTTTATGCCTCAAACATCATGCCTGGCAGCACACAGGTATCAGAAAATCGTGTTTCAGTGGAGAGCAAGAGCAAATTTTCTTTCTGGGATGGCAGGGGTTCCGCCTGCTGCGTGGCCGTGACTGTTCGTCTAAAACATGCTTCACAAGGTGACGGACTGCCCTGCCTCGGGTTCAAACAATGAAGCAAATTTTGCTTTACTAATTTAGTCACATATAACAATAAATCCCGGAAATATGTCTTATGTATATTTTGCATTACCTCTTGCAGACAAATACAAAAACATGGTCAACATTTGCAATAAAATTATCATAGAAATGCCATCTCAAATCTTATTTTCTTTTTTCCAATGTGCATTTCACAAATAACTTGTATTAAAATTATGTTTTACAGAGTAGAAATAGACAACAAATACCCCTGGTAATTTAAATAGGCATTTGCATAACATGACTAGAACACTTTAGGAAAACGCACAGCATCGGAAAATATGAGTTCAAAAACACTTAAATACAAGTGATTTTAATAAGTCTAATATGAAAAATGCCTTTTAGCTGTATTAATTAGTGAATTAAAATGTGTTGATCTTGGAATATTTTCCAGCTAACAGGTTTGGGGATTTGTGGAGGTTTTTTTTTTTTCTTTCTGTTTGTGAGAGAGTGTTTGCCATTCATTAAACACCACCACGGTGCTGTCTTGGAAGTGTCTCCGCAGGTATCTGAAGAAGGCTGTGAAACCAGGCTCAGGCCCAAGGCCGGAGAAATGCAGCTCCATGAGGGGACGGTGGGTGGAATGTCCAGACTCCAGAGATCCTGGGCCCGACCCACTTAGGGGCACAGGGCCTGGACTTCACAGCCTTGGTGGAGAGGGAAAGGTATACATCCCATAGAGCCCTGGATTGGGTCTCCTCCACATTGTGCCTGGCTCTGATGCTGAAGGTTTTACGGAAACAGTTTTCCCCCCTGCATTCTCTGGAAGGATTTGCCCAAGCTTAAGAGTTAGCTGGTGTGTGTAGGCCCTGTGGATGGATAGCACTGTAATGACTTATCCTGTAAAACCCTATTTTTTCTGCCGGGCATCTTCATGCATTGTTTTTCATTTTTTATCTTTATTTTTTACTTATAAAAAAAATTTTTGAGGCCAGGTGTGATGGCTCAAGCCTGTAATCCCAGCACTTTGGGAGGCTGAGGTGGGTGGGTCACCTGAGGTCAGGAGTTCAAGACCAGCCTGGCCAACATAGTGAAACCCTGTCTCCACTAAAAAAAAAAAATACAAAAATTAGCTGGGCGTGGTAAAACTTGCCTGTAGTCCCAGCTACTTGGAGGCTGAGGCAGGAGAATCACTTGAACCTGGAAAGCGTAGGCTGCAGTGAGCTGAGATCGTGCCACTGCACTCCAGCCTGGGAGACAGAGTGAGACTCAGTCTAAAAACAAAAAACATAAAAAACAAAAAAATTTGAGATAGGGTCTCTCTCTGTCCCCCAGGCTGGAATACAGTGGCACTGCAGCTCACTGTATATAGCTCACTGCAGCCTTGAACTACTGGGCTCAAGCGATCCTCCCACCTCAGCCTCCTGAGTAGCTGGGACCACAGGCATGCACCACCACGCCTGGCTAAGTTTTTAAATTTTTTGTAGAGATACAATTTCACTATGGTTGCCCAGGCTGGTCTTGAACTCTTGGCCTCAAGTGAGCCTCCTGCCTGGGACTCCCAAAGCACCGGGATTACAGGCAGGAGCCTCTGCCCCCAGCCTCTGTGTATTGTTTTTAAAATAATTTTTTGCCTTTTCTCTTTCCTGGGCTGTCTCCCAGCTTGGTACAGAAGGTCAGCTCTCGGCAGGTCCTGGGAAGCGCATGGCCTTATGGCCACAAAGTGCAAACACAGCTGAGGAGCACTACAGCCAGGCCAACCGAAGATGGCTGTTCTCCCATTGAGTGGAAAAACACCTTGCCACTTGGGGATTCGGGCTCTGCGCAGTGATAGCTCATCAAAAGCGAGGAAGATGCATATTTATATTTCTGCAATTTAGTTGGAATACCCTTCTGAGAACCTGCAGCAGGGGCGCCTTCAGTGCACAGCTTCTGAGTTGTTAAAATTTTCATTCTAGGTCCCCAGGAAACAGTGCATTAAAACACATCACTGCTTCCTCGCCTCATCAAAACTCCCCCGCTTGCTACTCTCCTGCCCCAATAACGGGCTGGGAAATGAAAGCAAGGGAGCCTGGGGCCATGGTCTGTGAAGGAGAAGGGCCAGTCATGCAGGCACCAGGGCAGATGGACTCAGGTCCAGCCACGATGCGCCTCAGCCACCCGCTCTGCAAAAGATGCCCTCAGCTGTGCCCCTCTTCTTTAAAAGTTTTCCCCAGCAACTCAAGCCAGGTGTGAAGGAAATCACAGACAGCCAAGATCAGACGTGGAAATTCAACCCTGCCATTTGGCAGATGAAGACATTGAGGCCCAGCGGGGAAGAGTCACTTAGTGACAAGAATACAAATCCCCTGATGCCAGGTCAGGGTCCTTTCATAATGGCTGAGCTGCCTTCCAGGAGAGGTGCCCCATTTTTAAGATAAACTTTTTTTTAGAGACAGGGTCTCATTCTGTTGCTCAAGATGGAGTGCAGTGGTGCAATCATGGCTCACTGCAGCCTCAACTTTCTGGGCTCAAGCGATCCTCCCACCTCAGCCTCTTGAGTAGCTGGAACTACAGGTGTGTGCCACTATGCTTGGCTAATATTTAAATTTTTTGTAGAGATGGCATCTCACTATGTTGCTCAAGCTGGTGTCTAACTCCTGACCTCAAGTGATCTGTCTGCCTCAGCCTCCCAAAGTGCTGGGATTACAGGCATAAGACACAGCACCCAGCCATAACAAAGTTTTAATTTTAGAATAGTTTTAGATTTACAGAAAAGTTGTGAAGATAGTAGAGTTCCCACATTGTTAGGATTTTACATTGCTCTGGTACATCTGCCACAAATCAGGCGCCAATGTTCCTTACATCATTATTAACGGAAGTCCACACTTTATTCGGATTTCCCTGGTTTGTACCTAATGTACTGTTTCTGTTCCATGACCCTATCCAGGACACCCCGTGGCTTTTAGAACTCACGTCTCCTTAGGATCTTCTAGACTGCAACTATTTCTCCTACTTGCCTTGTTTTTAATGCCCTTGACAGATCTGACGAACATAGGCCAGATATTTTGTAAAATGTCCCTCAAGTTGGGGCTGTCTGCTACTTTTCTCACAGTTAGACTGAGCTGATGGGTTCTTGGGAGAAAGGCCACAGGGGATAAGGACCGTTCTCCCCACATCCCACTCTCAGGAGGACTTGCCCCTGACTTTCCTCGCCTGGTTGGGCTCAGGTTTCTCCAGGGTCAAGCTCCTCTTTCTCAACCCTGTTTCCATAGCGTACCACTGGGAAGGTGGTCACTGGGTGCAGCCCACACTTAAGAGCTGGGATGATCATCCGCCTCCTCGAGGGAGGGGCATCTACGTCAATTACGTGGAATTCTTCTGCACGGGATGTGTCTATTCTCACCCACCTATTTATTTATTCAACTACTTACCTATATCAGTATGGATTCATGGATATATATTTTGTACTTTTTTTTGAGACAGAGTTTTGCTCTTGTTGCCCAGGCTGGAGTGCAATGGTGCGATCTCTGCTCACTGCAACCTCCGCCTCCCGGATTCAAGTGATTCTCCTGCCTCAACCTCCTAAGTAGCTGGGATTACAGGTGCCCACCACCACACCTGGCTAATTTTTTGTATTTTTAGTAGAGACGGGGTTTTACCATGTTGGCCAGGCTGGTCTCAGACTCCTGACCTCAGGTGATCTGCCTGCCTCAGCCTCCCAAAGTGCTGGGATTACAGGCATGAGCCACCACACCCGGCCTGTACTTTGGGTTGTAATGCAATACTACATTTTTCTTGCTCGAATTATTCTGATTTTGGCCACTGGGGGCTCTTACATTGATCCCTACATCTCTTTGACAAGCCCCACCATTGCATGTGTGTTTGTATGTGTGTGTATGGGTATGTGTGTGTATGTTTGTGTCTATGTGTGTCTATGTGTATGTGTGTGTGTTTGTGTATATGTGTATGTGTGTGTGTCTATGTGTGTGTGTATGTGTATGCTTATGTATGTGTATATGTGTATTTGTGTATATGTGTGTGTGTGTGCACACTCTACTTTTTGGCACTGTAATATGCTTCAGGCTTATCTGACATTTCCTGTCCCAATCCTAGAATGGGCTGTTTCTTCAACGAATTCTGGCTCCTGGTTTTGAGGATGGTATTAGAAACCAAGGCCCGGGTGGTAGGTGTTATTACTGGGATGTCGTTGTTTCTAGGCCCTCTCGGTGGACAGAGCCAGGAAGCAGATGTGTGTACACTAACCCCTGTATATAGACATATCTAAAATACCTTTACGTGCATCCATCTGTATTTATATTAGGCTAAGCAGAAGTGCACACCAATGTCCCGAATTCATCTCCAATACTGTGGATTATTCTGGGCTACCCCTTGCTTATCTGCAAGGTGCCCGTTTTTCAGGTGGAGAGAGCAAGGCTCTGAGATGGATGTCACTGGCTCAAGGTCACACCTCAGTGCCTGTCTTGGCCTGCACCAAAACTGCAACTGCCCTTGGCTGATGGTCAGTCATCTAGATCAGAGGGTGGGGACTGTGTTTGCCTTGGAAAGAGGGTCCTAACCAGGCAGCAAGAGGGCCAGGCCTCCAGAAATTTGCACAGGAAGAGCTGAAAGCTGGCCAGCAGAATCCAGCCTTGGTGCCACTCATATACACATTGTCCCATCTCCCTAACCAACCTGCCCAGGAAATGTGACCTAGGAAAGCCATCAGAGCCAACGCTGGCTCTTCCCTGCCCACATCTCTCAGACCTCAGCAGCTGGCATGTACCTGCACTTTCCCAAGGCCAGAGGCAGAGGTTCTATGCCTCTGTCCCTGAGAACTTCTCCAGGATCTTGGAAATTCCTGGCCTTCAAAGCCAGAAGGGCCAGGTAACTAATATCTTGGGGGTAACCCTCACCCAGGAACTGGCAGCATTCCTGCCAGCTTTCTTCCCTTCCTGGGGAACACCCTGTGGCAGGTGCAATGGCGCCTCCCCACACCCCCGCTGGAGGGGAGCTCGGTGCATGCTGGTGCCTGTGGATCCTGTGCCATGCTTGGTGGCTTTCTCCTCTCTTCTCACTTCCCCTCCCCACCACACTTACTGTGGTTGCCTCCCAAATCAATGACTTTCACGGGATCCTCGTCTTGAGGTCAGCTTCTGGGGGACCCAAACCAAGACGTCAACACACACACCAGCCCTTTCTTATTTTCTATGCAGGAATCCCAGGATGCGTCGGCACACTCTGAGCACGCAGCCACAGAGGGGAGCCATCAGCGGGTGGAAAGTGGCTGTCAGAGCCCAGACTCAGGAGCTCAGGCATCCAGAGAGATGGGTGGGGTGGAGCCACATGTCCGGAGGGCAGAAGAGGGTTGCAGCCACCACACTGGCTGGCTCACATCAGAGAAGTGGAAAGAGTGTGATCTGGCCAGGTGAGGCCCTAGACAGGAAGAAGACACCCAGCTTAGTCCTGCGGGCTGTTTTAAAGCCATCCTTCCCTGTTGTGCAGTGGGGAAGGGAGCTCCATTTGTCAGTTGTAGGTGGATGAACCGATGAGAGGTGCCAGGGGATTCTGGCATCTGAGCTTGCACCTGCCCAGAGTCTCCGTGAGCCCCCAGAAAGGCTCCATCAGTCAGAGGGACGCGCCCGTGTCCCATGAAGGGCGGCAGTCGACAGTCGACTGATAGATCTAGGTGCGCCCATATGGAGCTCCGTGCTGGAGGTGCCCCTGCCCTGCCGAAGATTAACAGCATTTGTCAGCGAGCTTCCCGTGGGCCTGCAGAAACTCAGCCTCTGACTCATCCACACCTCTGCCACCTTGCCTGTCGGGGGCCACCAGCTATACAGCCCTGTGCCCAGGGCTGTGGGGGCCCTTTGCTGCCTAAGCTGACCCAGTGGACTCATGAGAGCCTGGAGAGGGCTCACTCATTTTAATTTTGTCCAGAAAGTCCATGCACGCACACCTATGTACACACACATGCACACACACACATATGAAGTTACATACCAACTCTGGCACATGCTAAAAATTCCCTTCTGCTTTTTAATACAAAGTCTTTTTCCCCCATAAGTTGGTCTGGTCTCTCTGGCCAACCGGCACTCGCTCTGGGCCCACACAAGCCTTCAAGCCCCATGTGCCCTCCCGCGGTGAGGTGGGGAGGGCTGGCATCTGTGTTGGTCCCCGGGGTTCGCCAGGAAGCAGCTCAGGGCTCATGTGACATTCTGCGTTGACTTTAGAAAGATTTTGAGGTGTCCTGATTACACTCTGTCCTTATGAACTGGATTAGAGGGCCCTTAACAGATAATGCCCAGGGTTCTCTCTGCTTGTCGGACATTGAGCAATTATGAGTGAGGTCTTAAGAGATAAGTGAAACAGCGATGCCTCAGCCAGGAGCTCAAAAGGTGGTTCCAGCGAGGCTTGCAAAACAATACCAGGGCAGGCGGAGAGCGATTTCCTCGGCTTTGGATGCTGAACTATGAGCCTCTCGGTGAAATCTTTTCATATCGGGATAAGACCTGGGTAGCTCTTAATCCCTTAATTCTACCAGTTGGCCAGGAGCTAGAATTGGATTTGGAACCTGAGGGAGGGAGAGGGGAAAAATCAACAGAGGAATGCAGAACTCTTCAGAGTTGGACCCGTTTTCTTTTTCCCTCCCTGACCTGGCCAGGGATCGCGTCCGTGGGGCAGTTGGGGTGGGGGCGGCCCCTGGTCTCCCCTTCACTTCGAGGTGTCCAGACTGGGGGTGTCAGGCCTCCAGAGACCCTGGTGGCCACAGACCAGACAGTTGGAGCCAAGCTAGGGAAATAGAAGGGTATTTTAGCAAGCGAACCCCTTGCCTATGAGGTGCAAGGCAGTTGCATGCTTCACCCCCACCATTCCCCCAAAAAGTAAGAACAGTAACAATCACCCTTGTAATGGCCTCCCTCCATCTGTGTGAAGTGTTCCTAGAAGCATCTCTGGAAAACCAATAACCAAGCAAAGTGAAAAGCGTGTCCTGATCATGCCACCTTGGTCTGGGGAGTCCCCTGCACCCTCCACCCTGACCGCCACCCAATCCCCAAAACACAGTTCCTCAAGGCAGCCCACTCCACTGCCTGAAACCGTGGGAACTTGCCCTGGACAAGGCAGGGCCAAGGAGTCTCTTTAGAAAAGAGGAAACAAGGGGGGGTAGGTGGAGAGAGTGGGGATGGTGGGGCAGAGATCCCCACAGGGAAGCCATGGCCCCTAAAAAGTGCCCCAAGCGCAGGTCAGAACCTATAATCAGAGCCTCAAGAAAAGCATCTGCGACTGGGTGTCATTCATTCATTTACTCAGCAGGCCCATATTGAGGCCTGCTCTGCACAACACCCTGAGCTCCGTGCTGGAGCCCAGAGGGAGGGAAAAGCTTCGATCCCTACCTCCAAGGAGCTCACAAAACAGAGAGGGGGCAGAATCGGGAAGTGTCAGTCACAGAGCAGCCTGACAAAGGAAGACCCTGGGGCCCCAGACGCACAGAGAGGGCAGGTGCCTTCCCAGATGTGAGGACAGTCATGAAAGGCTTCCAGATGGAGGTGGCTTGGATCTCGGTAGGAGCTGCCAGGAGAAAAAGTCATCCCGTTCTCAGTCCTGGGTCTTACCCCTTCTCCAGGAGCTCTGCGGTAAGGCAGGTGAATAAGAGACCTGAAAGGAAAAGGAATAAGAACCCATCCGTGTGTCCCCCATTAAAGATTCTTCTTTTGCCTAAGATGTATTAAATCAGAGGCTTGAAAGGTAGTGGGCTGAGATAGCCCAGCATAGAGCCCACCTGCCCCAGAGGAGGGCTCCATTAGGTGGACGGATGAATGAATGGATGGAGAAATGGATGGGGGATGGATAGATGGATGGATGAATGGATTGATGGGGGATGGATGGATGAGTGGATGGATGGATGGATGAGTGGATGGATGGATGAGTGGATGGATGGATGTATAGATGAATGGGTGGATGGATGAATGGATGGGTGGATGGGTGGGTGGAGGAATAGGTAGATGGATAAATGAATGGATGGATTAAAGGATGGATGAATGATGGATGGATGGATTAATAGATGGATGGGTAGATGATGGATGGATGGGTAGGTGGATGGATGATGGATGGATGGATGGATGGGTATGTACACCTGAGGAGGGCGGGAGTGCAGGTAGATGGATGGGTAGATGGATGAATGGGTGGCTGGATGGATGAACTGATGGATAGATGGATGGATGATAGATAAATGGATGGATGGATGAGTGGATGATGGATAGGTGGGTGGGTAGATGGATGGATGGGTGGATGGATGGATGAATTGGTGGATGGGTCAATGGATAGATGGATGCATGTATGGGTGGCCTGAGGAGGGACAGCCACACAGGCTGGTAGGGCATAACACAATAACCCCATAGGGTAGATGAGGAAACAGCATCCAGACTGCAAAAGACAGGCAAGGGAGACCAAGGGACACCACCATGCTCAATGGTCCCTAAGAGATGTTTGATAAATTAATTTTCTTTTTAAAAAAAAAGAAATAAAATTATTTTTCAAGCTAGACTCTTTCAGTTGCAAATGACCACATTCTGATTTAAACTAGCTTAAGAATAAAAGTATGGGAGACAGAGAGGTTCAGATTCCTGAAGAATGCAGGGAGAGATCGGGCACGGTGGCTCACTCCTGTAATCCCAGCACTTTGGGAAGCTGAGGTGGGAGAATTGCTTGGGCCAGGGAGTTTGAGGCTACAGTGAGCTGTGATTGCACCACTGCACTCTAGCCTGGGTAAAAGAGCAAGACCTTATCTCAAAAAAAAAAAAAAAAAATAGAATGCAGGGGAAAATCCAGCATAGCTTCAGGCACAGCTGGATCCAGGCACTCAAATCCAGCCTCTACCTCCTTACCTCTCAGCCCACTCCCAGCCCAAGCTCTCCTGGTGCAATAGAATGCCAGATCCCATCAGCTTAGCAGCCCCTCAGGACATTTTAGAAGGCTCCAGTCAAAGTCCTTGGGTTGCCTCTTGGCACAGATGTGGATTGGCTGAACATCCCCAAATCAAATGCTGTGACCATAGGGACACAATTCTCTTGTGCTATAAGCCTGGGCAAGGGACAGCCTGCGGCCAAAGAGTGGGTCTAACTGAACAGGACAGACTAAGAGATTTTGGGGGCATGGAGTGTCCCCGAAGAAGAATCTAGGTGCGATTGACAAAGGAAGAGTGGGGGGATGCCAAGCAGGTGACATCTATCTGGCATCACTTTCAGAAGTATGGACAGCTGGTGAAACAGGGGGAGCCACCTGGGTGGAAACAGGAAGCGAAGCTGCTCCCCACTGGAGGGACAGGTCTCAGCCTGAACCCTCCAAGTACCCATTGCCAGTGCCCGGACCTTCAATCTCTAAGCATGTCACTTACCCCCTCCCCTCTCCAGCCAGACCCTGCCCCCTACCCTATGCACCCACTAGCCCCAATCCCCGGGGGACCATTTGGAAAAATTCAGCTGTCCCCTGTGCTGGTTATTGATTTAATTCCTGTTTACTTCACTGTAAGCTTAATTTGCTGTGTTAATGGCATTTTAATCCACTTGCCTTTGCAAGGGGCTGATAATGCCGCACTTTTGTGTAGCAGCAGTGACATTTCTCTGCATCCCGGTCCTTCAGTGGGTGGGGCTGGGCATTATTTCCCAGACTTCCCTCTCTTCCGCCCCCATGTGACACCCACTGCCAGCCCACTCATGGTGGGGGCCACCGCTCCCTGCTCTCTGGGCTTCGGGAAAGTCAGCCTGAGCAGAGTCCTGGCTGAGATGCACCACTGAGCCCAGAAAGAAACGGGGTCCAGGTAGAGGAAAAGCTGCCTCAGGACCCTGGGGGCTGCTGTCCCCGAGCACCACGTCCTGGTGGGGCCAGCCCTCAGCAGGGTCTTCGAAATTAAAGATAGCAGCAAGCCAGACTCATTGAAGGATTCCAGAGAAATTTAGCCAAACCCGATTCCTCCATCTGGGGTCAAACTCTCTGCCGACTGTGTCTGTGTCCTTGTCCCAAATCTCCATCCACCCACACGACAGCAGCCGGTTCTGCCTTTCACGGGGTCACAAACGCACAAACACGGTGTGGCACAGTGGGACGGGAGCTGGCCCCAGTCTTGGCGGCCCTGTGTTGAAAATCCAGCTCTGGCAGTCCGTTCTGCATCAGGAAAGTGGGGATTTGAATTTTGGCCAGGCCGACCTCTCAGACTTGAGGTGAACTGGGACAGTGCTGGCTAAACTGCAAGCTCTGCCCATGTGGTGGTCACTGAGGCAGTGAATAGGGAGGGACCCTGGAGGGGACAGAACTGGACTTGTGCTCTGGTTTGCGCCAGGACCACAGTGCTCCCAAGGCAGGGACCAGGGGTGCTGGCTTACATTAGGGTCACATGCTCTGCACCCCAAAACGCTGACACTTTCACCAAACTGGAGGTTGGCTTTTCTTCCAAAGAGAACTTGCCGCAAGTGGCCAGCGATGGCCCGAGGACAGGCCACTCTGGTCAACAGGGACGTTCATTTCTGGAAAGTGCATAATGGCCCAGCCCAGCCCCTCTGCGGAGGCAGTGACAGGACACCCATGAGCCTCACAGTCAGGGATCGAGGCCAGAAGACACACAGAGAGAATAACAGAAACAATAAAATCAGAAGAGAGGAAAAGTGGAGGAGGAGGAGGAGGAGGAGGAGGAAGCATTTACAGAGCTTTTGCTGTGTTCGAGGCTGGTCCCAAATGATCTACTTGTTGTCATCTTTAATCCTCATAACGCTCTGTTGTTTTTCTCATTTTATGGGTAATGTAACTGAAGCTCAGAGGAGGTCAGTCGGTTGCCCGGGGCCACCCAGCTAGGAAACAGGAGCGCCAAGGCTTGAAACCGGGAGGCCTGATTCCAGATCTCATATTATAAAGAGAAAACACAATAAGGAGAGGCCACCAGGTAGCAGAATCCTCAGGCCAGCAGAGGCCACCAAACAGTGGAGGCCCCAGGGCAGCAGAGGCCACAGAACAGCAGAGGCCACGGAACAGCAGAGGCCACGGGACAGCAGAGGCCACGGGGCAGCAGAGGCCACAGGACAGTGGTGGCCACGGGATGGCAGAGGCCACGGGACAGCAGAGGCCATGGGGCAGCAGAGGCCATGAAAGAGCAGAAGCCATGGAACAGCAGAGGCCATGGGGCAGCAGAGGTCACGGGACAGCAGAGGCCATCCAGGTTGAGAGCCAGTGGCTGGGCCAGCGGGACAGCAGGAACAGAGTGAGACGCAGTGGCTGCCCTGCAAAAGCACAAGACCCTCCGCTGTTGGCGGAACTGCTGCCTGTCCTGACCCATAGCCCGAGCCTGCGGCTCTGCCTGGCACTGCTGCAGCCCTTCTGTGCCTCCTTGTCTTTCACCAGAGTGGGAAACTGAGCACTCTCTACCTAACACTTTGAAGATCACACCAAGGCTACCTAGAACCCTTCTCCAATATTTCTCCCTGTCCCCGGCCCTCCACTCGCAGCAGCAAAAATCCTTCCTTCCGGTTTTGCCCCAGCACCCCCACATCCAAGCCACGTGCTGCTTCAAGGCAGCACTTAGGGGATGACTCTCTGGGTCCTTGCAGAGAACAGCCCTTGCTGCACATCTCTGTCTCCCCATTTTGATGTGGTCCCCTGATGTTGGGTGCATGCCTGCTACCCCCTTCCCCCCGCCACACACACACATACACACACACACGTGCAAAGGCCAGGCACCCCCTCCTGCCCTGGTTACCAGGCCTCCCTGCAGGAGGCCATTCCTGGGGCCGGTGGCCTGGGCGCTCACCTTGCAGAGTTACTTCTCATTGGAAGCCACACAGCCTGTAATGACCCTGAGCATTTCCCGGAATTAATGGCCAGCGGGATTAATAGTGCTCGGCGACACCCCGGGCCATTAGGCACCAGGAAGCGGCACACCTCGGTGGCTGCTGCTTAAGTGGAAGACATTAGCAGGCTCACAACAACGTCTCGCCAGGAGGGGCTTCTCAGAAGAGCTCCTGGTCCGCGCTTATCACTGGGCAAGCCCAGCAAGGGCTGTGGCCACAGGCAGGGGTACAATCCCAGAACCCCTGCTCCAGCTTCCAGAGGCTTCTGTTTGGCCTGGGATCACTTTTCCTCTGGAGCTCTCATGTGTGTGTGTCTGTCTGTCTGTCTGTGTGTGTGTGTGTCTGTGTGTGTGTGTGTGTGTGTCTGTGTGTGTGTGTGTATGTGTGTCTGTCTCTGTGCATGTCTGTATCTTTGTGTGTCTATGTGTATCCATGTGTGTGTCTGTGTGTGTGTCTGTGTCTGTATGTGTGGGTGTGTGTCTGTTTGTATCTGTGAGTCTGTGTCTGTGTGTGTGTGTCTGTGTCTGTGTGTGTGTGTCTGTTTGTATCTGTGTGTCTGTGTCTGTGTGTGTCTGTGTGTGTGTCTATGTGTCTGTGTTTGTGTGTGTGCCTGTGTGTCTGTGTGTCTATATGTGTGTTTGTGTGTGTGTCTGTGTCTGTGTGTGTGGGGGTGTGTGTCTGTTTGTATCTGTGTGTCTGTGTCTCTGTGTGTGTGTCTGTGTGTCTGTGTGTGTGTCTATATGTGTGTCTGTGTGTGTGTCTGTGTGTCTGTGCGTGTGTGTGCCTGTGTGTCTGTGTGTGTCTGTGTGTGTGTCTGTGTGTCTGTGTGTCTGTGTGCCTGTGTGTCTGTGCCTGTGTGTGCCTGTGTCTGTGTGTGTCTGCGTGTGTCTGTGTGTCTGTGTGTGTGTCTGTGTGTCTGTGAATGTCTGTATGTGTCTGTGTGTGTGTCTGTGTGTCTATATGTGTGTGTCTGTGTGTCTATATGTGTGTCTGTGCATGTCTGTGTGTGTGTGTCTGTGTGTGTCTCTGTGTCTATATGTCTGTGTGTGTCGGTGTGTCTGTGTATGTGTCTGTGTCTGTGTGTGTCTGTCTATATGTGTGTGTCTGTGTGTCTGTATGTGTGTCTGTACATGTCTGTGTGTCTATATATGTGTCCGTGTGTGTCTGTGTGTCTATGTGTCTATATGTCTGTGTGTCTGTGTCTGTGTCTGTGTGTCTGTCTGTGTCTGTGTGTATCTGTGTGGATGTCTCTGTGTGTGTGTGTATGCATGTGTGACAGTGCCTCCTCACTCTGCTTCATGAAGGACCATCCCCTCCCCACTCCGTTTGTCACCATGCTGAGTCCAGAGCCACCTCAACTACCCTTCCCCACTTCAAGGCCTTTGCACATCACCCCTCTCTTTACTCCACACGAGGTTTTCAAGTACGTACAAGTGCCAGGCCCTGGGCAGGCACAGGGCTTCCACGGTGCACAGGAATGAGGAGCCCTGCCCCGGATGGGGCTTGCAGGCTTGTAGTCCAGAGCGGGGATGTGACAGAATGATCCTTAGTGCCAGAATATTAGGCAAGAGTTTTCCCAAAATTGTCCTTTAGAAGACGGGGTGCTGCTGTGTGCTCCGGGCTTTGCGAAGTCTCTGTCCTACCGCAGGGCTCTGCTCCCAATTCCGTTCAGCCTGAACTTAAAGGAAGAGACCTATTCATCCTACAAGCCCCGCCGTCAGTGCTAATGTTGGATGCTTATAGAGGTCACCTGATGGAATAGGTTAAAAAAAAAAAAACGGGGAAAGAAAATAAACAGAACAAAAATACCTATTCCTGGGGAGGGGGTGTGGTCTCAAAACTGCAGCTGCGAGGTGTCACAGGAAAGCAGTCTTTTAAGGGTCACATAGGAAAATAAGTCAAGTGGTTATTTTATGGAGAATATGGATCCCAAATGGAGCTCACAGCTTTGGATGCATTTCTGGAGGCTGGAGTGCAGTGGCGCGATCTCAGCTCACTGCAACCACTGCCTCCTGGGTTCAAGTGATTCTCCTGCCTCAGCCTCCCAAGTAGCCGGGATTACAGTTGCACACCACCACGCCCAGCTAATTTTTGTATTTTTAGTAGAGACAGGGTTTCAGCATGTTGGCCAGGCTGATCTTGAACTCCCGGCCTCAGGCGATTTGCCCGCCTCAGCCTCCCAAAGTGCTGGAATTACAGGCATGAGCCAAAGCATCTTTAGGGATTCAAATGAATCCATACCACTGAAGGCAGGAGCCTGAGAAAACAGCTCCCCCGAGAGCCAAGGCAGTGAAAGTGGAGGGGGCACTGTGTGAAAATTTTAGTGCAATTTATTCCTGGCATGGGAGAATAAAAAAGCATTCCCAGTGAGTGTACTTCCTTGCATAAAAAGTGATTTCAAATGGTAGTTCTACTTTTAGTTCTTTAAGGAATCTCCACACTGTTTTCCATAGTGATTGTACTAGTTGACATTCCCACCAGCACTGCAGAAGCGTTCCCTGATCACCACATCGATGCTGAGATCTATTTTTTTTTTTATTTTTAGACTATGGCCATTCTTGCAGGAGTAAGGTGGTATTGCATTGTGGTCTTGATCTGCATTTCCCTGATCATTAGTAATGTTGAGCATTTTTTCATATGTTTTGCTGGCCATTTGTATATCTTCTTTTGAGAATTCTCTGTTCATGTCCTTAGCCCACTTTTTGATTGAATCATTTGTTTTTTCTTGCTAATTTGTTTGAGTTCGTTGTAGATACTGGATATTTGATCCAGCAATCTTACCACTGGGTATCTACTCAGAGGAAAAGAAGTCATTATACAAAAAAGATACTTGCACGCACATGTTTATAGCAGCGCAATTCGCAATTGCAAAAATGTGGAACCAGCCCAAATGCCCATCAATCAATGAGTAGATAAAGAAACTGTAGTATACATATATGATGGAATACTACACAGCCATAAAAAGGAATGAATTAATGGCATTCACAGCGACCTGGATGAGATTGGAGACTATTACTCTAAGTGAAGTACCTCAGGAACAGAAAACCAAACATCCTATGTTCTCACTCGTAAGTGGAAACTAAGCTATGAGGATGCAAAGGCATAAGAATGACACAATGGACTTCAGGGACTCAGGGGAAAAGGATGGGAAGGGGGTGAGGGATAAAAGACTACAAATTGTGTGCAGTGTACACTGCTCCGGACATGGGTGCACCAAAATCTCACAAATCACCACTAAACAACTTACTCATGTAACCAAACACCACCTGTTCCCCAATAACCTATGGAAAGAAAATTTTTTTAAAAAAAAATTGATTTCGGGGCAGGGCACAGTGGCTCATGCCTGTAATCCCAGGACTTTGGGAGGCCAAGGCAGGAGGTTCACTTGAGCCCAGGAGGTCGAGGCTGCAGTCAGCTACCATTGCACCACTGCACTCCAGCCTGGGTGACAGAATAAAGCCCTAGCTCAAAAAAAGTGATTTCAAGTATGCATTGCAACATAGTTAATAACTATTATAAAGAAGCATTGGACTATTTTGACTTCGTCCTTATGAGTTTCTATATACAAACAAGACCCCCACCAAAAAAGTTCTCATCTTTTCATTGGGAAAATAGTTGATCTCCTTGTGTTCAGACATGAAGGCACAAACAATAATTACATCATAAACCACTTAATTAAAACAGTGTTACGAGCAGCAAGGGAGGAGTGGAAGGTGCTATGAGACCAGAGGAACAAATCCTTAAAGAAGCTCTGCCTGTGTTGGTATTGAAAGAAGAAAAGAGATTGGCCGGGCTGACCCGGCTGGTGATCAAGGGGCTTCCAGGCAGACAGCACAGCAGGGGCAATGGCCCTGCGGTGTGGAGGAGCAGGGAAGGCCCCTCCCATGGAAGCCCAGGGGGCAAGGGCCTCTCAGGGACTCTGGCCTCTCTTTCCGGGGCAAGTGGGAGCCACTAAAGGGTTTTATATAGCAGAGAAGTGTGATCTGTGTCCATTTTGTTGCTGCTGTTTTAAGAGATGGGCTGTTGATTTCTTTCTTTTTTTTTCAGAGATAGAGCCTTATTTATTTATTTATTAGAGACAAGGTCTCATGTTTCCTTTTCTTTTCTTTTCTTTTTTTTTTTTTTTTTTTGACAGGATCTCACTTTGTCACCCAGACTGGAGTGCAGAGGTGCCATCTTGGCTCACTGCAGCCTCAACCTCCTGGGCTCAAACAATCCTCCTGCCTCAGCCTCCCAAGTAGATGGGACCACAGGTGCATGCCACCATGCCTGGATAATTTTTTTCTATTTTTTGTAGAGTTGGGGTTTCACTATGTTGCCTAGGCTCGTCTCAAACTCCTGAGCTCAAGCAATCTGCCTGCCTTCGGCCTCCCAAAGTGCTGGAATGACAGGCGTGAGCTGCCGTGCCCGGCCTTCAGGTTCTTATTTTTAGGAGGTCCCTCTTAATGCATCCCACAGTTCTCATGCTCATTATCTGAGCTCTGGGGACCCAGCAACTTGCATTTCCCATTGTGACGTCCTTCACTGTTTCCGGTAAGTTTTTCCTGAAAACTGGACTCAACGCCCTGTGGCCAGGGCTCTCCCTTCCCTCTGCAACAGGGCTCAGCATGCAGGAGATGCTGAGAAGAGACTCTACATATGCCAGCATTTGGAGCAAAGGTGAAGGCCATCAGTCTGCATAAGGCATTTATTTGTGCATAACCTCCAGATGGACAAAGATAAAGAACCAAGTATGAAGGCAGTTCCACAGGGAGCACCGCGTTCCCCCAGCCTTGAAAGCTGCCCAGAAGGGGTGGCATCTTCTCCTGGCAGGAAGGCCTAAGGCTGGCAGGGCAGACCTGGCCGCTGCAGCTCTCCACCCCGCAGCGGACCCAGGAGACGCACTCCCAGCAGCACCCTGGACACCTCCGCCTGAGTCCCCAATCACACAGGGCCACACAGCACAGGAGGGTACAGTGTGTACAAGTTAGCACAAAGTCAGAAGTTCCCTTGAAAGTCTCTCAGGAAGCCATCACCCAGGACGCCGACCTCCCTCCCCTCAGTGGGTTCAACACAAGCCAGCATTTGGGGCAGACCATGTTCCTTCCATTAAGCACTTGATGAAATTGATGGCTTGCATTTAGGGGCAAGTTGTATGAAAAATACGTCCTTAAGCCCAGGCATCTCTCTGCGCTGTGAGATGATCCGCGCGGAGATCTGAGAGGTACATAGAAAGTGGGACCCATCGGGCGAATGTCAGATCCTTGACTACCAGCCCACTCACCCAGGGGCGTGTGCCCAAGTGGAGTGGCCGGAGGAAGACGCACATAATCTAAACTGTGACCTCTAACCCCCCTGTCACTCAGAGGTGAATCCTAAAGTGACCTGCCTCAAGAGTTGCCTCCACCAAGCCACCAACCCCTGAGCTGATGGGAGCTGCACCTGGGCACTTGCCAGGATCCAGCGGGACCAAGGCTGGGATCTGCTGTGGCCCAGGGCCCTCAGCCTCAGTGCAAAAGAGGAAGGGGACCCAAGGTGCAGGGGTTGGAGCTGTCAGGGCTGAACCCTGGCTGTGGTGAGTCTTGCCGCAGGCCAGGCTGGCCTCGACACTGTGCACCCGCGGGGACGGTGAGCAGCAGGGGACCGTCCTGGGCATGAGGACTCTCACGCTCAGGGTCAGATGCGCGGTGATAAAGGGAAGCTCCACTCCACCTCATTTCGGCGTGGTTCTGGGTAGACCCCGCTGAACAAGAGCTCTCCCTCCCCCGAGCCAGCCGCCTAACCCATGAAGTTTCTGTGTTTTGTGTGCCTCTGTTCAAACCGGAAATATTACCTTGGCTTTTATTTACATTTTCTGATGATGAAACCGGCTTTAAAATGCCCCACGCCCTAGTGGAGGGGGCTCTGGTACAACTCGCGCGCAGTTGGGGTGGATGAAGGGCCCCACTTCACCTCATCTCTCCTTTCTGCTTAAATATTATGCCATATCCTGATTAATACCAGACCAATAAAATCATCTCCGCAATCTGGTTAGAGGCTTTTGTCTTCCCAGATGGCCTGCAATGTTAATGTGTGACAATTTCAACAATGAACTAGGACTGTTTTATGGAACCAACATTTGTTCCACTGCTTTTTTTTTAGACTCAGAATTTTGACACAGATGGTACAAATTACTCAAAAAACAGAAATGTTCATTTAGAAGGCTTAAATATGTGGTTTTACTCAGGCCATCAGAATATTTTACATTTGCAATTCAGTAAATTTACTAACAACCCTGCTATAATTAAGGTCTGTAAAAAAAAAATCCCTTTCTCCAGCTTTTTATATCTATAGAGTTTCATTAAAGCCAGGGAAAAAATATTATTATTTATTCTAGTGGTGCAGTGTTCTTATTTCCTCGTGACATATATTGTTCGCCTCTGCTTTCTGTTTCCCGGATCGTTTCTCACTGCTGCGGAGGACGGAGGAGGAAGCGGGTAGGTGAGTTAGGCTGCCCCTAGATCTCCCCTAGCACCCCACAAGCCAGGTTTCAGCTCCAAGTCACTGATGCCAATTGTTGCAACCACAACATCTGCTAGAACCTTCTGCAAAAGAGGATGCTAGTGTCTCCTTGGGTCTCCCATCTACCGTCTCTGCAAGGACAGACCCCAAAGCACAAACCCTTTCACAGCCAGGGTTAGTTCTTTGTTTCTGAAGATATTGACATTATTCTTGTTACTGTCACCTAACATCTGAGTGTTTGTTCTGTATCGGGCACAGGGCAGGCCACTCTCCACGAATCATCTCGGTCTAATAACCCCAGTAGCCCTCTGAAGAATAAAATGCAGTGCTTTCTCGATTTTACAGTAAGGAAGTTGAGTCTCAGAGAGATTATGCAGTAGTCAAGTTCTCACAGAAGCCTAGAGCACTAACAATGAATAAGAAGCATACAAACAAAAACTGGTATTTTCTGAGCGCTTACTCTGTGCTAGGTACTGTCTAGTCCTTTCCACATATTATCTCCTTTATCCTCTAACCTTCCTTTTTTAATTTTTAAAGACGGGATCTGGCTCTGTCCCCCAAGCTGGAGTGTAGTGGCACAATCACAGCTCACTGCAGCCTCAAACTCCTGGGCTCAAGTGATGCTTCGACCTCAACCTCCCAAGTAGCTGAGACTACAGGCATGCACCATCAGGCCCGGCTAATTGTTTTATGTTCTGTAGAGATGGGGTCTAGTTATGTTACTCAGGCTGGTCTTGAACTTCTGGGCTCAAATGACCCTCCCACCTTGACCTCCCAAAGCTCTGGGATTACAGGCGTGAACCTCCACACCGGGCCCTCCTTTAACCTTCCTTTGAAAAACGTGAGGACTGAGGTTTGGAGAAGTTAAGAGTAAGGGTGATGAAGGCCACCCCGGGTAGAGGCAGCCAGTTAGACTGAGAATCCATCAGTTCAGCCAGAGGCCGAGGGGACTGGTGGGGAAATTATAGGGGGAGCTTAAGAACCAGGGGATGCCCAGGCTGTCTGCAGTTCTGGTCTCTCAGCTCTGAGAGGATGCCCCTATAAAGGGGAAGTTGTTGGGCCCTGAGAACCATCACACGCTCAAGGTCATCCTCCTCTTCCCTTCTGAACCTCTCAAAGCTGTTTTCTGAGCCTATACTGCCCCATACACAAATTTGGGTTCCTGGAAGCCCTCGTCTTCAGCACACTAGAGGGCAGGAGCTTGGTCTCTCCATCTCTGCCCTCACTCCACCCCCGACCCGGTGGGGATCCAGGCACACAGTGGGCACCAAGCGCTAATGAGAACTATTGCAAAATGGAAGACACAAGTCATGGCTTCCTCCAAGCGCTTAGAGCCCCAGTGCAGGTCCAAATAAGTGCCCTCTGAACCTGCAGGTTGCTTTTCAGGGGTCAAGGTCAGGGATGCCTGAGGAGAGGCATGAAATCTCTTACGTGGGGTTTGGAACATGAGATGCTTAGTAAATGTCTGCTGTTTATTTTACTTTCATGATTATGATTCTTTTGAAAAATCTAATTAAATCTGTAACTTTCCTGTTCTGGGGTTGGGGGGCAGTTTCCAAGCCTTGTTTTGGGGGCTTCTGAGTGTGCTCCAGGCAATCCCTCAGGACCCTCCAGTTGAGCTCACCCCTCCTGGCTGCATTTGTCATTGTACTGATGTCAACCCAAGGAAAAATGCGCCCACCACACAGAACCTCAACAGGACAGGGAGTCCTCGCCATTTCCCTCTGCCCAACAACCTGAAGGAGGATCTGTTTAAATATTGTTTCTGATATTATTTTTCCGATAATAATGGCAAGGACAGAAAACAACACCAGGGTCCTGCTCGTGGCTTCACTTGACCACAGTTTTGTTGGTGTGTGCTTTGTGTATCAGGTGATAGCCAGTTCTGCTTCTGCCTTGGTTCCCGTGGTCCCATTATGTAAACAAATAATTTATTTCAACTTTTGAGTTAAAAAAATTTAATGCATCAACCATTGTTGTCCTTTGCTAATTGTTGCAGTAAGTACCATGCATTTATGTGTGAAGCTTCAATTCATTAGAGGATTCTATTAGCACTGCCAACAGAAAGTGCATTCTGAGTTTTTAAATGTTGTTTCCATTAAAATCAATCACTCCTCACAATTAAGCCAATAGTCTCACCATTTTTGCTGCTATGAGCTAAAGCATCCTAAATATATTGACAGCTGTCTTCAATAGGATGACACAAACGGGGGAAGGGGGGCAGGCCTAAGACTAAATGTCACCAAAGGGAGCAAGTGAGCTCCTCTTGCTGAAATGCACCTCATTTTCATACCCCAGAAGGCATTTAGTACACTTTTTTTTTTGCAGTGGCAACATACAGTAATCAATGTTTTGCATATTACAATCAATAACACACTTAAATGTTTAAGTTTTGCATTCTTTTGCAATAAATATTGATATATTACAAACTCTGGAAAAACTGTTCATTGGACTTTTTGTTTGCACTGTGTACTGTATCATTCAGCAAATAAGTGAGCTAAATATTGTTTGTTACAAAACAGATGTCAAATAAAATTATGCCATATGTGCTATTAAACACTTTTCTTATTTTTTTTTTCAGCAAAACCCAAGACTTAGTTTCAGAAGTGAATGTATTTGGCTTTTCAAGGATTTGAAGCATAAAAGCAACATCTTTGAAATATTTTTAAACCTGCTGGCTTTGTGTAATCCAGTTTTGTGAGCTAATTCTGAATATTATTACAGATTTAAAATAAAATATAGATAGATAAATAGAGACATAGATACATACTCAAAAATCTAGGGGTTCAGATTAATCTGTAATTGCCAAAGAAAGAAAATCAAGGAAAACCCTGTGCAAAAATAATTTTAAATGTAAATCAATATAAATATAGAGGGAGAGATAGGAAATTTGGAGAGTTCTTCTCTAAGTGGCTGACTAGAGGCTTTGAGAAGGTTGAAGAGAAATTTTTTTTAAAAAAATTGCCCCTGCAGAGTAAAAGTCTGAGGGCTGTTTGGAGATGTTTGGTGATTCAGGTGGTGTGTGAGGTGATTCCGGTGGTGTCTGGGCTGTGAGGGAGAAGGTGCAAGGTCTGTATCTCCCCAGGTGATCAGAGAGACTGGAATGAAAAGAGGAGGAAGGTCTGTTCAGAGCAATCGCCAGCTCCAAGAGGGCTCTGCAAGACAGGGAAGGAGGCGGGGGGCGGGGGTGCAGGGACATCGACCCCAGGCTGTCCTGACCAGCATGCGCCACCCACACCCACCCAGCAAGCCCCCTTCCTTCCCCTTGCTGGGGCCAGCAGGGCGTCCTCCACCCCAGCCCTGTCAGAAGCGTTTGCACTAGATGGATGGCTCGCTCAGCCTGGGGAAGTGTGAAATGTGAAACAGAATGAGCAGAATGCAAGAAACATGTTGCTAAGAGCCACCGAGTGAAACAAAATCTGGAAGCCCCAGCATCCTGGCGTTGGCACCCATGGCCCTGATAACTTCCACCCACGAATGGAGGCAAATGGAGGCAGGGACGGCAGCAAGGTGAAAAGGCCAGCCCTGCTGCAGGGGCGACACTGAGCGGAGGCCACTCAGCCCCTGGCTGCGCCCTCCACGCTGCACATCTTCAAAGGCTGCCCCAGCTCCCAGGTGTCCGCGTCCACCTGGGACCTTGGAATGGGGCTGATCTCAGAGACGCTGACACAGCCACGACGTGTGGGCATGACCTCTCTGCCTGGAATGTCTCGTCTCCTCCAAAATCACCTGAGCCCCTGAGCAGGCAGAAGCAGCACTGCTTCTCACCCTCCATGGACTATCACCCCGCATCCCCCTGCAGTGGATACCCCTCGTGGGCCAGGGGCAGTGAGAGACCCTCTCACCCACTCACCCAGCCCATGCCCAGATCTCTTGCAGAGCACATGTGGGCAACCTGAGTATGGAGAGGAATCCATGCCCTCGGGGGTCACCTCGACCTAGGGGGACGGCACCAATGGGTAAATGAGTCCCCACTTTGTTTCTCCAGATGGACACTTGAGAGCTGCATTTTATATGACTCCTTAGACAATTCTGCCCACCTCCCTCGGCCCCCATCAACTGGGATGATGTCCCCAGTAAGCTATACGCCCTCAGGCCTGACCTCAGGCTCTGCATTCCAAGAGAAACCCAGCTTGAGGCAATCTCCATGTCCAGTCTCCTC
Source organism: Homo sapiens (assembly GCF_000001405.40). Lineage (NCBI taxonomy): Eukaryota > Metazoa > Chordata > Mammalia > Primates > Hominidae > Homo > Homo sapiens. The sequence continues at coordinate 30,106,618 of NC_000019.10, read as the reverse complement.
AACACTGTGCTTCCAGTGTTCCTGTTGGTCCCCAACATCATGTTGACATTTGGCGAGGGTCCAGGCCCCAGGCAGGTGCTTTCGGCAGCTGACTGCTTAGCAGGGATTTTCTGGGACTGATCAGTCTGTTTCAACCAAGAGGTGCATGTCTTTAACCGATGGCTACTGTCCTCTTTTTTTTTTTTTTTTTTTTTTTTGAGACAGAGTTTCGCTCTTGTTGCCCAGACTGGAGTGTAGTGGCGCAACCTTGGCTCACTACAACCTCCGTGTCCTGGGTTCAAGTGATTCTCCTGCCTCAGCCTCCCGAGTAGCTGGGATTACAGGCAAGCACCACACCACACCCAGCTAATGTTGTATTTTTAGTAGAGGCGGGGTTTCTTCACGTTGGTCAGGCTGGTCTCAAACTCTCAACCTCATGTGATCTGCCCACCTCAGCCTCCCAAAGTGTTGGGATTACAGACGTGAGCCACCACGCCCGGCCGGCTACTGTTCTCTTTAAGCATTCTTAGCTCATTCAAAGAGATGTTCTTCAATGAATATCATTGACACACTGTGACAACAGCCCCAGGAACAATGATTCCTGAGCCCGCACATTCCACAGAGACCCAGACCGGCCCTGGAAGGGCCCCAGGAACAGTGCATCTCAGCACCGGCCCTCTGGCTGGACTCTGGCCATGGTGAAATATTAACACATCTGTGTACTTGTCAGTCACCTCGTTAGTTTCAGTCTCAGTCATCCTGCGTGATGCCCTTCATGTTTCAAGCACAGGATCCCTTCTGAGCCCGCATTGTGTGCCCAGCCCAACTCTGGAAGATGGCAGGCAAGAAAACAGATCCTAACTCACAATGGGCCTGAGGAGGCAACAGAGCTCTGTCCACCAAACCTTACTCCAGAGTCAGAGTTTCGAGGAGGACCTGGAAAAACGAGGAACTGTGCATCACCCAGGGCAGTGGCAGAGCTGAAAATATCCCCAGGTTCAAGAAAGGTGTGGCCAGGCACATGGCGGACAGGTCAGCCCTGAGGGGAGGGAGGGCTGGGGCCTACCAGGGACCATGTCTGTGCATCCCAGTCCACCGGGCATGGTGGGAGTGAGAGTTCTGCCCCCGTCTGCACTCCACATGCTTCCGTGGGTGAGTGTACTGCTTCCGGGGCCTGGGGTCTGTTCACCTGGGCATTGGGCTTGCTGTCCCACAGGACTGGAGATCCAGAGTCCAAAAGGCACAGTGGCTGCTGAGTCTCCCAGTACCACAGAGTGACCAGAACCCATGGCCATGGCCACAACACAGAGCTCCATGGACGCAGGAGTGTCACGAGGACCCATCCCCACCATACAGAGCTCCATGAACACAGGGGTGTCACCAGGACCCGTCCCCACCATACAGAGCTCAATGAACACAGCGGTGTCACCAGGACCTGTCCCCACCACACAGAGTTCCATGGACACAGGAGTGTCACTAGGTCCCGTCCCCAACACACAGAGCTCCATGGACACAGGAGTGTCACCAGGACCCGTCCCCACCACACAGAGCTCCATGGACACAGGAGTGTCACCAGGACCCGTCCCCACCACACAGAGCTCCATGGATACAGGGGTGTCCGCAGGGCCCATCCCCACCACACAGAGCTTCTGTGGGGACCACGATGTCACCAGGGCCCATCCCCACCACACAGAGCTCCATGGACACAGGGGTGTCATGAGGACCCGTCCCCACCATGTAGAGCTCTGTGGGGACGGGTCCTGGTGTCACCAGGATATGTCCCCACCACACAGAGCTCTGTGGGGACCAGGATGTCACCAGGGTCCATCCCCACCACACAGAGCTGCATGGACACAGAGGGGATGGAGGGAATCACTTACAGGCCCTGGGGTAGGGAGGGAAGGCTCCTCAGGAGAGGTGAAGAACTTGGTCAGGAAGGATGAGGTGGACCTGGGAGAAACAGAAGGTGAGAGGGATTCACCAGAACAAAGGCCGAGAGAGCCCAGCAAAAAGGCCACCACCCTGCATGGCCTCCAGCCTTCACTTCCGACACACGGATGCCTTATCCTGAGGCTCATTCTCCCTATTCATGAACTACCTTGTGTGGACTTCTCAGCACTGCCTCCAGCACACCTACACTGTAAAGCAGTAAGGAGAATGGACTTGGTCCTGAGGAAGCGGGATCATTGACTATTTTAAACTGGGGCCAGGGGTACCTCATCAGATTCTCAATTTAGAACCTCCCTTCTTCAGCTGTGCTGAAAATGTTTTTTCAAAGAAGTTAAGAGGCTGGAAAAAGCAGTGCAGCTGGGGCTGTGGAGAGGGTGTGTGGAGGGGATACAGGGTGGGAGAGAGCTGGAATCTACAGGACTGAGGAAGGGGAGGCAGGGGGGCCAGGTGAGTGGGGGGTTGTCAGGTGAGGGAAAGGGAGGGAACTGCCAGAATGACCCCTAGCACCCGGCTGGCCCCCTGGGTACCTGGTGGCGCCCTTCACGAGGGTGGAAGGCATTGCAGGAGCCGTGGATGAGCCACTAATGGATGGAATATCCTATTACTTGCCCCCACCACGTGATTGGGACCGATGCAGCTAGCCATGAAGAGTGGAGGTAGGAAGCTGGCGTTCCTTGATGTTCTCTTGGTTGAGTTTCATCTTTTGGTAGCGGACAGGTCAAGCCAAGAAAGAGAGCATTTTGGAGGCTGGGACACTGCTCTGGGAGCCTGGGAGAAGGGAGGGAAGGAGAGGGGCTGGAGCGGAGAGGTCTGGTTCTCCAGAGGCAGCAGGAACACCAGGGAAGGTGAGAGGCTACTCGGGCTGGAGGTGGGTGGGACGGCAGCAACAAGCAGTTGGCAGCATTTGGAAGGGAGCTGGCCTGGGGGTGACCTTGACTCTCTAACCACTACCCATCTTATACTCAGTGTTCCCCCCTGTAAAACATGCTGGGATTCTGGGCCTTTGTGAACTTTATCTTACATGCTTAGAGCATCAATTTCTTTTTTTTTTTTTTTCTTTTTTTGAGACGAAGTCTTGCTCTTTCTCCCAGGCTGGACTGCAGTGGTGCAATCTGGGCTCACTGCAACCTCTGCCTCCTGGGTTTAAGTGATTCTCCCACCTCAGACTCCTGAGTAGCTAGAATTACAGACGTGTGCCACCACGCCCGGCTAATTTTTGTATTTTTAGTAGAGACGAGGTTTCACCATGTTGGCCTGGCTGGTCTCAAACTCCTGACCTCAGGTGATCCACCAGCCTTGGCTTCCCAAAGTGCCGGGATTACAGGTGTGAGCCACTGAGTGGGGGGTCGGGGGGTCATCAAATTCTAACCACTAAATCGGGGATTGCAAAAGAGACCGGGGCCAAGGTCAGAAAAAGAGCATGTGGCCTTCTGAGACAATTGTTGGTGGCCTCAGCCACAGCAAGACACTGTGGGGAGTGGTGGAGACTGCAGCCACCTGGACCATACATGCTCCATTGAGACGGGGCAGCTGCTGCACAGAATGAGATGGGGGATCTAGGGGACTGTAAATCTGGTGTGGGTTTCTTTTTCCTCAACAAAACCCGGACATCTAAACTTAAAGACAAAGCAAACAACATCCCCCAAAAACGTAAAAATCAAACTGCCAACAGGCCACACAAAAGACTGTGGAGGGTGTGCAGAGCCCACAAGCCTTGGGTTTGTCACCTGTGCTTTCAATCAAAAATTCCTATAAATCCTCGCTCTCCAGTGGAACCCGCAGATCCAGACCCTTGGAAGCCGGAGCCCAGTGGATTCGCCGTCTGTGAGGATGGTGAGAAGCTGGAGCCTGGGTGGAGCGTCTCTGGGAGCTAACAAAGAAAGATTTCTGAGGCCAGATCTCAAAATGTTAATCAGATTCAGAGACATAAAACATGACAATTTAATGGTGTTTGGTGGAAACTGAAAATTCTTTAAAGTTCTAACTATCCAAAATTGAATTCTAACACTTTTTTAATTATTAGATATAAAATGCTTATAATTTTAGGGGGAAATTAGACTTGGTAATTTATATTTCTTGTTTATACAGTGCAATTTGCTGATGAAAAAATGTGCTAAACTTATTGATTCATGACCATAATTGTTTAATTATTTATCATTGCAGAATGGTATTAGCATTGCTAATAATGCAGATGTGCACAAAGGCTGAGGAGTCAGAGGCAGCTTTTGTTTGGGGTGCGCAGGGCTCCGGGAAGCCTGTTTCAGGACAGAGGGCGGCCTGCCTGGGACGCGATGTCCCCAGGCCACACCTGCCTCTACAAGAATGACTGCAGAAGAATTGATCACCTTGGTAGCGGTGGAACTGCAGGGCCAGACATTGCCCAAAGTGTGGCCCCACAGATCCTACTTTCTGAGCTTAGAGCCTCCAAGTTCAGTCCTGTCTCTCTGAACTCAGAGCCTGAGCTAGGAGACAGATTCGTGGCCATCGTGAGGGTCCCTCATTCCATGAACAGCCTGAATGGCAAAGTCATCTGATACTGTTTGGGTGTTTGTCCCCTCCAAATCTCATGTTGAAATTTGATCCCAATGTTGGAGGTGGGGCCTGGTGGGAGGCTTTTGGGTCATGCGGGGAGATCCTTCATGAATAGCTTGGTGCTGTCCACCCTGGGGTAATGAGTGAGTTCTCACTCTGTGTTCATCCGCAATCTGATTGTTTAAAAGAGTATGGCCCCTCTCCGCCTTCTCTCTCTTGCTCCATCTCTCGTCATGTGACATGCCAGCTCCCCCTTTGCCTTCTGCTATGAGTAAAAGCTCCCTGAGGTCTCACCAGAAGCCAAGCAGATGCTGGCACCATGCTTGTATGGCCTGCAGAACCATGAGCCAAATCAACCTCTTTTCTTTATAAATTACCCAGTCTCAGGTATTCCTTTATAGCAACACAAGTGAACTAGGACACCAACCTCATCCACTCACTCAGCATGGCCCAGCTAACCTTCTGCACAAGGAACCAGAGAACTTGTGGAGAGCCAGGCTCACAGACCTGGGAGGGGTCAACAGAAGCTTCTTCCATCTCCCCATATGGGTCATTGGCTAAATGTTCATGTTCTCAACCATCAGGTAAATCCCAAGGGGGCATAAAGCCAAAAGAAAGTCTAGAGTGACGCAGGCGATGCAGGACCCTAAGTCCCACACTTGCTCTCAGAACTAGTAGCTCATCTAATCAACCTGCTCACATGACAAACAGGGAAACTGAGTCTTCAAGGGAAGACCAGATGCACTGAGTAATCATCCCCTGTAGCCTTCAGGAGAGTCAAGTGTAGAAGTCAAGGGAGGTGTGGAGTGAGTCTGAAGGTCACAGCCTGGCCTAGAAACATATTTGGGAGTTGCTGGCACAGATGTGCTGGGGAGACCAAATTATTTATCTCAGCCCCTCACTCTCCTGTAATGGAACCATCCATCCACATCCTTGTCCCAGCTCTCAGTGGGCCAAGCAAACTTCCTCTCCCCTGACTCTGGGGTCAACCCAAAGCAGACCAGTGAGGCAGTAGCAGACACAGCAGAAGCAGAAGCTTGGATCATCTTGTTCTCTTGAGCTCCAGCATTTTCTTTGTGATGGTTAATTTTATGTGTCACCTTGCCTGAGCTAAGGGATGTCCACGTAGCTGGTGGAACCTTCTTTCTGGGTGTGTCTGTGGATGCTTCTTGGAGAGTTGAGCGTTTGAATCAGCAGACCGAGTGAAGATGACCACCATCTCCAATGTGGATGGTCCTCATCTGATGCAAATTTGCTCTCCCTCTCTTTGAGCTGGGACACCATATTTTCCTGTGCTTGGACACGAACATTCCTGGTTCTCAAGGTTTTCAGACTCAGACTGGGGGCTTCTCTGGTTCTCAGTCCTACAGGCTTGGACTGGGACCACACCACTGGCTTTTGGGCCTCCAGCACAGAGAGCAGATCATAGGACCTCTCAGCCTCCAAAATCATGTGAGCTGATCCCTCATAATGAATTTCTTTCTGTGTCTCTATACAGTCATGTGCACTTAACAATGGGGATACAGCCTAAGAAATGCATCATCAGGCAATTTTGCCACTGTGCAACTGACACAGGGCAGGCGAGCTCCAAATTTGGGCCTCAGGAGGATTCTTGGCTTTGCCCAGGAAAGAATTCAAGGCCAAGTCAGTGATACAGTAGAAGAAAACAGCTTTATTGAAGAGGCAGTGTTGCAGCTCTGTGACTGCTTCTGCAGAGCAGGGTTATCCCACTTCATTTGCTAAGGTCTGCAGTCAGATCCAGGGCAGGTCTGCAGTCAGATTTATATCCACTTTCAATCACGTGCAAATTTAGAGACAGCGTATGCAGAAATCCCTAGAAAAGGGGTGGTAACTTCCAGGTGTTGCCATGGCAATGGTAAACCAATATGGCACACGAATGGGCATGTCTTATGGAAAGGTGCTTCCACTCCGTCCCTGTTTTAACTAGTTCTCAATTAGGTCCAATGTCTAAGCCCCACCTCCAGAGTTGAGTCCCACCTACTATCTCACAACTGTCAGAGTGAACTTACACAAACCTAGATGGTACAGCCTACTACACACCTAGGCTGTATGGTGTAGACTATTACTCCAAGGCTACAAACCTGCACAACATGTTACTGTACTGAATACTGTAGGCAATTGTAACACAAAGGGAAGTACTTGTATATCAAAACCGTATCTAAGCATACACATGATACAGTAAAAATATGGTACACAGGATAAAAAATGGCACGCATCATGAATGGAGCTTGCAGGACTGGAAGCTGCTCTAAGTGAGTCAGTGAGTGAGTGGTGAGTGAATGTGAAGGCCTAGGGCATGACTGTAGACTTTATAAACACTGCACATTTTGGCTTCACTAAATTACTTTAAAATATTTTTCTTTCTTCAGTAATAAATTAACCTTAGCATGCTGGAACTTTTTTACTTTATGAACTTTTTTATTTTTTTAACTTTTTGACTCTTTTGTAATAACACTGCTTAAAACGCAAACACTTATAGAGCTGCACAAAAATATTTCCTTTATATCTTTTTTATAAGCTTTTTTCTTTTAACTTTTTAAACTTTTTTTTAAAAATGGAGACACAAACACATACATGAGGCTAGGCCTGCACAGGGGCAGGATCATCAATGTCCTCCACCTCCACATCTCATCCCACTGGAAGATCTTCAGGGGCAGTAATACGCATGGAGCTGTTGCCTCCCTTGATAGCAATGCTGTCTTCTGGAATCCCTCCTAAAGAACCTGTCTGAGGCTGTTTTACAGCTCAGGTGTAAATAATGGTATACCTGTATAGGACACTTACTTTTTTTATATAAGTAGCCCCACCTCTAGAGTTGAGTCCCAAGTTTACTCTGTGATAGTTGTGAGGTAGGAGGTCAGACTCAACTCTGGAGATGAGGCTCTAAAATAACAATTAGAAGTACGTTAACACGTAAACCAGTAACATAGTCATTTATTATCAGTATCAAGTACTATGTACTGTATGTAATTGTATGTGCTAGACTTTTGTACAATATGACGGGCTTGTTTATACCAGCATCACTGTAACAGTGGAGTGACGCGTTGCTCCATAATGTTACAATGCCTACAACACTAGGCAATTGGAATTCTCCAGCTCCATTATAATCTTATGGAATCACTATCGTATAAGCAGAGCATCATTAACCGAAATGTCATTATGTGGCACATGACTGTGTATGTACTATTGCTTCTGTTTCCCTGGAGAACCCTGACTAATACATGCTATGAGAAGATCAAGCCCATGTAACTGGCCCCAGAAGGAGGTGCATGGAGCAGAGCTACTGCAGCCAACCCACAGAGGCACAGACCAGAGATGCATGCTCACTGCTGTCTGACAATGAGAGGCAGGGAAGTTTATCTCACAGTAATATTGCAGCAATTGCTAACTGATAAGGTGAGTTTTAAAGCTGTAGGATTAGGTAGCATCATGCAGGGAGAAGGAGGGGCAGGAAAGAAGCCCAAGGAATAAACATGATAAACTCTAGCATTTAGAATAAGGAGGAAGAGCTACCCAAGAATGACTTCGCAGAAAGACAGAAGAAAGGACGTGGAGTGTGGAGGCCAAGAAAGTCATGTATTTCAAATAGGAAACATTCATGCTGCATGTGGCTAAGAGGTCAACTAAGATGAAGGCAGAAAAGCCTATTAGGTCCATGGACGTGAAGGTCACCAGTGACCAGAGCATGAGGGGGGGTGAAATACAGGGACAAAAGTGGAATCCTGGGCTACAGGAGTCAATGAGCCACTGGTGACAAGACAATAGATCCCAGGACCTTAGACACCCAAGAGCAGAGGATGGACAAGAAATTGGAAACACAAAGACGCCCATATCAGGTGGTCCATCAGTCAGTGGACAGGGGAGACATGATCATCTCCTTGCTACAGATGGGTAATCTGAAGGATCAAGGACGCAAGGCCACGCTGCAGGCCTGACACTAGGTTGAGGCCCTGGAGAGTAACATCTGGGCAGCCCAAGGAGGTCCCTTGTTCAGTCCCGCCCTCCCTGAGGGTGCTGGCCCCTCCTCTGGCACACCCAGCTGCAGAGGGCAGGCTGCCCCTTGTGGGGGGAGGTTTTGCTACTGCAGGTCTCTCATGCCTTTCCCTGAGACCATCTCACCTCCCACCTAGCCACAGGCCCCAAGAGGGCAGAACTGACCGCTTCTCCTCCAATGAGTTTGGCCACACACTGACCGCCCTGGTCACCATTTAGCTGAAAACCTAAAATTCTAAGCCATTTCAGAGCCCAGCTGCGGCGTCAGAATACACTGCCTTGGAGGATGGATTTGTCTGAGGCCCCCAACCTCTCCAACGCTAATGAAAACCCCTCATCTGGGCTGAAGCCCCTTCCAAGGTGTGTGAGAAGCTCTTGCGTCAAAATGAGGTGTTGAAAAGAACAAAAACAGTGTTGGTATGCTGCATTGTTGTGTCGGTTTTGGGGAAATGGGGAGTTGTGTTGGGTCTGCTCAAAACAGACGAAAGCATCTCTCGTTCCTGTTCCCAGACCAAAAAGGTGAGTCTATCACCACCGCATCCCTCCAGGCTTGGTTTTTCAAACCTACTGAAGGGGACAGGCAGAGATTGCCAAGGACCCAGCCTGACCCAGGAGACAGAGCCTGAGAAACACTATCAAGCCAAGTGACCACAAAAGCAACATTAGTGCAGTGGATGCAAGCCTCGCCCTGGTTTCCCAGTGTCTGCAGCTGTGAAAACACAAAAGAGACACCCCATTAACAGCCAACGTGATCTCCCCATGTGCCGGAGCTCGAAGACTGATCTGGAGGAAGTAAAGGAAGGCGACTGCCTCTTCCCTCCAGAAGTCACTGAGCGAATCCATGCCCAAATCTTTGTCCCACTGCACGGGGGTGGCGTGTCTTCCAGGGTTCAGCTCCAAGCTGGTCTCGAACTCCTGACCTCTGTCACCCAGCAGGCCAGTGGGCAGATGGCAGTCAGCAGGCAGATGGGCAGCGGGCGGACTGGTGGCGGGTGTGCCCAGCTCCCTGGTCATCTCACCCTCAATCCAGGAGCCTCTCTCTGCAGTCCCCACTGCTCCCTCAACCCTTTCTCAAGTGGGCTCCCCAGCTCTGGGGGCCGCGACCCCTCCATCTGTTGAACCTGCTCTGAGCCCTGGCTTCCCTGGAAGCCGTGTCCATTCCTGACCTGTGCTTTTCCAACAGCTTTGCAGCTTGGTTATAGCCAGAACATTTGTTCCACTCAACAAAATGTATTTGTCTCTGAAACTACCGAGCTTCCCGCAACTCCCCTTTATCAGTTTCAATGCTCGTGAAAGGCCATGTGTGCTAGAGTTAAACACCTGTGTGGAGGGCTCAAACTGCAGCTTTGCCACTCCCTAACATGTGTGGCCGTGGCCATTCTTCTGCCCTTCCTGGGCCTCGGTTTTCTCATCTGTGAAATGGGGATTGTGATTTCTATTGCACACCGCCTGGTGAGGATTTGATGAGACACAGTGCGTGGGGTGCCTAGGACAGAGGGACTGTCCCATAAACTCATGCTAAACAGGCAAACACCCAAGGATGCCCCGGAGGAATCTCCCAGAGTGCAGGACCAGCGCTGCCACCAATGCATGTCACGTGGCCTTGGGTAAGACCTCCTCCCTGGACCTCAGTTTCCCTCTGTTGATGAAAATACACAAATCAGGTGTGACCATTTCTGGAGGCCCTTCCAATGTGAAATAATAATAGCAGAAGCCAGCCTTTATGAAGCACTAACTTCCGCCAGGCGTATTTTTTTTCTTTTTTCTTTTGTTTTTGTTTTTGTTTTGGAGATGGAGTCTCACGCTGTCACCCAGGCTGGAGTGCAGTGGCGCCACCTCGGCTCGCTACAACCTCTGCCTCCCAGATTGAAGCGATTCTCCTGCCTCAGGCTCTCAAGTCGCCTGAATTACAGGTGCGCGCCACTCAGCTAATTTTTGTATTGTTAGTAGAGATGGGATATCACCATGTTGGCCAGACTGGTCTTGAATTTCTGACCTCATGTGATCCTCCTGCCTCGGTTTCCCAAAGTGCTGGGATTACAGGCGTGAGCCACCGCACCCGGCCTATATTTCTAGAATGTCGATGCACCACCCCCACCCCTTCCCTCCATATTCCCAGTGCCCCCGGCCTCCTACCACTAGCATCTGCCACTGTGCTGAGGACAGTCACTGGCCCTGGACTGTGCTCAGCAGGCGCATGGGACTGGCCACGCATCCTGGGGTTTCACACCGTGGAAGCAGCCCTTGCCAGTGAGGGAAACTGCTGGATAATCACCTGGAGTCCTTGCCCTCTGGGAAGATAACTCCCAGGGCTCTTGTGCTCTGCTGTTCCCTGGAGGTCCCCAGCAGACCCAAGCCCCCGTTACCAGTGGCCCTAAGCTGCTTCTGAGCACAGCGCCTGGCCGTCTTCTCTTCTCCTACTCCCTCCCTGCACTTCCTCCCAAATACATTCAGATTCCTCTCAGAGTTTACTTCTGTGGAAACCCGAATGAACACATCTCCTCTAATGCGCGCCACGCTCCTGGGAAGCAGGTGCCAGGACGGTCACCACTCTGCAGACAGGAATCAGGCTCAGAGAAGTAAGTCCCCTTCACCCCAGGGCTGGCAAGTGAGGGAAGGTGCAGTGCATGTAGCTGGTGGCCGGAGCCCCACTGCAGGCTCCAGCTCACTTCACTGATGCTGGGGGATTTGCCCCAAGGCCTCACCCCATCAGAGTGGATGACCCAGTCTCCCAACCCCTCAAGATTCAGGACAGGCTTCTGTAGGGTCATCGGCACTGCACCTCCAGGGCCAGGGCCAGCCCTCCCTCAGCCCAGTGTGCAGAGCCCATTCTGTGGCCTGTGTGGCCAGGGCAAGGCCAGTGGGTATGCACAGAGAAGGGCCTCGCTGGGGCTGGGCCTGCATCAGGATCTGCTGAGCAAAGCCCCTCCCCCACCCAGCTCAATCACCCCAATTTTTCCTGCCTTGAGCTTTTTTCTTTGGACCTGGGTGGCTGTACCACCTTTTGTGGGTCTCAGGAACAACCCGATTTGGCATCAGAAGCCCAAGGCCCAGTGAGCCTTGTGACTTGGGGTCACTCACTTCTCTCTGAGCCTTAAATTCTTGTTCAGCCAAGTAGGGATCCACCAGGTACCCTCCCTATCTTGTAGGAATCTGAGGAGGAGATGGGGGTCACGCCTGAAGACACAAGCACTTGCCCTCCAAATACCAGAAACTGCAGGGTGGGAGAGGGGCACTGGCCACTGGTGGAAGCTTCTTAGCAGGCAGAGAGGCCCAGGCAAGCTGAGGGCAGTCTCTGTACTCCCAGCTCAGAGGGGCTGGACCCTACAACAATCTGCCTTGCTATGCTGTGCCCAGGCACCAGCCTAGGCTAGAGGGGCCTCTCTCGAGCTGGGCACCTGCTCCCGACTGTCTTGAGCCCAGCAGCCCAGCAGAGCCAGCTGACTCACTGACTTCACCCAAACTATCCCTTTACTACCCCACCCTCCACTACATCATGCTGGGGCATGGACGGGTGCCTGATAACCAGGTGTGTGATGACCAGGTGTCTGAGGGCTGGCCCCACCCCTGAGACAGCCTTTCCACCTTCAGCAAGGGAATTGAGGGTCCAAGACTCTCAGGAGCCACAGAGGACAGGATTGTGTGGACCACAATGGGCTCAGCCAGGACGGGAGTTAGGGAGGCCATGGGAGTGAGCCCCAGCCACAGGGCTCCCAACTTAGGTGCATCTGCACCTACGCAGGGGAGCAGGTAGCTGCTGGCACCATGCGGAAGAGGGCTGCAGGATGAGGGCAATGCAGGGGACCTGAGAGATTGAGGACGGTCCAGAGGAGGCAACATTTCAGTCAGAATCCATGCAGGAGTGGAAGTTGGCCCAGATAAGAGGAAGTGAGGATGCTCCAGACCGGGAGAATGGCAGGGCAAAAGCCTGAACATCCCTGAAGGTATTTCGAGCAATGGCAGGAGGTGGGGGCAGGCTGGAGGGGTTGGGAGGGACAGGCCATGTGCAGGCTGGGCTGGGAGCCAAGGCAGGAGGGTGACATGGGGAGATGGAAAGAACAGAACTTGAGGGGCAGGAGATGAAGCCATTAGGAAACCATGCTTGTGGGCACCCCAGGAAGCGTGTGGGCCTGGGTTGATCACACATAGAGACATGGGCAACCCCTCTAGACACAGATATGTGCACTGTGTGTCACACACATCCACAGGGGTGCACATAGTGAGAACACACACGCACTCACACAGGCTCTGCACACAAAGATACACGCTCTACACGCTGATGGATGTACCATATAATAATATCCAATAACATTTACCAAATGCTATTATACTATCACTAGGTGCTATTCCAAATGCTCGCCACACCTTCACTCTTTTAATCCTCACAACAAACACCACTGTTAGGTCAGGGCTATCATTACCCCCATCTCACTACTGGATAAACTGAGGCTGGCTAGGAGGCTCCTGATGGCTGAGGTGGAGTTGGAGGTGAGAGCTCAGTCCTGCTCCATGGTGCCCTAGCTCACACCTGGGAACAGCTGCTGGGTAGTTGGAGAGGAAAGATTTCAGATCAATAGAAGGCAAAATGCTCTTCTGATTAGAGATATCCCAGTTGATTGCCACCTTGGGGTGCAAGAGAAGACCCCGAAGAATGCGCACAGAAACTGGAAACAGATGGATGTTCTATCTGTGTGGTGCAGCCTCTTGTAAGCAGTCCCATGACTATAGAATCCACCTGCTCGCAAGGGCCTGGAGCTGCCTGTTCCCATGGTGGGAGGCCTGGAGGGTGGGTGTGTGTGGTGTGGGGAGCACAGGAGACAGCCGGGGTCTCCAGCTGCCTTGGAAACCAGAGGCTCAGGTGCTGGTCACCCTGGGCCTCCTGCCCCTAGTCTTGATCACAGAGAGCCCCCTGCCCCACCACCCAGCCCTGTGAGTCCTGGCATGCTCAGCCCCTGTAAGCCCCACTCTCCCAGGGATCAGGCTTGGCCAGGCCACCAGCTGTGTCATTTACACATGCCCTGAACATTTGTGGAACGCCCACAATGGGACAGGCACAGAGCCATCTGATTGCTGGGCGGGGCTTTCCACACCCTCCCTTGGGAGAGTCAGGCTGGGAGGCCAGTGCCTCCATTTTCCAGATGAGGACCCAAGAGAGGCCCAGGAAGAGCGGTGTCTTGGCTCCCAGGGGTTAGGCAGCTCTCCCTACACCCCAGGGCCTAAGACCCAGGCAGGGGTGGTGCATTCTCCATGGGTCTCCTGTCCCTCGGTGGCCCAGGGAGGAGCAGCCCAGAAGCCACCAGCAGCTGGGCGCAGCTGGGCCCAGCCGGGCCGCACCGTCTCCCCCAGTAGGCACTGGAATTCAATGGCCGATGTGCTCAGCCGATTCCAGGACTCCATGAACACCCCTCCCCTCTGAGGTTAACAGGATAAAGGCTGGGTAAAGAAACTGCTTATTTCCCCAGCTTAAAGAAGCAATTATGCGACTTTCTAACGTGGTTTCAAATATATTTTGCAAACTAGGACTCAGACAAATATTAATGGCAGCAAATTACAGTACTTAGCAGAATTATCACCTAGCAAAGAGGCGCTTTTAATCTATAAAAAATATCAACAAAAGATGTAAATATGAACCCCTCAATGGGTGGTGTATCTTGAAGAAAATATACATCTAATCTCACAGTGTGTTACCTCTAATACCTGGGGAGAAGGTTAACAATTCTGAGACGTTCCCTACAGCTAGAGAATATATTTTGATGTAGATTTGTGGATATCAGAGACTTTAAATCTATTGTATAATCGTAGGGTGGGAGGGAGGAGCCCGGCCACCTAATTCTCCACAATGGGAAGGCGGCCAATGAGGGCTGTTCAAATGGCTGCACTTACCTTCCTGAAGCTCAGGGGGCTTCACCAGGAGCCTGAGACCTCCCCCTGAGGAAGGAGCCCACTGAGCCCTGGTCCCAATCAGAGCTGGGGCTGAGCCTCAGAGGCCAGCAGGCCCACTACCCACTGTTGAAGATGGGGGACCTTGCAGCAAGCAGGAAGTGGGGGGCAGGGGCAGGAGGCATTGATAACAAAGTAATGAACCCTGTGAAAGGCAAACCTGCCCATCTCCCTGTGTCACCGGGGGCCAGTGGGGGGAGCCGAAATGAGTGAGCTTGGCAGTGCAGACCCACTGTTGGAAGGACCTGCAGAGGCCCTAGACGACATTGTCACAGGACACTTGGGGCCCCCACAGCCCACCCAATGACTTCCTGGGGCCACACTCCAGCAGCAAGGCCCTGACAGCCCTCTGAAGATTTCCCTCTCACTCGCTGTGTCTGGGACAGGCCTGGGGCAGATGCTCAAAAGGCCTCATCCTTGGCAGCAGACGCAGTCAAGGTGGACCGTGGTCTTTGGGAGGCTGCGAGGGACGGACGATGTAATCATGCTGGCCGCACCTCTTCTGTGCCAATCCCCTATGTCATCATGTAATCCCTTGGCCTCTGGGCCTCCAGCCAGGACTCAGGCTCCAGGGACCCTCACTCTGCAGCCCTCCGGGTGGGGGCCCCATGGCCCCAGGTGCTGTAATCCAGGCACAGCTTAGTAACCAGGGACCAGCCGGAAGGGCCGTGCCATTTGGGTTTAACCCTCTCCTACACTTGCCCCCATTAAGCCTCTCCATGCTCTCCCTTGTACAGTCCCATAAGGAAAGTTTAGATGGACTTGAATTTCCATGATTTACATCACCCCAAAAAAGGTATATTGAACATAGGGTTCCTTTTCATGCAGCACCAAGACCCCTTACCCTTTATGCATTCTCTGGTTCCTTCCCACTGGGGAGCCTTACTATTACTTACTATTCCCTGTATCTGGGACAGCTTCCTTCCGGTCCTTTCTATGCACACACATGCACACCCATGCACACACACATATGCCACTTCACAGGTGTCACCTGGTGACACCCACCAGGTCCTCCTCAACCGCCCTTTCCTAGGGAGTCTCCTGCATCCCCAGCTCCTGCCGGTCCCCGCCCCCAGCTCCATTATCCACACATCTCCCGGGCCCCACTCCTCCTGGAATTCACCACATAAATAATACATGTATCCGTGTGGCTCTTAAAAATAGATGTCTGCTTCCCCCGTGAGACAACAAGCCCCAGGAGGGCAAGGACCTGGGGCTTTGTTTGGTTTTTGTTATTTCATTTTGGCTCCCTGGAACCTCTCCAGAGCCTGGCACTCCTGTGTTGTGATGAGTGTGTAAATGTTGATGCACCTTACAGGGCTTGGCCCGTCCCTTCTCCTGGTTGGGTACAACATTTGCTAAGGACACTCCTGCTCTGGGACTCTGGCATGGAGGCCATCCCCAGAAGCATTCACAGATTCCCACATCTCCGTCTTTCCAGTCATCATCCCAGACATGGAGAAGACTTTCCAGCAAAGCTGCTGTCCATGGCAGCACCCCCTGGGGCTCTCACAGGACACCAGCAGGGCCTCACCCTCTCCCACCCGTGTCCCAGCACACCCTGGGGCTCTCACGGGTCGCCAGCAGGGCCTCACCCTCTCCCACCGGTTTCCCCAGCATGACCTGGGGTGTCCACAGTCCATTTCTGTCATGGAACTTGGGGTCAAAGCCACTTGTGGGGGTCCCACTGCCCATCTGCCCCGTGGGTTGGGGTGTCTATAGTTCAGCAGAGGCTAGCCATAAAACCACACCAGCAAGAGAGCTACTTAAACAATTATAACTCTGTTATTTCTCAAAAACAGTTATTCCTCATAGTTAATTTGTTCTGCAACCCATAAAATGTATCTGGTTTGGTTAGTTCTCTTGGCCACCACCACCTGTTATCTACAGGAAGGTTTATTTAGGCTCGTCAGTACCTTCAAAGGTCTGCAGGAGCTGGGAGGAGGGCAGGAGGCCCAGTAGTCAGCTAAGGTGGGCAGGGTGGGGGCTACACCGCTGGGTTTCAGAGCAAACTGCAACCTGGGAGCTGGATGGGGAATTTCTGCCGCTCATATGAAACTGGGTCTTCCTACCTGCCGTGTGAGCTGCAGCTGTGGAGTAAATGCTTTTTGGATGCTAATCCACTGAGCGCTGAACAGGTCTCAGTTTCTGACTCTGGGACCTTGGGCAAGTCACTTAACCTCTCACGGCTGCTGTTTTCTGGCCAGAAACAGTGCATGGTCTGTCCCCACCTCTCTCACCCGGCTATTTCCAGATTTAATTGGATAATGCTCACAGAGTGCTTTAAGCTTCCAAGAAAGAGGGGTGCCTGCAACACAGGACAATTACTCTAATTATGATTGCCTGGGAACCCGCACACAATTTTACCTTTTAACATTAGCCCTGCACATCATGGGAGAAGAGTCAAGGCCGCTTGTCCCAAATGGGTTGATTTTAAGCAGCTCAATTTTCAAAGAAGGGCAGAGCTTAGAAAACAGAGGCACCTCCCTCTGCTGGCACTCAGAGAAAGTCCCTTCAGCTGGTCCCCACGGAAAGCCGCTGGGGTCTTCACCCACGGTGGCTGGGAGCAGCCAGGCAGGGAAATCGTGGCTCCTTTCCGAGGATGCAGGCTGTGGAGACAGCTGCATGATGAAAGTGGCCACCTCCCTTCTTGGTCCCTAAAATGTGTAGGCGTAAGTCTCCTCTGATCACGCCACGGGGTGCGCAAGCTGATCCTAGGACCCAGTTCAGTGTGTCCGCCCCGTCAAGCTAGCCATTGTCCCCTTCCAAATTATGGCTAGGCCTGAGTGTAGCATGACACGTGGCTAATTCAGGGCTGGATGCAGGGCCCAGGAAGCCAGACGACAGCCTGTTGGAACTGAGCTGGCCAAGCAGTGCAACAGTGGTGGGATCCGGCCCTGCACGGTCATGGGGCTTGGGCGAGCCACCGTATTGGTGCAGACAGACAGGAGACAGAAGACATACAGAGGACTGGAAGTGTGAAGCGATGCAGCCCTGGGAGAGAGTGAGTGACATGCTGCCAAGGCAGTACGGTTCCCTGGGGGCTGGTTGGCACTTCCAACCTCGGACTCCTCCAGTTCTCCAGGCTCCTCTTATAAACACTCTACGCCTCGCAACAGAACGCCCCTCCCAAGCTGCTTTCAGGTTCAGAGACCCTGCAAGAGTGGGACAGACTGGGCTGCAGGGTCTGGTCCTGGAGGAACCTGGAGAACAGGAGGAGTCGGAAGCTGGAGGTGCCCCCCAGCCTCGAGGGAACCGGGCCTCCGTCAACAGCACTTCACCTGCCCTCTCCCAGGGCATGTGGCTTCAACCTCCCAGGTAATTGATTGGACTCAGGGACTTCTCCAACATCTCTGGCCCAATGGTAACAACAGTGGCCACCATTCACAGGGTGCTTCCTCTGTCCTGGGCACTGGTATGCATTACGTCATCCAAACCCTCACACCAGCCAGGTGAGGTGTGTTAGCAACACCCCCAAGGAGAAAATGGAAACCCCCAAAGACGAAGAGATTGTCCACAGCCTCATTAGTTTCCACGCAACGGGGAGCACCAGGGTTTAAACTCCTATCCAACTCCTGAGCACAAGCTCTTGCCACCCTTTCTACTGCCTCCCAAGAATCTCCTCTCATCCCTGATGCTCTTCACCCAACAGGGTACACAGGGTAGACTTCGAGGCAGCAGGCTGCCCAGCCCGAGCTGGTGACACCCCATCCCTGGGACCAGGCGGGTCCCTTTCAAGCCCTGTGAGTTCTTGGCCAAGTTCGCTTGTCTGGGCTTCCTCTGCTATACAATGGGAATAACACCACTCTTTAGCAGAGATTTTGTGAAAATTAAATAAAAGAGCATAAAGTATTTTGTCAACTGTGAAGTTCTACATCCACATGAGCTCTCGGTCTTGACATTTCCTGGCTTTGCTGGCATGTTAGTCTTTCTTTGGGAAGCCAAGAGACAGATGTTGCCAGCGTGGCCCCCAGATTCTGAGTTCCCTGGAACTTAGGCAGGAATCCACCACCGGGAGTGTCGCCTCCTGTGGCTCCTTGTCTACGCTCCCTCTTAGTCTCATCTGGTCAGTCCCAGATCTCCAGGGATCTACACTTAGAACCAGGGCAGGGGAGAAGGGTCTCAGGGCAGGAATCAACAGTATGGTCGGCCCTTACTGAAGTGGAGATTGCTGTGTCATTCATGAAAACAGGTGCCATCACCCGGGGCTCCTCCCGGGAGGTGCCCAGACCAGCATGTCTGGCTGGGGTGACCAGCTCTGGCAACCATGCACAGACAAGGGCATCCAAGGGCATTTCTGCACACAAAGACTCTCAGATTTGCCATGGCTGAGGCCCATCCATTCTGAAATCTGAAAGAAAGGCACTTAGTTCAAGCCGGAGAGTTTGTTTGACAAACCAAGGAACATTTGTCAAGCTCCCAGCCAAGCTTTGTGGAGGACCAAACTTCATGCTACGTGCTGGGGGCACCAAGTGGGGAGAAAGAGGGGGAAAGTCGAAGGTCCAAACTTGGGGAACCCGGAGTGTGCAGAGAAGGCCAAGAGAACATCCTCTCCTCACTCGAGGCCAGGATGGGCTGAGATTAGTGGGGGCTGGTGGGCAGAGATGGCTTCTAGGGAAGAGTAGGATGAGCTGGCGGAAGGAAGGGTGGTTAGAAGCAAAGAGGCCCCCTCTGCCAGGCCAGCCGGCTCACAGGAGCACAGGCAACAGATCCCGCTGTCCATCTTACCCCAGTGTCATGTGGTGAGGTGGGAAGGCCAGCTTTGCTCTCTTGAGGCCATGGGCAAGCCACTGAACATTTCATGTACCATCACTTCCTAAGCAATAAAGTGGCATCACAGGGCTGTGGGGGGAAAAGCATCTCATCGTTATGCTGTTTTATGACTGGCAACTAATACTTAATGAATGCCAACCGCACAGCGCTGAGTGCTTTACGCGAGTTACCTAAGTGGAACTTCCCCAAATCTTAGGAGACCGAGACCCATCCTACTGCCACTTTAGAGAAGGGGGAATTGAAACGTAAGGAGTTGGTATTATTTGACTAAGACAAGTTAGTGCTGGGGTCTGCATCTGAACCGAAGCCTTTGCCTTTAACCAGGCCCATCCCAGCGTCCCGCCCATGGCTGGGGTGACCGTGTCAATCAGCACTGAACACAAAAGTAGAATGCAAGCCACAGAAGTAATGTTTTATTTTCTAGTAATCACATCAAAGAACCAGGTGGAAATAATTTTAGTGATGTATTAATTCTTAATTCAATAGATCTAAAATATTATTGAACTTGTAATCAATATAAAAAATATTAATGAGGCCAGGTGTGGTGGCTCACACCTGTAATCCCAGCATTTTGGGAGGCCGAGGCAGTTGGATCACTTGAGGTCAGGAGTTCCAGACCAGCCTGGCCAACATGGCAAAACCCCATCTCTACTAAAAATACAAAAATTAGCTGGGCGTGGTGGTGGCACCTGTAATCCCAGCTACTCGGGAGGGTGAGGCAGGAGAATCATTTGAACCCGGGAGTAGGAGGTTGCAGTGAGCTGAGATCGTGCCATTGCACTCCAGCCTGCGTGACAGAGCGAGACTCCATCTCAAAAAAATAAAAATAAAAATAAAACATACACGCACACACACACACACACACGTATGTATGAGATGTTTTACTTTCTTGTTCTCATACTAAGTCTTCAAAATCTGATGTGAATTTGCACCAACCACACATCTCAGTAGTTACATAAGGGTCTCAGTTCCTATTGGACAGCACTGGTGTCAGTTACCTTCCAAAGCAGGACCCTTTGAGGGGATGGGAGATGCCATGAGTGATAGCCAGGACAACAGGCAGAAACCAGGGCTGTCCCAGGCAAACCAGTCCTGTGAGATGCATGGAAAAACCTGGTTGCCTTTTCCCCACACCTACAGCCCAAAGCATCCTGTGTCCTGCACGCCCTCCTGACAGCATCATCTCGTGGCCCTCCCTCTGTCGTTGTTAATCTTTCCAAAAAACCTGTCTGCACCTTTGCTAATCTCTATTTATTTGTGCCTGCCCTTGTCCTTATTCCTGTCATCTTTCTTGTTCCTTTAGGTTTGCTCTGTAGCTCTTTTTCCAGTTTCTAGGAGCAAACACCTAGCTGGTTTGTTTTCAACCCTTCTTGTTTCCTGATAAATAGATTTAAAGGCATAGATTTCCCTCTCTCTGTGTGCCACACATTTGGGCATGTAGCATCCTCAAAATCATGCCATCCTTGATTTTTCTGATTTCTTTTATTGTTTCTATTTTAAACATGCTATTTAGCTTCCAAACAGAATTTCTGAGCTATTCTTTTGCTTTTAATATCTAGTTGTATTTCACTGTGATCGCAGACACGGTATAACCACACAGATTCTTTGCAGTGTAAGGAGACTTTCTCTATGGCCCACCGCGTGATTGATTTTGGTAAACATTCTGATGTTGGGTGAGTCCCTTCTCTGAAGAAGCCACTTGCTGCCAGGTTTAGCTTTCTGAAAGCACCAGTTAACTCATGGCGCCCCCTGTTCAAAACCACTGGAGGCGCCCAGCCAAGCCTGGCCCATCTCCAAAGTCGGAGCTTGGTCTCAAGGCCTCCCACGGCCTAGCCCGTCAGCTCCCGGTGAACCCGGGGAGAGGACTCCTGCACCTTTGTGAGTCACAGCCTGTCCTTCCCTCTCAGGCCCGGCTGTCACTCTCCTGGGCCTGTCTCAAAGAAACCCCAGGCCAGGAAGGAGCCCCAGAGGTGCTCAGTTCAGCAGAGAGAGCCATTTCCTGTGCATCTGCCAGTGGAAGAAAACAACAATCATGGTAATAACATTGGCAACACGGGTGTCTGCAACCCACGTTACAGCTGAGAACACGTGGGGTGTCAGGTGTGGGGGCTCCGAGGCCAGGGTAACTTGCCCAGGGCTCTGTCTGGCTGCAAAGCTGGGGCTGTAAGTTACTTCATTCAGTGAACACGAGGGCAAGAATTGATCCATTTCCTAGAAACAAAAATCAAGATAGGAAGGCGATCAGGTTCCAAGAGGAGTTGGTGGGGCTTTGGGATCAGTTGGTTCTCTAGGGACTGCTCCTAACCTCAAAAAACAACTGGCACGGCTGGGCATGGTGGCTCACGCCTGTAATCCCAGCACTTTGGGAGGCCGAGGCAGGTGGATCACCTGAGGTCAGGAGTTCAAGACCAGCCTTGTCAACATGATGAAACCCCGTCTCTACTAAAAATACAAAAATTACCTGGGCGTGGTGGTGCATGCCTGTAATCCCAGCTACTCGGGAGGCTGAGGTAGGAGGATCACTTGAACCCAGGAGGCGGAGGTTGCAGTGAGCTGAGATCATGCCACTGCACTCCAGCCTGGGCAGCAAGAGTGAAACTCCGTCTCAAAAAAAAAAAAGAAAAAAAAAAACTGGCACAACTTGGAAAGCCCTGACTGCTCAAGAAAGCCAGAACTCTATCCCCTGGCACAATGCCAAGGAAGCCCACAGCCCTGGGAAGAAGTCAGGTCCATTTCTACACATTGAGGCAGGACCCAAATCACCTCTGCACATCTGAATCCAGGGCAGAGGGCACGGGGAAAAGAAATGGATGGTGAGGGGTGTGTGCAGTTTTCTCCTGGACTCTGTTTCCCTCCGTCGGGTGCCAGAGGGAGCCCAGGGAATGTGGAAAGTTTAACGACAGGCAGGCAGACCCTGACTGGCAGCTTCGCCAATGCAACCCAGATAACGGCAAACGCAAACCTCGCCATGGTCCAGACACCTCGCTCCAACTTCCTCTCCGTGCCAGCACATAGCCCGCCAAAGGTCACGGACAAGATAGAATTTGACACAGTAAGACTCTGCTCCCCTGTTAATGCCCCTCAGATCCGGGCCTGCAAAAGTGAAATAATAAATTTAGGAAAACAAGCAGAATGACCCGTCTGGTTGGTTGGTTTTTCTAGATACCATCTACATATTTTAGAAACGTACAACCTTCTAATGGAAATGAATAAACTACTCAACCATAAAGTTGCTATAGAAGATATGCTTGTTCTGATTCGAAAGGGCATCTGCTATCTGCAATATTGATAATACTTTTCAAATTTCATCTGCTTTTGTTTGCATTCTGCGTTGTCTGTTTAAACACACTGGGAATAATAATGAATCCCTGCATTATCTCTACTTTTTCAAGGCCGAACATATAACTTTATCACAAAAATAATTAAAATTCTTTGGCACTCTTGTATCTTTTCCATTAAACGTTATCAACCAGTGACAATAAACTAACATGAGCCCAAGGCTGGCCACGGGCCGCCTTTACAAAGAATGCATTTGTCCCCGGGCGAGAGACATGAATTTTCAGTTTACAGGGTCAGGCGATCCTGAAGTTTTTTACAGTAGGAGACCACAAATCTATACCTCCTGTCCCCTAACGGGGGCTGGCGGCGGCCACAGGGTGCCCCATAAATTCTCAGGCAAGAATACACTTTAATAGGCAAAAAAAACCTTGGCAGCTTAATAATTCTGCGTTGCAAATTTAAATATTTTACATATCATTAGACATTAAAAACAAAGATTTATGCTGCTCGTCTCCACGGAGTGAGGACTCCGTTGACTTCACACCCGGCCATGAATCTGCTTGAGGTTCATTAGCTGAACGTCTTCGGCTAAGAAAGCCCGTCGAGTGGGGGCGGCCTCTAAATCACCATTTTTATTTTCCCGCCATCAGGAACCACTTGAGGAGATCCCTCCCCTGGGCAACGCCCCACGCCGGCTCCCTCACCCACCAACGTCTGGGAACCATGGGGTGGTAACCCAGCCTCTCCCAGCCAGCAGGAGCATTAACAGGGGAGCACAAACCCATCTTTCTACAGTACCCCATCACCCTAAGGCCTTGGCAGGGACTCACCTGCCAGGTCACACCGGACAAGGGGAGAGGGGATTTGAGCAGGGGCTGCTGGGTACTTCCGAGAGGCCAATTGACACACAGAACTGGGCCACAGGTTGACAGCCCCAGATAAGGAGGAGGAGAGGGCAGGGACGGGTGGTGGGCAGAGAAGTGGAAGAGGAAGAACTTCCCACAGCCACAGGCCCCACCCCTCAGTGGCCAGGGCTGTCCTATGGCATAGCTTTTGGTGACCATCCCCCCTCTCTTTAGGGGTGTCTCCTTCATATAGCCACACTCATCTCAAAGTCCTGCTTCTTCTGCAAGCCAGCTCACAGCCCTCACCCAGAAACCCCTTACCACCCAATGCAGCCTGTTCCCTCTTGAGTCCTTACTTAGGATTTCCTAAACAGAACTTGCTCTTCCCCCACACAGCCCAGAACCCCCTCAGCCCAAGAGGAAGCCCCCAGCATACGGCCTCTGGCATGGCCAGGTCTGCACCTTCTCCAGCCCCCTGATGCCCAGCAGCGGTGCCTCACCAGCAGCCGGGAGGGAGGAACGCATGAGTTACGTCTCTTATTTTCTGTATTTCTGTTGTTTGGACATGTGGAGCCTTGCTGGCCCAGAAGGGGCTGCCCCTGCCAGAGCCAGCCAGTGCTTAGAGAAGGTAAACAGCTCACCACCAGCAAGGCACTTTCAAATGCAACCCAACTGATCCAGAGCCCACAATCCTACCACCTCCTCTGCTGGCTCTCGTCCTCCAGGCCACTCTCCACCTGCTCTCATCACCCCAGGGCCAAGTACCAGAGAACCAGGGACAGTCCCTGTGCCCCAGAGCTGCTGAAATGACACAGACTAGCCCTCCTAGACTTGCTTACCCTCCCTTTCCCATTCCTGCCCATGGAAACCACAATGGAGGTCCTGGCCTGGCGTTCCCCTCTCTCCTTCTGCCTCTGACCCATCCTGGTGCTGCCCCACGTGGCCCTGGGGGTGTGGCATGCCCCCTCCTGGTGGGGACTGTGAGTAACTAACCACCTTGTCCGGGGCAGTTGTCTCCTGATCCATTGGCCGTATTGCACCTTAAATTTCCTGCTAATATACTATATTTTAAAACAAAGCATACAGCTGGCAGACGTAGGTAATTACAAGACAGCTTAGTGTTACGTAGGTAATTACAAGACAGCTTAGTGTTACGAAAGCTTCGAAATGCATGTCTTTTGAGGGAACATGAGCTGCCTGGAGCCACGGTCTCTACCACTCCCTGTTTTGTCACACCCACATCTCTGCTGGGCATGAAGCTTTAGGAGTCTAGGGTCCTAGCTGGGAGACTCCTACCCTGGTGGCCGGAGTGTGAGAGAAGGAATGCCCCAGCATCTGGGGAGGGGGCCAGTGGGCTCCTTGCGTGGTCATTGCTGGGTGCTGGATCCTGGTGGAGTCAGCTGGGACTGGGAGGAAGAGAGGGCCGTCTCAATCTGCAGATGCCCTGGACCAAGCTGTGGTGCTTCATTCTGCAGAGTCTATGAAGGTTTCCGGAGACCTTAGAAGAGCCCAGAAACACCACCAGAGCCAGCCATACTTGAGAAGCCATCTCCCCAACACTTTCCTCTTCCTCACATGAGCAACCTGGGTCCAAAGGACAGGAAGGGACTGGCACAGAGCTATCCAGCAGTCGTGTTCTTCTGGGTACAAGGGGAAGAGTCGCCATGCAAGTACCTCTCTGTTTTCATGTCAAATCCCACAGCTGACAGTAAGAGAATAAAAAAGGCTCAAGTCCACAAAGCAGAGAGAATGGGAAGGGAGACAACACAAAAAGGGATTTTGACAAAAAGTTGGAGAGATGATGCAATGGTTTGAATGTGTCTCCTCCAGAATTCCTATGTTGAAGCTTAATTTCATTGTGGTGGTGCTGGGGGGTGGGGCCTTTTGTGAAGTGATCAGGGCATTAGGGCTCTGCCCTTGGGGTGAGTCCATGCCTTTTAGAAGGGCTGGAGGGCACTAGCTCAGGCCTTTTTGCTGTTTTGCTCCTCTGCCATGTGAGGACAGAGCGTTCCTCCCTCCAGGGGGATGCAGCAACAAGGCACCATCCTGGAAGCAGAGACTTGGCCCTCCACAGCCAGTGCTTCGGTGTTGGACTTCCCAGCCTCTAGAACTGTGAGAAAATAGATCTCTGTTGTTTATAAATTACCCAGTCTTGGGGATTTTGTTAAAGCAGAAAAAACAGGCTGAGGCAGATAGAAAGCAGATGAGCAGCAGCAACCGAGTGAGTGAGAGCAGCCATGCAGCTGCAGCAGGGGACACTCAGGGACTGGAGGCAACAGGTACGTTTGAGCATGGGGTGTAGACAGAGCTAAAACCAGAGGGCTGGCTGAGAGCCAGAGTCACCCCAGTAATCTCCCAGCCCTCTGTGGCCAAAAGAGGGGGCCATCAGCCTAGCAGAAAGTGGAGTTCCTTCTCTGAAGCTGAGCAGAGGCAGTACCCCCTGACAAAAACAAGATATGTAGAAATGCTTCTTAGGGAATGGTGAGCCCCAGCTTCCCCCAGGACCCCAGAACTGACCTCCGTGCCCACAGGACATCAGCGGACTTCTCACTGACAAAAAATGACTGGCCCAAAAGAAAGACTAGTGGATGCCACATGTGACAGTTCCCAGGGAAGGAGGCATTCATTCCCCGTCACCCACCACAAGGCCCCAGCCAGCCAGCCCTGTCTGCAAACCTTCTGGTTAATTCCTCTGGCCCTTCATTCCAAGACGGCCACTATGTCTGAGGAAAGCCTCCAATGCAAGAGGCAGAGGCCAAAAGAGCAACTTGTGAGAGTTGCAGGCAATGCAGGGGCAAGAGGAAACACCCACAAAGTCATCATGAACCCCCCAGAGAGGGAAGAAAGGACATGATTCCATGACACAGGAATGGGAGATTGACAAAAAGAACATTTGCTAAAATAAACAAGAAAGAAAGAAAAAGACTGGGTGACAGTGGCTCACGCCTATAATCCCAGAACTTTGGGAGGCCAAGGTGGGCAGATGACCTGAGGTCAAGAGTTCAAGACCAGCCTGGCCAACATGGTAAAACCCCATCTCCATTAAAAATATAAAAATTAGCTTGGTATGGCGGCATACACCTGTAGTCCCCGCTACTCAGGAGGCTGAGGCAGGAGAAACGCTTGAACCTGGGAGGTGGAGATTGCGG
Source organism: Homo sapiens (assembly GCF_000001405.40). NCBI lineage: Eukaryota > Metazoa > Chordata > Mammalia > Primates > Hominidae > Homo > Homo sapiens. The sequence continues at coordinate 30,080,157 of NC_000019.10, read as the reverse complement.
TGAGCCGAGATGGCGCCACTGCACTCCAGCCTGGGCAACAGAAGAAGACTCCATTTCAAAAAAAAAAAAAAAAAAAAAAACAAAGAAAGAAAGAAAAAGAAAAAGAAAGAATGAAAAAAGTGTTTTAAAAAGTAGAAATAGGAGGACAGAATTTAAAAATAAATCAATAGAGTGGTTGGAAATTAAACTTAAGGAAATCCCCTGCAAAGTAGAACAGAAAGAAAAAATATAAAAAATAGGAGAGGAAAGATAAGATCCAAGGAGAGAGTGGATAGCAGAGTTAGAAGTTCAAATAGAGGACTCATAAGAGTCCCAGAAAGATGTGACTGAGAAAAGTCTGGGTAGAGCACTTCGAAGGAAATCACTCAAGGAGGCATCGGAGGATTACAGGACATGAGTCTCCAGATAGAAAGAGCCCATCCTTGCAGGATTTCAGAATGACAGGAATAAGGAAAGGGTCTTAAAGCTTCAGAGGACAAAACAAGCCACAGTCAAAAGACTGGGACTAGAAAAGAGAGAAGACATTGGGCTTCTCAAAAGCTACCCAGGAATTAAGACAGCCATGAAGTAATGCCTTCAACATTGACAAAATATAATCTCAACCTAGAATTCTAGATCCAATTGAATGGGTTGATCAAGAGGGATGGTGGACAAATGGCATTTCAAATATGCAAAGTCTTTAAAAGGCCATTTTCCAAGCTCCTTTTTTCCAAAGCCACTGGAGGATGTGCACCACCAAAACAAAGGTGTAAACCAAGAAAGAGCAAGAGGTAGCTTATGGAACAGAGATGGCAAAGGCGATTTGCAGGCTGAGACTGAAGGAAGACACCGGGAGAGCAGCTGAACCCCAATTCTTGGGAGCAATTAGCAGATCCAAACACTGTCAGAAGGACATCCTCGAGAAAAAAATAGAAACAGAACACAGCCGAATATGTCAACAATCATGATAAGAGTTCACCGTTCTGGTGAGAAATCTGGCATAAATTACCAATGGTACATTACAAAAATAAAAAGCAAAAACAATAACAAAAAAAAACCCAGGGCAATTAGAACAGCTCAAAGAGTGGAAAGTGGCCCCCAGGGGAGCCAGAATCAGGGTGAGAAGGGATAAAACAGAGACTGCTTTTTTTTTTCACTCCATGTGTGACATGCTGTTTAAAATTCTGCACCTATATTAGTTGTATACAAATTAAATATATATAATAAAAGAAAGTATTGCAATCGAACTGTCGTTAAAATAGCTCCAGGATAAATTCCCTTTGGGGAATGTGCTTCACTGTTGGTGGGGAGGGGGTCCCAGGCTTTAGTCTCTGCAGTGCCTGGCATCAGGTGAGGCAGACACGTGTTGTCATGTGACACACACTAACTGTCCACATCAGCATGGGATGCCTTGTCTCATGTGTGGCTGGGTCGGGGCCATAGGAGATGGCACCTGGCTGGGGAGGAGACAGCTCCCAGATTCCTCAGGGATGGACATGGCCCCAGACCTGAACTTGGCCCCAGACATTCTTTTGAACCCTCTCTGGGAAAGGCTCACTGGGTCCTGACCACCTTACCTTGGTGAGCCCTTCCCAGAGACGCTGGCCCCTGCAGCCCCAGGGTCTCTGAAGGAGCTGTAAAAGGTAGGGAAGACTGCCCTTCCCTCTCGGGAAGGAGGACTTCTGTCCCAGCTGAAGCCAGAAATCTATACCTCTAATATGATGAGGTTGTCCTCCCCGAGAGATGGATTTCTTTCCAATATACCAGGCAGAAAGCAGGCTGCTTTCCTGTATCAGCACATTCCCAGCCTCCTCCTGGCCAAGGGAATGCTGGCCAGGTACTCCGGGGAGCCAGGACCTCCCGCTCTGTCCCGGCAGCTCCCTTCACGCACAGCCCATGGCCAGTCCCCAGTGAGCCAGTTCTTACCCATTCTCTCTTCTCCCGAGAGGTGGAAATCACCATTCCCACCTTGTGGGTGAGAAAGGCCAGGTTGAGAGAAAGGAAGGTGTTACCACAGGTGGGCATTGGGACAGGATCTGAATGGGCGGGGCTCACCCTCTGTGATGCCCCTCCAGGATCAGTGGCCTCAGCAGCCCCGTGGTGTAACAGAGATGTGCGAGGCCGAGAGGGCTCTCTGGTTCCCCATCAGCCCCAGGCAGTGCAGCTAGGAGCCCAGGCTGGGGCTGGGTGCCCACTATGGTGGGCAATCAGAGAGCTATCTGCTGCTGTCCAGGAGCTCCTGACACACAGTGTCTCAAGACAGGCACCAGGAGAGCCAGGCATCCCGGCCCCAGATGGGAGGCCTTGCCCCAACCCTCTTTACTCCCCTTCATGCCTCTCCTGAGTGGAAATTCAGCTTCTTGGTTTCTCTGCTGCTTTCCTCCCTCTCTATTTTTTGCAGTCCTTGGGATTGAAAGAAAAGAGATTTTTCTAATTACAAACCACGTTCTCCTCTGGCCCTGGGTGGCAGAGAGGCCATGGGAGGGGCAGAGGCTGGAGAAGTGGGGCAAGGTTTTAAGCAGGAACCAGGGCATCCCAGGGCTGGCCAGCACACACCCCCAGTCCACAGATCCCATCCAGATACTGGGGGAAGCCCTCCTTGTCCCCCTCAGCCCCTGGCCTGGCACCTGTGGCCAAAAGGCCTGTGAACATCGCCCACATGCACGGTGGCCCAGGCTCCTCTGGCCTGGAGGTTCTAGGGAGACTGTCAGGGAGGGATGGCCCAGCCTCAGGGGAGCCCCGTTCCGATGGGGAGAGCACAAGCCAGGTTGGGCACAGGTGGGCAGGCTGGCCCTCAGGGCCTCCAGAGGTTGTGAAAGGGTGGTGAGCATGGATGAGTGTGTGTGCATGTGGGTGGGTAGGAGTGTGCATGTGTGAGAGTGTGAGTTGTGAGTATGTCAGAGTGTGTCTGAGCATGTGTAAATGTGTATGAGAGTGTGGCAGCAGCCCCATCCCTGCCTGTGATGTCCCATGACTGAGGATGGTGTGATGTTACCTTCTGGTTGAGAGCCCTGGTGCAGAGCCAGAGCTACTGCACTGCACAATTCCTGGGGGAGCCCTTCTCGTGTTCATCCATGTGAAAGACACTCCTACTGTGGTTCAGTGCACAGCCTGTGCAACTGTACACCTCAGCCACACTGAGATCCGCATGCTCACCACTGCCCTCTGCATACATAAAGTAGAGGCTCTCAGGCGCCCTGAGGAGCCCTCCCCAACAAAGAGGCCACTGGGATCTTCCCGACAGGCTGAGCCGGCAGGTGAGAGCCTCCCACCCGGTTTCGTGGGTCCCAGGGGCTGGCAGGCCAAGGGCTACTTCCTTATTCTGTGGGGGCCCAGGGTAGGCTGGGTGTGGATTAGCGGGGTACAGGAAAGAGCTTTCAGATTAGGGAATAGGAGCAGAGTCACGGTAGCCAGTGTAGACGGATTGGCCACAGACCCACTGTGCAACATCATGCCCTGGGGCTCAGTTTCCTCATCTGATTTTGAGAAGCTGGTCTGCAGTGGTTTATTCCTAGGGCCCCCTTCCCTAGAGCTCACCTAGAGTCAGCATCCCTTGTTCCCACTGGGCTGAAGAGAGGCAGGGGACTGCCTAGGGTGGGGACAGTGAGGGGTGGGAGAGGCAGGCCTGGGCCAGTGGGTTGGGGGTCCTGCCCGGTGCCCTGTGTCAGTGACCGACCTGGGCATCTCAGCCACTTCTTCCATTGTTGACATAACCACTGTCAGCCCCACACATCCCCTTTAAATAAGGTTGAGATGCACTTGCCCCCAGCATACACAGCCCGCTCCTGGCCTGGAGGGGGCTCCCCTGTGGGCTGGGAGGGGGAGCAAGGTCCTAGTGGATCCTGAGCCCTGAGCTCCTACATTCCTCTAACTCCAGAGCCCCCATCACGGGCGTGGGCTAAGGGAGACTCACGTTCCTCACTTCCTGGGTCCCCAAACAGCCCAGCAGCCCCAGGTGGGGATGAGAGGGGCTGGGGAGGGGTTGGCAGAGGAACAGCCAAGCCAGGAGCGGCTCAGGAGCCCGCCAGCCCCGCTCACCACTCCCAGCCCCCCAGATCACAAAGGCCCCGCTTCCCGTTTCCTTCCTATTCAACCATGTCTCTCCATTGTCAATAAAAGCCATTTTTAAGGTCAACTATCTTCTTCCATCAACCGCCAACCCCACGCAGTTCCAACAGCACCAGCCCCAGCACCACATCATGAAATAAAAATTAAATTGTAGTTGGGCTTTTAAATCAACTCAATTAAAATAAAGAGATTCTTGGCTTGATATAGGGAAATATTTGTATTTCCAATTCTATTTGTTAATACATTGACATATGTGCTATTTTTTAAACGTAACACTAAGTGCACTTTCTGTCAATGCCATAGATTTTTTAATAGACTGAGAAAATGCATTTCATTTCTTCTTATTTTCCTTCAATACATCATTTGGTTCTGCTTTTTTGCCTGCATGAAATTCATTTTCTAATGGAAATATTTGTTTTGTAAATCAAATATGTATTATGCACAAAATGCAAAGCACAAATTAAATTATGTTAATGAAATGAAAGAGATATGAAATGCATATTTCATGGACAAAACATAACCTCAGCAAACAACCATTTCTTGATAAAATCTTTAAACACAATCTCATTCTGTGACAGACATATTGTTAAAGTAGATAGCACCTCATTTAAATGGTTTCCTTTAATATTAGTGCTTAGTATATAATTGTAAATAACTTTTGGGATGAAAAACCAATAATGAAATACTGTCTTTAATAGTTTGCTATTGATGTCAGCATAAAATTTGTCGTAGTTGAATATTGGAAATTGGGAGTACACAGAAATATTCTCAAAAGCTGTAAATGATTGCATATTTAAATAGAGCTGACTAAGGCAAAGATGTTATAGATATTAGTAATAGGCAGAAAATTATGCTGACCTCACATTATTTGACAAAACCCACTGTTTTAAATTATATATTGGTTACACTTAATGAATCATAGATTTTGTAGGTGTTGTTTCTCCAATCATAATGCTGATGATACACTGTGTCGGGGATTTCTTAGTCATCTTTCTGACAATAAACTCAGCCTTGGCTCACGAAGGTCGGGCGAGGGGCCAGTGGCTCGCCATTCAGTGCTCTCCTGCTGGAGAAGGGCTCCAGGGGGGAAACCGCCCTGGGATAGATGGAACCACAGTGACCGTTCCCGGGGCAGGGCAGGACCTGCTCCCAGCCCATTAGCCAGCCGGTGGGCTTGGATCCAGGTGGAGTCGGGGCCAGCTCTCTGGGGTAGAACCTGTTGGAAGTTCCTGCTGAGAGCCCAGTTTTCCAGGAATGCCAGAGGCTAGGAGTGGAGGAGGCCTGGCTTGCAGTTTGCAGAAGTTGCAGAGGGACAGCTGTCTTCCCCCCGTCACCTTGATCATGAGCCATGCAGGGGATGGGAAAGGATGGGAGTGGATGGCGTGTCCACAGGCCAGGCATCCACGTGACCAGGAGAGACTGGAGGAGGAAGGAGACCACAGCACTTGGTTTTCCCAGCCTCCAAGCCTTAGTCCTCAGGCTCTGCTTGAAATGTGGGTTTGTGGGTCTGGCTCATGTCATGATTTTGAGAAGCTGGTCTGCAGTGGTCTATTCCTAGGGAACCCCTTCCCTAGAGCTCATCTAGAGTCAGCATCCCTTGTTCCCACTGTGCTGAGGAGAGGCAGGGAACTGCCTGGGGTGGGAATGGTGAGGGGTGAAGGGGGGGGGCTGTGTGTGTGTGTGTGTGTGTGCGGGGTTGTGCGTGTTCACGCTATGCCTGAGGTGCCTGTGTGTGGGGTGTGTCCTGTGTGTGGCCCTGTGGACACACAAGCATAGCACAAAGATGCACTTTGTATATGGCCTGGTTGAGTGTGGGCACCCCAAGGATCACTGCGTGTGGCTGCGAGGGCTTGAATATGGGTTAGTGTGAGGACCAGGGTGGCCAGACAGAGGAGCAAGCGAGAAGGAGCAGCGTGGGGAAGCAGAAGAGCCACCAGCTCCTGGGGTCCCATCAAATGCTGAAGACTCAGGTTTTCATGGAGGGGAAATGAGGGGAAAAGAAAGGAAAAATCTTGAGTTGCCTATCAATGCCAGTGCTTCCTCAATCCCTGCTTCCTGGAAAAGCATCTGACCCCTAAGTCCAGGGCCGGGGCAGGGTCCTCCCCATGCTCTGAACCTGAGCTGCAGTGTGGCCTTGGAAAAGTTGCTACCCCTCTCTGGGCCTCTGTTTCCTCACTTGACAACTTGGCCGCGGGATGAACTCCATGATCACTGAAGTCCTCCCCAGTTCTGGCAGCTGGTGATCTAAGGGCACCAAGTCTATTCCACCATGAAGCCCCCTCCAGCAGGGAGCGCCAAGTGCACCTGTGTTTCGGGAGAGACAGGAACCATCCTTTGTGATACCCTGCGGTGTCCCCGGAGCTGCGGCTCCATGCCCTGCTCAGCCAGACAGTGTAAGGATCCTTTGTGATGATGACAGCCAGTCAGTGCTGCTAGGGGCCACAAGGCCCTGCCTGCCCCCAGCAGCAACCCCAGCTTTCCATTGTCCCAGGTCTTCCACGACCACCCCTCTTGCCAAGGTGAGGGCTACCTTCAGGGTTCCATTCTGAATTTCCCAACCCCTGGCAAAGCCCCCATCTCACCCAACTCCTAGCACCCACGGTCTGCAGGAAATAAAAATAATATTCCATCAAGACGTGCTGAGGCAGGTTGTTTGGGTGTGCCCCACATACACAGCCAGCCCTTGGCACAGTCCTGGGCATACAAGAGGGATCCACCAGTGAGTGCTTACGGATGTATTTCTGGCTGGAGATAGCAAGGTACTCAGCCATGGATCCAGCAGCCACTCTTTGGGCATCTAGGATACACCAGGCACCGTGCCTGGTGCTGGGATATGGCAGAGTGCACAGGCAACTGCAGACATTGTCCCTTCCCTCGTGGAGTTTACAAAACTCATTCAGCTCAGTGCATAATTGCTGTGGTGTCAAGCGCTATGAAGGAGACGTGGGTGTATCGGCCTGCTTGGGTGCTTGTGTACCAAAGTACCACAGACTGGGAGGTTTAAACAACAAAACTGTGCTGTCTCCAGTCCTGGAATGCAGGGGCATATTCATAGCTCACTTCAAGCCTCCAACTCCTGGGCTCAAGCAATCCTCCCATCTCAGCCTCCCGAATAGCTGGGACTGCAGGTTTGTGCCACCATGCCCAGTTAATTTTTTTTATTTTTTGTAGAGATGGGGTCTCCCTGTGTTGCCCAGGCTGGTCTTAAACACCTGGGCTTAAGTGATCTTCCTGCCTCAGCCTCCAAAATGCTGGGATTACAGGTGTGAGTCACCATGCTCAGCTCAACTTTCCCCTTTCTTTTTTTTTTTTTTTTTTGAGACGGAGTCTCGCTCTGTCGCCCAGGCTGCAGTGCAGTGGCGGGATCTCGGCTCACTGCAAGCTCCGCCTCCCGGGTTCACGCCATTCTCCTGCCTCAGCCTCCCAAGTAGCTGGGACTACAGGCGCCCGCCACTACGCCCGGCTAATTTTTTGTATTTTTAGTAGAGACGGGGTTTCACCGTTTTAGCCGGGATGGTCTCGATCTCCTGACCTCGTGATCCGCCCGCCTCGGCCTCCCAAAGTGCTGGGATTACAGGCGTGAGCCACCACGCCCGGCCTCAACTTTCCCCTTTCTATAAGAACACCATCTTACCCGGTTAGGAGCCCACCCTACTCCAGGGTGACCTCATCTTAACAAATTCCCTCTGCAATGATCCTATTTCCAAATGAGGTCACGACCGGAGGCACTGGGCATTAAGATTTCAATATCTAAGCTTGGGGGACATGATTCAACCTGTGGCAGTACGGCAGCCTACAACAGATGCCTGACCCAGAAGCCGAATGAGGCGGAGGAGGCAAAAAAGAGCAGACAGGACCATGGAATGTTAAACAAACAAACAAACAAAAAGTGTAAGAAGTCCTTGGCTGAGCTCTGAACAAAACAATGGGCAGAGACCTGTCCAGAGGCAGCTCCTAAAGGTGCGAACAGTGAGGGCCGCAGGGATGGAGGGCTCCAACCTCAGTTCCCTCTCCGGCACCTGGGCCCATGCCCCAAATCGCAGACCTTCGGATGGAGGTCACCTCCCAGACCTCCACCCTGTCCTCCGGGAATCCCGCCCTCCCAGAGCTTTTGGCGCTGCTCACCTCTCAGCGGGCAAACATTTTTATCCATTCCCTGAAATTAAACTTCCCCGTTTTTCATTATCAAATTCCGAGCTGGTGTCATCTCCCCCATGCCGGCGTGCGGGACTCGTTTACAGCGCCTGAGATTAATATTAGGTGTTTGTAAAAGGCGAATATTAGCTTCTCCCTTATATCTGTCAGAATTAATAACTTCCCCATCACAGATAACTCCGGGTCAATATTAGATTCGCAGATGAGGCTGGAAATAAAATGTATGGAAATATAACGTCTCATTTGTACATATTCAAAAAAGGCCCTTTCATTATTGAAATTCGGCGGCAACTGTTCAAAGGTCAGAGGACTTTGTGGCCTGGAAATACCCACCATCTGGCCCGAGCAGGCGCAGGCGAGGACAAATTGGTGCCCCTCCACGGGGAGCCCGGGAGGACGCGGAGGCGGTGCGGGCATGGACTGGAGGCTCTGCCAGGGATTTTTATAGGGCAGAGAGGGATAGAGAGCTTACCCACCGCCGGCCCAGGCTCATGCTGGGCCCGAAGCCAGGGCCTGGTGTGGGCACCTCGCCAATGGCTGCCGTCCATATGCCCTGCCCACCCCGGTGCCAGATCGGGGGCACGAGATCCCCTCCCTCCCCTCTAGCAGCCGGGCACTGACCTTGCAGGCAACAAGGGGTTAACAGTCAGAGCTGCAGGAGGACCCACCTTCTCCCAGCACAGCCTCGCCACCCCCAGCCTCACCCACCAAGCTGGGGGGAGGCAGAGAGTGGCCTCCAAGGCGGGCAGGCCCCATTCCCCGCTTGGCAATCGCTCATAAATCATAATTGACAAGCATAATTTTTCCCTTGAGCGGCAAGGGTGCTTTATTTAGTTGTTTCTATTTTATCTGGTTGCAGGAGATGATGGACCCCCCTCCAACCCACTTCTGCTGTTTCCCATAATAATAAAACGCTCTGCTAGGCCAGGATGGGATCCGATTCTGTGAACTCTACCCGCTCTGGTAAAAGGTCATCTTGGGACTCAGCCGCTTGTGCGGCGTGATGGAGAAGCTACCAACAGGGCCGCCGACAATGACCAAGAAGGTGGACCTCGGGGCACGCGGAAGACGCCTCTCCTCCCTCGGTGAGGAGTGGCAGCACCCCAGGACCCCACACAGAGGAGGTTCAGCCAGAGAAACGGACCCATCCTCAGTCACAGAGGGAGTGGCAGGGGCAGGGGTGTGGTGCGGCATCTCCAGGACCCTGAACAGCAGGTCCCAGGCCGGGCTGTGGGTCATTTTCCCGTCCCCTGGACAGGGCTCCCTGGGAGCAAAGACCCAGTGGTGTGTCTGCAGCCCCCTGGGCCTTGAGGCCGCGTTCCTGGGGTTCATTTGGGGTGGTGGGTGGATCTTGAGTGTGCTGTAGAGCCCCGAGCTGTCTCCAGGTTTCAGAGAGCAGAGGGCAAGCCCTCCCTCGAGGGGCCAGTGAAAGAAGCCCCCAGGAGATCCTCCCGTCCAGCCCCTCGGTCCTCTGGCTCTGGGAGGCCTTTCTTTCCTGCCGCTGAGAAACCTTTCCTGTTCCCAAAGTGACTTAAGCTCTCCCCATTAACGCTCCCTCCAGCTGGGCTGGCACTGAGGTCCCCGCTCCGGCCGGGCCTTTGTGAGGAAGGGGCCCCTGCTCCGGAGAAGATGAAGGGAAAAGCCCTTTCTTTCTTTCCTCCTAAGCCCCTCAAACTCGCGGTGACCCACAGTTAAATCCCTTTTAACAAGGCTCACTTCCTCGCCCAACCAGTTAAAACTCTCCAAAAATAAACAAGGCCCGGGCAGGCTTTTCCTGCAGCTCTGAGGCCAAGCTGGGAGGAGGGGGCCGGCGAGGGCCCCTTAGCTGAGGAGGCGCCCTGTGCTGGCCTCAAAATTGGGGTGCTGGGCCTAGCCCTGCCCTCAAAGATAGGGTGCTGGGCCCATCCCTGCCCTCAAAGGTGGGGCACATCCCCTGCCCTCAAAGATAAGGTGGTCCACCTCCTACCCTGAAAGTTGGGGTGCTGGGCCCATCCCTGCCCTCAAAGTTGGGATGCTGGGTCCATTCCCTGTCCTCAAAGGTGGGGTGCTGAGCCTGTTCCCTGTCCTTAAAGGTGGGGTGCTAGGCCTGCCCCTGCCCTCAAAGATGAAGTGCATGTGTCTCGGATGCCACCTGTCGCTAGAATGACTTCACCTTAACTAATTACATCTGCATGATCCTATTTCCAAGTGAGGTCACATCTGAGGTACCGGGCTTTGGGACTTCAGCTTATGAGTTTGAAGAGGACGTAATTCAACCCATAATACACAGAGTGGATAACACATGGAGAGGCTGCCACATGCCACTGATCCTGCTGGGCAGGCATCATTCCTTCCTTCATTCCTTCCCTGAGTGTCTGCCCATGAGCAGGCCTGGTGCAGGGCAGAACTAAAGGTGGGTGATTATTGACTGCTGTTTATCTCCCTCTCTGAGCTACAAGCTCCCAGGGACAGGGCCAGTCTTATTTGCCTACCACTGTATTACCAGGGTCTGGCACAGGGGAGTTGTCTAATAACTCTCAAAGGGAGGGAGGGGAGAAGTGATCCTCTGTCCTCCAACTGTCCTGTCTCAGGACACTCACTCCATTTGGGCACAGCCATGAGAATATGTCGTCTTCTGTGGTCAGGGTGAACTGACAGGGAACACAGGCCCCCTACCCTGCCCACCCAGCCTGGTCAGGATTAGGGTCCTGTTTCCAGCTTTTCCTCTTGCATCATCCAGCTGAGGTATGAGTGCCACCCTTGCCTGGCAGCTGGTGAGGGGAGAGGTTTGTCTGCCACACAGCACAGTCCTTGGCTTTCCACGTGCCCAGTCTCCTGGCTGGAGGGTGGTAACAAAAGTGAAAACCATGCTCAGAGGCCAAAGTCTGCTGTCCTCAGGCCCCAGACCCCATTGACTAAGACCTTCAAAAGGTCACATGCCAGTGAGTGAACTCTTGGGATGGGTGGATGGATTGAGGAATGAATGGGTAGATCAGTGGTGGAAGGGTGGATGGATAAATGGAGGAAGGGAAGCAGGAATGAAGGGATGGATAAATAGATTAATGGATGGGTGGATGGATGAATGGACAAATGGATGGATGGATGGATGGATGGATGGATGGATGGATGGATGGACAGATGGAAGCAGAGATGAAAGGATAGATGGGTAGGTAGATGGATGAATGGGTGTGTGAGTGGATGGATGAATGTGTGGATGGGTGATAAATGGATGGGGGATTAATGGATAGATAGATGGGTAGATGGATGAATGGATAGATGGAAAAATGGGTGGATAGATAAATGGATGGAGTAATAGATGAGTGGATGGATGGATGGAGAGAGGGAGGGATGGGTAGATGGATTAATAGATAGGTGAATAAAGGGAGAGAGGTGAGGGAGAGAATAGAGAAAGGATGAGATGGATAGATGGATGATGGATGGAGGAAGAGATGCAGAGATGAAAGGATGGGTGGATAGATGGGTGAATGAATAAATAGTTAAATGGGTGAATAGATGGATAGGTAGATGGATGGGTGAATGGAGGGATAGATGGGTGGATGGATGGATGGATGGATGGATAGGTAGATGGATGGGTGGGTGGATGGATGAATAGGTAGATGGGTGGGTGAATGGAGGGATGGATGGATGGATGGATGGACAGATGGGTGGATAGATGGATGAATGGATGGATAGATGGGTGGATGGATAGATGAATGGATATATAGATGGGTGGATGGATGGATGAATAGGTAGATGGATAGGTGAATGGAGGGATAGATGAGTGGGTGGAAGGATGGACAGGTAGATGGATGGGTGGGTGGATAGACGGATACGTAGATGGATGGGTGAATGGAGGGATGGATAGATGGATGGATGGATGGATGGATGGATGGGTAGATGGATGGGTGAATGGAGGGATAGATGGGTGGATGGATGGATGGATAGGTAGATGGATGGGTGGGTGGATGGATGAATAGGTAGATGGGTGGGTGAATGGAGGGATGGATGGAGGGATGGATGGATGAATGGATAGATAGATGGGTGCATGGATGCATAGGGTGGGTGCATAGATGGGTGGAAGGATGGACAGGTAAGTGGATGGGTGAATGGAGGGATGGATGGATAGATGGATGGATGGATGGATGGATGGATGGATGGATGGATGGATAGATACGTAGATCAATGGGTTAATGGAGAGATAGATAAGTGAATGGATGGCAGGGGTCAGTGAGCTTGGCCAGATTCCTTTTCTGGAGACTTGCTTTATCTTTTCATTCTCCTGCTGTGCGAGCTACGGAATGAAGTTGGTAGCTTCGTCTGGCATGCCAGGCCTTCCCAGTCAAGCCCTGCCTCTGTGTCTTGCCTTCCCCTGACTGCCCTCCAGGATCCCTCTGCCCAGCCTGACTGAGTCTGTTGCCACTGCCCACAACACACTTTCGTAACCTGTTCCCCACCCTCCCACACACTGGGATCACTAATACTGTATGTGTGTCCCTTCTCAGAAAGCTTCCTGGGCCTCTCCCTACCCGGAGCTCTGCATGCTCTCAGATGGTGGTGGGCTTGTTGCCATCTTCTCTCCTTGCCAAAGGTGAGGCCAGGGGCAGGAACCACTGCTCCATGGGATCCCTGTGCCTTGAGCCAGGGGTGCTCGAGAAATGGGAAGCCTAAGAGTGCAGATTTGAAATTTCATTTCCAGGAATAGACTCTCTGGCAGAGTGCAGGGGTTGTGGTGACAAGGCATAGTCTCCAGAGACCTTTCTCCCTTCCCCAGCTCCAGGCCCCACACCCTGCAAGGCTAGACCAGGTGTGATTCCCATCCCCCTTTGCTTCACACAGCTCCTGATCTCATGCACATGACTGGAAGCTCCCAGGTGGCCGGGGTGGTAAGGGAGATGGAAGGTGGCCAGGGTTGGGGGAGGTTTCCTAGAAGGTCTCTCTTCTCCCAGGGCCTGGCAGGAGGTAGTTACTCAGTCTCATCAAGCCTGACTGTTTAAGCCACCTGAGGTCCCTCAGCTGCTGTGTCACAGGAAGTGGGGGTTTGGTCGCCCCAAGGCAGTACCACGAGCTTCTCCAAACAGCAGGTGGGCAAGGCAAAGTATGGCCTCATGGCTGGTCCTGTGGAGTGAGCTCTGAGGGCGCCATGCAGGGCCCACCACCCCATGGGTACACAGAGCCCTGTGAGCAGCACCCACAATCGCCCTTGGAGGGACAGCTGGCCGGGACCCCACTCCAAGCTCCAGGGCCTCTGCACTTGCTTCTCACTGTCTCACCTCAGCCCCATGGCTGCACCTGGGTTCCAGGTGAAGGTCTGAGCCCAATCACTTTCCAGGTTGTGCAAGAGACTCTCCTGGGGAAGGTTGAAAATGGGACTGTCTGCCATATTCTGTCCACCTCTCATGTTCTGTCTCCAGCTTCCACCTCCACCAGGAAGCCTATCCTGATCACTGCAGGCATTAGCCAGCATGGCTGCATAGCCTCACCTCAGTTTCTTCCTTGTCCTGGGCTCACCAGCTCCTGCACCGGGGTGAGGAGCTGATGCTCGGGCTCCACCTGCCCTTTCATCCAGATTCCCCAGGCTCAGCCTGGCTTGGGGACAGGGTATGTGATGCTTATGGCTTCACTGGGATTGGCTGCATGAGGCTAGAAGACCCTAGAAGGAGCAAGGTTTCTAGGACAAGTGTGGAAGCTCAAGGGCACGATGAATGTGTGACCTGCTTTGGGGAAGCCACAGTGACTTCTATTGTCTCTGCCTCCCTCCCCATCCCCCAGTCCCACATCATGCCTCTTCTTCAGGCAACAGCTCACTCTCTGTGGGATGGTTACATGACCCAGGATTAACCAATCAGAGCACCACATCGCCCTGGCCAGTGATTGGCTCAGAGAAAGGCACATGCCCGGAGCCCAGCCAACAAAGCCTTACCTGTGACTTTTATAGGAGCAATTGTCCTTGGGTTGCTAAGATGATAGGAGCTGCTGCTGGTAGTTGCTGGTGAGAATAAAGCCAACACAGAGGAAGGCAGAGCTAAGACTGTTCAAGAAAAGCAGAACCTTAATTGCACTCTTTAGGAGCCTGGATCCAGCCATGCCTGAAGGCAACATGGTACATGAACCAATACATTCTGCTTTTTGGTGGAGGCAGAAACCTGGGTTTATGTCACTTGCAGTCAGACTCCTGGAACCATACAGGCCTCAGGGCCAGTCTCACTCATGTCCTATGGGCATTCCTGAATGACCACAGGTTTTTTCAATCCAAAGTGTTACAGCCAGTCCCATAGCAATGCTGGACTGGCCTCCTCAGCCTCTGCATGGCCCTCCTCCCTCCACATACCTCCTGCTACCCCATGCTTTTCTGGGGACGGCCATGCACTTCGCTACAGAGGCGTGGTTTGTCCTACACTGCCCCGTGGTACCTGGTTGCAGAGCTAAGATGTGACCACATCACCTAACTCTACAATGTGGTCCTTCCCTCCCTTCCCGAGGCTTGCCCCAACCTTCCTGGAGAGGCTGCATTTCCATAGCACACATTCTATGATCTCTGTGACCTTTCAGGCACATTTACTCCTGGCATGCTGGCCAAATGACAGGTCCTCCCTCTGAGACGCCCGGGTCAATGGTCAATATCCACAAAGCCCCTGATCCAACAGAGCCTGCCTGCCTCCTCCCCCCACACCTGGACTTTTCTCTCACCCATTTCCTGTTCCACATCCACCTCCCTTCCTAGACGTGAGGCCCCAGAGTCCAAAAACCAGGCCTTGGTGCCCCGGGGCACACACAGCACTGGCACACAGAAGGGTTCCATGCAAGCTTGAGGGATGTCACAGCTCCTGATTGGTTTTGCAGGAGCTTCTGTGGACACAGACGCCCTCGTGGAATGTGAGTGAGGAGAAGCTGCCCACGGCCCCCTGGAGGGCATGAACCCAAGGCCCAGGGCCCCCCAGGTTGGGCTCTCTGTCAGCTGCCCCTGGGGCAGGCCGCCCTCTGCCCCTGCCAGGGCCTGCGTGTCCTGCCATCCCCCCTCCTGGGGGGCACTTCAGCACAATGGGCTTGGCGGCCCCGTGGCTTCCCAGGCGGATGTGATGGCAAATAGCAGGCACTTGGCATGTCTTCGGGATTTCTGAGCATAACAGAAATGTCAGGCGGATCTTAATGAAAGGCTGTGGGCTTCTGGGGATTGACAGGCGACGCAGAATCCTAATTTTCAGATGGCTTGTTCTCAGGGCTTTCGGCACCCAGGGCCAGAGCTGGGGAGCCCCCCAAGTCCCCATGGAGAACTGGACCATCTCCTCCATTGCAGGAGTGGCTGCCGTGCAGCCGACAGATGCCCCTTCCGGGGCCTGGCCACCGGTACTGAGTCCTGATTTAGAAACGAAATTATTTCTCTTCCTCATCCGCAGCAATTGGACGCCTGCCTTTTGCCTACACTTTGTGAGCAACGTGTGGCAGAGGAGGCAGCGTCCCCGCGGCTGCCGTTGACGTCAGGAGGGCTGCCGGGAGCACAGTGGGCCGCCCTGGGCAGGTGCCGCGTGGGCAGGTGCCACGGGGTGGGGGCTGGGCCAGGCAGGCCACAGTGGCTGCTGCAGGCATCACCCTTAAAGGGAAACCCTGCTTTCCTAGCCAGCTCCCGGGGGACTGGGGAAGGGTGACTACCCTCAGCAGGGCAGGCCTTACCCTTGCGGGTGAAGTAGGAAGACCCCCACCTGGGGTGGCTTGATGTGTGCCCCAAAAAGTGCCTGGATCTTCAGTGAGTGCTACTCTGTGCTTGGTGGCTGATCCTGGGCCGGTGCGTCTCTAGGTGCTGCAAGACAGTGCCAAGCTGGACAGACAGGATGGGGGGTGGGAAGTGGAGCAGGTTGGAGGGACCCCCTCCTCTGCAGCACACAGCTGGTGCTCTTTTGATTTCCATGCAGGTGCCACTGCAAGTCCCCTCTCTCCTGATGAGATTGTCCGTTGTGCCCATGTCCTTCCAGGAGGACATCCCTGCTCCTGCTGCTCCCAGCAGCTTAAGGTCTGGTTGGAGGAGACAGACCTAGGACGAGTAAACCACCAAGCTGGACAGTGATAACTCCCAGAAAAAGCGGACCCGGCCTCATGGAGCATCGTGACAGGGCAGGCAAGTGGGTGACTTGCACAGGCACTGTGCAGGGATTCATGGCTGGCTGGCCAGCGACTCCACAGCCTGCTGAACTCCGGAGGGACCCCGGGTCTGTGGGGACACCACGCTCTACCCTGCCCTTGCTGGCCCCTCGCTTGGACCCCCAGGCCTGGGTCAGGGTCTGTTTTCCTCACTAAACTGGGGACATGAACCAGCAGCCCCCAGACATCATTAGTGTGGCAAGCCCAGTCCCTAAAAATGACAGAGAGGGAGGGAGGGAGGGAGGTGGATCTGATGGCCTTGGGCAGGTTGGGGACCACACCACTGGCGACAGGCCCCTTCTCCCTCCCTAGAGTCTTGGCTTTCCTGGCCCTGCCCTGAAGGCAGCACAATCCAGGAAGGCTGCCTGGAGGAGGGTGGTTCTGTTGGGCCTCCATAGAGGGTAGGATTTGGATGGGGGCTGTAAGCAAGAGGCAACCCCAGTGCAGGGATGGTGTGATGGGGGGACAGTCCCCTGTGCTTCCCGCCTGTGGGCAGGTGAGGCTGGGCAGGCTCCCCTGCGAGGCCCTGGGGGGAGAGTGGGGAGCAGACGTGTGCCCTGGAGGGTGTACAGGCCTGGTCTCCCACCTGGAGGGTGGCGGGGAGGGTAACCCAGGGCTGGGTCTGGGCAGGGATGGTCTGAAGGGATCCCGGAGAGGATAGGCCCATGGTGGCAGCAAGGGGGTGGCTAGGTGGGGATAGCAGAGGGATGGAGCCCTGTCACATTGGCTCCTGCTGCCCGGAAAAACTCAGGGCCCCAGCCCCTTTAGAAACCGTCCCAGCCTCACCCCCCACCCTCTTGACCACAATTGGCTCCCTGTTCCTCGCCTGCCCTGACCTGCTCCAGCCAGAGGCCCCCCTCGCAGCTCCCCGAAGGCACTGGGCTTGTTCCAGGTGCTGTGCCTGCCAGGAGCACTCCAGGCTCCTGTGAGCCTGGTACAGACACCACATCTAGGAGCCTTCCCACTCCCGACCAGGGCAGACCCCCCGCTTTCTACTAAGAGCACCCCGGGGCATCCCTTAGATACCTCACCACTCTGGGGAGCAACAGGCTTTTATGGGTGATTATGTTTTTAACGTCGCCTGCCCTCCATGCCCTGCTCTGACAGCAGGGACCGCAGTCACAGCCAGACCCCAGCCCAAGTCTGGTGTGCAGGAGGCACTCGGTCAATGGTGGCGGTGAGTGCCTGAGCACCCCCCTTCAGGAGGGGCCGCTGTCCGCAGGTCTGTGCCTCCTCCAGATGGGAGCACCCTGCAAGCTGGCCAGGGCTGATCCCCATTCCCCCAGGACACAGCACCCATCAGAAGGGGCCACTGTCAGCAGGTCTGTGCCTCCTCCAGATGGGAGCACCCTGTGAGCTGGCCAGGGCTGACCCCCATACCCCCTGGGACACGGTGCCCATCAGGAGGACCCATTGTCTGCAGGTCTGTGCCTCCTCCAGATGGGAGCACCCTGAGAGCTGGCGAGGGCTGATCCCCAGGCCCCCAGGACACAGCTCCTGATGCGCCAGGCAATGGACTGGTTGCTTTGGTTGATGAGGGAGGGAAGGAAAGGAGGAGGAAGGGAGAGGTGAGGAAAGAGGGAGGGAAGGAAGGAAGGAAGGGAGGGAAGGAAGGAAGATAGGTGAGCACACTCTCTCCCAGCTCCCTGTCTTCTTCCCTTTGCCCCGCAAGGCTGAGATTTCTCTGTGGCTGTGCCATCTTCAGGGAGGCAGTGCCCAGGGGAGTGTGGCAGGAAACGCCAGGCCCGGGGCTGCACCTCCTGAGCACTGTAGCTCCTAAACCCACCCGCTGAAGCTCCACAAATAACCCCAAAGAGGAACGGAGATCAATGCACTGCCCTATTGACAAAACCTCAGCCGTAATGCAGATAGCTCTCACGTTTTTATTGTGTTCATGTTGATTCATAGCGGTTTTGTCAATAAAAAAACACCGCACAAAGTCTCAACAGTAAAAACGTCACCAAAAATTATTTATTGCTATGATAACAGCAAATTATATATTGAAGGAGATTTGTGGCGTAGGGTGGGACAGAGGCTGGTGGCATCGTGGGTGGAGAGAGGGCCCCTCTAAACCTGCACTGTGGCCCCACCATCGCCTGAGTACACCCTGTGCCCAGCCCCGATGCAGGGCTGGCTTGGGCTCAGGGCACCGGCCCCCAGGTGACAGGGAAGTCATGGGTAGAGTCCACACCCACAGACACGAGGGAGAATGTGATCAGCAAAGTAACACAGGGACCTGCAGGCAGGACGGAACAGCTTTTCACCAGGGAAGCCAGGAAGAAGTCGTCACACAGTAATAACTGGGCCACCTTGGGAAGACCAGGTAGGTTTCAAATATTCACTTCCACGAGGAAGAAACGGCAGGAGCAAAAGCCGGAGGGTAAGGAAATGCTTAGCATGTTCGGAAGACACAGAAATAACATGCTTAGTGCCTGGGCGCGTGGTCCTGAGTGAGGGACGCTTGGGCAGCCCTGGATCAACCCGCACCTGCAAGAGCCTTCGCTTCCTTGCAGATGGCGACCGTCTCTGCAGATCTCTTCCATCAATAAAAGTGTTTTTATAAAATTTCTTCCTTGGAAAATTGACTCCCTGGTTTTGGTATTTCATGGGCAAAGTATAAATTGTGGAGGTGGCACCACCTATAAAAATGAGCTTTTCTTTCCAACTATAAATGCGCTTGGAGGTGGTGCGGAGTGCCCGGGTGGGTGGGGGGAGAACCTTAGCGGCTGGTGTCTGGTGTTACTGACAGTATCAGTGGGCGGGGGCTGGGCGTGGGCTGGAGCGGTGGGCGGGTCTGCTGAGGGTGTAGACACCAGGGCCAGGGCCAACCCGGGGTGGAGAAACTGGGGTGGGGGACGTGATGGGGAGGGTACTTGTTTAGAGCTGTGCATGCTATTTTGGGCAATTGACAAGGGGGTGGGGATAATTTTTCTTTTCCTGGAATGTCTGCCTGGGGGTCAAAAATTTATACTTACACCAAGTGGTTGGGTAAATAGGAAAGAACGCTTTTTTTTTTTTTTTTTCAAAAAAAAAAATCAGTGGAAGATTTCTGCTTCATACTGGCAGCCCTTTTCCTGCACATCTTTCTCTTTATGCGGTTTTGTCTCAGTGATTTGAGCATGTTCTAATTTTGTCATTCAAGCCATCTGACTTTCACTGCTCTATACAAACAAAACCTAATTTAGTCTGAGATGTTTTAAGTCATAGCAATGACGGATGGCCAGGGTTCAGGTGTGGTGGAATATTTAAATACCTAGTCTATATTTTTCTGATATAAAGACAGGCAGCTTTTTGTACTCTGATTAATTATGATTTTGCATTTCAGAAAAAAAATAGCTTTTTCTATTCTACATTATTAATTGGTTATTTAATTAGGAATTCTCCAAGCTTCAGATGTTGGGAAGCTAAATCTGTGAGTGGGTTTAAAAAAAAGCCAAGCTCTATCCTGTTGCCTTTTTGTATCTTATGAAGGTCACAATAAGACGTGATTGTTTGGCATAGCGGCAGTGAATTATGCCACCAGACAAGCTTTTAACCTATGCGCCTTAACTCTGAGTGAGACGCACGGGGCCTGTGCTCTCTTTAAACCGTTCTCTATTGAAGAGGATTCAATCACCATAATGAATCTGAGGCCAGGCAGCAATCTTCCGCACTGAAAGAATTTCTAAAAGATTGTAGAATTTGTAAAACGAACAGCTCGCAGACTAAATGGCTGTGTGGGTGAATCAATTATTGCAAGGCCCCGAGTAGTCATAATATTTAGTACATATCATAGAGTGTTTCAGGTACAATAAGATATGCTCGTTTTTCTCCGTTCCTGCTGGAAGTGGTACCGAAAGCCTCCACGCAACCCCGGCTCATCTGCCGCATCCCGGGAGAGCTGGGTCAGGTCGAGCGCACCCACCGCGCATCCACGCGTGGACGTGGGCACGTGCACAGGCAAGGAGGGGCTGCCTTCTGGAGAGGCGGGTGGTGGGGGAGCTAGAATACCTTCCCCCAACCTCCCCACTATTCCGTCAAGTCTGCCTCAGAAATCCATGGAGATGCTAAGTTGCCAGTTCTCTTTTTTTAGAGCCTGGTTTTGGACTGTTTCCTTATTAATACAATAATTATTTTTCTCTGACAGCACCATTTATAACCATCTACTCTGGGTCCAACTAGCCCTGTTTTCATTAATCAATGGTCATGGAGACGACTGTCATCACCTCTCTGGATGATGACTTATCGGCCTAATGCAGGCTCCTTTCTGGGGACCACAAATCAGGTGAGGATGGAGCCTTTTTGGCTGCTTGGTGTGAAAGCTTCTAACACAAAACTAGGTACCATCTAAAGACCTTTACCTCAGAGAAAGGCATCAGGGAGTTTCCGGGAGCTTGTGGAAGGTTGTTTTCACTGTGCTTTAAAGTTTGCAAGATGGGCAGCCCCTCTCAAGCAACATAGAGAAGCCTCGATGCAATCCAA
Source organism: Homo sapiens (assembly GCF_000001405.40). Classification (NCBI taxonomy): domain Eukaryota; kingdom Metazoa; phylum Chordata; class Mammalia; order Primates; family Hominidae; genus Homo; species Homo sapiens. Next base: position 30,059,382 of record NC_000019.10, on the reverse strand, counting down.
GGGGAACTTAAAAAATATCCTGATGTCATCATGGCAAAGGCCCCAATTGGAGTATTGGAGGAAAGCTACCACGAGGCCAAGAAAGGGTTAGAGATGAATGTTACATAGATTGGGACTGAGGCAGGGTTCTACATTGGCTGTCCGCAGAATGAAGCTGGGAGATCCTTGAAGTCCCTTTAATGCAATTCCCAGTTGCCTCTATTCACATTGCAATGACGGCTCCTCTCCTTAGCATTCTGCCATAGAAGGGAACAAGTAGTACTCAGTTTCTCAAAGCCCCAGAAGCGGCACTGCTCAGTGTCCCCTTAGTTTATGCTCCCCGGATGAATCTTTCCATCTTGAGGCCTATGAAACTACAACTCTGTCTTCAGAGGGTGGGAACATCTGTTCTGTTTTGTGACGATTTTTAGCCTGGCTTTGCCTCTGTGGTTGTTCATTTGTCATGAGCATTCTGTCAATGTGAATGGCTCACCAATCTCAGCTGGTAAGGAAATAAAAAGAAAATCCCTCATATTGTTCTAAACTCTGTGCAGAAATCTCCTCCTGTGAACCTCACCTTTGAGCGCCTTTGCTAATAGAGGACAAAGAGGTTAAGTCTTTTTTTGAAGTCTTCAGCTGGTAGACTGCAGGGCCAGTACTCAAGCATGAATCTTGGGAGCCCCTACCTCCTCCCTACAAAGTGTCTCCTAGCTGGGTGTTTCTCCCTTCACCAGTTCCTCCCTGCTTCACCCAGGGCACCCACGACACTTCCCCAGAGAAAAGGAGAGGCTCTCCTCCCAAATGAGCCCAGAGCAGAGATCCTCACCAGCTTGCTCAGGCAACAGCAAATGGGCCAGACCATCCATTCCCAAAACATTCCTTCAGCCCAGCTCTCAACAGCCTCATTCCAATACTCTGCTAAGAGAAAAGGAGAATAAACAGAAGCAGCTAGAAGAGCTACCTGGCAATGAGATCCACATCAACAGATAATATCAAGTACTTACAAAAGAATCTAACAAACCTCATGCCTGTAATCCCAGCACTTTGGGAGGCTGAGGTGGGCAGATCACGAGGTCGGGAGTTTGAGGCCAGCCTGGCCAATATGGTGAAACCCCGTAAAAATACAAAAATTAGCCAGGTGTGGTGGTGCGTGCCTGTAATCCCAGCTACTTGGGAGGCTGATGCAGGAGAATCGCTTGAACCTGGGAGGTGGAGCTTGCAGTGAGCCGAGATGACTCCAGCCTGGGCAACAGAGCAAGACTCTGTCTCAAAAAAAAAAAAAAAAAAAAAAAAAAAAAAAAAAAAAGGAATCTAACAAACTGTGTTCATAATCTCTACAGAGAAAATTATATAATTTTATCTGAGAGTTCTCGGAGAAATCCTAAATGGAAAAATTTACCATATTCATGGATAGGAAAGTTGAACATTATATAGATATCAATTCTCCCCAGACGGATCTATTGATTCAATATTATTTCAAAGTCCCAACAGAGATTTTTAAAGAAACTTGTTAAATGATATGGAGCAAGCAGGCAAGAATAAGCAGGATGCTTCTGAAGATGAAAAGGAGGGAGGAAAGCCTTTCCTCACCTTGTTTAGGACTTAGCATGAACCTATAGTAACTAAGACAGTGTCATATTAGTGCAGGGAAAAAGAAATCAATCAGAGAGATAGTCTAGAAAGGGAACCTCACATTAAGGTTTATGGCATTTGGTATGTGACAAAAGTTATATGTCAGATCAGTAGGGGAAAAACAAACAAAATTTACTATTGAAGAAGTGAAGTTGAAAAATGATTAGCCATCTGGGAAAAGAAGAAATTGTATCTTCTCTTCACACGATGTTGACAAATCTAGTCCAGATGGATTAAAGACTTAAATGTTAAAAACACAACTTTAAACTTCTTAGTAGAAAATATAGCTAAATATCATTTAGACCTCGGGGTAAGAATAGATTTCCTTAAACAAACATCAGTGACTATAAAGAAAAAGATTAACACATTTGACTATATTAAAATTAAGAACTTTATATTTATCAAAAGACAACTCAGAAAGTAGAGACAAGTCACAAGATATTTGCAACACATGCAACTGACAAGGATTAATATCAAAAATACACTGGGACTGGCTGTGGTGGCTCATGCCTATAATCCCAGTCTGTAATCCCAGCACTTTGGGAGGCCAAGGCAGGTGGATCACCTGAGGTCAGAAGTTCGAGACCAGCCTGGCCAACATGGTTAAACCCCGTTTCTACTAAAAAATACAAAAATTAGCCAGGTGTGGTGGCACACGCCTGTAGTCCCAGCTACTTGGGAGGCCGAGGCAGGAGAATCGCTTGAGGCAGAGGTTGCGTGAGCCGAGATTGTGCCATTGCACACCAGCCTGGGTGACAGAGCAAGACTCCAACTAAAAAAAAGTTGGACTGCATATCAATAAGAACATAAGCAATACAATGAAAAAATAGGCAAGGGACATAAATAGGCATTTCACAGAAGAGTAAATAAATATGGCCATATTAAAAGAAGAGTAACATCAATGGTGATCAAGGAAATACAATCAAGACCATAATGAGAGACTACTTTGTACCTATTTGATTAATAAATACTAATAGTCTAATAACACTAAGTGTTGGAGAGGATATGGATCCACAGAATTTCTTATGCGTTGTTGGAGAGGCTCACCACATTAGAAAAACAGCTTGAAATTATCTCCTAAAGTTGAATATTCACAGCAACTCCACTCCTATGTGTATATACCCAAGATGAAATCTTGCACATGTGCAAAAGGAGAGACATGCAGGAATGCTGTGCCAGCACCGTTCATGATATCAAGATCCTAGAAACACTCAAACACCCTTGAACAGGAGCTACAAGATACAAGATAGCTAGCTTGTATTTTCGCCCAGTGGAACACTACATTGAGTGAACAATGTTGAGATGTAACAATATGAAAGAGTCTCAGCATTATCATATTAATTCCAAAAGTAAGTCACAAAATTTATATACAAGATGGTACCTTTTAAAGTTAAAAACAACTAAATGAAAACACATGCTTTGGGAAATACCATGTAGAAACAAGAGAAATATGTAAAAAGAAAAGCAAAAGAATGAACAGAGAATTGAGAAGATGGTTACCTTGGGTAAGAGAGGTGGGGACATAGAGAAGGGGGGAGCCATAGATTATCGTCAAGTTCTTAGTTTGTGTTTTGGGTGATGGGCTTATGTTATTAAAAGTATTGTTTAGGGCCAGGCACGGTAGTTCATGCCTGTAATCCCAGCACGTTGCGAGGCCGAGGCAGGCAGATCACCTGAGGTCAGGAGTTTGAGATCAGCCTGGCCAACATGGTGGAACCCCATCTCTACTAAAAATACAAAAATTAGACGGTGTGGTGGTGCTGTGTGGAGGCTGTGGCAAGAGAATCGGGTGAATCCAGGAGGTGGAGGCTGCAGTGAGCCGAGATCACGCCATTGCACTCCAGCCTGGGCAACAGACCAAGACTCTTTCTCAAAAAAAAAAAAAAAAGTATCATTTAGGCCGGGCATGGTGGCTGTAATCCCAGCACTTTGAGAGGCTGAAGCAGGCAGACTGATAGAGTACAGGAGTTTGAGACCATTTCTACCAAAACAAAAAACAAAAACAAAAAATCCCAAAAAACAAAAATTAGCCAGGTGTAGTGGCACACACCTGTAATCCCAGCTACTTGCGAGGCTGAAGGGGGAAGATCGATTGAACCCAGGGGTTCGAGGCTGCAGTGAGACATGATTGTGCCAATGCACTCCAGCTTGGGGGACAGAACAAGACTCTGTCTCAAAAACAAAAAGAAAGTATCATTTAAATAATTATACTGTGTATGGGCCATGCATAGAGCAAGGAAGACTGTATGTGAACCAAGTATTGTGATAAAGCCATTCTATGTACTCAGGTCCAATTTTTCAAAAGTACAATTGGCCCAGCAATTATTCTTCTAGGAATGAATCCTGAGGAAAATAACCAGAGATGTGTGCAAAGAGCTGTATACAAAGCTGTTTAGGACCAAATTGTTTCTAATAACAGAAAACTGGAAAGAACATTAGTGTCCAACAATAGGAGATTGGCTGAGTAAACATATGGTACCGTCATGCGATGGAATATTTAAAAAGTTTCCAAAAGTAGGATGGTGTTTTGTACATATACACACTGTGAAAAAGAATCTAAAACGAAATGGCAATAAAACTACAATGCCGATCATTTGGTGGGAGTGCAGGTGATTTTTGCTTTTTTCATCTTTCCTGTCATATGATATGATTCTGTAATTTTAAAAGGTAAATTTGAGAGATAATAAAAGAAACGATACCATGGCTAGGGTATGGAGAGGAGCAATTGATACAAACAAGGATGGCCCTTTTGCAGATATTGAAAGGACAGTTTCCTCAGATGGGCAAGGAGAACACTTTTATTATTGTAATGTTTTATATTTTATATACTAAAATTATTTAAAGTATGTTTATCAGATAGTTGGGAAGGTAGACAGAAATGTAAATAAGTGACCTGAGAATCCCACCAATGAATTCTGACAGTCTTCTTTCTAGTCCTCTCCTCCAAAGTAAAAGCAAAAGTAGAAGCTGGGGTTGATCAGTAATGGATAATCGCATGTGTCAACTAGGGTAGGCCATGGTAGCAGTTATTGGTCAAACATCAGTCTACATGTTGTCTTGAAGGTATTTGTTAGAAGTGATAAACACTGAAGTCACTAGACTTTGAATAAAGCAGATTGCTCTCCATAATATGATGGGCCTCATCCAGTTGTTGGAGATCTTAACAGAATTAAGGAAGAGGGAATTCCACCTCCAGCCAACCTTTGGACTGGAAATGCAACATCAACTCCTCCCTGAGTCTCCAGGCTGCCGGCTTGCCCTGTAAATTTCAACTTGCCAGCTGTTCCAATTGCATGAGCTAATTCTTTAAAATCAACCTCGAGATGGATGAATAGATTAGATAGATAGATAGATAGATAGATAGATAGATAGATAGATAAACATAGATAGTAGATTAGATAGATGATAGATAGAGATTACATAGATAGTAGATTTGATAGATAGATACATACATACATAATACATACATACTTAATTAGATAGATAAATAGAGAAAGAGATCTCCATCCTATTGGTTCAGCTTCTCTGGAGGATCCACTCTAAAACATACTGGTACAGTTACATATTTTTGCATTTGGGTCTTTTTCACAAAATAGGGTAGTCATATCCTGTTTTCACAAAATATTAAATAAATCATGAGCAGTAGCCAGTGTTATTTTTAAAGTCCTTAAAAAACCTTAATGGTCACATATTTTTATAATCATTTATTCTTAACGAGTTCCTTACTGTCAGACACTTGGATTGTCCCTAATTTTTCACTGTTGTAAGTCACATCGCAACTAACAGACCGGGAACATCATCTCTCCATCTCTGATACAACTTATTTTTGAAAAATATAGTGATCAGAAGCCTGGATTCTAGAGTAGGGCTGTCTGCCGTCTGTGGGGCTTCGCCTCCCGTGGCCTCAGTGGGCTGACCTATGTGACTTCCACGAGCGTTTCCTGCCACTGCATTCCCTGTTCCTCGGAAGCAGCCAGCCCGGCCCCTCTGCACCTGTCCCCGGGCGTCACTCGTGTGACCCTGCTGCGCGCTTCGTAGCCCGCCACTCTGCCCTCCGCAGCCTGCCCACCACCTCCTCCCTCTCAGCGAAGTCCTTTGACCACTTCAGTCCAAAGGGACCTGCTTCCCTCTCCCCATCCTCTGCCCACCCCTGGCCTCCATGACTCCAGTGACCACCTACTCTGCGGACACACACCGCCTCCCAAACACAGTAGAGGGGCCACGGTGCCGTGTTTCATCAATGTCCTCTATGTGTTGAGTATCACCACGCAGCACACCCACTCCACGGGCTGAAACGTCTCACTTGGGCTCCACTTCATCCAGGAAGCAGATCCAAGCAGGCCAGGGAGCTCCGAAGGGGCAGGGCCAAAAACAGGGCTGTAAAATTTTTAAAAAGTAGGCCAAGCACGGTGGTTCACGCCTGTAATCCCAGCACTTTGGGAGGCCAAGGCAGGTGGATCATCTGAGGACAGGAGTTCAGGACCAGCCTGGCCAACATGGTGAAACCCTGTCTCTACTAATAATACAAAAGTTAGCTGGGCGTCGTGGCTGGCCCCTGTAATCCCAGCTACTCGGGAGGCTGAGGCAAGAGAATCACTTGAACCCAGGAGGCAGAGGTTGCAGTGAGTCGATATCATACCATTGCACTCCAGCTTGGGCGAAAGAGTGAGACTCCATCTCAAAAAAAAAAAAAAAAATTTAAAAGTAACAAAACAGGGTTGAGCTTGGATCTTTTGTTTTACACACACACTCACACACACACTCATAGATATAAATTTTTAAATTTTTTGTAGAAATGGGATATTGCTGTGTTGTCCAGGCTGGTCTCAAACTCCTGGGCTCAAGCGACCCTCCCACCTCAGCCTCCCGAAGCGCTGGGATGACAGGTGCATGCCACCGTGCCAGGCCTGGGTGTGAGTTGTGAGGTAGAAACAGGAGTGTGAGTCCCCTGTGGATCTCTCCTCAGGTTGGGATGAGGCTGCGGAATGTCTCGTGGGGCCCTTTCTTTTCTGAGTATCCAGGTGTCACCGAGTCCCTGCAGCCTCTCCACAGGATCCTCCATCTCAGGGCTTAGCAATGGTCCTCGCCCGCCCTGCTCCCCCGTGCCCATCAGTCCTGAATCCGTATGGTATTTGACATGTGTGCTTTCCCTCTGTCTCCACTGTCCCCACCATCCTCTCACCGAGTGATTGTAATAACTGGTCTCCCTGCTTCTATGCCAGGCCTCCTGCAATCAATTCTGAAGAAGGCAGACCTAGTGATTTTCTTTTAATGCGAGCCAGTTCTTCCTGCCCAGGACCCGCCATGGGCTTCCCACTGCATGAGAATAAATCCCACCCTTGGCCAGCAAGGCCCCAGAGGTTCTCCCATGGTCTCGCTATCTCTCTGCCTTGTGCTCTAAACCCTAGCCTCACCAAGCACTCCCCAGGGGTTCCTGCCTTGAGCCTTGGTCCCCGCTGTCTCCCCCTCACAGCTTGCTCCTATCCTCCTTCAGGTCAGGGTAACTGTTGCCTCCTCCAGAGGACTTCCCAACTCCCCCGCCGCACCCCATTACCCTCTGGGCCCATTTTGCATTATGCTATTTTTCTCAGTAGACTCTTAGGTTCCATGCAGATAGTGACCAAACCTGTCTTGTTTATTATTCTGTCCCCAGCGTCTACTGCATAATCGGGGCTCAGTAAACCTTTAGAATAAATAAGTGTTCCTCCCTTAAATGAATTGTTAGGAATCCAAGGCTGAAGAAGCAGTGGTTCCTCTTGGGGCAGGAAAGCCACAAATGAGGATGCTGCCTCTCACCAACCCCACCTCTCTGCTAAACATTTGGACATCTGCCTGCAGGAGCCTTCTCTGAGGCAGGGAAGACCATCTAGGGGCATCTGAGCACTGCCTAGCGACTCAAAGATGGCCAAGGCAAAACGTGTGTCCTGGCTGCAGACGATAAATGGCACACAGCTCTCTCCAAAAACGCCTTGTTTCCCCTGGGTCTGCCCCCTTGCCTCTGTCTTCCAGGACCCAATGAGCTGTGCACAGCGAGTGTGCTGGGCCTTCCTCACCATGCAGGACAGGGAGGGTGGGAGAGTTGCACCAGCCAGCTTTGGAGTCCCTGGGAGCTTGGGCGGAGGCTGTCCTGCCCTAGTTGACTTGGGTGGTCAAGCAGCAGCTGAAAGAAGACAATGAAAAAGAAGCAGGAGAAGAAGAAAGAGGAGAAGTAGAAAAAGAGGAGGAAGAGGAAACAGAAAAGGAGGAGGGGGAAGGAAAGGAGGAGGAGGAGGCTGACAGGCACTCGACAGGCCTTCTGAGGTTGCAATGAGCTGGGAGGAAAGGAGAGCTGTGGCCAGCACAAACACAGGGGCCTCAGTTCTGAGCCTCTCCATCCCTCGAATCCATCCACCTAAGCAGGGAGTCCTTAGCTTCCCTGTCTGCCCCACTCACACTGCCATAAAGGAGTGAAGACCCTGGGGTCTCGGGGTAGCTTTTGGATCCGAGCCTCCATTCACTTGCAGGTCTTCTGGGTCTTCAGCCCACCATCTATAAAGGAAATAGTGATGGGATAGGAAAAGGCAAGATCTCTCCATGGAGAACACAGGACCAAAGCCAATCTTCCTCAGGGACAAGGGAAACTCATCCTCCCCCCACAGTGAAGGCAGGCACGTCTCATCTTCCATTTACTCACTTCCAAATGCAGCATTGCACCGCAGCCACACTGCCTTCTGCGTGGTTCTGTGCTGATTTCTGCAAACAAGGAAACAGCTCAGCAAAGCAGGAGATGGCTGTGGATGAACACCCAGATCAGGGTTCTGAGGAAAAACTTTCAAGTTCAGTGCAATGGCTGGTTCATGGCTCCAAAACATGAAACTCCCCAAAATTGTTCTTTAGCTTTCTCTTGGACACCACCAAAAGCACAGGAAGTTAAAGAAATTTCCCCCATGATCCCAGCACTTTGGGAGGCTGAGGCAGGAGAATTGGTTAAGCCCAGGAGTCTGAGGCCAGCAACACAGTGTGATCCCATTTCTACCAAAAGATTAAAAAAAAAAAGTTAGCCTGATGTGGTGGCGTGCACCTGTGGTCCCAGCTACTCAGGAGTCTGAGGCCAGAGGATCACCTGAGCCCAGGAGTTTGAGGCTGCAGTAAGCCGTGATCGTGCCACTGTGCTCCAGCCTGAACAACATAAGGAGACTCTGTCTCCAAAAAAGAAAGAAAGGGAGGGAGGGATCGAGGGAGGGAAGGAGGGAGGGAGGAAGGGAAGGAAAGAAGAAAGGAGGAAGGAAGGAAGGAAGGGAAGGAAGGGAAGAAAGAAGGAAAGAAGGAAGGAAAGGAGGGAGGAAGGAAGGAAAAAGAAAGGAGGAAAGAAAAGAAAGGAAGGAAGGAAGGAAGAGAAATTCCCCCATGGGCATGGGATTGACAGTCCTCCCAAGGAGCACAGGCAAGATAACCTTTTGTAAGGCAGCTGCCAGTCACATTTGAGTCCACGCTCCCTGAGACTCTCTGGGTAATATACACAGCACTGATTCCTTAACATTTAAAGGCTGTCGAAGGGACTGTTTTAAGCCTGTGCTGTGTGTCCCCACAGCACTGAAATCCCCAGTTTCCCTACCCCCACCCCCAACACAGGCACATTATATACATTTGTTTATATGGAGCTATGGCGCTGTCTTGATTGCACGGCAGTGAGGCCTGCTGATGAGGTTTGCTGTTGACATTTCAACATTAGCTGGCTTTTGTCAATTGTGGCAGCCTAAGAAATTCTATCTTAAGGGCGGCTCTTTATTAAATTTGCAAGATACAAAACTGTGACTGACAAATAGTCTCCTTTCCCTTAGCAGATGCGTAAATAACGGCCGGCAACTCTACCGTCATTGAAATGTGCTCCACATTTAAACAAAAATGTAATCGCCAAAGAGTTTTTTTTTTTTAACAAAGGATCAGGGTCCCCGACGTTTGGCTTGATGAAACATTTTCTTGATATTTTTCAACAGTTATCAGCGTGCAAATCTTTGGAGGACTTGAACGGAGGGGGAGAAGACACAGCAGTGGGGGAAGACAGAGAAAAGAACATTTCCATGAGCTTCCTTGTTCTGGGTTTTACCAAACTTTGTCACAGAATCTTCTATGCAACTCTTTTATGTGCTATCGGTGACATAATTCCTATTTCTTTCACCAGCCATTATATATGATAAATAAAACAATGCTCTGAAAACACTGCGATCTCTCATCAATGTCATTGTGAAAAGGGCCCAGATAGATGAGTTCTGGAATCACAGGCAGATGACATGGCTGGCCATGTATCATCTTCTATGTATTGAACGTAGTCTTTGTAAAGATAGAACGGTAATAAAGAGCGGTATTGTGTGCTCTGAAAGGCTGTGTGGGTCTGTGCATGACTAATCTGTCTTTCTGCATTATTTTATTCAATCTTCTCTGACTTTATGCCTTTGACATTTTTGCTACACTCAGTAAATTTGAGTGAATAGGCAATTTTAAAGAATTTTTATAGGGCTTCAGAGAAGTCATATGCAGACTGTATCTTTGTTCAAATTTAACAGTTTAAATATTTCCTTTGTCTAGGGTGCAGAGTAATCTTTAGACAAAAAAAAATGAAAGCATGCCCTAACCTTAAGATTTTAACAATGTTTCCTGTAACAGTTCAATTATTTAAAGGAAAAAAAAAAAAACCAGAAGAGCAAGCTTATGATGGAGGAGCTGCCCAACTTTCTTTATCATTTTATAAACAGGAGACTGGTCCTTCTGATGATGAAGACATTCCTTCTTTCTCCAGAATTTAGAGATGCAGAGAATGAAATTAAAGGGGATTATTTTGAAGCTACAGTTCAAATGGCCTCATTTGAACATCACCCACTTTTCCTGACTTTGTTTTGCAAGGGTAGTTGTCCATAAGTAAATAACGACTTCATTGCATGTCTTTAACTTACTGTATATGACGTTATCAGTTCATCATCTAATCTGTAACATTAGTTTGGCTAAGCACTGCATTTAAATAATTTATGCCACAGAGTAGTATGCAATAGGAACATTTTTAAAAATTATTTTCTTTGCTAAATTGTGTGGAAGTCCCCACCTGAAGTATAGCAGACTGCTACGTTTCAAGAGACACTCTACTACTTAGGCTGTTAAACGATTCAGGGGGAAAAAAAAAAAAACTGGGATTCCCTGATAATACTGTTTGGGCTGGCAGGTGCTAGTCTCATAGTTCTGGCTTATAAATACTTTTAAAAAGATTATTAAGCAATTTAAAGTAAACCTAAACTACAGATGAACCCAGCCTGATGGATTCATGTAGCCAATTACATTTTACAGTATCTATATCAAAAACATAGTCCATATTTCATTTTTATGAATCACTCCATAAGCCCACATCTAACAGGGTGACTGAGCACTTATGTTTAGTACCTTTGAGATGTTTTCAAGAAACTGGACCTCAAGATTTCCTTTTTTTGTTTTGTTTTGTTTTTTGAGACAGAGTCTCACTCTGTCACCCAGGCTGGAGTGCAGTGGCCCGATCTCAGCTCACTACAAACTCTGCCTCCCAGGCTCAAGCAATTCTCCTGCCTCAGCCTCCCTAGTAGCTGGGATTACAGGCACCCGCCACCACACCCGGCTAAATTTTTGTATTTTTAGTAGAGACGGGGTTTCACCATATTGGCCAGGCTGGTCTTGAACTCCTGACCTCAAGTAACCCAAACACCTCGGCCTCCCAAAGTGCTGGGATTACAGGCATGAGCCACCGCGCCTGGCCTAGACCTCAAGATTTTCTCAAGTGGGAAGCCAATTCTCAGTGAGACGTTTTGGACAAATGGTGACTGGCAGGTCTCACTGCCCAGCACAGCTGGACCCTAGGGCCACTTCCGGAGCAGGATGGAGCTGGGTCCAGGGCAGAAGGCAGCTTTCCTCCAGAAACCCAGGGAAGGCTAAAGGCATAGAGTTGTTAGCAGTGGCCTCTTGCAGGACCAAGCCAGCCTGCATGCAGCCTCGCTGCTCCTGGAACTTGACTGCAGGTTCCCCACCACACCCTTGAATACACAGCAGGCACCTGCAGGAAGTATAAGCAGCTCCAGAAGTCCAAGAGCCCAGTCATGGTTCACAGACAAGGAACTCATCGGTCATGCCTAGCGCTGGTGGTGTCCCCACCAAGAACACTGACGAAGACAACTTACATCCTGCTGAGAACTTGCGGTGATAAATACACAGGTCCAATGTGAGGCACTGAACATGTCTGTAATCATCTAGCAGAGGACGAGATCGGATGCCTTGTGTCTGGGTTTGTGACTTCTGCCTTGTAAATGGATAAACATTTCACATCTCCACGTAAGACTGAAACATGAACCCCTATCTTTTTTCACAGCAGACACAAACAAATACTACTTTTTTATCACTGCAAAGCACTTGATGTTAAGTTCATTAAAATGAAAGATTGGAGAGCCCCCAAATATAGGATAATATGATTCATGTATAGATCCCGGATAATAGATGTGGTTTCCATTATTTTCCTACTACATAAAGGACTAATTCTGCTGCTGCAGGAAGAGTGCTGCCTTTCTCTTCATGAGCCATTTTCATAAAACTGAATAAACAACAAACACAACCATGATTAGCTGTGACAGTTCCCCACTGATTTATTAGACTCAAATCCTAAGGAGAAGTCTAGTTTTAGGTCTGTCTCTGCACGTTTTTATCAAATAATAAAACTATAAAAATGAAATGATCCACTATCTTCAAAATAATAAAAAATAAAAGGTTCTGCAACTTAAAGAGATCTTCCTGTTACCAAGCAAGATGCAGGATTTGCATTTTTGGAACCCTGTCCCTTAAAAGTGAAGCAGCAGCGGAGAGGCCCTGCTGCCGGCATGCTTTTTAAGCCCAGCCTGAGTTCTCTATGCTTGAGAGCGTCTTATGATGCTGTAACTAACCTCAAACCTGGAGCAGCAGGGGGGCAACAAACCTCAGAATACAGCAATGTCATGCTTTACAGGAACTCTCTCAGCAACAGCATGAATGAGGGGGGAAATTGGTTGCCTAGGAAACCCTCTAGTCCTGGTAATTATTACTGTAACTGACTGCACACCCCACCTATAACAGAAATGAATAATAATTTATAATCGCTGACTGGCAGCTTTCTGTCTGTGCCTCTGCTCACCACTGCTACCTACTGGCATGCAAAATTAGTTACAAGCAAACAGCGGGGTATGCAGAGAAAAAAACCACCAGCAAAAAGAACATTTCAAGAAATCTTCTCCCATCTTCCCCCACCAGGTTCTGAATATAGTTCAAGTCAATTGCTGCTCGATCAATAGAGCAAAAATGAAAAGTGCTTTGTACAGGGGTTGAACAATGTAATGGAAGTTGGTCATCTCAATTAAAAGCAATTTCATATTGTGACATGAACTAGACCAAAAAGAAGGTGCTTAATAAGGTTAACAGACGCTAAATAACAGCATATATCTTAATGACCCCAAATATATGACTCACAAGCTATTTAATAGTATAGAATTTGATACTAAGCAAAATCACTATAAAAATCCTATCTGGTAGTTTTGATCAATTAAACTACACAATTAACAAAGATGGTCCATTTATCTTAGGTTGTCTAATTTGCAGTACAGTGTTAAAGCACTTCTACTGGAAGACTAGTTTGTTTAGAAATTAGAACATTCATAGTGATTTACCGGATTTGATTTAAAAGACATAGCAGGAGTTGGCAAAATTCACATATCATGGGGTTAATGTGGGTTAGAATGTAGCTATTTGTAATACAAAAATATTGCATACCAAATACACACATCTGATTTCTTTTAATCTTGGTTCGTCTTTTTGCAGAAGTCATTAGTTTGCTAAAATGAACAACAAAAACAGCTGCATTTGCCACTATTAGGACACAGAAATCTGCCATTTTTTAAATTTCCAAAGCAAGAGAATGCCACCTGGGTAATGAACCACGCCCAGGTTACCAGAAAGGTGTCGACTGACTGATGGTTTCCGCGGCTCCCGTCGTAAGGAAGGCTATGTCTACCATCATCATTGTATTCATCAGCTGCCATATATTCAGGCTCCACAACTTACTAGTGTGGCCTGGTCAGTACATTTCAAAGTTGAGAGAGCCTTTATAGTTCAAGAGGAAACAGCTGAAAATGGACAAATAGCCCCCAAAGGGTGCTGATGCCAAGTTAATGATCACCAAGATGAAGAGTATGAAGAATAATTATAGGGAAACCCTCAGCTCTTCCATGGGCAGTCCACACTTAACCCTGTGGAGCCCTCACGTCTTCCCGTGTTCCTGAGATTGGCTGGCGTGGAAGAATGTCCCTAGTCAATCTGATATTAACCATCAGGGAATCCCCCATCCCAAGCCCTCATCAGTTGATTCCATTGCAACATAAAATGTCATGTTCCAAAAATATTTCTGTTTTAAACACCCACTGTGGTAGTAATCATAGATTCATTGGTTGGGTTTTCTTCCCTTTCATCGTTATTGGAAACTGACCTCCTTACTTTTCAAAAAAATCAATAGATTTCCAGAAAACTTTCCAATTCTCAGAGATTTTTGCATAGTTCCAACATGGACAGCTTTTCCTACAGCGACTTTCTTATTAAGGAACCCACACAGACCAGATTTGGAGTGTGCAACAACCGCACAGAAGACACACACAGGTCTGAGTCCTGGCCGTGTGGAAAACCTGCACAGGTCACATTCGGCTCCGTGCTCTTAAGCACATTCAAGTTTCAAGCAAGTATTTGCAAACTTCACTTTTCTGAAGAGGTTCTGAGTGCTGCTCTTTGGTTGCACCTCAATTAGCTCCTAACAAGTGCTCCTTGAAAGATTTCCAGTAACTGTAAAAAAATTAAACTTACGTCTTTGTGACTACAGGTGGATCTAGCCTAGACACCGCTCTGTATCTTAGAATAGCCAAGTCTGCCCTAAGCCACAACATTTTTGTCTTTATTGCAATTCTTATCAGACTGAACCATTCCCTCTTTGCAAATACGATTCACCAACAAATCATCACTGACAGTCCATTCTTACCCTCAGTTTAGCTTCCAAGATCCCAAATAGACATTACCAAGAAAATCTTGGAGCCCAAGAAAATATCTGTAATCTCCAAAAATACATTTTACTGATAATAGGCTCTGAGTTCTTATTACTCGAACACGGCATAAATAAAACCCGTGTAGGTTTCAATTTCATCATCTCTGTCCCCAACACTCAAATTTTTTCCATCCTAGAAATCCACTTGATCCTTAACCCTACCTAGAGTACCTCCTCTGACGTGAAGCAGTTGCCAGTTTTCTTACCTCAAAGAAGATACTATGACTCCCAAGTTATAACTCTCAGTGTACAGCTCCTGGAACACTTCTGGTATTCTCCTTCGACCTATACACTTAACCTGCCTTCCCAATGAAGATCAGTTACTTGAAGGCCTTCTTAGCACAGTACCTTACAGTTTTCAATTGTAACTTAAGGCCAGGCACAGTGGCTCATGCCTGTAATCCCAGCACTCTGGGAGGCCAAGGCGGGTGGATCACCTAAGGTCAGGAGTTCAAGACCAGCCTGACCAACATGGTGAAACCCCGTCTCTACTAAAAATACAAAACTTAGCCAAGCATGATGGCGCACGCCTGTAATCCCAGCTACTACTCGGGAGGCTGAGGCAGAAGAATCACTTGAACCCGGGAGGCAGAGGTCGGCAGTGAGCCAAGATCGCGCCATTACACTCCAGCATGGGCAACAGAGTGAGACTTCGTCTCCAAAAAAATAAAAATAAAAATAAATTGTAACTTAAAATTACAGCTTTCTTTTTTATATGAAAGTTTCAATGGGACAAACTGAAGCTGGCCTTAAGTGTTCTGTTTCAAGCCATTATAAAGCAGAACAGCAGACCAAGGAATTGCTTAGGAACACTACAGACAGTGTACTCCACCAACTCTCCTGCTATAAATGCTGGATAAAATGTAATAAATATCTTCTCAAATACAGAGCCTTACTTGCATGAAAGTAACAGAAATCACCAGTGGCTAAAAATGAAGGAAAAGAAAAAGCTAAAACCACTGGCATCAAGTTAGAGCTGTCCTGGGACCTAGCCAAGAAATTTATGTTTTAAAAGCACCAGGAAATAAGCGGCAAGTCCTTGAGCTCGAACAAGATGGTAGAACTAAGATCATACATGAAGACCAGACCCCGGAAAGGCTGCCAGAATGCCAGAGTGAACGGCTGGACTAGAACAAATGTTCCCACTGTCAAAAACACGAACCACAGCAAGGAAACTTGTTCCTATCTGCCTGAGCTCTAGATAAGGGTGGAGTCTTGTATTAGTCTGTTTTCACGCTGCTGATAAAGACATACCTGAGACTAGGAAGAAAGGGATTTAATTGGACTTACAGTTCCACATGGCTGGGATGGCCTCAGAATCATGGTAGGAGGCAAAAGGCACTTCTTACATGGCAGCAGCAAGAGAAAATGAGGAAGAAGCAAAAGTGGAAACCCCTGATAAAACCATCAGATCTCATGAGACTTACACTCACTACCACAAGAACAGTCTGGGGGAAACAGTCCCCATGATTCAATCCCACCAGGTCCCTCCCACAACATGTGGGAGTTATGGAAATACAATTCAAGATGAGATTAAGGTGGGGACACAGAGCCAAACCATATCATTCTGCCCCTGGCCCCTCCAAATGTCAAGTCCTCACATTTCAAAACCAACCATGCCTTCCCAACAGTCCACCAAAGTCTTAACTCATTTCAGCATTAACCCAAAATCCACAGTCCAAAGTCTCATCTGAGACAAGGCAAGTCCCCTTCTGCCTATGAGCCTATAAAATCAAAAGCAAGCTAGGTACTTCCTAGATACAACGGGGGTACAAGTATTGGGTAAATACAGCTGTTCCAAATGAAAGAAATTGGCCAAAACAAAGGGGTTACGGGACCCATGCAAGTCCAAAATCTAGTGGGGCAATCAAATTTTAAAGTTTCAAAATGATCTCCTTTGACTTCATGTGTCACATCCAGGCCACACTGATGCCAAGAGGTGGGTTCCCATGGTCTTGAGCAGCTCCACCCCTGTGACTTTGCAGGGTACAGCCTCCCTTCTGGCTGCTTTCACAGGCTGGCATTGAGTGTCTGCAGCTTTTCCAGGCTCACAGTGCAGGCTATAGGTGGATCTACCATTCCGGGGTCTGGAGGATGGTGGCCCTCTTCTCCCAGCTCCACTAGGCAGTGCCCCAGTAGGGACTCTTTGTGGGGGCTCCCATCCCACAGTTCCCTTCTGCATTGCATAAGAGCCCCACCCCTGCAGCAAACTTCTGCCTGGGCATCCAGGCATTTCCATACATCTTCTGAAATCTAGGCAGAGGTTCCAAAACCCCAGTTCTTGACTTCTGTGCACCTGCAAGCTCACCACCACATGGAAGCTTCCAAGTCTTGGGGCTTGCACTCTCTGAAGCCACGGCCTAAGCACTATGTTGGCCCCTTTCAGCCACAGCTGGAGCAGCTAGGACACAGGACACCAAGTCCCTAGACTGCACATAGCACGGGGACTCTAGGTCCTCTCCACAAAACCATTTTTCCTCCTAGACCTCCGGATCTGTGATGGAAGAGGCTGCCACAAAGTTCTCTAACATGACCTGGAGACATTTTCCCCATTGTCTTGGGGATTAACATTCAACTCCTTGTTACTTATGCAAATATCTGCAGTCGGCTCGAATTTCTCCTCAGAAAATGGGATTTTCTTTTCTATCGCATTGTCAGGCTGCAAATTTTCCAAACTTTTATGCTCTGCTTCCCTTTTAAAACTGAATGCCTTTAATGGCAGCCAAGTCACCTCTTGAATGCTTTTCTGCCTAGAAATTTCTTCTGCCAGATACGCTAAATCATCTCTCTGAAGTCAAAGTTCCACAAATCTCTAGGGCAGGGGCAAAATGCCACCAGACTCTTACACTAAAACATAACAAGAGTCGCCTTTGCTCCAGTTCCCAAGTTCTTCATCTCCATCTGAGACCACGTCAGCCTGGATTTCATTGTCCACACCTTTATCAGTATTTTTGTCAAAGCCATTCAACAATTCTCTAGGAAGTTCCAAACCTTCCCACATTTTCCTGTCTTCTTCTGAGCCCTCCAAACTCTGCCTGTTACCCAGTTCCAAAGTTGCCTCCACATTTTTGGGTATCTTTTCAGCAACACTCCACTCTACTGGTACCAATTTACTGTATCAGTCCATTTTTACACTGCTAATAATGACATACCCAAGACTGGGAAGAAAAAAGAGGTTTAATTTGACTTACAGTTCCACATGGCTGGGGAGACCTCAGAATCATGGCAGGAGGTGAAAGGCTTTTTTTTTTTGAGACAGAGTCTTGCTCTGTAGCACAGGCTGGAATGCAGTGGTGTGATCTCAGCTCACTGCAACCTCCACCTCCTGGGTCCTGGTTCAAGCAATTCTCCTGCCTCAGCCTCCTGAGTAGCTGGGATTGCAGGAATGCACCACCCTGCCCAGCTAGTTTTTATATTTTTCGTAGAGACAGGGTTTCACCATGTTGGCCAGGCTGGTCTTGAACTCCTGACCTTGTGATCTGCCCACCTCAGCCTCCCAAAGTGCTGGGATTACAGGTGTGAGCCAATGCACCCGGCCAAAAGGCACTTCTTACATGGTGGCGGCAAGAGAAAATGAGGAAGAAGCAAAAGTGGAAACCCCTGATAAAACCATCAGATCTCATGAGACACACTACCACAAAACAGTATGGGGGAAACAGTCCCCATGATTCAAATTATCTCCCACCAGGTCCCTCCCTCAACACGTGGGAATTATGGGAGTACAATTCAAGATGAGATTTAGGTGGGGACACAGAGCCAAACCATATCAAGTCTCCCTTGGGAATGCTAGCTGTGAGTTGGCCTTCATGTAGGTCAAGATCAGAGGAACTGCAAGCTATGAAATTAACTGAGAAACTGCAAGCAAGGAACTCAAGAAGAGGTCCTGCCAAGGACTTCTGACTCTAGTGTTGAAGGATTCAGGGCTACAGAATTTGCTCTTCTGCCATAAACAGCTAGAAAACTGAAAACAAGTGTTTTCAGACACTAGGACCAAGAAATATAAGACTAAGATTCCTAAGTAAATGAGGTAAGTCCTATAATCACTCTTTGTCTTGAGAGGTTTGTTGGACCACAGCACAGAGAGAAGGAATCCAAGCAAAATAAGACTGGTCTTATAGTGGAGAAACCAAACAGGTACCAACTCAACAAAGTAATCAAGATTAACGCAGTGATATTATGTGCAGAGAAAGACACCTCACATCTATGGTATTCTCTTGAAAACTCACAACCTCAGGCTAATTGTAAGAAAACACTGGGCAAACTCAAATTGAGGAATATTCTGTAAAACACCCACAGGCCAATACTCTTCAAAAGTACAAGGTCATGAAAAAGAAAAAATTGAGAAATTGTCAGATAGGATGAGACTAAGAAGACATGACCACAAAATACAACAGGTATCTTGGAATGAATCCTGGAAAAGAAAAAGAACATTGGTAGAAAAACTAGTAACATTTCAATAAAGTCTATACTTTAGTAAATAGTATTGCCTTGTGCTAATTTCTTAGTTCTGACACATGTACCTTGGTAATGTAGTGTGTTCACATTAGAGGACACTAAAACTGGGTGAGGAACGTATGAGAACTCTCTGCATTATCTTTAAACTTTTCCGTAAATCTAGGTTTATTCCAAAATAAAAAGATTAACAAAAATTCTGGCATCAAATTAAAAATTACTAAACATGAAAATAGGATCCAAATTATGACCCACAGCCAGGTAGGAATAGACACAAAAATGACAGAAATGATAGAATGAGCAGATGAGGACTTTAAAACAGCTATTATAAATATGCTTCAAAATTTAAAGAAAATCATTAACATAATAAAGAGAAATTAAAAATCTTATTTAAAAAATGGAAATCCTAGAGGTATACAGGTATATTCCTGTAGGCATGTTCAAATATAATATCTGAAACAAAAAATTTACTGGATGTGTGCAAGAGTAAATCAGACATTACAAAAAAATAAAAATAAAAATTTAGTGAACATGAAGATATATCAATAAAAATTAACCATAATTAAACACAGAAAGAAAAAGGACTACACAAAAATGAACCAAGCCTCGGTGACCTTATGGAACAATAAAAGCTATATAATAGGCTGGGGATGGTGGCTCACACCTGTAATCCCAGCACTTTGGGAGGCCAAGGCAGGCAGATCACCTGAGGTCAAGAGTTTGAGACCAGCCTGGCGAACATGGCAAAACCCCATCTCTACTAAAAGTACAAAAAAATTAGCCAGGCATGGTGGCAGGCATCTGTAATCCCAGCTACTCGGGAGGCTGAGGCAGGAGAATCGCTAGAATCCTGGGGGCAGAGGTTGCAGTAAGCCAAGATCTCACCACTGTACTCCAGCCTGGGTGACAGAACGAGACTCGCTCTCAAAAAAAAAAAAAGAAAAAAAACTATACAATATAAATGTAATTGGTGTTCCAGAAACAGGAGAAAAAGAGATTGGGGCCCAAGCAAAATTGGAAAAAATATGGCCAAAATATTTCCACATTTGATGAAAACTCTAAATCTGCAGATCCAAGATACTCAACAGGCCCTGACAAGACCAAACACAAAGAATATACCTATGCATATCATAATTAGATTGCCAGAGGAAAATGCATACTACCTACAGTGGAACTGAAATAAGACTAATAAAAGATAACACAGCACCACGAAGTGCAAAAGACAAGGGAAAACATCTTCAAAGTGCTAGAGAAGAAAACCAGGTCATGCATGGTGGGGCTCATGCCTATAATCCCAGCATTTTGGGAGGCCAAGGCAGGAGGATGGAACACTTGAGCCCAGGTGTTCAAGACCAGCCTAGACAACATTGTGAGACCCCGTCTCTACATGAAATTTAAAAATTAGCTGGACCTGGTGACATGTGTCTGTAGTCCCAGGTACTCAGGAGACTGAGGCAGGAAGACTGCTTGAGCCCAAGGGTTGCAGTGAGCTATGATCCATGCTGTTGCATTCCAGCTTGAGTGACAGAGCGAGACCTCGTCTCAAAAGAAAGAAAGAGAGAGAGAGACAGAAAGAAAGAAAGAAAGAAAGAAAGAAAGAAAAGCAAGCAAGCAAGCAAGCAAGCAAGCAAGCAAGAAAGCGAGCGAGTGAGCGGAGGGGAGGGGAGAAGGGAGGGAGGGAGGGAGGGAGGGAGGAAAATAACCTGTCAACTTGGGATTCTATACCTAGCAAAAATATCTTTCAAATATAAAGGCAAAATAATATTATTTCAGAGAAAAGTTGAAAGAACTTGATCTAGCACACCAACATTTAAAACATTATTTTTTTCAAATTAATGACAACTTGATTTTTCTTACACTTTTAAGGCTGATGAAAAACCTTCATTTCAATTGAAAAGTATGGTAATTGTATTTACTCATTAAATATGAAAGTTTTCTAAAATACAACTTGAAAACATCCAGCACGCATGTTTAGTATCAGTACAATGAATTCAAGACCAAGTATACATGTTACATGCAGCAAGGCTAAATTACAAATTATCATAATCATCTTCTTCACGCTTTTTCAATGCATTTGATGATTCATTGGCAGTATTTTGTGATAACACCGTATTAGTGGTAATAAGAAGCTTTTGGACCCAATTAATGATGGATTAATCAGAACATTCTGAACTGCTGATGTTGCAGGAATTGAAGATTTTACAGCTGGAGACTGTGAAGTAGGCATCTGTACTGTAAACCTTTGCCCTGTGAGGGACACGGGAGTCCCTACTTTAGTTGAAACAGACATGGTCTGTGGGGTTGGTGTGCCTAGTGTGGGAGTACTTGGTCTGCTAGCAACTGAACCAACACTTAACTGCGGGACTGTTACTCTTCCCGTGGAAGTTGATGCCTTTTTCTGTAAAGATTTCAGCCTATAATTTGGAGCTGTTAAGCAATATCTATCAGGTGGCAATCTAGGACCTGAATATGGCTTGATTAATGGAAAAGGGGTTTGATTTCTTTGCCTTGCGATATCTAATAAAAAAATCTCTTGGGGGAAGAGAGGTAAAAGACTGGTCAGCGTGGAACTGGATTGCCAACTGCACATCATCTGCATCAACGGTAGCTTTCTTAGCATGGCTGGAGTAAATTTTTGCATCATCTAGAATTGTGGTCACATAACGGAAGGCAAACTCTAACATCTGATTTATAAGTCTTGGCTCATATTCTGTAATTCCCAGATCCTTCAGGATTTGTGCCATCATCTGTGCATCTTTCGGCATGCTCTTGGGAGAAGCCATCTTGCCAGACTCCATGATATACGATGATCAGACTTCTTGAGCTAAATCACCCACATTAATGTATTTCAGTCCTGATTTTGACACAAGTCCTTTGCCTAGTGTGGTTTTTCCAACCCCTGGTGTACTGGTGAGCAGGATGCTTGGAAGCAACATGGTCCTCCCCACGACGGCTCTGAGCGCCTTGCTCACCCGCCCTTCACATTACGGGAAGGACCATTTAAAACGTGATTAAAGCAAGTTCTACAGGCTGGAGGAAAAGAAAACCAGGTGGCAACTTCAATGTACAGAAAATAATGAAGAGCACTCAACATGGTAAATTCACAGGTAGACAATTTAACATTTAAAGAAAAAGTTTCAAAGGTAATTGAGAGGAATGACAAAGTGAGGACCTTTGTAAATACTTTCCCTAAAAAGCAAAGATAAAGTTGGACTATTAGTTTCTGGCCTGGCATACAAGCTTGGACGTTGTCACTACATCCTAATAAGTAAACAGCTAAACAAACT
Source organism: Homo sapiens (assembly GCF_000001405.40). Taxonomy (NCBI): domain Eukaryota; kingdom Metazoa; phylum Chordata; class Mammalia; order Primates; family Hominidae; genus Homo; species Homo sapiens. The sequence goes on along the minus strand of NC_000019.10, from coordinate 30,036,933 downwards.
GAAAAATCAATTCTTAGTTAAGAACAGTGAAGCCACAGGGCAAACTATCATGGCCCCTGAAATTGGAGTGACCGGCAGGCAAAGGCAGAGAAGCACAAGTAACTGGAGCCGAGACCCTCAGACAGAGGCCTCCAGGGAAAACTGACAGGCTAGGGAAACCTGAACTGTAATTAACTTAACTGCACAGTGTGGACAAGTCTTGAGTTGAAAATTCCAGGGGGACTCAGTCATTCCCCGGCACACATACTTTTGTGAGTTTTACCTCCAGGAGCTCTACCAGGTTCTCAAAGCAAGTATCTGAGAACTATCCCCCTGTGTTTGCAGCAGGGGAAAAGGAAAAGGAACCATTTAAAAACATGCCAAAACACTCTGTTCTTCTTAACAAGGTTTGCCCGCAGGAGAAACTATTTAACCGGAAGATAAACTGCTGGGGTTTTATCAGGGCCAAACTGACCTAGGGGAAGGGAAATAACCTCAGGCAGCTCCTGCCTTCCATGTGGGAGAAGAGAAATACCAAACACCAGCTCCCTCTAGTCATCGTGTCTTCAGTAAGGCTGATGGGGGAAATGAGAAGCACATGTGATGTACACAGTCTAGAGGCACAGGCTCACTCAAAGACTAAGACCTGATCACAGGACTATAGAACTCTAAAGAAATCCACATTACTAAGGGCCTATTTACAGCCTTTCCTCTTACTCAGGAACGTGCCCAGCTGTTAAGGAAAAATCACCAGGCATACTGAAAGGCAAAAAAGGTCATTTGAGAGATAGAGCAAGCATCAGAACAAGACAGATATAGCAAGGATGTTGACATGATCAGACCAGGAATTTAAAACAGCTATGATTAATATACTAAAGGCTCTAATGAATAAACTAGATGGATGCAAACACAAGTGGGCAATGTAAGCAGAGAGATGGAAATTCTAAAAAGTACCAAAAAGAAAGGCTAGAGATCAAAAACACTGCAGGAGAAATGAAGAATGCTTTGATGGGCTCATTAGCAGACTGAATAAAGCTAGGAATCTCTGAGCTTGAGGATATCTCAACAGAAACCTCCAAACTGAAAAGGAAACAGAGAGAGAGAAAAAAAAAAAAGGCTGCAAACTCCAGAACAGAATATCCAGGAACTGCAAGACACCTACAAAGGGGGTAGCATATGCAAAATGGGAAAATCAGTAGAAGAAAAAAAAAAAGGAACCGAAGAAATATCAGAAACAGTAACAACTAAGAATTTCCCCAAAATTATTATAAGACACCAAATACAGATCCAGGAAGCTCAGAGAACACTAAGCAGGATAAACATTCCACCTAGGCATCATCATTTTCAAACTATAAGAATTCATAAAGAAAAATCCTGAAAGAAACCAGAGGGAAAAAAACACATTACCTATAGAGAAGCAAAAGAAAGAATTATACCCAACTTCTTAGAAAGCATGCAAGTAAGAAGAGTGGAGTGAAATATTTAAAGCACCAAGAGAAAAGAACTATCAACCTAGAATTCTATATCCTGAGAAATAGCCTTCGAAAATAAAGGAGAGAGGCCAGGTGCAGTGGCTTACACCCGAAATCCCAGCACTTTGGGAGGCCAAGGTGGGAGGATCGCTGAAGTCCAGGAATTCAGACTGCCATGAGCCATGATCATGGCACTGCACTCCAGAAGTGTTAAAGGAGTTCTTTAGATAGAAGGAAAATCATATAGTTCAGAAATTCGGATCTTCATAAAGAGCATAAGGAAGAGGTAAACGTAAAACAGAAACTTAGTTTCTTATTCTTACCTATTTAACAGATAACAATTTGTTCCAAATAATAGTACCAACAATGCATTTGATTTTGTATACCTATGTACATATACATGTTTATGTATACTGATGTGTTAGTCAAATAAATAACAGCAACAATACAAGGAACAGCAGAGAGGAGGAATAAGGATTGTTGTAAGGCATTTGCATTACCCATGAAATGGTATAGTATCATCATTTCAAAGTGGACTTGGATTAGCTGTAGATGTTCCGAACTCCAGGGCAACTACTAAAAAGATGCTTTTAAAAAGTATAACTGATATGCTAAGTAGAGAAAACGGAATCATAAAAAATGCTCAATTAAAATCAAAAGGGGTATTTAACAGGCAAGGGATCGATAAGAGAAAAGAAACAAACAAAAAAACCCAAACAGCAGAAAAAGAGTGGAAGACAAAAACAGGAAAAAGAACAAGGGCAACAAATATAAAAACAGTAAAAATATGGTAGATGTCAATCCAACGATATCAATAATCATTTTAAATGCCAATGGTTTAAAAGTACCAATTAAAAGACAAATAAATTGTCAGAATGAACCAAAAAATAAGACCCAACTATACACTGTCTACAAAAACCTTAAAGACACATATAAATTGAAAGTAAATGGATGGAGAAAGATATACCATGCTAACATTAATCAAAAGAAAGTGAGAGTCATTATATTCACTTCAGATAGAGCAGACTTCAGATTAAGGAAAGTTATCAGGAAAAAAAAGGAGCATTCTACAGTTACATAGGGGTCAATTTTCCAAGAAGACATAGCAATCCTTAATGTGTATGCATCTAAAAACAGAGCATCAAACTACATAAGAAAAAACTGACAGAACTGGAAGGAGAAACAGATGAATTCACTATTATACCTAGAAACTTCAGTACCCATCTATCAGAAATGGGCAGATCCAGCAGTCAAAAGATCAGTTAAGGACACAGCTGAACTCATTAACACCATTTACTAACTTGATATAATGGTTATCTACAGACTACTTCATTCAATAACAGCAGAATACATAATTTTTTCCAAGCTAATATGGAACATTAACCAAGACAAATCACACTTGGGGTCATAAAACACACCTTAACAAATTTAAAATAGCAATTATACAGTGTCTGCTCTCACATCACAATTGAATTAAACTAGAAATCAATAACAAATATAGCTGGAAAATCTCCCAAATACTTGGAGATTAAACAACACACTTCTAAGTAACACATGGATCAAAGAAAGTCTCAAAAGAAATTTTAAAATATTTTGAACAAAAATAAAAAATACAACTTATCAAAATTTGTGGGATGCAGTGAAAACAGTGCTTAAAGGAAAATTTTTAACACTGAATGCATATATCAGAAAAGAGAGATCTAAAATTAATCATCTAAGCCTTCACCTTATAAGAATAGAAAAAGGAGAGGAAATTAATTCCAAAGTAAGGAGAAGAATAAAAATTTAAAGCAGAAATCAATGAAATTGAAAACATAAAATCAGTAGAGAAAATCAACCAAACCAAAAGCTGGTTCTTAGATAAATAAAATCAGTAAGACAAGCTAACTAAGAAAAAAGAGAGAGGACACAAATTGCTGATTTCAGAAATAAAAAAAGAGAATGTCATTACAGATCCCAGGGAGATTAAAAGGATAACCAAGAAATACTATGAACACGTCTATGCACACAAATATGGTACTCCTAGAAAAAATGGACCAATTCCTTGAAGAGCACAATCTACCAAAACTCACACGAGAAGAAACAGACAATCGGAATAAGACTATCTCTATTAAATAATTAATAACTTTCCAAAACACAAAGCGCAGGCCCAGACAGATACACTTATGAATTCTATGAAACATTTAAGGAAAAAAAAAAAATACACCAATTCTCTCCTATCTCTTTCAGATGATAGAAGCACAGGGAGTACTCCCTACTTCTATGAGTTCAGCATTACCATATGAAAATCAGGCAAAGACATTACAAGAAACTACAGACAAATATTGCTAATAAACACAGATGCAAAACTCAAGAAAATATTATTAAACTGAATCCAAAAATGTATGCAAAGGATTATATTATACACCATGACCAAGTGAGATTTATTCTAGGTATGCAAGGGTGGTTCAACATTTGAAAATCAATGTAATCTATCACATCAACAAGGTAAAGAAGAAAAAAATCACATGATCACATCAATAGATGAAGAAAAAGCATTTGGCAAAATCCAACACCTGCTAATAATAAAAACTCACAGTAAACTAGGAATAGGGTGAAGTTCCTCAATTTAATTTTTAAAAATCTACAAAAACCCACGCTAACATCATACTTAATGGTGAGAAACTTGAAGCCTTCCCACTAATCAGGAACAAGGCAAGGATATCCCCTCTCACCACTCCTTTTCAACTTCATATTGCAAGTCCTTGATAATACAGAAAAAGAGATAAAAGGTATACACATTTGGAAGGAGGAAGCCAAACTGTCTTTGTACATAGATGACAGTCATCTTTGTAGAAAACTGGAAAGAATCAACCAAAAAAGAAAACCTCCTGAAACTTATAAGTGATTATAGCAAGGTTACAATGGTCAATCACTTCCCTATACACCAGCAGTGAACAAGTGGAATTTGAAATTATAAACACAATACCATCTACAGTAGCACCCTCAAAATGAAATACTTAGGTTTAAATCTAATAAGTTATGTACAAGACTTATATACAAAACTCTGACAAATGAAATCAAAGAACTAAATCAATGGAGAGGTACTCCATGTTCATGGACAGGAAGATTCAACTGTCAAGATATCAGTTCTTTCCAACTTGATCTATAGATTCAATGCAATCCCATTCATAATCCCAGCAAATTATTTTGTAGATACCAATAAACTGATTCTAAAGTTTACATGGAGAGGTAAAAGACCCAGAATACCCAACACAATATGGGAGGAGAACAAAGTTAACTGACATTTTCAGACTTCAAGACTTACTACAAAGCTACAGCAATCGAGACAGTATGGTATTGATAAGAGAGAAACAGGTCAATGAAATGAAACAGACAGCTCAGAAACAGAGCTACATAAATACAGTCAACTGATCTTTGGCAAAGGAGGAACGGCAATGGAATGGAGCAGAAAGTCTGCAACAAATAGTGCTGGAGCAACCTGACATCATATGCAAAACAAATCTAGACACAGACCATACACCCTTCACAAAAACTAACTCAAAACTGGTCACAGACCTAAATATAAAATGCAAAACTACAAAACTCTAGAATATAGGAGAAAAATCTAGATGACTTTGGATTTAGCAATGGCCTTTTAGATATGACAGCAAAGGCATGATTCATGAAAGAATAAACTGATAAGCTGGACTTCATTAAAATTTCTGCTGTGTGAAAGACACTGTCAAGAGAATATAAAGACAAACCACAGACTGGGAGAAAATATTTGCAAAAGGCATTTCTGACAAAGGATTGTTATCTGAAATACACAAATAAGTATTAAATTGAACACAATAAGAAAACAACCTGACTAAAAAAGGGGCCAAAGTCCTTAACAGACACCTCACCAGAAGACACACAGATGGCAAATAAGCATCTGAAAAGATGATCCATATCATGTTTTATCAGGTAAATGCTAATTAAAATGACAATGAGTTACCACTACACACCTATTAGAATAGCCAAAATCCAGAACAGTGACACCACCAAATATTGGCTAGAATGTGGAGCAACAGGAACTTTCATTCATTGCTGGTGGGAATGCAAAATAGTACAGCTAGATTGGAAGACGGTTTGGCAGTTTCTTACAAAACATAGTCTTACCATATGATCTGTCAATCATACCACTTGGTATTTACCCAAAGAAGCTGAAAACGTATGTCCACACAAAAAGCCACACACTGATGTTTATAGCAGTTTTACTTGTACTTGCCAAAACTTGAAAGCAACCAAGATGTCCTTCAGTAGGTGAATGGATGAACTGCGGTACATCCCGACAATGGAATATTATTTTCAGATCTATCAAACCATGAAAAGACATTATGGAAACTCAAAGGAGAACGAAGCCAATCTTAAAAAGCTAAACATTATGTGATTCCGACTACATGACATCCCAGAGAAAGCAAAACTATGGAGACAATTTTAAAAATCAGTGATTACCAGGTATTGGGGCATAGGGACGGATGAATAGGCACAGCACAGAGGATTTTTAGGGCAGTGAGACTACTCAGCAACTATAATGGTGGATATGTGTTCTTATATATTTATCCAAAGCAACTGAATGTCCACCAAGAGTGAATTCTAATACAAACTATCAACTTCGGGTGATGATGTGGCAATGGATATTCAACTACTGTGGCAATGGATATTCAACTATTGTAACAAATGTATCACTCTGGTGGGGATGTTGATGATAGGGGAGGCTATGCAGGTGTGGGAGCATGGGATATATGGAAAATCTCTGTACCTTCTGCTCAGTACTGCTGTGAATCTAAAATTGCTCTTAAAAAACAGACTTTTAAAAAAATTAGACAAAATTATCAAAAACAACTACTTTTCACCTCTGAGTATTGACCAAAACATAGGACAAATGGAGAAGTGTTTATTCAAGAAAACTACTGAAAGTTGGGTAAAAATGATGACAGTATGTGGCATTGTGACCACTCTCCCTCACCCCAGCTCCTTCAGACAATAGTTCTAACAGGGTGGGACAGCTTGTAAAACCAGAAGCATTTATACTGTAGGGAGCTGACTCAATCTGAAACAACGTGGAAAAACCCAACGCCCAGGGGCTTTGTTAAATATAGCAATTTCAGTGCCAAACATAGGAGAGGTCCACATACATCATAGATGACCTGAAGCTGAAATACTATAGCTGGGCCAAAAAAGAGATCAGAAGAAAAAAATTTTCTGCCTGGAGATTTAACAGAAACAATCAGGAAGTGAGACAATCATAGTCCTTGATAAGCTTACATTTTGAAAGGTAATGGGCATATTAGGGTATGAACATGCTGAGAGACCAGAGAAGGCTCTAACTATATACATACCCCCAGGGAAGACTCGTAAACTGCATAAATTTTCAGTGTGTTCCTCAAACAAAACAGAGACTTTGACAAAGGATGAAAGTCTTACCAAAACAAGATGCCTAAGTACAATCTCTGACCAGTCACCAGCTGATCACTAAGATATATTGATCCAAGGTGACCCATAAGTAGTCAAACATAACTGAGGAGAGACATCAGAGGCCACACGCTGTAGAGAAAAACTCATTATTAATCTTGGCCAAGTCATAAAACAAACAAAAAAAGGGACAATAACCCCTGGCAGGAGAGTATCAGAAATAAATGCTGTTACAATGTATTATTTAAAATGTCCAGTTTTAAACAGGAAAGTATGGCTTATCTAGTATAAAAAAAAAAATACTCAGTATAAACAGAAGCTATTTCCAAGGGTTCCCAAATGTTGGACTTAACAGACAGACTTCAAAGCAGCCAATAAAAATACATCTTCAAAGAACAAAAGAAAACCGTGTTTAATCAAAGCATGAAAACAATGACTAATCAGAGAACACTTAATAAAGAGATCAACATTTTTTAAAAAATGGAAATTCTGGAGTTGAAAAGTAACTAAAGTGAAAGCTTCATTAGAGGGACAACAGCAAACTTGAATGCAGAAGGAAGAATCAGTGAACTCAAAGATAAATCAATACAAATTACACAATCTGAAGAACAGAAGTGAGAATGAAAAATGAACCAAGTAGGAAATCTGTGGGTTACAATCAATACCAACATATGCATAATGGGAATCCCAGAAGAAAAGAATAGTGAGGGCCATACAAGTTTTGACATCTTTTGAAGAGTCATAGAAGTTTTTAATGTCTGAAAACATTCCAAATTTAGTAAGAAGTATAAATCTGTATATCCAAGTATCTCAATAAAATCCAAGTAGAATAAACATTAAAATATCCACACCGATACACATCAAAATCTTGAAAGCAGCAAGAGAAAAATGGACTTATCATGCACAGGGGAACCCCAGTAAAATTAGCAGCTGACTTCTCAAAAGAAACAATGAAGGCCAGAATTAAGTGGTATAACATACTCTACTGTCAAACAAGAATTCTAAATCCAGTAAAACTATCCTTCAAAAAAGAGGACAAAAATAAAGATCTTCCCAGATAGACAAAGAGAATTTGTTGCCACCAAAATTTTTTTTACAAGATATGCTAAAGCAAGTACTTCAGGCTGAAAGGAAACACCACCAGATGGTAACTTGAATCCACATAAAAAATTAAAGTACCAGTAAAAGTAATTATGTAGGCAAATGTAAAAAATAGAAAAAATACTCTTTTTAAGTTTTCTTCTCTTACTTAAAAGATAATTGCATGGAAAAATAATGAACCCATATAGTTATAAATAATAAACCTGTACTGTTATAAAATATATTACAATAATAGGACAAAGGAAAAAGAGACTAGAGCTATGCTGAAGCAAAGTCTGCCAGAATTAAGTTAGTATTATTCTGACGCAGGTTATAATGTTACAATGCATCCTATAAACTCTAGAGCAACCACTATAAAATAACTCATAAAAAAGAGTAAAGCTCTCTTCTACTATGTGAGGACACAGGAGGCCATCTGCAGCCCAGGAAGAGAGCCCTCGGCAGGAACCAAATCAGCTGCTAACCTTGACTTCCCAGTTTCCACAAATGTAAGAAATAAATTTGTGGGTTTAAAAAAAAAAAAAGTACAGTTTCTTTTTGTAAAGGAATTCAAAGTTTATACTAAAAGATTTATTTAACATACACAAAAAAAGGTAACCAAGGAGGAACAGAGGAACAAAAAAGACATGACATATAAAAAATGACTAACAAAATGGCATGAGCTATTGATATGTAAATGAGCCATATCAACAATTACATGAATTAACACACATTTCAATAAAAAGACAGGCTGGCAAAATAGACTTTTTAAAAACAAAATTCAACCACATGCTGCCCACAAGATACAAATGCTAAAAAGGATGAAAAAAGAGATACCACATAAGCATAACCATAACCAAGGTGGAGTGGTCATAATCATATCAGACAAAACTGACATAGGCTTTAAAATTAAAATGTTACTAGAGAAAAAAGGGACATTTTGTAATAATAAAAGCTTCAATTAATCAGAAGATATGACAATGACAAACATATATGTACCTAACAACAGAGAAAAAAATGCATGAAACAAAAACTAACAGAACTTGAAAGGTAGGACTATTTAACAATAATAGTGTAAGGCCTCAGTATCCCACTCTCAATAACGGATAGCACAAGTAGACAAAAAATCAGCAAGAATACAGAAGACAACAATAACAATGACCTTGACATGACATCAACAGAACACTCCATAAAACAACAGAATACGTATTCTTTTGAAGCACACACAGGAGAACATATGCTACCCATTTTTAAAAAGTCCTAATGAATTTTTAAAAACTAAAGACATAATAAATGTTTTCTCCAGACACAACACAATTAAAGCAGGAACCAACAGAAAGAAACTTGAGAAACCCACTAATATTTGGAAATTAAACAATACATATTACAGTAACCCATGAGTCAAAAAAGACATCTCAAGAGAAATTAGAAAATATTTTTAACTACAGAAAAATTAAAACAAATCAAATGTCACTGGATGCAGCTAAGGGTTAGTGCCTAGAGGTCAATTTATATCTTTAAACACCTACATTAGAAGACAGTAGTCTCAAATCAATAGATTAACACCTTTAAAAACTATAAAAGGCAAGGAAGAAGAAAGGAAATAATAAAGATTAAAGTAAAAGTCACTGGAATAGAAAACTAGAGGAAAATCAACAAAATCAAAAAGTTTCTCTGAAAAGGTCAATAAAACTGACAGACCTATAGTTAGAATTACAAAAAATATAGGACAAAAATTAGCAAAATCAGAAGGAAATCACAGGCCAGGCACGGTGCCTCACACATGCAATACCAGCACTTTGGGAGGCCAAGGCAGGAGGATCACTTGAGCCTAGGAGTTTGAAACCAGCCTGGACAACATAGTGAGACCCTGTCTCTACAAAAAAAGTAAAATAAAAAGGAAATTGCTGCCAACTTAAGAAATTAAATGGATTATAAAGGAATACTTTGGACAACTTTATGATGACAAATGCAATAATTTACATGAAATGGACAAATTCCTACAAAGAGTCAAATTATCAAATGGACTCAAGAAGAAATATAAAACTTAAATAGACTTAAAATAAGAACTTTAATAGCAATTACAAATCTTCACACAAAGAAAACTGCAGGCCCAATGGTTTCACTGATGAATTCTATCAAACATTTAAAGAAGAAATAGTACTAGTCCTTCACAAATTCATCCAGAAGAGTATACTTCCCATCTGATTTTGTGAGGTCAATATTATCCTTATATAAAAACCAAACAAAGACATCACAAAAATAGAACATGACAGATCAATATCCCTCATGAATATATACACAAATATTCTCAACAAAACATCAGCAAACCAAATTCAGTAACATATAAAAAGGATCACGCACATTAAAAATGGGCTTTATCCCAGGAATGCAGGATTGGTTTAATCAGAAAATTAATTTAATCAGAAAATTTAATCAGAAAATTAATGTATTATACTAAAGAAGGAACAAGGGCTGCATAAAAAGCGTCTGAAAAATTCAACTCCATTCATGAAAGAAAACTCCAACAAACCTACGAATAAAAGGAATTTTTCTCAATCTAATAAAAGGCAGCTACAGAAAACCTATAGCCAACATCATACCTACTGATGAAAGGTTGAATATCTTCTCCCTAAGATTGGGAACAAGGAAGGATAGGTGTTCTCACCCACTTCTATTCAAGGTTTACTAGAGACTCTAGCCAATATAATCAGGCAAGAAAAAGACAAGGAATCAAGATTGGAAAGAAGTAAGATTCTCTATTCACAAATGACACAATCCTATACGTAGCAAATATTAAAGAATATACAATCACACACATACACTCACTCACTCTCCCTCTCACACACACCCCCTTGACAAGAACTAATAAATGAGCTCAGGAAGGTTGCAGGATACAAAGCCAATATACAAAAATTAATTATACATATATTATCAACGAACAATTCAAAAATGACATTAAGGAAAAAACTCCATTTACAACTGCACCTGAAAGAATTAAAAATTTAGGAATAAATTTAACGAAAGATTTGTAAACTGAAAACAATGTTTTGAAAGTAATCTTTTATACACACTGAGAGAAACTAATCAAGATATAAACAAATAAACATTCCATGTTCACAGATTCGCAGACTCAATATAAGCATGGCAATTCTCCCCAAATTCATCTACAGATTTAACACAATCCCTGTAAAAATCCCAAAAGGCATTTTTGCAGAAGTGGGTAAGCTGACCTTAAAATTTATGTGGATATGGAAAGGGCTCAGAATACCCCAAAAAAATTTTGAAAAAGAACAAAATTGAAGGGTTTAACAGTTCCATATTTGAAAGTTTGTTGTAAGTAAAGCCACAGTAATTAAGACCACTGGAAGTGATATAAGGACAGACAAGCACTCAGTACACAAACAACCTTATGCTTATAGTCAACTATTTTCAAAAAAAGATGCTAAAGCATTCACTGCAAAAAGGACAGTCTTTTCAACAGCTCTAGAACTATTAAATGGTATTAAAATTATCCGTGCAAAAAGTCAGATTTAGACCCTGGACTCACCCCACACACAAAACAGATCATAGCCCTAACTCTTAAGAGCTGAAGTATAAAACTTCTAGAAGAAAACATGGGAGAAAAGTTTTATTATTCTGGATTAAAGAATTCTTAGATAAGATACCAAAAACACTAACCACAAATATATATATATATATATATATATATATATATATATATATATATATATATATAAATGTTTTGGCACTTAAAAAGTATGTACTATTATGATCACTTTATTGTAGTGTTTATAGTACTTTGGTTTCATTTGTGTCTATAGTACTTTGGTTTCATTTGTATCTAACAGCTTTATGGAGGTATAATATATATTGAGGTATATCAATTGGACTTCATTAAAACTAAAGATTTTGTGCTTCAAAAGACATTTAAAAAATCAAAGACAAGCCACAGACTTAGAGAAAATATTTGCAATTCATATATTTGACAAAGGGCTTGTATTTAGACTATATAAAGAACTCTTAAACACACCTGTAATCCCAGCACTTTGGGAGGTCTATGCAGGAGCACTGCTTGAAGCTAGGAGTTCTAGATCAGCCTGGGCAACACAGCGAGACCCTGCCTCTGCAAAAAATTTAAAAATTAGCTGGGCATGGTGGCACGTGCCTGTAATCCCAGCTTCTCAGGAGGCTGAGGTGGGAGGATCACTTGAGCCCAGGAGGTCAAGGCTGCAGTGAGCCATGATCATGACGCTGCACCCTACTGGGTGACAGAGCAAGACCCTGTCTCTAATTAAAATAAATAAATTTTTAAAAAGAACTTCTTATAACTCAGTAAGACAACCAATTAAAGACTGAGCCAAAGATTTGAATAGATACTTCCAAGAAGATGTAAATAGAACTAAAAGCACATGAAAAGACCTTCAACATCATTAGTCGCTACAGAAATGTAAATTAATACAATTATTATATTCCACAGCCACTATAAAGGCTATAATAAAAAAGACAAAATAGTAACAGTGCTGCCAAAGATGTGGAGAAACTGGAAATCTCAAACATTGCTGATGGGAATATAAAATTATACAGCCTCTTTGAAAAACTGTGCAATTTCTTAAAAAGTTAAACCTGAATTCACCATCCAACCCAACAATTCCACTCCTAGGTATTTACCCTAAATAAATAAAAACACATATTCACACAAGGGCTGATATATGAATGTTCATAGCAACATTATTGATTATAGCCTGAACAATTCAGGGTCTATCAACTTGTGAATGAATAAGCAAAATGTGGTATATCCATACAATGTAATACCATGCAGCAATAAGAAAAAACAAGTTACTGATGCATGATTTTTAAAAAATGGATGAACCTCAAAAACCTTATATCGAAAGGTAAATGCAAAACACTACATACTGTATGATTCTATTAATTGTCCAGAAAAGAGAACTCTATAGAGAAAGCATATTAGTTAAGGTGTCCCGGGGTTGGGGATAGGAACAGGAATTTACTGTAAATAGGCAAAAGGGATGTTTTTAAAACAATGGAAATGTTCTACAACTGAGTTGTGGTCAACATGGCACAACTCAAAATCTACTAAAAAACCCCAAAGTGCATACTGTAAAGTGGATGTTACAGAATGTAAATTATACCTCAATAAAGCTGTTAGACACAAATGAAACCAAGTACTATAAACGCTACAATAAAGTGATAATAGTACATACTTTTCAAGTGCCAAAACATTAAAATATAGCAAATATGTAACTTCCCCATCAGTAGAGGAAGAGGGAAGTACTTAAGTCTGAGCAACAGTTAAAAAAAAAAAAAAAAGAAAAGGAAAGGCAATCAACAAGCAGGGTAAATAAAATGCCCAAAGCAAATTAGTAAAGTCCTCCCAGTAAGAGTAATTACAATAAAATACAGACTATACTTGACAGTTTTAAGACACTGTCAGAGTAGGTTAAAAACTGTTTTCAGGAAGTCCTAGCCAGAGCAATCAGGCAAGAGAAAGAAATAAAGGGTATCCAAATTGGAAAAGAGGAAGTCAAATTATCTCTGTTCACCATTGATACAATCTTACACCTGGAAGACCCTAAAGACTCCTCCAAAACACTTCTAAATTTGATAAATAAATTCAGTAAAGTCTCAGGTTACATAATAAATCTACACAAATCAGTAGCAATGCTGTACACCAACATCCAAGCTGTGAATCAAATAAAAAATCCAATCCCTTTTACAACTGCTAAAAACAAGAATAAAATAAAATACTTAGGAATATACTTAACCAAGGAGGTGAAAGATCACAACAAGGTGGGCTACTAAACACTGCTGAAAGAAATCGTCACAGATGACACAAATGGAAATATATCCCATACTCACAGATTGGAAGAATCGATATCATACTGCTCAAAGCAATTCACAGACGTAATACAATTCCTATCAAAATACTAACAATATTTTTCACAAAATTAGAAAAAAATTCTGAAGTTCATATGGAACCAAAAAAGAGCCCAAATAACCAAAGTAATCCTAAGCAAAAATAATAAATCTGGAGGCATCACATTACCTGCCTTCAAATTATAATACAAGGCTATAGTAACCAAAACAGCATGGCACTGGTATAAAAATAGATACATAGAACAATGGAACAGAATAGAGAACCCAGGAATAAAGTCAAATACTTAGAACCAGCTGATCTTCAACAAAGCATACAAAAACATCAACTGGGGAAAAGGACACCCTAGTCAATAAATGCAATAAATGGTGCTGGGAAAACTGGATAGCCACATGTAGAAGAATGAAACTGGATCCTCATCTCTCACGATATACACAAATCAATTGAAGATGGATTAAAAACAAATATAAATCCTGAAACCATAAAAATTCTAGAAGAAAACCTAGAAAAACTTTCCCAGACATTGGCCTAGGCAAACAATTTATGACTAAGACCCCAAAAGTAAATGCAACAAAAACAAAAATGAATAAATAGAACCTAATTAGGGCTGGGCACAGTGGCTCATGCCTGTAATCCCTGCACTTTGGGAGGCCAAGGCGAGTGCTATTGTGTCTTCAGAAGTATTAAAGCCACCCTTGTAGTTTATTTTATTTCAGCTAGGGTTTTTTACAACTTTGTAAATCACGTGAGATCAGGAGTTTGAGACCAGGCTGGCCAACATGGTGAAACCCCATCTCTATTATTAAGAATACAAAAATTAGCCAGGTGTGGTTGCACACGCCTGTAATCCCAGCTACTTGGGAGGCTGAGGCAGGAGAATTACGTGAACCTGGGAGGTGGAGGTTGCAGTGAGCCGAGATTACTCCCTCCAGTCTAGGTGACAGAGCAAGACTCCGTCACAAAAAAAAATAAAAAATAAAATAAAATAAATTTTAAAAAATAACCTAATTAGATTAAGAAGCATCCGCACAGTCAAAGAAATCATCATCAGAGTAAACAGACAACCCACAAAACGGGAGAAAATATTTGCAAACCATGTATCTGACAAAGGACTAATATCCAGAATCTACAAGGAACTCAAACAAATCAACAAGAAAAAAAATCCCATTAAAAAGTGGGCAAATGACAGACATTTCTCTAAAGAAGATAAACAAATGGCCAAACATGAAAAAATATTCATTAGGGAAATGCAAATTAAAGCCACAATGAGATACCACCTTACCCCAGCTACAATGGTTATTACTAAAAAGTCAAAAAGCAATAGATAATGCATGGATGTGATGAAAAGGGAACACTTATACACTGCTGGTGGGAATGTAAATTAGTACAACCTCTGTGGAAAACACTATGGAGATTTCTCAAAGAACTACAAGTAGATCTACCGTTTGATCCAGCAATCCCACTACTATCTACCCAAAGGAAAAGAAGTCACTGTATCGAAAAGACAACTGCACATTTATTGCAGCACAATTCACAGCTGCAAAGATATGGAACCAACCTAAGTGTCTGTCAGTCAATAAGTGGATAACGAAAATGTGGTACATATACACCATGGCATACTACTCAGCCATAAAAGTGAATGAAATGATGTCTTTTGCAGCAACTTGGATGGAACTGCAGGCCACTATCCTCCAGTGAAGTAACTCAGGGGTGGAAAACCAAATACCACCTGTTCTCACTTATAAGTGGGAGCTAAGCTATGGGTACGAAAAGGCATACAGAGTAGAGTAATATAATGGACACTGGAGACCCAGAAGGGGGAGGCCGGGTGTGGGGTGAGGGATAAAAAACTACATATTGGGTACAACGTACACTACTCGGGTAACAGATGCAGTAAAATCTCCAACTTCATCACTGCACAATTCATCCATGTAACCAAACATCACTAAAGGTACTGAAACAACTGTTTACGCTAATAATAGCATAATTGTATTAGGTGCATGTATGCATATAAACAAAAACAAAACAGAAAGCTGTCTCACACACAAAAGATGGAACCTGTTATATTAGGAAAATATCTAGCTCTATTACTCTCTAAAGGAAAAAACATGATTAGGGATAAAAACGGTCACTATGAGGTCACTTGATGAGGAACACACTAATTTTAAACTCACATGCACACAATGCCTAAATTCACATAAAAAAATGAGCAGCTTTTCAGAGAAATACTGTTACACTGATTACTTCTTAATTTTACTATTCTCCACCTATCATATTCCTTTTGTGTATATGGCCAAATAACATCATTGAAAAACTCCACCCTATTCCACCAAGTCAACATTAATTTTCTTATGTAGAAAGTTTAACAAACAAAACAGGCTTCAAAAATTCAGATTTTTTAAAAGGTGGCCTCATTGTAAGTAGGTGAAATTATGGAGACATCATATAGATCACATATTTCCTCACTAGCTGAGTGTCTTGTTTAGATGGCAATGTTAAAAAAAAAAAAAAGTCAAAAAAATGTGTTACGAGTGCTGGTTCTGGAGCAAAGCTGCCTGAGTGTAACCTACTTAACAGTTGTGTGGCTTAAAATGTTAGTCTCTGTCTTAGGATGAGGGTGAAGGATAAAACAATAGTGCCTACCTCACTGGGATGCTGTGAGCAATTAAATGAGATAATCCACACCAAGTGTGCTAAAAATGCATGACACATAGTAAGTGCTAAAAAAAATATTTAACTCTTTGTGACTTATTGGTTAAGGGAACTGCAAAAACATTCTTTAATCCTAAATGATATTCTTCTAAAATGAAATTTAAATTATTTTAAAATGTAAAAATTTAATACTGACCAATTAAATATATAAATCATATTTATTTTAACTGAGGAATTCACTTAATAGGCCTTTGCTTGACAGCCTACATGCCACCACCTAAAGAACAGATAGATAAAGATCAGTTTTACCCTTGAAAACCTGTTTCTTATGGAGGAGACAAATCTGTAAAATAGACACCTGCATTTCACAAATTAGGAATTATTTCAATGAATGGAAAGCTCTTAAATATGCATGACCAATTTTAAAAAAATCACATTTTAGTAAAATGAACATAATCATTATGTAACACAATGTTTTTAATGATTCTGAAACCCCTTTAAGATACCATACTGCCCCAGAATCATTCTAAAAAATCATCAATGATATGCAGACATACGTATATGTTAAAACTATGTCCTCGGGCCAGGCGTGGTGGCACACACCTGTAAACCCAGCACTTTGGGAGGCCGAGGCGGGTGGATCATGAGGTCAGGAGATCAAGACCATCCTGGCTAACACAGTGAAACCCCGTCTCTACTAAAAATACAAAAAATTAGCCGGGCGTGGTAGCAGGTGCCTATAGTGCCAGCTACTCGGGAGGCTGAGGCAGGAGAATGGCGTGAACCAGGAGGCAGAGCTTGCAGTGAGTCGAGATCGGGCCACTGCGCTCCAGCCTGGGCGACAGAGCGAGACTCCGTCTCAAACAAACAAACAAAAAAAACCACTATGTCCTCAATAAGGGAACAAAACAAATATACTTCAAAACAGATTTTACTATGTTTTAAAGAAATCAAAGTAAGTGTTCATATGGCCCAACAGTCCTACTCCTAGAAATCTACCCTGAAGATATACCTCTAATGATACAAAAATACATATATAAAGTTATTCATTGCATCATTATATGTAATTGCCAAACATCACAAACAACCTAAACGCCCATACCTAGGAAAGCGGCTGAACAAATTATGTACCATCTATACAACGGAGTACTATAGCTGTTTAAAAAAAAAAAAAAAGAAGGCAGAAAAACTGATACAGAGGGATCGCAAGGGCATAATATTAACTGAAAAAATTAAAGTGCAATGGACAATGTCTTTCTTCATGTAAGAAATAAATGCATGTAAGAAAATTGGCCGGGCACAGTGGCTCACGCCTGTAATTCCAGCACTTTGGGAGGCTGAGGGAGGTAGATCACTTGAGGTCAGGCGTTCTAGACCAACCTGACCAAGATGCAAAACCCTGTCTCTACCAAAACATACAAAAAAAAAAAAATTACCTGCGCATGGTGGCACGTACCTGTAGTCCCAGCTGCTCAGGAGGTTGAGGCATGAGAATCACCTGAACGCAGGAGGCAGAGGTTGCAGTGAGCCGAGATTGCACCACTGCACTTGAGCCTGGGCAAAAGTAACCCTGTCTCAAAAAAAAAAAGAAAAAAGAAAAGAAAAAAAGGAAAAAGAAAATATACATGTATTTGCTATGAGTATAGAATATAGAAAAGTTAAACCAGAAGCTAAAAATATTGGTTCTTTATAGTAGGTAGGTGGGGATTTGTGCAAAAGAGACATAGAAAGGCTAAACAAGAAACTAGAGCTTACTTACTATGGGCAGGTGGGAAAGTGAGAGAAAGCAGCTGGGAACGGGAATGGGGTGGTAGGAATGAGGTACGAACAACACTTCTCCATGTATATCCTTTTACAAAGCTCACACTCTGAAAACCACGTTTCACATACTGAAAAAATAAACCATTAAAATCAACCAGGCTGTGGAGAGAACGCTCAAACAGTAAAAAAAGGACCAAGAGTACAAATCAGTCCACAGATCAGAGAGGGTGGGAAAGAAAAGAACGTCAGTAACTTTGAAAAACTGTTTCTTGACTGATATATGAGGCAAAACCCAAAAAGAATTGCAGAACAGTGCAATGTAGTTAATGTGTTTCTCCTAGGGTATGAATTAGCTCTTCTGAAACTACATGTATATTACACTGACACAACAACAAAAAAACAGTAAGTAAATACACTGCAGACAAGAGGCAGGTTACCCATATTGGAAAAAATAACAAATAAGGAAAACCAGAAATTAATCCTGTGGTGTTAAATTAGAATCAGAAGTATCAGTACAAAACTCATGAGTTTTTAATAAGCAGACACATAAATGTATATTCATTAATACACATACATATATTTCCCAGCTGTATCTCCTGAAAGGCCCAAGAGGCAATGACACCCTATTGGCAATTAGTATACTTAAATGAACAAATGTTGGTTTCTAAATACCATTTTCCAATTAAAGGAACCAGGGTTCCTTGAAGTGGTTGTTTCCAGGGCTGGGAGAGGAAAAATAGATGGTCCTGTAGTATTTTGTGGTGCCAGTAAGAAAGTGTTCAAAAAAATATGGGAACTTGTTAAAGAACCTAGGAGTTAACTCAAAGGAGTTCCTAATGGGCAAATGCAGAAGAATTTGAGCAACAAAACAATGATAGTAAGTAATGAATTTTAACCCATATAATAAAATATCCAGGTGTCCACAGATATAAATAATCAAATAAACTTGGAGAGAGAGGTATGGAGGCAAAGCTTGTTATTATAAAAGAATTTCAAGAAATAAATGTGCAAAAGAGCAAAACAGAAAATCACCTTTAGGCAAACACCACAGCGGTAACTGTTACAGACAAGATCCACTAATGAATGCAAAACTTAGCATAAGTTGGAGGAGAAAAGAATTTTCATGTCTCATGTATCTCTCCCAAGATATTAACTACAAAGGGAAACAGTAATTTTGCAGTGGAGATACCTGGCAGACACCACCTTAACCAAGTGATTAAGACTGATACACCAAAATAAGGAACTTGAAATGACACACTAGAATGCACCTCTTGATATGATGCATTTTCTGTGGTATTCTCTTCAAAATTGCAAAACCTCAAGGCATCTGAGTACATCAAATAAATCCAAACTGAGGAACATCCTCAAAATATCCCACCAGTACTCTTCAAAAGTATCAGTTATGAAAGACAAACTGAGGAACTGTCTGAGATTGGAGGAAAGACTAAGGAGCAGTAAGTAACAAATAAATGCAAGATAGGGTCATAGACAAGATGTGAGGAACAGAAGAACACTAGTTCTTTTTCTAATGGAAAATTTGGTGGAAAAGTTGGTGAAATTCAAGTAAGATCTGTAATTTAGGTCTAACGCTATTGCACCAACATAAATTTCCTGATTTGGATAATTATATTACGGTTCTATATTACAATATTGAGGGAGGCTGAATGAAATGAGGGTATATGGGAACTCTTGGTACTATTTAGTGCAATTTTCTGAAAGACTAAAGTTATTATATTTCAAAATAGAAAGTTTAAAAGAGAATCTCTTGGTCTGCTGTTCTGTTTTATAATGGTTTAAAACAGAACAGGTAAGACAGCTTCATTTTGTCCCAAACTTTAATATAAAAAAGCTATAATTTTAAATTACAATTTAATACTCTGTTATAAGACTGAAGCTATGAAATGGGGCAACACTATTTCATGGTCTCCAGAGCAGAACACGCAAAAATGTGTTATCAAACACTTTATCTGCTTCTACTACCATCTTGTTCTATGAGGGAAAACCTATCTGAAAGATGTAACATAGACAGGCTCAAAATCAAGTCTGTGAACATGAAAAATTATTTAATGACACGCATCTTGAAATTACAAATCTGTTAAGAACACCACAATAGTCCTACAGTAAAGTTTGTTTCTGAGAAAAAAATCTAGCACAGAAAGCCTCATGTGAATAGCAATTCCTAACGGGAGCATCTTTGTGTGTGTAATTTCTGCTTTGGTTTTGGTGAGGGTTGGGGCATGGACTGAAAGATTTACCTACAAAATATATGCATAGTTGATCTAAATTTACTAAAGAACAAATCTACATTTTTAGGTGATCTTTCAAAATCAGTCCTCGGTTTGAATTATCCATTAACTAGTGGGGATGCAAGCTCGCCCCCTTGTCATTAAAATACATATTCATAAAACTTTAAAGTTGCACTGCTCTAGTTACGAATAGCTTCTACTTTTCTAGGACATAATTTCACTTTGTTTAAGAAGAATTCATTAAAGAAGCTATAAATAACCTTTAAATATTTAGCCATGAATAGAGAGGGTGGACTGGCATTGATGGCTTATTTTAGTACTAATGCAGAATGCTTTTTAAAAGCTACATTTTAGCATGCATCAAGCTAATGATTAACTTGTAATGTTATTTTCAATGTTAGAATAAATTTATTTTGAGGAATTGTGGTAAAAGTAAATGTGTTATTTCAGTTAGTAGGAAAGTAGCCTTAAAGAATGAAAATGTTGGGAAGATGAAACTGTAAGGAATTTTTATTTAAAATGTTTAAGCATCTAGACCTTTCCTTGTTTCCCAAAACATAATCCCAGTGAAACTGCAAAAACTAAGGGAGAAGTATCTGAGGAACTGAAAGAATTCCAGATCTGTTGTGTGATACATGTAGCATACATATGAATCAAGGACATATCTGTACTCAATTTTGAATCATAAAGTTCACAACATTTTTGAGACCAAGTTTCATAAAGTTTTTACTTGGAAAAAAAAGTTTTACAAAATATCTTTCCAAAGAAATTTTCCCATAGAGTACAATTAATTCATGTAGCTTTCTTCCTTAAAGATTACAGTATGACATTCAGAGGGGCGAGGTTTCTTGAATAGCCAACTAGCCGCAAAACCTACAAGAGAAGTAGATTTTTTTAAAGTGCCTTTAAAATGTGAAAGCAAGTAATGTAATTGTTGAATCTATTTGAAATTTTAAAATTTTCTTTAAAATGGTCCATATGGTATGCACAATATCACAGCTGGCACAAAACTGCCTGTATTTAGTTTGAAACACAAAAACAATGCATATGAACAGTATTCTTTGAAAAGTAATTCAAAATGCTGCCACTGCATCATAAAGGCAAACTTAGATAAGAGTGTTGACAGTATTCAGAGAATTCACAAAACAAGCTGATATTAAAGTATTCAGACAGTTACCTTGATTTTTTTCAAATACCACGGGTAAGGGTAAAAGAACTTGTTGCCAAAGTAACTCAGGATACCTTATTTCAAACTACATGTAACCTATTTTGCTATAGATACTCTAAACAAATGAACAACTAGGTTTTAGGATGTAAATTCCCATTTCCTAGACAGGGCCTAGTCTTTCTGTTGCAATCTGGCAGCTTTAAACTTTGAAACCCTCTTTCCAGTTTCTTCAGATGCTTCCAACAGAACTTCCTTTCGTTCTGGAATAGTGGGTAGTGCGGGATGAGCAATGGCTGGGGGTGGTGTTAAGGAAGGTGATACAAATTCTTTTTCTATAACAGTTCCAGAAAAAGCCTAGAAAACAAAAGTCAGGTTATGGTAATAAAATGCAAATAAGACACCCACAAAATCTTCCCATTCACTCATTTGGCAATTCTTTTCATTAAAAGTAAATTCACGAGATTTTTGGCTAGACAACACTACTACACCAAAATACTAATTGTTCAGAGAAACCAACACCATTAAGTTTTAATTTCACCACCAAACAGAAGTAATTTTTACAGTATACATGCAAGAAAACAAAATGTAAAATGTAAATTTTATCTGGGAAAAAAAAGAAATGGATAAATAAAAGGTCTTCAAACTTTCATACATTCCATTCATGTCCAGCCCATGCTGTGAAAAATAATGTATTAAAATAAAAATGCTATTAGGGTGTCAAACTCTGACTTTTGTACATCAGTTGATGAATGAGCTATCCTATGATGGCCTTGCTGCCTGCTAGCCAATAGCTTAGTTTCACCAGTACTGACATTTCTAACTGATATCTCTTTGGTGGTGTTTATGCAATTATTTAAATATTTTACTGCATATTGCCTCAATTTTAAAAGATCAGTGGAAGTTGAAAAATAAAAGTGCTGATACTAGTAGGAATAAGTACAGGTTTCAAAATTTTAATATAATTAACTCAATGACAGAAATCAGAAGTTCCACAAAAAAAGAAATGACTCAATTTCACCTGGATGTTTGCTGCATTTAATCTGGTCAACTATATGTTCAACTGGAACAGAATTAAAGAATGTGCATAAATTGCTGGAAATATCTGTACATGTCGTTTTATACAAAAATAGGTAAGACACAAGGAGTTAATTTTTTTTTTTTTTTTAAGATTGCTGGTATTTAGAACCTCCATCCTTCCCTCTACAAATGAAAATTTGACAGGTGAACTTTAATGTACATTTTGTTCTCCTCTGTCTACCAAGTGCTCAAAATTAGTTAAAACAACGTAACACCTAAATAATTTAAAAAGCCACCTTCTTCTACCTTGCCCCACCACTGAAACAAAAACAAAGAAAGCCATCTCTCTCCTACATTATTTTTGGAGTTCAACTGGTAAAAGCAGCTTAAAGCTTACTTTCCTAAAAACTCCACTTTATCACGATGAGCATAGAGCCTTCTTCTCCTTCTTCTATTTAAAATGCCTTTGAAAAAGAGGTATTTTAGCATTTAAAAAGATACTGAAAAGGATATCTTCCAAAGTACTTACCATAATCATGAACTATTTCTTTGATGTTAAAAAATGTATAGCAACTACTATTAAACATTTCCATACAAAATGCAAAGCTACTAAGGGTGAAATAAAAAATAGGTTCCACACTCTAGCTGTACCATGATACACTAAGTCCTTACAAAAAACTAATTTTCAAACATTTATCAGCAATTACCTGATAACATCCATTACCTGTTTTCTAACAGTATGGAAGACTATCAAATAAGGTAAGATACTTTCCAGGTCACCTAAGATCATTATACTAAGAAGAGGGGAAGAAAACATTCTAGTCATATGTACTGTCCCTAAATGCTACCAATCTCCATCCCCAATTACCATTTAATACACTGAGTATAATACCATTTAGTAAAAGCAATGGAATTTTTAGATAAGGTTATATATATGCATGTATCTTATTGTATATACAAATGTGTACACTGGTTTGATCCAGGCATGGGTTCCCCAATCTTCCTAAATACTTTTTAAATTGAAAACTTCAAATACGCACCAAAACACAAGAATGAAGAAATCAATAGCCTTATATTTCACAGACATCCTTATTTGGGGATTTCCTAACCTCCCCTGCACCACCACCAAAAACTGTAAGAAGTGTGGTGGGTGAAAGTGTATTGAGTGTGCACTATTTTTTCTATGGACAGGGTCTACAGCTTTCATCAGATTATAAAACAATTCCATAATCCCCCAAGAGTTAAGTTTCACTGGTACAAGGTAAAATATTAGACTTTAGGTAATTATCTGCTATGCATGCATTATTTTTCTTTAACTTAGCCAAGGTATTTAAAAGAGAATAATGTAATCTGCTCCTTACACTATCAGAAAATGACCTACTGGTAATTTATTTAAAATAAACTGCGAAATAATTTCCTAGCTACAAATGTAATACATAATGCCAAGTAAGACATTTTAAATTTCCCATTTTGCTGAAATAGAACGTTAAGACAAGTAATGTGTTTATCAAAAAATAAACTATTTGATTATCACAATATTTGTACTGTTTGTGACTATTAATTTTTTATTAATTAGTACCAAGAAAGTATAAAACCTAGAATTAATTTAATCTTATGACTTTTCAGATTAAATAGCTAAAACTGGTCAAAGATACTATATGAAATAAAGAATTAAAAGATACACACACACACCTCAGGTGTTACTGATAAGGGCAAAAGTTTCTTTTGATTTTCTTGTGGTTCCTCTTCCAAAATGCTCTCACTGGTGTCACTGCAAGTGGCTTCTTCGCAGCTGATACTCCTCAAAACTCCCCGCCTATCATCAAATTCAGCAGCACTGCTTTCACTAGTGTCGCTACACACACTATTCTCTCTACTTCGAGACTTCAGGATGGATTTGCGAGGGACATATTCTCCATTCACAACATCAACAAAGGCTCTGTGATATTCAAAACACATATGCATTCACTATACGTAACTCATAAAACTGAGAACAACTTTTTGAAAATTTCCTTGAATCTATTCTAGAAATTAATCTGAAAATTTTTATTACAATCTTATATCTAAAATAGTCACAATCACAATAATTTTATAGCCTCAAATGGTATCTTCATACTATTTTGAAAGCTATTTCTCTGGCCTAATAATAAAACACAGCATGTTATTTATTTATTTTATTATACTTTAAGTTCTAGGGTACATGTGCACAACGTGCAGGTTTGTTACATATGTATACATGTGCCATGTTGGTGTGCTGCACCCATTAACTCATCATTTACATTAGGTGTATCTCCTAATGCTATCCTTCCCCCCTCCCCCCACCCCATGACAGACCCCGGTGTGTGGTGTTCCCCACCCTGTGTCCAAGTGTTCTCATTGTTCAATTCCCACCTATGAGTGAGAACAAAAACACAGCATGTTATTTTTAAGCATGTCCTAGGTGGCAATAGCATGGTTTGCCAAAATTCTACATAAAGTTTTAGACCCACGTATACATTTAGCAATTTTCACTGATTTATAAATAAGGGTCATAAAAACAGTAGGTATTTTCAAGTGATAGTTTTCTCAACAAACAATTCCAAAAAAAAGGAAAAAAAAAAAAAACCTGCAACAGTATAATTTCTACTCTGAAAAGGTAAACTGCATGCCAAGCATGTTACGGCTGTGGTAGAAACGTAGGGACCTAGCCCACTGGAAACAAAAATGCTTTCTGAAGATACAAGATTTTCTGACTAGACCATTTGGAAATGTTTCAAAAGCACTGGTGAAGAGGAGAAAGTGAAAAAAAAAAAAAATCCTCCATTCCCACTGCTCTGGACTGGGAAGCTACAGCCGGTCAGCCTATCAGATCCTAAGTTAACTCCTCAGAACACTTCACTTTTCAGTGAGGGTCTTCTGTGTTACAGTCAACTTTCTCCAGTAAAGGTTCAGTGGCAGAAAGAGAGGCAAGCCCAGCAGACTGCCCTGCAGCTGTGAGCGCCTCCCACCTGTAAATGTCTGCAGGCGTCCTGATGGTCGGCAGCTCCTGGGCAGAGTGGCCACTGCCAGTGCTGTTCTTTCGTTTACGTTTGGCTTCTTCTTTCTTTTCACTGAATTTTAAAGTGGTATTCTTTCCAGTATTTATTCGGACCTAAAATTTCAGAGCAAGAAATTAAGAATCTTTTGACAAATTAAATCAAAGTGAAACCAAAACAAATAAACTCTATAACTAAAAAAATAATAGTAAGAGAGGCAGCTGAAATTTTCTGATGCTGAAATGATGTGCATTATCAGATGGAATTTTTTAAAAAGTCCTTATCTCATAGATCTATGACATCTAAAGAAAATCTTCTTTATTAACAAATCCTAGTCTTCAGTGTCTTTATTATTGTAGAGAAAGCAAAATACATTTGAACTAAATGCTAGATTTCTTATAAACTTCCCATCACCCCATTCCTTTGATATAAGTGTTTGGCTTGAATTATGTATTTCAAAAGAAAGAGTATAAACAAAAATTCAGTAAGAATACAACCTTTAAGTCATAAAAGTACTATTAAATAATGCCTATTTAGAATTTTTAAAACATCTCTAATTTTTAGAAATTGAAGGAGTAAAAAAATAAAAACCAAGCCTGTTCAGGGTTCACATGGGGTTAACATGTTATTTTTCTATCCCTAGTCAGCACTTAGAGCATACTTTCCACAATAATGACCACTATTACCTGTAACGTTCCTGCAAATAATATTTGTTCTTTCTGTTTTATCTAAATGAAAACAGGAAAAAAGTAAAAGCCTGGCAAAAGATTAAAAAGCGACCTTTTTTTCTGGCTAATCATCTCAGTCAACTTTTCCCGAAGAATCAGGGGAAGACCCCTTCAGTCTGACATATTAGAATATAAAAACACAAACAATTATTTCACTTCATATAGGAGCAGGAATAACTTTAGGAAGCTAAGAAATATCAAATATGTTTTAAACATATTTCACTAAATAATAATCACACACACTTAAGAATGATACCACAGACCCTTAACTGATACAGGCAATCGGGATATTGTGTAGAAAGGGCACTCAGAGGCGAAAGAGTTCCTGTTTTGTTACCAACCAGATCTATGTCTTCTAGGCCTTAAATTTCCCTGAGAAAGACGAATTAGACGAATTCCCAGTGTCCCCTTAGAGCAGTACATGGAGCAGAGAGAGGGCAAAGATGGACTTAAGGCAGCCTATCCTTCCTTCAATCAGAGCCAAGCTGCTTTGATCTATTTTAAATACTGGGATTCTACAGTAAGTATGGAGGGAACAAAAGGCTTTTCATACTAGAGAAAAGCTTTAAAACTCTGTATTAGAAAATCTCCAGTCACCCCCAGCTCTAAAATGCCAAAATTCTAAGTCATGATTATCCACAGATGTTTATATTTACTTTGTCAGAAAAGAAACTAATTTTTACTTCCTCCTACATTTTCCCTTTGTGCCTATGAAGTATTCATTTTATGTCCATAGAAAACAACCTGGCATAATTAAAAATTTAACTAATGCAGTCACTTTCAACATCCTAAGCACACCAAAATGTCCACAATATAATTAACTCCAGGATTCTTAAGAAAACTCTCTGAATGAAGGACAGGTGAAGTTACAGTAGTTGCCACTCAAATCTGATCCCCTTCCAGACCCCAAACAATGCATTGTTTCAGAGAACAATGGACCAATACCAGCTAACTAAATTTTTTTTCCCTTTTTCTTCTTAAATTGGTCAGAACAAGAGGCAAAAGATGATTTTCCTGTCTGGCACTATCCACAATGATAATGATTGTTAATATTGCTCTTCTAAAAAATATCATAATGCTTAATGTTCAAATTATATGCAAAATTAGTAAAGTTAAAAGTATACAAACCCTCTTAGGCTCAACAGTATGTGAAAAATATATTGTTGGTATAGAATTATCTCCAACCCCTAAAGCCTCATGGTCGTTATCACCATCATCGTCGTCAATGTTGTCGTCGTCGTCGTCATCATCATCATCATCATCATCATCACTGTGGTAAGAACTGGAACCATTCACTGAACAGTTCAACTGACTATTCACTTGACCACTGAATGGTTCTGAACTTGCAACATCCTTATGACAAGGAGTATGAGAGTCTGTTACTTGATGCATCGCATTCACATTTGTGTTACGATCTTCCTTTTCCTCTTCAGAAGATGTCGTATCTTCTCCATTTGCAATCACAGTATCAGGCTTACTAGCAAGGAAGAAAATTAACAAGATCAAACAAACATACTAGAATTTTACATTATTTAAATTTCCAGTTAGTTTCCATGGGTAAATACTAAGATCTTGAATAAAGTATTTTTAAAACTAGAATTCTAAGTTCAAAAACAAAAAAATGTTTTGAAATAAATTAACAAAAAACAGTTCCTATGCTGCTTCTATATATTGAGGTTATTCAGACATAAGTAGAATATAGAAGATAATTTTTTTATCTTTGCAAGAAAGATATTGGCCATATGCAATATAAATATAGTATCAATAATAATAAAGTTGTAAGAAATTCAGAGAACATTTATCTCTAAAGACCAGAAATTGAAACCACATAATACACACTTATTTTCTACTCCTATACTCAGAATATTTTACAATGAGCATGTATTATTGTAATTTTTAAAAATAAAGGATTTATACATATGCACACGAATATATCTATATGCATGAGTGAACATTTATCATACTTGATTCTATAAAAGATGTGAGGACCTTACAAAAATAACAAAATTGAAAATGCAACAGAACTGAAATAACATCATACAAAAAATAGAAAGAGAATCATGACCAAGAAAAATCACAAGATCCAAAACTGGTTTTAAAAAATGAATAGTATTAGTTAATCAAAAAGACCTAAGAATTTATAGGTGAAACACTAGGAAAAAGAAACTTTTATGCTTCCTGCCCTATTTTTCACAGAAACTAATTATTGCATATGGTACATCATTTAAGCAAAATAATATAGAACTTCTCGAGTAGCAGATTTCATTTAGCATTTTAACAATTCTAAGTGTGTGCTAATGTGTATTTCAAACAGCAATTTCGTAAAGTTTCTCATACATATAGCTATCTGACCAGATTACAAATTACCTGCTCCAAAGTTTATAAAAGGAAAGCAAGAATAAACATTTTACTGTATCAAATTTAAATTCAAAGTGTATTTTTGTTTTTCACAACACATTCAAAGATAGAGCACTATCCTGGGTGTGGCATAAAAATACTTCATTTAAAATTTAACATTATATATATTAAATCCATGATTATTAAAAGTCAACTATCTGGTATAATTAATTATATAAAATAGGCCATAATAAAAAATGAAGATGTTGATCTTAAGTATTTAAGTACATGTACATGCATGGGAATATGCACAAACACACAATCCTATAAGAAAATATTCCAGAGAATTAATGTTCATCTTGAGGTGAAAGGATTATTGATAATATATTATGCTTCCCTGCATTTTCTTCAATGAACACATATTATTTTATTAATGAAGAAAAAGATTAATGAGGAAATGTGTATAGAAACAAATTATCTTGGAAAGATAATTTGTCATCAAGTACCTATCAAGTTCACCCAGCAATTCTTCCTGTCTCTCTAGTTCTTCAAGTCGAGCCCACAGTTCTTTATCAGCTAGCAAATCCTTGGATTTCACATCATTTGCAATATCTGCTTCAAAAATATCTGAAGTTTTTGGTTTGGAATGCGGTTTATGAGCAATTCGGTGTTTTGCTATTTAGAAAAAGGAAAAGACGTGGCTGTTAATAGCCAACATAAAAAAGGCACAAACCCAGACTTAATGAGACTTTCTTTTGGGGCAAGGGAAATATTGAAACAGAGGGGTCACAATTTTTAAGCCAAACAGAACTCCAAGGATGAATGTCTCTTACAGCCTTGCTACTCAAAGTGTGGTCCATGGATCAACAGCACTGGCGTCCTTGGGGAACACTTCAGAAGTGTAAGCTCTAAGGACACCCTAGACCCACTGAATCAGAATCTGTATTTCAACAAGAGCCCCAGAGAACCTGCATACACATTCAAGGTTGTGAGAAGAGCTTCAAAAATGCATAAGAAATGGCCACAATGCACCCTGGTTATAAGGCGAAATGCAACACATAAATGATAAATTTCCATTTACCATCCTTACTCAAGGAAATCTAGTTACTACAGTAACGTGCAAAAGCCTTGTGACAGGATACTTTAAACTCCAGGGCACTGCCAAGGAATGAGTACCCTACAAGGAAACAACGGCGGCTCATCTCTGTAAAGTTCTATTATCATTTTACATATGAACATCTCTACTTTTTAAACTGCTTCATTTGTAATCTTCATGTGAGGAAAAAAGATGGGTCAAATCTGAACTCAGAGGTATCTGCTTTTCATTTTAAAAAATAGATTATTTTTTAATAAAGCAAATTAAGGCTTTATTTGCTTTATTAAAGCAAAGTAATGGGAAAGTAATGGGAAGAAGTCTAAGATGCGTCCTGTTATGAGATATGGCACTACCAGATGACCTCGAGTCCATCATATATTCAAATTTGCTGCATTGTTGCATACATCTGAAAATATCAAATTATGTTTCACAGCCTTATTCTCTGTAACTATTATTGATAAGACAGTAGTTAACAATTTTTATTTCAGACCTGTAGCGCTCATAATTTGTCACTGGTCACCACAAACAAAAATCTTGTCTTTCTGTTCAACTTTAATATACATATCCTTTATTTCACCTTCTAAAGCCACTTCCTGTTACTTGTGATGTGGCTTCTTTCAACCAGTAAGTTATCTTAAGAGTTCATCACCAAAATATGAGTGCTGAAAGTCAAAACGAATGCTCAGTACATTTGTTTAAGACACTGTACAGTCTTCTACAGTAGCAAATAATAAGCCATCTGTAATACTTTTTACAATTTCACTACCGTTAACACTTTACAACTGACGAAGGAACCATTGGCTTTACAGAAGTAAACCCAAACACATAAGCCAGCCTTGGCAAAAGAAATCTACTGGGTGGAGATGGGAACAACCTGCGCAGGGAAAGCCACTGCAGGCACCATAAGAGGAATGGCTGAAATACACCCACATTCATTCATTCTTCCAAAAACAGCTTACAAAGCTGCAGTTTTAAAAGAAGAAAAACTAGCAAAAGATATCTTAGGACTTCACCATGGTCAGAGAACAAATTAGGAGCAGATCCATGTCTAGAATATACATCTTCTGAGTTTTAGAGGTTTGGAGCACTGGAGAACTTTGGGAGAAAAAAGCCATGTAATCCCACCACTAAAACAGACCAGTCAGGAATCACATTTTTAACCAAAAGTTATTTATCCATTAATGTTTCACATAAAAAAAAATCAATGAGTAGAAAAATGTTGGCATCCTATGAATTTAAAAGTGTATTCTAAATCCCAAATATCTCACAGAAAGCCCACTGAAAATCAACAAAAATCAAAATATCTAAACAGCTACACATAAAACAATCTTACTGCTTACCTTTAAATTCGAAGTCACATTTAATTTCTTCTCGTATGTCAACAATATCACCTGCAGCCTGGTTTTTAAACAAAAAAAAAGCGTATTAACAACACAAATCTCCAGCATACTAAAATTATCCAAAGAGCAACTATTCAACCTAAGATGTCTGAAAGCATTTTAAACTTCAATTAATTTGTTCCTTGGCTGTAAGATAGCTTCATATTTCTTTGAAAATATTTTCTAAAAATATAGAAGACTAAAAACAAATACTCACATCGCTCATTTTCTGCAAATCTTCTGTGAATTCAACTCTGGATTCAAAATTTTTCATCACTTTTTTTAAGTCATCTATTGTTTTTCTTACATCTGAAACAATGAACACAACCATTATGTAAAGCATGGCATATATACGACCTGTAGGAATATTTTAACTGTAGTCCTATCACACTACAAGTATGATTTAACAGTAATGCTTTTCAAAAATCTTACACTATTTTCCTTTTAAATGGACTTTTAATAAGTTATACTGTGTATTTTTGTGCTATATATATAGCACATTACTTTGTTCGTAATAAAATGTCTAACATATTTTCTCTCTATTACAGAGTACAGAACTAGATTGTAGATGCTGCCTGGTGCTACCAGGTTTCTATAGGATAAATATCTAGTTGGATCATCACATAAAATGCAGTATTTCATAACAGTTTTGTTGCACAGGTAATTTTTGTCCAGCTGGATAATGCATAGATAACATAGATTAAGACAAGTTATTCTGTTCCTGAACAGAAAATATTCCTAAATTAGATGACTGAAAATACAACACATTTTTTACGGTATATAATCAACCATTTCCAAGTTAAACTGCATAACAACACAACACACAGCCTTTCAACATCTCCTAAATACCACCCTCTATTAACCTATTTGAGGAAAAATTTTAATTTGAGAATAGACACAAACATTTCTCTACCCAATACTGGACAAATGCAACAAGTAATTCATGTTTCTGTAATCAGAGTAGAAATCTCTGCTAAGCAGTAAATGGCACCATCTAAAAAATACATGGGGTTTCTAACTATAATTATATGCTGAACAATATCCTACTTTTCTCCAAATACAGAATTTTTATGGCCAAGCGCTGATAAAGAATAATAGACAGTGATATGATACCTCCTCCCCCAGATGCTCTGTGATTTCCTACTGTTTTACAACAGGCACTCAATCAGTAAGCAGATCAGAAGAGGATGGAGGAGAAAAGTACATAGTTCTTTCTCTACCAATGATGAATGCAGGTCTGGCAAAGGTCTAAGCAGTTAAAATATCTTTTAAAAGAATGAAAATAAGGAAGGGAGTTAAAAGTGAAATATCACCACATATGAAGGGCTTCTCGAGAGTGGCACATGTTCTCCGATACGGCTCTCATGCTATGCAATGCTATTTTAAATAAAACACAATCACTTATGCTCTAGCCATGAATGGGTTACAAAAAAAAGACTGCATTAACAAAATGAAAATTACGGTGTAAACAGTTCATAAAATCTCACAGCCCTGATGTCGCTCTAGATCATTAAATTTCTGCAACAATTAGACCTTTTCTCACGGCAGCAAATTGGACCGGTTGCCATGGCAAATCTGAGCCCTTAAGTCATATATCTTTGATTGCAGAAAGGTCAGACTCAGACAGCCTAATAACTCAAGGAGCTGTTTGACAGATTTCATCCGAGCATGGTCACATAACAGCATAAAACTATGTCGGCAGTTGTTAAAAGCAGGGGGTCAGGGAAAAGGTTAAGGTTATGGAATGTTTTTGCTTCAGTAAACTCAGTCAGATAATGTGTCTAACCAGCTTTAGATCTAAAGAACATTATTTTAGGTAGGAGGTCAAATCAATAACTTTTTTCAAGAAGACTGGAAAATATTAAAAATGGCAGGTAGGTAAGCTAAGTACATTTTTAAAAGTCTATCCACATATAAATACTGTGCAACTAAGCTAAAGGTATCAGTGAAAGCCTTGGGTTGTCAATGTGTAAAGAATTGATTGTTCACTGATGTTATAGGAGTTACTTTCAATCAACTATTGTTGACTTTAAAAAAAATTCATCATAACTCACGCATGTAAGAAAAAGTTGTGTGAATATTCCATTTAAGAAACAAAGTGTTTTGGAAATAGGGTAATTATGAAAAACTGAAATACGATTGCACAGTTCCATTTTTAAATTCAAGAAAGCTTTCTGAATCATACATTAATATAAACCACTATCACAAGGTTAAGAAATCAGATCTCAAAAGCATATACTTTATATCAGAATCTCAGAAATACCACAAACTGATAAGCACCAACACCGTCACATACACATTATATATGCAGATATATATCTCTATTAAATTATCATAAGTCCTATGTCCTAGAGCAACAAAAAATTAGATAGCTATACAGAAAATTTAAGACAAGACAAAAGAAAGCTGGGCAACCGCAAGGCAAACGAACCTGGTGCTCACAATAACATAAAATACAGCAGAATGGTAAGCACCTATTTCGATTTTGTACAAAGTAAATAACAAGTCTAAATTCGTATCTACAGGTTGTTTCAAAAGAACAACAGTTAAAAAAGCAGAATGAGAATTTAATTCCATTTCTTTCTATAACTCTGAGATTTAACATTAGAAACCATGCTATTACATTTTTCACTAAAGCTTTTGTACTCTATTCTCCAAAAATTTATTTTAAGAGGTGAAATATACATGTCACTAAAAATGGATCATTTAAACAGACTCAATCAATTTTAACGCTCCAAACATGGCTAAGTTGAAATCTAATTAAGCAAAATTTCAAACCACACTGAAATTATAGCAAATAACACTACTGAGAGAAAAAGAAATATACTTTGTGATATAGACAATATCTGTATTCATTTTAATCTCAAACATTTTAGTTACCAATTATTATAGAAAAAAGAAAACAAATTCAATGGGATCAAAGAAATAGCTGTGAAAATGTACAAAAGACAGTTCTCCACAGATACTTCCCCCCACCCCAAAAAATAAAAACTAAAATTGAAGAAAAAAATTAGTAATTTGAAGGACAGAAGATTGTTTTCAAACACAGGTTATTTTAACTAAAAATCAGAAGTTAAATTTTCTAGGATTTCAGAAGTATAGAATGAGGTATAGTTTTTATTTATTTAGCTGACAAAACCAGGCTGCAGGTTAAATGTGCAGCAAGCATAAGCTAATATTTTAAAGTCTTCACTAATTCAGAATCTTTGTCCAGAACTGGCTGAAATCCTTTGAGTTAGCTATGAAAAAGGAGACTTAAAGCAAATTAACAGTGCAAATTCCAAAGACATGTTTAAACCAAAAAAGAAAATTTAAAACCTCATAAGAACTTAAGCAGTCATTTTCACCTAAAGATAAACGATATGCCTACTCACTAAGTAAGACCAAATATTTAGAAACATTTAGTTAACAGTTTGTAGAATTGTATATATTTGAAAGGAACAGAAATGCAGATGTAATAAAAATTATTTGCAAAACACTAATAAAAGTTATGAACATCATTCGTGAAAGGAGTCTTTTTTACTTAGCCATATATTCATATGTACTGAATAGTATGAAGCCTGTAAATATGCAATTCTCTACTGAATCCTTTGTGACCACTCTATTCTCAACCTCGTTTCTTTTGTGTGCTGGAATTTTTAAATATTCTTTCGACAGCTTCAACAGGACGTGCCCCCTGGTGGAAATACTCACAAACCTCTGGACAGGATGTACTCCTTCTTAAACCAGTACAAAGGTTTGGACTTCTGCTTTAAAATAGCACATTGAATACATGTACTTAGTATTTGCCTTTCCCCTATACCTTAGGTAAAGTAACAACTAAGAAATTTTTAAAGGCATAAACCCATAAAGACAAATACATTTGAAGAGAAAATAGACAAGAAATGTCAACCAAATTTTGGAAACTGCACAACTGATAATGGACTTTGCACAACAGAAAAAAATGGAACCTAACTGTGGCTGGGAAAAGCTACTACAAGTCGATCTGGGATATCGGACCTGGAAAAGGCAATTCACTTGAGAGTATTTCCAAAAGAAGAGTGAACTTTAACCAAAGATCTAGATAAAAGTTTGAAAAGAACAGGTCCCCAAACCCTAATCTCACAAGAAAGGTTTCTCCTTTCTTGCTTAAACAAAAGATTCACAGCTTAGAGTGGTTTGTAGAGATGGTAGGGAATAGGGAAGTGGAAAGAGAATAGAAAATGTCTTAGTGAAACCAGGAGGATTAATTCCAAGTGAACATACTGAACCTTGAAACGCCCAGCCTGGTTCTCAGAACACTAGATGAAGAAGATCAGAAGA
Source organism: Homo sapiens (assembly GCF_000001405.40). Taxonomy (NCBI): domain Eukaryota; kingdom Metazoa; phylum Chordata; class Mammalia; order Primates; family Hominidae; genus Homo; species Homo sapiens. The sequence goes on along the minus strand of NC_000019.10, from coordinate 30,001,367 downwards.
CTCTTTTGTAGAATCTGCTGATACTTAAAGATTGCTCAATTTAAAAAAAATAAATAAATCAGCTTGCTACCTTAAATCCCTACAAAAAATACCTATCAGTCAACAAACCTTGCCTATGCACACAGAGCTTCCTGACAGTACTCAACGCAAGTATAAATGGTTAGCCAAGGATCACCAGACATTTGAAGAAATTCTTGAACATTAATGCTAGAGACCAAAAAAAGAGAGCAAGAGAGAAAAGAGGGAGAAGAAAAAAGAAACATGGAGGAAATGTTTAAAGATGAAAACTTTAAAAGAAAAAACAAATACTCCTTAAAAAAAGACCCTCCATCCATGAAACAAGAACAGGATGCTGTAACAAAGAAACAGCCAAAGAACAAAAAAAAAGTGCTTCCAGAAATGAAACTATGTACAGGAAAATTTTAAAGTCAATACATGATTTAAAAGAGTATGCAGAAGAAATCACTTCAAAAATTACAACAAGGACAAACAAATAGGCAACAAGAAAAGGAAATTTTCAAATTACTAATATAAATTTCCCACGGCTGGAGGACTTAAGCCTCCACTCAAAAAAGGCCTACTAAGCACTAGCAAACAAATTTTAAAGGATCCATAGCACGGCTTCAAGGTGTACCACTGTTGTATTCCAGATCATGGGGAATAAGGACCAAAAAGGAATCTCAAAGCTTTAAAAACAAAAAAACAAGTTATATACAAAGAAAACGAAAATAGCATCAAGATTTTCAATAGCAACACTTAAAGACAGGAGGTAACAGAATAATGTATCCAAAATTCTGAGGGCAACAGTTACTTAAGACCTAGAATTCTAAACAGTCTACTTAACAATAAGAAGCAGGAGTATAAGGAATATAAGAGTTATTCAGATACATAAAAATTCAAAGAAGTACCTCCGAGCAGGTTCCCAAAAGTTACTTAAAGCAATATTCCAACAAACTAAATAGAACCTGAAAAAAGGGTGCTTTGGGAAACAGAAAACAGGAAATAAATAAAAGGCAAAAACAGGGTAAGAAGACACCAGGAAGACGGCTCTCCTTTGATCAGGAGAGAAGCCAGTCCAAATTGAAGCAAGACAATGAAAGACTCCAGCAGTAAAATTTTTAACAACAAAAAAAGTATCTGACTGAATTAATGACAGACACATAGAAAACTATGCAACAAAAAAAGCAGTTAAATTCAACTAAAAGCCTGTACAAGAACAAAATGGAATTACATAATATCTAAGCATGAATACTGATTCAACAAAAATTGTGATACAACAATAGCAAAAAGATTAGAGAAGCAGAGACAGGGAGGACATGTAAAAATGCTACATGGTCCTCTTAAATTATAGACAGGTAGTTAATAATACATAAAATTAAAAAAAAAAGAAGTAAACAAAAACAGGATATGCCAACCACTGGAAAATATGAATAAAAAGAGCAGAGTAAAAATAGCCAAAAACAGAAAGTAATTACATCTGAGGAATGGGAACTGTGAGCCAAAAGGGATAAGTGAATGCTGCTCTTTTTTTTAAATAACGTCTTAAGATGGTTTGTGGTTATTTAAAGCTATATACATCTATCATAAACTAAAATCATAAATTTGTATTTTGAAATGCCTTATTGGAGATACTCAAGAGCATACACATTGCTTGATAAGGTACGAATCTACAAATCCAAGAAGCTCAACGAAATCCAAGTAGGATAAACCCAGACCCACACCAAGACACACTATAATCAAACTGTTGAACAACAACAAAGAGAGAATCTTGAAAGCATCAAGAGAAAAACCACTCATCACAAACAAGAAATCTTCAACAAGATTATCAGATTTCTCAGCAGAAACCCTGAAGCACAGAAGGTTATGGGATGACATATATTTAAAAAGTGCTGAGAGAGAAACAAAATACTTCATCCAAGAATTCTATGTTTAGCAAAACAACAGTCTTTTAAAAATGAGGGGAAATTTAAGATATTCCCAGATAAACAAGAGTTGAGGGCATTCCTCACCACTAGACCTGCAATCCAAGAAATGCTAAAGGAAGTTCTTCGGGTAGAAATGAAAAGACAGTAACTCAAAGCTATATGAAAACACAGATCTCTGATAAAGGTAAACACATAGGCAAAAATAAGTATTACTGTCATTTTGGTTTGTAACTCCACTTTTTTCTTTTCTATGTGATAAAGAAAAATGAATACACATCACTGGACATCTATATTAATGGAGACACAATATATAAAGATATAATTTGTGACACAAATAATATAAAGAGGTGAAGGAGCTGAACAGGAATAAAGCCTCTGTATGTGATTGAAGTTAAGTTGGTATAAATTCAAAATACATTTTATAACCTTAGGATGTTCTATGTAATCGCCATGGTAACCACAAAGAAAATACCTATATTTTAAAAAGAAGTGAAAAGGAGATCAAAACCATTCACCATAAAAAAAAATCAAACACAAAGGAAGGCAGTAATATAGAAATGAGTCAAAAAAAAGCTATAAAACATGCAGAAAATAACAAAACAGCGAAAGTCTTTCCCCCATCAGTAATTACTATACATGTAAACAGATTAAACTTCCCAATCAAAAAGCATAAATTGGCAGAATCAATTGTTTTAAAAAAAGGATCCAACTATATACTGTCTATAAGAGACTCACTTGTAGATCTAAGGGCACAAATAGGTTGAAAGTGAAGGAATGAAAAAGATATTCCATACCAATAGTAACCAAAAAAGAAATGAAGTAGCTATAGTAGTATCAGACAAAATAGACTTTAAATTAAAAAAGTCACAAGAGACAAAGGATATTTCACACTGATAAAAGGTTCAATCTATCAAGATACAACAATTATAAATACATACATACCTAACAGAGCTCAAATGTACAAAGCAAAAATGTACAGAACAGAAGGGAGAAATTATTTCACCATAATAGCTGGAGGAGACATGAATATCCCCTTTTCAATAAAGGACAGAACAGCCAGAAGGAAATAAAGAACATGAACACCACTAAAGACCAATTAGACCTAATAGACATATATAGAAACCTCCACCCAACAACAGGAAAAATACACACCTTCTAAGGGAAACATGGAACAGTCACCAGGATAGGTCATATGAGAGGCCACAAAATAAGTCTCGAAAAATTTAACAAGATTGAAATCATATAAAGTATCTTTTCTAACTGGAATGCTCAATAACATTAAAAATCATTAATAGAAGGAAAATTGGAAAAAGTCATAAATATATGAAAATTTTACAAAATAATCTGTCAATGGGTCAAAGAAGAAATCATAGGCATAATTAAAAAATATGGCTGGGCACAGTGGCTCCCAGCACTTTAGGAGGCCGAGGCAGGCAGATTGCTTGAGGCCAGGAATTCAAGACTAGCCTGGACAACATGGTGAAACCCCGACTCTACTAAAAATACAAAAATTAGCCAGGCATGGTAGCCCTCACCTGTAGTCCCAACTACTAGGGAGGCTGAGGCAGAAGAATCCCTTCAACGCGGGAGATGGAAGTTACAGTGAGCCGATATTGCACCACTGCACTCCAGCCAGGGCAACAGAGTGAGTGAGACTCTGTCTCAAAAGAAAAGAGAAAATACCCTGAGACCAACAAAAATGAAAACTCAACGAAAATTTATGGGATGCAGCAAAGCAATGCTAAGAAAGATATTTATAGCTGTAAATACCTACATCAAAAAAAAAGAAATACTTCAAATCAGTAACTTCACTGTACACTTTAAGAAACTGGAAAAAAAAGAAAGAGTAAACTGAACCCAAAGCTAACAGAAGAAAGGAATAACAAAGATTAGAGAATGATAAACAAAACAGAATTTTTATAAAATGCTGAAAAATTAATGCAACCAAAAGTTGGTTTTTTACAAGATCAACAAAATTGACAAATCTTTATTAGACTGTCTAAGAAAAAAAGAGAAGATTCAAATCACTAAAATCACAAACAAAAGTGGAACAATAAAAACTATTACAGAAATTAATGGGATTATACAGAAATAGTACAAACAACTGACTGCCAACAAGTTTGATAATTTAGATAAAATAGACAAATTCCTAGAAAAACACAAACTACCAAAACTGAAATCTGAATAGACTTGTAACAAGTAGCATATTGAATCAGTAATCAAAAACCTCCCAACAAAGAAAGGACCAAGAAGAGATGCTTTCACAGATGAATTCTACCAAACATTCAAAGAATTAACACCAATCCTCTCAAACTCTTCTAAACAATGAAAAGGGAGGGAACACATTCTGTGAGCCAGCCAGATAAAAATATGAAAACTACAGGCTAATTTCTCTTATGAATATACATATAAAAATCCTCAACAAAATGCTGGCAAACTAAATACGGTAGCACATTAAAAGAATGATACATCATGACCAAGAATGATCTCTGCCACACCCTGGAATGCAAGGATGGGTTCAACATATAAAAATCAATGTAATATACTACATTAGCAGAATGAAGAGGAAAAAACATGGTAATCTCGATTGAATCCAAAAAAGCCTTTGACAAAATCCAACAACCTTTCATGATTAAAAAAAAAAACTCAATAAATTAGAAACAGAAGGGAACTTCCATAACATAATAAAGGCCATATATGAAAACCCCACACTGACATCACACTCTATGATGAAAGACTGCGAGTCTCTCCCCTAAGATTGGGAATAAGACAAGGATGCTCACTATGAACATGTCTATTCAACAACATACTAGAAGTTCTAGCTAGAGCAATTAAGCAAGAAAAACAAATAAAAAGCCTCCAAATTGGAAAGAAGTCAAGTTCTCTCTACTACCAACATATGATACAATCTTATATGTAATATGCAGAAAACCCTAAAGAATACACACACACACACACACACAAAACACCCTTGTAAAGCTAATAAAAAAAATTCAGCAAAGTTGCAGGATGCAAAATCAACACACAAAAATCAACTGCATTTCTATGCACTAACAATGAGCAATCTAAAAAGGAAATTTGTAAGCAATTCATTTAAACTAGAACCAAAAGGACTAAACTCTTAAGAAGGTGCAAGACTTGCACACTAAAAACTATAAAGTGTTGCTAAAACAAATAAGACACAAATAAATAGATATCCTATGTTCACGGAGTGAATATATTTAATAATTAGGATGTCAATACTACCCATGGCAACCAACAGACTCAGTGCAACTCCCAGTAAAATCCAGTAATTTTTTTTTTGCAAAAACAGAAAAGCCCATTCTAAAATTCACATGGAGTCTCAAGGGTTCCCCAATAACCAAAACAATATTTAAAAAGAAAAACTAAGTTGTAAGTCTCATCTTTCTGTTTTCAAAACTTACTATAAAGCTACCCTCATCAAAATAATGTGGTACCAACATAAATACAGACTTACGGACCAAAAAATAGAATACAAAGCTCAGACATAAGACCTCATAAATGTATGACCAAATGATTTTTGACAAGAGTGTAAAAACCATTCAAAAAGGTAAGGACAGTGTTTTCAGCAAATCGTGTTGAGAAAACTGGAACCACATGCAAAAGAATAAAGTTGGACCCTTACCTTACAAGCATATATAAAATGGATACAGCAACCTAAATGAAAGCTAAATCTAGGAAACTCAAAAAAAAAAACACAGGGAAGCTGCTTCATGACATTTGGCAACAATTTCTTAGATATGACATGAAAAGCATAGGCAAAAACAAAAAAACACTAACTGGACAGTGAAAATTAAAAATTTTTGTGCATCAAACAACATTATCAAGAAAGTAAAAGGGCACTCTACCTGGCAGCTATTTTTTTTTTTAAGTAAGACAAAATAAAAGAAGAAAGTAAAAGGGCAACCAACAGACCAGGAGAAAATATTTGCAAATTACACTTCTGATAAGGGACTAATATCCAGAATATATAAAGAACTACAACTGAACAAGAAAAACAAACAACCCAAATAAAAAATGGGCAAAAGACTTGAATAGACATTTCTCCAAAGATGATATACATGTGGCCAATAAACACATGAAAAGATGCTCAACATAATTAATCACTGAAGAAATACAAATCAAAACCCTGCTGATACTTCACTTCAAATCCACTTCAAACTATATTCCTTGATGATATGCCACTTCAAAATATATTTATTTTATATATAAAAAATATAGTAACAAGTGTTGACAAGAATGTGGGAAAACTGGATTCCTTGTATTTTGGTGTTGAGAATATAAAATGGTACAGCTGCTGTGAAAGACAGAATGGAGGTTCCTTAAAAAATACAACATAGGGCCGGGCGTGGTGGCTCACACCTGTAATCCCAGCACTTTGGGAGACTGAGGCAGATGCATCACCTGAGGTCAGGAGTTCAAGATCAGCCTGGCCAACATGGTGAAACCCTGTCTCTACTAAAAATACAAAAAATTAGTCGGGCATGGTGGTGCACACCTGTAGTCCCAGCTACTCAGGAGGCTGAGGCAGGAAGGCTCTTGAACCTGGGAGGCGGAGGCTGCAGTGAGCCAAGATTGCACCACTGCACTCCCAGCCTGGGCAACAGAGTGAGACCCTGCCTCAAAAAAAAAAAAAAAAATCCACAGAATTTCCATATGATCCAGCAATTCCACTTTCAGATATACACCCCAAATAATTTAAAGCAGGGAACTAAATAAATATTTGTATACCTATATTCATAGCAGCACTATTCACAATAGCGAACAGAATAATTCACATTATTCACAAAATAAAATATTGTTCATCCTTAAAAAAAAGGAAATTCTGACACGTGCTACAACACAGATGAACCTAGAAAACATTATGCTATGTGAAATAATCCAGACACAAAAGGACAAATGCTGTAGGATTCCACTTATGTAAGGTATCTAGAATAGCCAAATTCATATGGAAAGTAGAATAGTGGTTACCAGGGGATGGGGGGAGGAAGGAAAAAATGGGGAGTTATCACCTAACTGGTACAGTTTTAATTTGAGAAGATGAAAAATATCTGGAGATGGATGGTGGTTATAGCTGACCAACCATGTGAATGAGGGGAAGGGAAGGGAGGGGAGGGGAGGAAAAGGAGGAAAAGACAGTAAGTTAGCTAGTTAGCAGTGCCAGGGGGCCTACAATAAGGTATCAGTTTCAAAACAAGTTTGCAAACACATTGGGTTGGCAAAGGTGTAGTCAGTCTGTTAAAGCCAGCACTGTCAAAGTTAAAAATCTACTTCACTTCATGCCAGCAATTGTATCTTAAGTCATTTATACTACAGATACACACAAGTACAAATGATACACACACACACACACACACATACACACAGAGGTTATTCACTGCAGCATTGATTTTAACAGCAAAAAAAAAGGAAGACGATCTAAAGGCCTATCAGTAAAGGACTGGCTAAATAGAGTACAATATAATACTATATAGCCATGAAAAGAATAAGACAGCAAGCTGCCAAAACAAAAAAATAAAAGTGTGCCTACAATTTGAGTGGAGGTGTATAGGGTGGGGTAGGAATGCATAAGTCTATGGCTGTAAATGCACAGAATATCCCTGGAATAATGAGTAAGATACTGATAACAGCGATGCCTCCAGGGAGGTAAACTGGATGTTAAAGAACAAGAAAAGGAAGCATAGTTGTTTTTTAATAAATATCCTTTAGATTTTGTATCATGTCCATATATAACCTACTAAAAAAATAATTTTTAAAAAAGCCCATCTTGTGAATGACCTGATGCACCTCATACAATCTTTCTTCTCCTATCACTTAAAAAAAAAAGCTGTATTCGGTGCTAACGTCTTATCACCCACTTTCTTCTGAAATCTGCCTAAAAATGTATTCCTAAATCAAGATTTTCTTTAGAATGCTCTGTAAGATAACAGACATTACATTTTAAAAGTTTCTCAAAATCAAGTAAGTTTGGGAACCACAACATTAAACAAGACTAAAGGGATATTTTTCATTACAGGGCTTCTAAGTAACGTGCCTATGTGCATTTTACTCTCTGGTAGAGGGAAAGTAGTGTGCAGTGATCTACAAACTTACTTGATTATGTCAACAACATTGCCTCTAGGTCACCACTCATCCAATGCTTCCCCTCAACCTTCACATTCAATCAGTTGCCAAGTCCTATCAGGCTCAGAAATTCTTCCTGCTTCTGATCTCTTCTCTAAGCCTATAGCCATTACCCCTAGTTCATGCTCTTATCCCTTCATGTCCACTCTTCCATTTAATAAAAATAACTTTATTGTAAAAATGAAGACTAAGTATGCATTTTTAAGACAAAAGTAAAAATAAGATAAAATAAATGTGTCAGATACAATTCTGAACAAAAGACACACGGTAAAATAATTCTCCCCATATTATCTTTGAAAGGAAAATCTATTAAGATCATCCTATAAGTAAAACTGTTTAACATTAATCACTGGACTAATGACTAGAAATGTGGCCAAATGCCTGTTGTCACAGCCAAAAATTCTAAGACATGGTGCCTAGATACTAGAATTTCAAGTCATTCTATATACCGGTGTTCAAAAGTAGATTACAGAGACATGCAGAAACAAAATTACCAAAAACTTGTCTATACTGTAGAAACCTCTGATTAAATCCTGGTCTTTTCACTTAGTCTCATTGAAGATGTACTCCTTTCTAAGCCAAAAATTGCTCTCTAACGTAAAAAAGAATTCAGCAAATCTCAAAGCAAGTATTTAGAGTAAAACTTTTAAGTTCACGTGAAATACATTAATCCCTAATTTGTAACATTAAAAATACTTTAAGAAGTTCCTATTTCAGCAACAACAGAGTAATAAGATACTAAAAATATTAAATAATCTAAAAGAGGACAAGAAAGGGTAACAAGAGGAACAAAAACGGGGGAATGCCAAACCTGAATCCAAACATATTACATTAAATGTAAATGGTCTAAGTACATCAATTAAAAGACTGAAATTATCAGAATCAATTAAAAAGGAAAGATCCATGCTGCCTATAAGAAACTCACTTTAGGCCAGGCACAGTGGCTCACGCCTGTAAACCTAGCACTTTGGGAGGCCAAGGTAGGCAGATCACTTGAGGTCAAGGGTTCGAGATCAGCCTAGCCAACATGGTGAAACCCCATCTCTATAAAAAATACAAAGATTAGCTGGGCATGGTGGCACTCGCCTGTAATCCCCACTACTCGGGAGGCTGAGGCGGGAGAACCACTTGAACTTGGGAGGTGGAGGTTGCAGTGAGTCAAGATCAGGCCACTGCACTCCAGCCTGGGCAATAGAGCAAGACTCTGTCTCAAAAGAACAAAAAAAAGAAACCCACTTTAAATATGATATAGTTAGCATAAAAGTAAAAGAAATGGAAAAATATACGCCATGCAAATATTAAACAAAAAAAGCTCAATGTATCAAATCCAGTAATACATGAAAGAATACACCATGATCAAATGCGGTTCATCCAGGGAAGAAAAATCAATCAATATAATCCACCACATTAACAGATACAGAAGAAAAACTACAAGATCATATCAATAGATGCAGAAAATACACTGGACAAAATTCAACATATTTTCATTTAAAAAATCCGCAAATTAGAACCAGGTAGAAAGTTCCCTAAACTTATAGGGAGTATTAATTTTTTTAAAAAACCTACAGCTAACACACACTTAACAATAAAATGCCAAATTTTTCCCCAGAAGATCAGTTTCAAGACAAAGACACCTACCTACTCTTACCACTCCTATTCAATATTATACTGCAAGTCCTAGCCAAGGAAGTAAGGCAAGAAAAAGAAATGAAGTGTATACACCTTGGAAAGGAATAAAAAAAAATAGGAGCTATTTACAAAAGGCATGATTGTCTACATAGAAAATCCCATGGAATCTACCCCAAAAAAGTTCAGAGAACAAATGTGGTCAGCATGAATGGAGGATACAATGTTAATTCTTTTTTAAAAAGAGTTATTTCTATATACTAGAACACTTGAAAAACAAGATTTTAAAATGCCATCATTTACAACAGCTCCACAAAAGGTGAAACACTTAGATATAAACCTAACAAAACGCATATGACCTGTATGCTCAAAAACTACAAAACTGATTAAAGAAGTCCTAAATACAGAGATACACTGTATTTACAGGCTGTAAGTATTTACACACTGGAAGATTTAATAGTTAAGAGGTCAATTCTCCCCAAATTAATGTGTTGATTTAGTGCGATTCCAATCAAAATCCCACTAGGAGTTTTTGTAAACATAAGCGAGTGGTTTCTAAAATGTATATGGAAAGGCAAAGGAGGTAGAACAGCCAAAACAATTTGGAAAGAATAAACTTAGAGCACCCGTACTACCAACTTTAAGGAACACTGTAAGGAACACTATAATGCTACAGTAATCAAAACAGAGTGGCATCAGCAAAGAGACAGACACATAGATAAAGAAACAGAACAGATGGTCCAAAAACACAATTACACAAAATGGCTCATTCATTTGTTTTTTAACAATTTAAGTTATAATTCACATAACATACAATTCACCCATTTAAAATGTACAATTTGATGGTTTTCGTATATTCAAAGGGTTGTGCAACCATTACCAAAATCTGTATTTTTGTATTTTCATTGCCCCTAAAAATCTCCATACTCTTTAGCAGTCACTCTCCATTCTCTCTCACACCTTCCTGGCCCTAAGCAGCCACTACTCTCCTTTCTTTTATAAATTTACCTTTTCTGAATATTTCATGTAAATGGAATCATACAATATATGGTCTTTTGTGACTGGTTTCTTTAATTTATTCTAATGTTTTCAAGGTACACATCTTTTTATTGCCAAACAACATTCCACTGCATGGATGTACGACACTTATTCACCTGTTATTAGTTGATAGACATTTAGGTTGTTTCCATGTTTCGGCTACTATAAGCAGTGCTGCTCTTAATATTCATGTACAAGTATTTGTGGACATACATTTTTATTTCCCTTGGGTAGAATACTATCTAGGTGTGGAACTGCTAGATCACAGTAAAACACAATGTTTAACTTGCTGAAAAATTCCAAACTGTTCTCCAAAGTGGCTTCCCCAGTTTACAGTCCCACCAGCAATGAATGAGGGTTCCAATTTTTTCACATCCTCACCAACAAGTGTTACTGTCTTTTTTATTATAACCATCCTAGTGTGGTATCTAAGATGGTCTTGTTGCCAATTCATTTTGACAAAGGTGCAAAGTCATTTCAATGGAGACAGAACAGTATTTTCAACATAGTATTGGAGCAACTGGACATCCATATGCAAGAAAAATGAACCGTGACCTAAACCCCACACCTCAAACAAAAATTAACTTAAAATCAATCACAGATCTAATTGTAAAATATCAAAGTATAAAACTTTCAGAAGAAAACACAGAAGAAAATCTTCAACAACTAAGGTTAGGTAAAGCGTTCTTAGATATGACACCACACATATGATCCATTAAAAAAAGCTAAAAGCTGAACTTCATAATTAAAAACTTGCTCTGGAAAGACACTGTTAAGAGAATGAAAAGACAAGATGCAAAGTGGGAGAAAATATTTGCACATCACCTATTTAACATAAATCCAGAATATATTAAAAAAAAAAAAACTCTCAAAACGACAGTAAGAAAATATACAATGCAGCGGGGTGCGGTGGCTCATACCTGTAATCTCAGCACTTTGGGAGGCCAAGGTGGGTGGACCACAAGGCGGACAGATCATGAGGTCAGGAGTTCAAGACCAGCCTGACCAACATGGTGAAACCCTGTCTCTACTAAAAATACAAAAATTAGCCGGGCGTGGTGGTACGCACCTGTAATCTCAGCTACTCAGGAGGCTGAGCAGGAGAATCACTTGAACCCGGGAGGCGGAGGTTGCGATGAACTGACATCGCGCCACTGCACTCCAGCCTGGGCGACAGAGTGAGACTCCATCTCAAAAAAAAAGAAAGAAAATATATAACCCAGGCCAGGTGCAATGGCACACGCCTGTAATCGCAGCACTTTCAGAGGCTGAGGCGGGTGGATCACCTGAGGTCAGGAGTTCAAGACCAGCCTGACCAACATGGTGAAACCCCATCTCTACTAAAAGTACAAAAAAATTAGCCGGGCATGGTGGCGCATGTCTGTAATCCCAGCTACTCAGGAGGCTGAGGCAGGAGAATTGCTCGAACCTCGGAGGCTAAGGTTGCAGTGAGCCAAGATCGCCCCACTGCACTCCAGCCTAGGCGACAGAGTGAGACTCCATCTCAAAAAATAAAAAAAAAAAAGCATATATAACCCAATATTTTAAAATGGGCAAAAGAGTTCAACAGGTAAAAGAGGACACAAAGATAAAATAAGTGCATGAATCAATGCTCAACATCATTAGGCAATGATGCAAACTAAAATCACTATACACCTATTCAAATGGCTACACTTCTTAAACTGACAATATTGAGGGCTGGTAGAGACGCAAAGATACCACTATCACACACTGCTGAAAGAGATGTAAATCATACAGCCACTTTGGAAAACAGCTTGGTAGTCTCTTAAAAATTGAACATACATTTATCATATGATCTAACAATCTCACTTGTAGGTATTTACCAACAGCAATAAAAATGTATGTTCGCACAAAAACCTGTACACAAAGGCTTACAGCAGCTCTGTTCCTAACCGCCAAAAAATGGAAGCACCCAAATGTCCCTCAAAAGGTGAATGGAAAAACTGCTGTACGTGCATTTAATAGATATGCATGTAACGGAACACTCCTCAGCAATAAAAGAAATGAACTTTGAATACACAGAACCACCTGGATGAGGCGTTACAGCAAGTGAAGAAGCTAATCTCAAAAGACACAGACGTGAAGTCGTCAATCCTTCAGCAGTAGGCAGCCGTAGGGTGTGACCACCAAGGGGCAGTGTGAGGGAGGTTTTGATAGGAGCTGAGTCCTGAGAGCAGTATCTTGTATCCTATTCCGTGTCCTGACTGTGGTGCTGGCTAAACAAATCATGACCCGTGTTGTAACTCAGACCTTCCCCAATTACCCCAATCAACCATGACATAGATGACTATGTGTTTAACTGGTTATATTTCCTCTGCCTTAAGAAAAATAAAGTACCTTTTCTTAATAAATGTGAAGTACAACAATATACCTAAGTATTTTCTTCAGGTATAAATTATAAAACCATGTGAATAAAAGAGCTTTACGTAATTTTTTTTTTTTTTTTGAGACAAAATTTCGCTTTGTTGCCCAGGCTGGAGTGCAGTGGCACAATCTCAGCTCACTGCAACCTCCACCTCCTGGGTTCAAGTGATTCTCCTGTCTCAGCCTCCCAAGTAGCTGGGACTACAGGCACACACCACCACGCCCGGCTAATTTTTGTATTTTTAGTAGAGACGAGGTTTTACCACGTTGGTCGGGCTGGTCTCGGACTCCTGACCTCAGGTGATCCACCTGCCTTGTCCTCCCAAAGTGCTGGGATTACAGGCATGAGCCCCTGCGCCCGGCCCAGAATTTATTGTAACAGGAAATATGTACTTTGAAAATTATTTTAGATAAATATTGATCCCAAAAGTCATCTATGTTTGGTCACTTTCCAAAACCATATTTAACTACTAGAAAGTGATTTACAAAAACATGTTTCTCTACTCTAGAGCTCTATTCTATTGTAGTATAAGTATTCCCATTAATATTTTAAGTTATAACTAATTATAAAGATTTTTTTCACTGAAATATGAAAATCAATGTGAACAAACTTCAACAGGCTATGGATTCATTTCATAACATCAGAGCTACTTCAGTATATAAAGAGAGGCTTCGTCTTCAGTAAGGTCTTTAAGAAAAAAGTATGCCCATTCTCTTTCGCTAATATACATGACAAAAATAATGCAGCAAAGCCAAAAGATTTATCATTGCCAGAAATTACATACAGGCCTAACAATAAGATTCTGATTAGTGTCACAAAAGATCAAAATATATATCAATTATAAACTTATAGGAGTTGATTTGCAATTAGAGTCTCCAAATATAGTTCCCAGAATTTCACTGAGTAAATGAGTTCTCTAGTACTCATTCATGTATAAGTGAAATCAAGTTCAGCTTTAGAAAACTCAGCTGTTTTCTGTTTAGTATGACCTTATTTATAAAAAAGGATCTTCCCATCATTTATTTTCAAATACACATTTAACTAAAAGGTTAAAAAGCAGGTAGGGCGGATATTATACTCTCAATCTAAATACGTATTACAGAAATAACAACAGATTATAAACTGAACCTAATTTTAAAATATAACTAAGCTAGAACCCAAGCTAGCTCATCCAACTGCAAAATGTGTAGTGTGTGTTGTGTGTGTGTATGTAGGCTTCTATACACCTACAGATAATAGCACGGATAAACAAAACTCAAGAGCTGCCCTAATAAAGGGATGCAGAGAACTCAAACAACTGAAAAAGGATAAGGGTGCTGTTTTAGGTAGCACCTTTTCACACCTGGTCTCCTCTATCAAATGAAAATATGGTTTTTTTTCCAAACCAAAAAGCATTTTTAAGAATTGTCTACTTATGTAAACAGGTATTTCTCTTAGTTCACTAAGGAGAAAACACATTATTTCTGTGTACTAAAGTATTAAGTGCAAAAATAAGTCTATAATAGCAACTAAAAAAAAATTATAAGGTATAAAATGACTCCAATTTTTATGTCTTCCCAACTTCTAACTACAAAATCACATAATGACTTTGAAACTTTGTAACTTCTGAAAACATGCCAATGTAGGTGACATTTCCAACCCGGATGCTCCATTCTCCAGCTCATTCTCAAATGTTGGTTCTACTCAAACTACCTACAATTCAACAGAATCACAAACAGCCTGGATTCATAGATCACGGAAGGTACTTTTGGTAAGAAACAGCCCTTCAGCTTGGCAATCTGTGAATGGATACATATACAACAAAGAAACATCATTTAAAATGGGTACCTACGTTCTTTCCGGTGCTCAACTAAACCTACAGCCTGCTTTGCTGAGCACTTTGCAAACCAGTTGTCCCCCAGTAAAACAGTGACTTCATTAGTATGGACAAGTTTTCCTGGCATGAAGGCAAAAGGGCCAAATGGTACCTATTGTTTAAAAAAAAAGAAAAAAGGGAAAAAACATAAAACACTGAAAAGTACATTTTATAAAACACTTCGCATTAAAAGCCTTACATAACTGAATTTTTTTATTTATACATTGGGAAAAATAAAATGCCAGCTTCACAGAAATTCAACACTATATTAAAATTTTACTAGGAAAATCTAAAGAAAATTGCTTTATGTTCATAAATCAATGTTAAAACAGGAAAATAAATCCACACCATATTTACATATAGCTCTTAAAGAAAGTAGTACTGTCTCGGCATGTTTATACTTTTCATTCACTTGCAAATCTAAGTGAAAGCAACTAGTAGTGAAACATTGTCAATGCAAAATACTTTTGATAAAGAAAACTAAAAATTATTTTCAATAAAGTAGACACTTTTGCAAAGCAGGAATTAGTAAACAAATAGCTTTAATGGATCTATCTAGCTATATATACAAAATACTTGGACTAGTATAAAAGAACAAAGTCTTCATAAGAAAGAACATTCATGCAATGAAAGGCTCTAATCCAGGGCTCATGAACAGATCACTATGTCGATGTGAAGATCATTAAAACAAAAATTAGCAGCACGTTTTTATATAAAAATCAATGTCCTAAGGTTTAATTCTGTGAATTACAAAACATTATGGCCTATTCCTGCTCTGGCTAACAAGAAACGACTTAGTACCATATTTCTGTCATAATTACATTTTTTATATAGTAAGTTTCCATTTGAAATATGTCCAATTTTGTGCTAATATTTATGTCATTTGTGTCACCATATATATTCTGAAAAAAAAAGGTAAATACCAACAATTACTACAATTACTGTGTTCTTATAAAGTAAAACAAAACAAATCTTCCTTGCTACATAGTTACCTTGGACACAGTCCATCAGCCTGACATTCTGTGAACCGACACATAGTTAATATGTTTACAAGAAACAACTATTACTTTAAAAGAAACACACCAAACATACCATTATATTATAAGACAATTTATCAGGCAAGGTGCTGAGTCTTTCTCGAAGGGCATTATAGTCATTATCTACCTTCTTCCTGTTGACAGAAAACACCAAATACACACATTATTAACGATTTTTCTTTTTTTTTTTTTTTTTTTTTTTTTTTTTTTTTTTTTTTTTTTTTTTTTTTTTTTTTTGAGACAGAGTGTCGCTCCGTCGCCCAGGCTAAAGTGCAGTGGCGTGATCTCGGCTCACTGCACCCTCCACCTCCCGGGTTCAAGCAATTCTCCTGCCTCAGCCTCCTGAGTAGCTGGGATTACAAGTGTGCGCCACCATGCAAGGCTAGTTTTTGTATTTTCAGTAGAGAGGAGGTTTCACCATGTTGGTCAGGCTGGTCTTGAACTCCTGACCTCATGATCCTCCCACTTCAGCCTCCTGAAGTGCTAGAGTTACAGGCGTGAGCCACTGCACCTGGCCTCACTCAAAAGCTTTATTAAATCTCTTCTTTCAGTCGTGTGTGGTGGCTCACGCCTGTAATCCCAGCAATTTGGGAGGCCCAGTAGGCCAGGTATCATAAAACAAGCTAATCAAAAACATAATTTTAGCAAATTCAAGATTAATGTGGTTTTATTTTTAGTTTTAAAATCCTGTTTTTATACAGTTTAGCAATGGCATTATTCTACCATACATTTATTGAAGAATTAAGACTCTTCAGGGACTCTGGCATTTAGAAGCAGAATACTCAAATTTTGAGAATTACTGTTTTTTAAGATACAAGACTATCTGGACCAAATAAAATGTGAAAATTAAGGGAGACAGTAAAAGAGGGCCTGATATTTGGAGAGAAGAAGGGACTCAAGATGAAAAAAGAAGAGATTTATTTATTTTAAGACAGAGTCTCTCTCTGTTGCCCAGGCTGGAGTGCAGTGGCACAATCTCAGCTCACTGCAACCTCCACCTCCTGGGTTCAAGTGATTCCCCTGCCTTAGCCTCCTGAGTAGCTGAGACTACAGACGCATGACACCACGCCCAGCTAATTTTTGTATCTTCCATAGAGATTAGGTTTCTTCGCCACGTTGGCCAGGCTGGTCTCGAACTCCTGGCTTCAAGCGATCCCCCCACCGCAGCCTCCCAAAGTGCTGGGATTACAGGCATGAGCCACCACACCCGGCCGAAAGAAGAGATTTAATAAAGCTTTTGAGTGAATAGATACTGGCTGTGAAGTTGAAATCATGAACATGAAATTTGATCAGATGCTTTAGTCCTCATCAGAAAACCTTAGGCTGAAAAATGCATCATCAGCTCTTCAATTATTCATAATAATGTGATTAAGGTAAGAGAGAATCAACTGGGGGTAGAAGAAATTAAGTAGAGATAATACAAAAGGCGTTTCAATTTGGCCTAGGAGTCTGTTTCTTGTTACATCAAACAGAGCTACCAAATAAGTAATTTCAAACAACCAAAAGGTATATGTAACTCTGTAGGGGCAGAGATGATCGTATTTCCATGCTATGGGCCTTACTCAGCTCTTAACACCTGCTGGAAATGAACAGCCCTTCTTTTTGAGTAATACCAGGCAGCAGCCTATGCCAAGATGCCCGTCAAACTTTCTCTGGAGACTGGGTTTCCAAAGGGTTCCCTGCTAAGATACAGGCTGCAAGCAAAACTACAGCACTGAATTTTTTTTAAGCAGAAGGATGTTGTCAGTTTTTAAAAATAACAGAAACAAAAATTCACCAACTCAGCAAGTAATTTAAAAGAACATGTAGACATTGTCAAATTGAAATCAGGATAAACTGCAATGTAGGTAACAACTCTCCAGATAATATAAATGACAAACATCACAGAATTGGTTTCAGCTTACTGCTTAGTTCCCTGAAGCAACAGTAGCATAATTAATAAAAAAAAATTAGCTCAGTCTTAAGATCTTAAGGAATTTCACATATATATTATTTTACATAACCTATAATAAATGTCACTTATCAGTATTTTTCTCTTACAGAAGACAAAGTAGAAGGAAGATGGAAAAACCACATAGCAAGAAGCCAGATCTCCTCTATCAAGATGAGGTAAGCAATGAGTTTAACCTAGCTAGGTCTTCTGACCTGCATTCCTTCATGAAAGCTTTCTCATTTTCTAGTGTGCAACTGCTTTATAACTTTCCCCAAAAAAAATCCTTTTCTATAAATAAATACGAAACATGTTTTATTCTTTTGTTTAAGGCAAAAATCCTCCTCCTGGAAAATTTTTATATGGATAAAATGGCAAAAAAACTTCATGCACAAGGCTATGTACCAGAAAGAACATGGCTTTGAAGTCAGACCAGAGAGTGAATCCCAAGCTCTACATGCAATTTACACAAATTCACCTTAGTCTTAGTAACTTCAATGGCAAAATTGGACTAATACTTATCTCACAGGTTCAACAGAATTAAATATAAAAGGTCTAACACACTGCCCAGCATGGAGCAACTACTATTTTGGTTCCAAAACTCAAAACTCATTTTTTTCATGAAGCATCAAAAAACATCAATTCCAAAACTTTCAAGAAAGACTATTACCTACAAGATTTCACTAACCAATTTGATACAAATAGTATAACTTGCTGAAAGACAGTACAGCTGAATGTAACCATTCAGGGGCTTTGGAAACAGGACTGGTGTGAGCAATCAATGGGAGAATGTCTCCATAGGACTGACTGGTACAGTGCCTAGACAGTCAACACTCACTATTAATAACATAACACTAACAGCTTATTTATGTTTCAGATAAGTAATTCTGCAAATGCTCAAGGACTAAATACACCAGCCTAGATATCTAAATATTTCTATGAATATTAAGAAGCTAGTATTAAAGTCACCATTCAATAAGTCTTATTTTGGTAACAATGCTTAGGAGAAAAAAAAACAACTTCCTCACAAAAAACATCTATTTTGTACATTAAAAGAACAGTACGTTCAAAAACAGGCAATACCAGAGATCAATGTCAATATTTCAAGTCAAATATAATCAGTTTTCAACTTATTAATAATTCTCTCTGGAATAAAAATGCGGACATACTGGAGAGCAGTTTAAGATTAGAGTTGCTATTTATAAATTTTGAATTATTTTCTAAAAATACAAAAGTAGAAGATCACTTAAAATGCAGCCCATGTAGAAATCCTTTATGAAGGGAGGCCAGGAGGAGTCAAGCAATGTCTCTGGAAGAAACTACAGCTTGAGGAACCCTCTCTCTCTAAAGGCTACATTCGTGGAAATGTTCAGGGCTTAGTCAAACAGTGATCTCCAAATAGTATCTCTATTATTTCAGGCTTAAATAATCCTGTTAAAGATCACAAAGCCTATGCAACAGAAAATGCAAAAGTTATGCTAAGAACTAATGCATTACTGAGGTTAAGTCTGGGGTCTTTATTTATAACAAAATTTGAACAGATTTTTTTTTCTATTTTAATAATTAGAAACGTAATTAATTTTTGGACACAGGAGTCATTACAGTAATCAAAAATGGTAATTGCTTAAAATAATTTTTCTTCAAATGGAAAACAAAACCCAGATAGAGTTAAGAAACACCTCTCCAGCCTACTTACTTAGAATAGCTAGACCTGCTTCTTTGGCTTCAACATAATGGATCCTTATAGATCAGGTTCCGCCTTCAACTCTTAATTTTAAATTTTTTTCCAATATCCTCATGCAACATTCCTTATACAAAACAAGAACTAAAAGCATAGGTATAAGGCATGTAAGAAACTTTAACCACTTCCTTCTGAATCTTGCTAATCATGTGCAATATGCCTTTTGAGAGTACCTTTTGTTTTAAGGAAATTAAAAAAAAAAAATAGGCAGCAGCGATGAAGACCATTAACACAACCACAAGTTAGCCCTTACCCTTAAAGGATTAAGATCAAGACAGAACCTATGGGAAACAGCTCATTTGCATAAAATTGTAGAAAGTAAGAGAGAAATCAAGTTAAATGAGGGATATGCTCAAGTATTTAGGGGTGAAATACACAGATGTCCACAACTTAATTTGAAATTCATCAGAAAAAAATGGATTAACGGATTAGGGTACAGACAGATAGGTGATCAAGATTCACTCTTCCATATGTTTGAAATTTGTCATAATAGAATATTTTTAAAGGGACGAGGAAATATGAAAGGGATCAACATTTTTAATCCTCTTAAAAGTGACTGACAAAAATAAAAATCTCTATTAAAAAAAAAAAGTCTACATCCTTTGAGGCCAGTGATAAAGACTCCAACCTTTAAATAATAAAAAAGGGAGATAAAATTTAAATCAGGTTGAAACAATAAGACTTTGCTAATTTTACTTTAAAGTAAGAAGTTAAAATAGACAGCAAATACTAACATTGAACTTTTTTTTTTTTTTTTTTTTTTGGAGATGGAGTCTCACTCTTTCACCCAGCCTGGAGTGCCGTGGCGTGATCTCGGCTCACTGCAACCTCCACCTCCCAGGTTCAAGCGATTCTCCTGCCTCAGCCTCCTGAGTAGCTGAGATTATAGGCACGCGCCACCGCACCCGGCTAATTTTTGTATTTTTAGTAGAGACGGGGTTTCACCATGTTGGTCAGGCTGGTCTCGAACCCTGACCTTGTGATCTACCCGCTTCGGCCTCCCAGAGTGCTGGGATTACAGGTGTGAGCCACCATGCCTGGCCCAGTTTTTTTTTTTTTTTTTTTTTTTTTTTAAGAAAAAAAATCTTCTATCACTCTCTTTTCCTCTACCTAACATCCTAAACAGACAAGCAGAAAATACTGTGAGATGCCTAACGGGGAAAGAGGAAAAAAATTTCTATATAAGTGTTAACATCTGAGTTAACCTGGGACAGAGTTAAATTTTTATTTTTTAATTTAAGAAACGATAAAAACGGAAGATTCTGGAATATATACAATATATAACCTTCTTTAGAAATAATTTTTAGTCCATCATACCCACCCTACAACTTCCCATTAAGCATCCAAAAAAGACTTGTTTCAATTGAATCCACCATTTACTGAGCAGCTCCTCTACAACAAGCCTATGGCATATGCTGCAGGGATCATCACTCACACATAGCATGCCTTTCTGATTGTTTGTTGATTGTTTTGCAATGCATCTTTGTCAAAGATCCACTAGCTTGAAGGATGCCTGGCTTTTCACCTCTAAAATCAAGAAAATAGAGGAATATTAAGTTTGGGCATGGATTCTATATAGATAAAGAGATGTCCTCCAGTTACTAAAGCAAGAAATAATGATTTTTTTCAAAGTATCCTTTTAAACAATCTAAACAAATTGATAAAAGTTACATTTTATTTAAAAATTCTTGAAAAAGGGATCTATACTGTTATGCTTTATGCAATTTGGTGGGAAAAGGAACACTCCTCATGGAAAATTTAAATGTACTTGAATTAAATCAATAGCATTACACTTTTTTTCTAAATGGTCATGGCAAAATATTCAGTAATTTCAATTGATATAAGTAACTGAAATGTACCACAAAATTCAGGCAGAATGGTGGTATATTCCTTTTTTATAACTCTATTATACCAAGGAATTTATGTCATCAGAAGATGCTGATGAAATAATCTATGTTCTTTATATTTTATGAGTCCATCAGAAAACTTTACTATTA
This sequence comes from Homo sapiens, assembly GCF_000001405.40. NCBI lineage: Eukaryota > Metazoa > Chordata > Mammalia > Primates > Hominidae > Homo > Homo sapiens. The sequence continues at coordinate 29,979,688 of NC_000019.10, read as the reverse complement.
GACATAGATACCAAGATTAACCCGCATATAAAAACATAATTTTTCAAGTCAATGAAACAAAATTATCTAAAGAGAGATGCAGCTAACATTCTACTAGATTTCTTCAATTTAACTTTTCAACAATGAGAAAACAGTGCAATGGATATATATATATAGTAAGCCTGGACAGAAAAATCTGTTCTACTGTTCTCTCTACAACAACCATACACATGTGTTTGAAGACTTGTCAGTTATCACAGGTGCCTGTTTCTTCACTCATTACTAATCTTTTGCTCTAAGAAAATGAGATGTGAATTCAAAGCAAAAAACCTTTAAAATTATGTAAAAACACATTCATCTACGTTTGAAAGAAATATCCTAAAGTGCCTAGTTAATTTTTACTGATGAGTTTATATGTAATTTTTGTTCTTTTTATTTTCCAAATTTTCTATAACTAATATAAATTCCTATTACAAATCAAAGGAAAGGACCTTTTAGAAAAGGTGTGATGAGTTTATAGCTGACTTAAGCTTTGAAAGTTTGTGCAAATTTCTACTTAAATCTTACCGTAATTCATAGGTTTTGCTACTTTACACTTTCTATATTTTCTTTCTAAAGCATATTTTAGAAAAAAGTAATTTTGTGGGTTTTCTTAATTACAGTAGCAATTAAAAAACCCTTTTAGGTCACTGATCCCTATGAGAAACTAGAAAAACTCTAGGCTCTTCCCTGAGAAAAGAACTCATATTTTACATATAGTTTCAGCAGAGGCCCAATCATAGATACCTCCGGGTTAAAGTTTCTCAAGAGGTTTTACAACAGTGAAAAATGGCAATCCTGGTTTTGAACCTACCAAATATTTAAAAACCTCAAAATTATCAACTGACTTAAAAATAAAAGAAAAATGTGAAAACCCTCACCAATTTGATCATGAGTTCAATATGAATTAGTAAAAAGTAAATTATAGGCATGCCTCCATTTTTCACAGCCTACATTTCTCTCAGGTCTTACACTGATACCCACCCCAATCTGTCTTTGGTATAGTGGAATCTGGACTTATATTTCTCAAAATAAGAACAAGCACTCAGGATTATCACCAAGTGATGCACTTCTCAGACAAGCACTGTGGTTGTTGCAATATTCACATCTTCATCCTCAAACAGGACTCTGTGCTTAAGAGTTTTATTGGATGTTACTCTTCATAAAAAAAAATGGAAAATGAAAAAAAAGTACAAAGAAGTACAGTTTTCAAACCTAATACAGTTGAGACAAAGATAAAAAATCATGAGGTGTGCCCAAAGCAGTAAGCCCTAAGCCCTTTGCCTCAGTCAGATACTGGACTTGAGCTGGTCATGGGAAACTGAACCAAACCATATTGACACTGGAAACACGTCGTCATCAAGGACTATTCTAGGTGATGAAATGTGATTAGGGATTTTTTTTAATAATAGTTTAAAACTCTTCAGGGGAAAAAAACTCTCCTATAACATGTAAGTTTTCCTTTCATTTTCAGAAGTGCGTTAAACTAGCTGGTTGCTTCCAAAAACATGATATAAAAGCTTGAGGACTCCTACAAGTAATAAATTCTAATTACAAGTTAAAAATCATTTAACTCTTTAAAAAGAGAAGGAAAAGAAAAATGCATTTACAGTTTGACCTTAGTCACATAAATACACATACAGAATTAAGAAGCTAGAGGGAATAAAAGGGAATGTTTTAAAAACAGGGAGAGAATTAGCTTCTCTTTACAATTATGAGTAAATTTATCTTTATTCCTTTCTTATTTCAACTTTTCCATAACTAAGCATGCATTCATTTTATATTCAGAATAAACATTTAAAAACCTAACTCAGATTTAAAAAAAATTCTTTAAACATTCAACTTGAATCTTTTTTTTTGCCTCTTAATTTGCTTTGAAACATTACACACGAGTTCCAAACTCACTTAATCACTAGCGCATGTACTAACTCACACCATTTTTTAAAACTGTGCAGAAACTTAATGACAAGATTTGACATATATGATTCTTCCCCCTTATCCCTAAGACTTTCATAAACAACTACAGAAACTCCAACAACAAAAACATGCAAAATTTCCAGAAAGTTTGGCAGTTGCTCTCTGCTCAAGAGGAGGGAAAAAAAAAAAAAAAAAGAAAAAATAACATAAAGAAAAAGCCCAAACAGAAGGCCCTCTACAAAACAGTGACTGAAAACTTTGTAGTCAGTAAAATACAGACTCTGAAAAACACAGTTTACAAATCTACCTAACACTGTAGAAAAAAGTCATTGGCTTTTACAAGTTTTAAAGGTATGCAGATCAATATTTCACATATTATACATAATAAAATAAATTTTATATAGCATGTGAAGGCAACTCAAGAAAACAGTTTCAGGTATTCATATGAAATATACTGTAAACCATGGCATTGTTACAATGATATAGTTCAGTGCTTCTGTGCACAAGGAATGCCTCAAAAACATGAGACATATAGACAGATATACAATGTGTGCATAAAGCAGGTATCTCCATCCCGACTGATAGGAAAGAGTAGCTCCAACAGGAAAAAAAAAAAAGAGAGAGAGAAAATCAAATCTTCACCTGAGATTTTTAGCTATACAGGTATGCTTTCTTGGTTATTTCCTACTATATACTTTAACTATAAATTCTAATGGAAGCTAGTTACTCTTTTCCTCTGAACAATTATTTTTGTCCAGTTTCCTTTGAAAAATAAAAAAATGTTGAGTATTTGCTTTAGACTCTCTCAAAACTCACATGCCAAAGTGTTTTAGAACTTTTATGTCTAAATTTAAAGTATTCTTTCCAAAATTAAACACCTGAACAAAGTATCTTCTTCTATATTTAAGTCTGTTTCATGTAATTTCAAAGATACCTTTACCAAAAATCCTTTTAAAATAAAGGAAGCAAGGCAATAAATTTTTTACAACTCACATGCATACGATTTACGATTGTAAGTAATGCCTAACATAAAGATGAACTGCCAGGCATCACATGTACTATTTCATTTCATTCTCACCAGTCAACATAAAGGACGGAGACTTCCTTTTTGTGTGTGTAGGACCTATTCAATAAAGTCATTGCAGTGCATTAAAAATGACCATTAATTCTTTTTCACGCCTCCTCTCAACAGGTGGGTGTTATCTTCCCACCTTGTGAATCTGCGCTGGCCCTTCCTTTGACCAACATAACGTGGCCTTGCAGCTTCCATTCTTGCTGCTGAGATGCCCATAGAAAGTAAGCTGGACAAAAGAGCACATGGAGGCAGAGGCTCAACCAACAGCACTAACCACCAGACTTGAGGGTGAGGTCATTCTGGACAACAAAGCTGACCCAGCCACCAACTGGCTGCAACCAAAGCAGTGAGCCCACACAAGACTAGCAGAAGAACCACACAGGTGAGCCCAGCTTAATATGCACACCCACTGAATCATGTGCAAGTAAATGGTGGTTGTTTCAAGCCACTAAGTTTTGCAGTAATTTTACTAAGGAGCAGTAAAATAACAGATATATCATCTTAGCAAGGATATATTTTGAGTTCAGAGCTATACTCTCAGTCATGTAGCAATTATTTATTTAAAAAAAAATAGTTCCAGGTCTCATTTAGTAATCCTAAAAGTTAAATGTCTGACATACAGCAAAATGTATGGAATGAGGTAAAGAGGAACTGTTAGTTAATGATACAGGGTAGGTATAGTATTAAATGAACAGGTACAATCTGATTTCATTTTTGTCCAAAAGGATGGGAGCCGTATATAAACATGTAGATGAATACACACACACAACACACACACATACATACACAAACACTTACATTATGCAAACCATTTCTGAAAAGATTTATGAGAAATTGGTAAAAAACTGCTGTTTCCAGAAAACAGAACTGAGGGGCCGGGTGCGGTGGCTCACACCTGTAATCCTAGCACTTTAGGAGGCGGAGGAGGGTGCATTGCCTGAGCTCAGGAGTTCGAGACCAGCCTGGGCAACACGGTGAAACCCCGTCTTTACTAAAATACTAAAAAAATTAGCTGGGCATGGCGGCACGCGCCTGTAATCTCAGCTACTTCGGAGGCTGAGTCAGGAGAATAGCTTGAACCCGCGAGGCAGAAGTTGCAGTGAGCCGAAACCATGCCATTGCACTCTAGCCTGGATGACAGAGTGAGACTCCATCTCAAAAAAAAAAAAAAAAAAAAAGTAAACAGAACTGAGAATTAGGGGACAAAGTTAGGAGGAACCTATACATCATTTACATCCTTTCATACCTCCTAAATTTTGAAACATGTAAATGTATTGTCTCATTAAATATTTTTTATTTAAATCTTAAAAAGTTAATATATAGTCTTTCTTGTCTCTTAAAGATATATACTGAAATATTTCCAGATGGAATGATACGGCTTAGATTCATTTCAAAACTGGAGATGGGATAGGCAAAATAGTTTTTATTAAAAAGTCAAAAAAGAACAGATGTTGGCAGGACTGCAAAGAAAAGGAATGCTTTTACACTGTTAGTGGGAATGTCCAGCCACTGTGGACAGCAGTTTGGAGATTTCTGAAAGAACTAAACTGAACAACCATTCAACCCAGCAATCCATTACTGAATACAGACCACCCAAAAAAAAAAAGCATTCTGCCAAAAAGATACATGCACCTGTATGTTCACTACCACAATGATCACAATAGCAAAGCCATGGAATCAATCCAAGTGCCCATCAACAGTGAACTGGATAACAAAAATGTGATACATATATACTATGGACTACTACACACCCATAAAAAAGAAGAAATATTTGCAGTAACATGGATGCAGCAGGAGGCCACTATCCTAAGCGAACTAATGCAGAAACAGAAAACCAAATACTGTATATTCTCACTTATAAGTGGGAGCTAACCACTGGGGACACATGGACATAAAGATGGGAACAAATAAACACTGGGGAATACAAGAGCGGTGAGAAAGGGCAGGGGCAAGGGCTGAATAACTGCCTACTGGGTACTATGCTATCTGGGTGATGGGTTCAATTGTACCTCAAATCTCAGCATCATGCAATGCACCTTTGCAACAAACCTCTACATGTACCTCCCAAATCTAAAATAAAAGTTAAAAAAAAATTGGAGGTAGGAGTAGATGGCAAGATAAGATGTTGAAATGAACAGTTTAGAGAAAATCATGAGTTGATGATTATCAAAGCCGACTGATGAGTACATGAGGATTCACTATACTACTCTATCACCTTTCATTTGAAATTCTTCATACCAAAAAGTGATTTAAAAATATTAATGTAAAGCTGTAACAGTAATTCACAGAAACCCAACTCTCTCTCCATCATGACAAAAAAACAGAATGAACACTAAATATTCACGAATATTTACAAAGCACTGGCTTTTTTTTTTATTTGTCTGACAATTAAAATTTTCAAAAGAGGTATATGGGTTCCTATTAATACTTATTGAGTGCCGGGCAGGGTGTTCTACAGACATGATCTCATTTGATCTTCACTACAACCCTGTGAGTTAAGTAGTATCATCATCACTTTACAAGAAAAAACTGAGACTCTGAGCATAATTGTTCAAGGTCAAAACGCTAGTAAATGACAGGATTCAAATATAGGTCTGTGACTCCAAATGCCATGCTCTTTAAGGAAGAATTAAAAAGAAAATTACAAATAATCCACAAACAAAATAATCAGCCACTAGTGGACCAAACAGTGGGAAGTATCCTCATACTTTAAGGAGGTAACAGTGTGTGGATTTCATAATACCTTATTTCCTGAGTTAGTTAAAAAGGATTATAAAGAAAAAAAGTTTGATTCAAAAACATTTTTTAAATCCTCACTAAACTGAAAACCATTATTATTAGCTCTAAAATAATGTACAAATTCTCATCCAATAGGCTTGAATCTTTCCTTTTTATCTGTTATTAACTAAACAAATATTATAAATTTCTTCGTTCACCAAAGTTCTAGGATTTAAATTAATTTTCTCAAAGATTTTTTTGGGTAGATCCTGTGGTCCCAGACCATTTTCACTCCTATTTTTCTATAAATATTTTTACTCCCTGTCCTACATTTTTTTTTAAACAAAAACCAATTTAGATTATTTCTGAGCCTAGAATACATATACTTGTTCCTTAAAGAATCCCTTAAAAATTATACAAACAAGCATAAACATCACCAGCATAAGAATGCATTTTTCAAACCATATATTTTGTTCTTCTTTACTATACTGGTGCGTACTCATAAAGAATAGGGGCTTAACAGAAATTATATTTTAGACTAGGCTAATACCAAGGGTTAAGTAGGAATTAAAGCAACATGCTTTTAAAAGTAGTGTGTGAGACACCCTAAGAACGGCTCCAGCCTCTGAACTCCTGTAGTTGCTTCATATCTCCGCAAATAGCACAAAATTATCGTGATTTCCCTGTTATATGTCTGGCTATGAATTCTTCTATGGCAGGGTCTTTCAATTCCAAACAGCAGCACAATACTGGCATATGGTAGAAACTCAACTATTGTTTGAGGAATTAAGAGAATGCAAAAATATCACAAGAATTCCACGACTCTCCCAAACAGCAATTTCCTTGCTTTCAGGGAAATGGTGACACTTTGGTTTCAATTTTTTGATATAATGAATTGATTAATTTACTGGCCATTCAGATTTGAGCAATATACCATGTATAGATCTTCATTAAAAGCAAAGAGAAAAGTCTGTTTCCTGAACCAAACCAGAAATGATTCAGAGGAAAATGCAAATTTTAACTGGAAAAAAATAATTTTTTAAATGTATAAAGTACTATATTACTTCAAGATATGTGTAGGCAAATATGCTAAGCTTCTACAGTTTAGAGGGTTTTACAAAACTGAAAAGTGAAATTGAGGGTCACATGAACCTGCCATGAAGTAAATGTCACATTTCTGTCACTGCTCACTAGACTTGTGCACTACTAGAGTATTTGTAAACTAAAATGTTATATAGAAAATAACCACATATTTGGTCATTTACTCAAACATTTATCAAGTGCCTATTTTGTGCCAAACATAGCAGTAGGGGCTGTGAATAAAAGGATGAAAACGTGCCCTTATCCTTAAAGAACTCTAATAAGAATCTTATAAAACAAACCAGAAGCAAGTTACCATTCACCCATTTATGTAAACTAGCATCTATTTCCAGTGAATACCTTTCTAATTTCCTGAACTTCTTACCAAAACCAATAGACAGAAGTCCACGTTAATAAACTTCCTCTGGAAATTATTTGTAAAATGGGCCACTCTGACTAAATGTGCAGGGGAAAAAATTCTTTGGCCAACGACTTGTATTTCAAGTTTTAACCTGAACTGAATGTATAATGAAAGGCGAATGGTCCATTATGGAAATGCTAACACACTTACACCACCAGTGGAAGCAACTACAACGATGCATTTATTGAAAATTAATGAAGTCCTGAATTTTTACTTATAAAGTGGATATTATTAGTTTTAGATTATTTTCTGCAAGCCAATAGTCAAAATTTAATAAGATGATGTGTACAGATTGCACCAATTTTCACTCTTATCCACTGCCTGCAGCCTATGTGCATTTAAACCAAAAAACATTTGATATACACTAACTATAAATTATTTCCTTGGAGATCTCTCAGGCATGAAGAAAAAGCCTCTTAAAATAAATTTAAAATATTATATGCTTGATGGTGTATAACCGAAGGTTTAATCTCACCACTAAAGGGGCAGTTACCATGATTTTTGCAATAACCCTGCAGACAATAATCAAGACAGCTCCTGTTGTTCTCTCAGTAAAACCTTCGTAAGCACAGCATGGATATATTGTAATTTGATATCTGTAAGATCAACAGCTATACTTCATGACAACTCATAATATAAGATTTTATTCACCATTAAATCGAGCATTTTCCTCAGAAGCCAAAGGAAAGTGTGTTATTTACCAAACATGGTCCTATTAACTATAGATTAGCACATTAAAATAGATATGCTCTCTCTTAAAAAAAAAAAAAGTACAGTCAATAAAACAAGCTCTGAAAAGTAGAAAATTAGATTTTTTTTTCAAACTTTGGGAAAACATTTCTGTGCCCTATTTCCATCATTATTTTAAAGTAACTGATTCCCATTATTTTTCTACTAAAATGTAAGAAATATCCCCAAAATAGAGCTAAGTCACATTCAAAAATGTCTCAGTCTCCAATTCATAATGATATTAATATTATTCTTAGAAAAGAAAAGGCACTTAGAATAAATACAAGTGGTAACACAACGTCAGGAAATCAGAAATGTGTAATTCAGAAAAGGGTCAAAGACAATATAAATTAGTATTAAAGGCATTCAAAATGGAGACTACTAGAAGAATTCAATTACTAGTCATACATACACACACACGCAAACAGTAAACACATTATTTGAACACAAGTAGGTTACCCCATCAGTATTTCAGAAGTGTAATAAAACCATCTTTCACTCACCAATGCTGGATTCTCTCTTGGCAGTTAGTGACCACCTGTCATGAAAACAGATAACTACTCATGAAAAAACAGAGCTATGCACAGAGCTACAAAAATCAGTGTATCTGAAAACTAGAACATTGGCTTTACAGATTTAATAGCATCTCAGTATACATTTTTATTTGTCAAATGCACAGAGATGTGAACGTTAGTTTTTAAGCAGCACACTTTATCATAACCCTCTAATGCAGGCTGATAACTGCAGAACAAATTACAGCTTTCTGATTCATACTTTGGTACAAAACCCGCTTCATAACTATTAGGTGACATATGATATAAGATAACTAGTATTTTGTACAATCTACAGACCTGTTTTCAATATTACATATTTTGTAGAATACATAAATGTTATAAATAACAAGAAACCAATGTAACATCCACGTTTCGTCAGTTAAAAAAAATGACTGTAGTGACAATATTTTATTTTGTCAGTATATCTCCAAACATTTTCACCTGTAATTTTTATTCTGACGCATTAAAAAATGAATTCAGTGATATTTTTCTACTACATTTTCAAGAAGAAATACTTGGGATAAGGAGATGCTCTGAACAGCTCATTTGTTCCCCAGTGAATTATGATCAAGACTGTAAGCACTTCACAGCCAGTTTAAACTATGTTTATAATACTAAAACAATGAATTTAAGTACAAAAGTTATTTGTTTTCCTTGGAGATATGTCAGTAGATTCTCAAAATGCTCAGAAAATAAGAAGACTAGACAATAAAGAAAAATGCAATTTAAAAAAATAACACTATTTTTGAATGACAATTTAAGAATTAACACTGTTTTCAAGGATTGCTAATTATCTACTTTTAAATTACCTATTAATAAAAATTTTAAACAGCAGTCTAGAATACCATATACCATTTTAGAGACAGAGAAACTAGGGGATGAAAGCCAAAATGCTTAAGACTAGGCCATGAGAAAAAGAGAGCAGCATTATCTGGTTTGCAAAACGCTGCTCTAGTTCACTGCTCTAAATACCAATATTGTCTCTTGTATATGCTCAATGTTTCACCATCCCGTCCCAGCAAAAAAAAAAAAAAAAAAAAAAAAAAAATACACACGATTTTTTTTAGACCTGTCACTAAATTCCTCTATTGTAACATTTAATTCCTGAAATAAATGTCCTCTTTTGGGACATTTTAAATACTAAGACAGAAATTCTGTACCAAAATACATGCTATAATCAGAAACCCAACCATACTACACATTAACTCAGCATAAAAAGTCCATTTTAGAATGAAGATCTCTCAGTAAGTATCAATCACATAGCAACACTTAATAACAGTGGCAATATATAATAGAGTACTGACTTTACATCTGGAAGAGCCAAGCTAAAACTACATCAATCCATTTCACTGTTTCTGATTTGGCAGTAATTACAAAATAGACAAATAGAATTAAATGTAAATTGAAAAAGGAAAAAAATGCTCATGAAATCCTTTTCATAAAGTTCCTATTTAACAACCCCATTAAAAGATGAGACCCAAGAACAGTCAGGATGTTTTCCAATCCCAATGCATGTGTTTCCAAGCATGAAGAGAGCCAAAAGCACAGAAAGCAAAGCCCTGCAAACCATAAGAGCAGAATGTTCATTAACCTCTACATGATAATCCTTTCGTAGCTGCATATTAACTAGTTACACATTCATAATCATTTACATTATTTAAAGGACCTTCGAGGAAATCTTCTAAGCTATATCCATTAGTGACGGTGTTAAAGGTTATAGAAGATAGTCTACCTAATGTTTCCAGGAAGCCTTTTTAATTAGTAAATATGCAAATTTGGCACATATGCTTTTTATGTTTAAGAAACAAGTCACTGGTAGAATGGCATGTGTTCTTGCCATCACTCCCCATAGTCTACCCTCCACTTCGTTCCGGCCATTCTTGCCCTGTTCCTTTTACTTCCCTTAAACAGTCTCCCTAGGAAGATAGACGAACAACAAAATCCATTTCACAATGTACAAGAGAAATTTTCACTACCAAAATGCTGCCTTACATTTTAAAGTCTTTATTAGTTACATATAGTGTGTAGAATATCAGAGACTTCAAATAAGCACTATCCAAATGTAAACTAAAGAAGTGACATTTGGGAAATCAGAAATAAGGGGAAAGATGAAAGAGGTAGATATAAAAATATATAGACTAGCCTTCTGATGGCATGTCTAGGTTATCTTTGTTTATATGATTTATGGTCCACCTACTTGCAGAAAAGATTTAAGCCCAAGCAGTTCTATTATATTTAGAGGGTTTTTTTTTTAGTTGTCTTCTATTTCACAGCAAGTTATTCAAAAGAAAAAATTAGTAAATTTTGGTCAGACGCGGTGGCTCACGCCTGTAATCCCAGCACTTTGGGAGGCTGAGGTGGGTGGATCACGAGGTCAGGAGATCGAGACCATCCTGGCTAACACAGTGAAACCCCATCTCTACTAAAAATACAAAAAAATGGCCGGGCATGGTGGCAGGTGCCTGTAGTCCTGGCTACTCGGGAGGCTGAGGTAGGAGAATGGCATGAACCTGGGAGGCAGAGCTTGCAGTGAGCCGAGATCGCGCCACTGCACTCCAGCCTGGACAACAGAAGGAGACTCCATCTCAAAAAAAAAAAAAAAAAAAAAAAAGAAAAAATTAGTAAATTTCTACAACTTAGAAATTTTAGAAGGTGTTATAAAAACAAATATTTTTCCCTTAAGTTAAATTATTCTAAATAATCTTATTTCTCCTGAAAGGGGACTCAGATTAATTACTTTAAGTATTAAATTTTAAAAGTAACCATAAGGCAGCGAGCCTTGTTCTACAAGCAACACTTGAAAAACACAGCAAAAGAAACAAAAACATTTCATTACTTTGTTGTCCTCCACAAAAGTAAGACCACAATGGAAGAACAAAACTAGTTTTTGTTTATTTTTTAAACCTGCCAAAACATGCAAATAGTGCCCCTAAAGAAAAAAAACTTATTGTATTATTTTCATTTTTCTTAAAAATAGTTACTAGGCTTCAACTTTAAAATACCTGAACTAGTAAATTCTTTAACATAATGACCTCGTTTACACTCAAGAATTTATAATAAAGTATGTACCTACATAGAAGTACAGCAGTAAGTCCACAGTAAAGAAAAAGAACTATGAGCTGATTTACCACTATTTAGGAGTCTTTACCAACAACCCAGTGGCTACAAAGTCATATGGTATCCATTCTTTGCAACACAAAACTGTCTTTAACCTATGAGCAATAACAACAGGAGTATATGCCAACACTGCATGTGACAAAACGAACTGCAAAGAGTTCAATGGAGGCGGTTTAAATCTTTATTTGGAGAGGAAACCTGTATTCAGAGATGAAGTAACTTACTTAATATTACACAACTGTCCAGGAACTGGTAAGAGATGAGACCAGTTTTAAAACCAAGTCTTTCTATCAGGGATTCTATCTAATCCTAAAGTGCACAGTCCCTATACTGGCCTGCTTCCAACCATCATGCGGCTTACTGGATAACAGCAGAAAAACACTGGTTACAGCTGCAGTCTTAAAACACTGACTGCTATTGCTGTTTCTCCTCCACTAGTTAGTTCCTCAGTCCCACACTCACAAATAAGACCTTGCCAATCATGTCAGTAAAAGCAAATTCTGTAAGCTTAAGTTCACCAATTCACTAACATTATAATCCTTATTTCTTCCAATGCCTCCTACAGCTCCTGACCCTTTCAGATGAAACAAGTATAAACACATTTCCCAAGCATCATTTACTAGTATATCTGTGTATGTTTAGGTGAAGGTAGAAGGGTAATGTGCTAGCCCTACAATTACTATCACACCTCATCATATTTTTAAGACACTTATAAATTAATAGGGTTAGACACCTAGAAGGACAATGATGGACAGCCCATCCAAAAATATTTTTCTGTTCATTAGTGTCCACCTAACATACACATACATTTTGTTACCAAGGGTTAAAATAACATTTGGTAACTTTTAAGCTCCACACATTATATGGAAGACAGGAATAATAATTTCTTAGCTGTTGTTCCTCAGAAGCTGCTTTTTAAAAATTATTTTATAAAGGAGAGCAGTAACATGCAGTAAGATCTCCAGTACTTAAAATTTTCATTTGTGCTATTTATATTGGTGACAGACCACAAGAGGGCATAAACCTATGAGTTTCTAAGGCAAGTTAAATACAATGCCACACTAAAACTAGACTGGAACAGAAAGCCTAAAAGGTCAAGAGTACTTCTTCATCTTTGATACTTTTCTCAAAAATGCTTCACTTCTAAAACTTGTCTCACCATACTGCAATTTTAAATTCTTCCTGTATGGGTTAATGCATAATATAACAGTTTGGGAACTGTGCTAATCAGAGCTGTCTAAATTTATATAGTTTGCTTCTCCTGCTAGACTGTGGCTTCAAGACAGATCTTACTATTTTGGTTTTAAAGCTGCTGAGTCAAAAAGAAAATAGTATCAGTGGGAGCTGAAGCCAATGGATACTGGACATACATGTTATGTGACAGTTACTTAAAAGCTGAAAATAATTTCTTAAAAGATAGATTTGTCAAGTAGATGTATAAATATCATTACCAAAGTATACAAATAGTGTACTTTCAACAAAATTTACAAAAATTACAAATCTTTTAAGTAAACCCCTTTGCAAATAAGGGAGGAATTGACTACAGGTTCCTAACAGAAAAAAATGCAATAAGCACTGGGATAAACTGTAATAAACTGAGTGTTGCTGTATAAAAACCACCATAGCCTGAGCAGAGTGGCTCACGCCTGTAATCTTAGCACTTTGAGGCCCAGGCCAGTAGATCACATGATGCCAGGAGTTCAGACCAGCCTAGCCAACATGGTGAAACCCCGTCTCTACCAAAAATACAAAAATTAGCCAGGTGTGGTGGTGCATGCCTGTAATTCCAGCTACTCAGGTAGCTTGAATTGCTTGAACCAAGGAGGTGGAGGTTGCAGTGAGCCGAGATCACACCACTGCACTCCAGCCTGGGAGACAGACAGAGACCCTGTCCCCAAAAATAAATAAATAAATAAATAAATCAACCACCATAAAAGTAAAGAAAACCATTTCAATTTTAAACAAATTATGTTCCAAATATGCTGCAAAGCAAAACTGCTAATGAAAGCTAAGTCCAATTATATGGAGCCACTTCTGAAAACACTTACATGTTCTTATTTAAAATGTTAGCTAAGATGGAATCAAAAGTCTCCTTAATCTTTACCTTTATGTTTTAGCCAGATTCCTCCTACACAGGCTTCTAAGCATTTTTTCCTGTATGCCAATCTAGTCTCGTTTTACACAAATATCGGACTATGTCTAACGTGCTCTGGCACTATACATCTCCCTCCCTTGTTGGCTTTACCTACAAACTGGGCTCTTTTTTTCTTTCAGTAATCATTACTCACTATCTTAAGTATTCTATTACAGTTTTCTCCTATTGGAAATATTTTAAGAGTGGTGACACATACATTCAGTAATACTTCTAAGAATGAAGACGTTTACATGTTTGGAGGGTTTTGGGGGTGACTTGAACTAGAGATCCAGGAACTCTAACTGTTCTGGCTGAAAGCTCCATGAGGTAGGGCCATGTAGTAAACATAACATTTGCAATGAAACATATGAATATTCAAAATGTAATAAATGCCTCACCCATATAAGTTCCAGTTTTGTCAACAATGAATATGCCATAAACTTAAGAATAACTGTGTTTTCAGTGCTTTTCAGGCTTCCGAACTGCAGATAAGAAATTGTGACCTACATTTCTGAATCTGAAATACTGCCTGAATTCCACCTTGCATGCCCACTGTTTTATCAGAGATTATCAATCATTTCTTCTCCATTCACATGCCTTCCTCGTAGAAACCCTGCCCTTCTCCCATAAAGAATGGGTAAAGAATCCCATTTCTCCGTCTGTAGCCACAATAAAGGGAGAGGATAGATACCTGCTGCTAACTGGACCAACCTCATTTACTTTGGACATCAGAGCCTGAGGTGATTACAGATTCTGGTCCTAAAAGAAAGACCACTATAGGATCTGCACAAGCTAACCAACCATCTAAAGCAGCTGGTACAGGAAACAACATAAATGTACAAGAAAACAAAACACAGAGACCCAAAAAACTCCTACCCTTGACTCCCTCCTGACTTCTTACAGTAAATTATTTCATAATTTCCTAAGCATCTGTATGATTTGCAACTAAGAAAACTTTAGAGTAGCAAACTTGCCACACAGGTTAGGAGGAGAATGTGCCTGTGAAAGGCTCAAAGGAAACAAACAGTCCACTGAAGAGTAAATACAAGTAGAAGAAAAAAAAAAAAAAACAGGAAAATATACTCCCAGGTAACAAAAAAGTCAAATTAAAGCAATCTTATTTAGCATTAATTAAAGAAGTACATTTTTATTTTAAACACCACTGGCCGGGTGTGGTGGCTCACACCTGTAATCCCAGCACTTTGGGAGGCCGAGACAGGTGGATCACCTAAGATCAGGAGTTTGAGATCAGCCTGGCCAAGATGGTGAAGCCCTATCTCTACGAAAAATACAAAAAATTGGCCAGGCGTTGTGGCAGGCGCCTGTAATCCCAGCTACTCAGGAGGCTGAGGCAGGAAAATCAAACCCGGAAAGCAGAGGTTGCAGTGAGCCAAGGTCACGCCATTGCACTCCAGCCTGGGCAACGAGAGCAAAACTCCGTCTCAAAAAAAAAAAAAAAAACAAAACAAAAAACAAAAACAAAAGAAACCACCACTGTCAGTGAGACTGTAGTAAAAATCTCAAATCACACTAAATCACTGCAAGTAGCTATGTAAATTCAAAACTCAGTCTAGACTTGCGTAATACCTCCAAGTAGGACAAAAAAAGCTTGTAACTCTCAGAAAGTAGAAGAGACAGACAGATAAATACAAAAATTATCTCTTTAAAGGCACCCAAGAGCTGCCAAAGCAGTGAGGACAAGAGGGACCAAGGATTCAGAGAGGGGAGAACTGTGGAGAAGTGAGCTGATCATCTGAAGCCACTTTTTTCTCAGACAACAGGAGGCACAGGCAAGAGGCTGAGAATTATGTTGGGCCCTGAGGAGACAGCCATGGCTAGCAGAAAGAAACAAGCAGAACTTGCGCAGTCTGACAAGGCTATATGGTAGTAAAATGAGAGCACAAGAGAGGTCTTAAGCATACAACTGCTTTCCCTCCCATGGTATCTGTCAAATTCTGAGCTGCGAAGGCCAAAAAGATAAACTAAAACTCTGAAAAGCAGAGCTCAGGATCAAACAAAAATTAGTTCAGAAGCCTC
The DNA here is from genome assembly GCF_000001405.40 of Homo sapiens. Lineage (NCBI taxonomy): Eukaryota > Metazoa > Chordata > Mammalia > Primates > Hominidae > Homo > Homo sapiens. The sequence goes on along the minus strand of NC_000019.10, from coordinate 29,963,888 downwards.
CAAGGAAATATGGTGTAGTGAGCAAAATCAAGCTTCCAGATGAAAGCCTGAAGAAACCAGAAGCAGCAGATGGCTTACTAAAACAACAACCTGGCCTTCACTCCACCCAGCACCTGCCCGGAGTAAGGTGACCAGCTCCCACTGCATCTGCTTCAGTAGAAGAAAGGACGCGCCTTTTCCAGAGGAAGTTATCACCTTCAGGAATATCTACAATCTTTAAAGACACAATCCCAGGATTTAGTCAAAAATAACTAGGATGCCAAGAAACAGGATCATATGACCAAAAGTCAAAAGAAAAAATATATAAAACAGAACCAAACACACATGCAATCTAGATACTGGTGTTAACAAACATAATGATTAATATGTTCAAGGAAATAGAGGAAAAGATAAAAGGAATATATTTTAAAAATAGCAATTTTCACTAGAGAACTGAAATCTACAGGAAGAAACCAATGAAAATTGTACAACTGAAGAACCAAAAATTAAAATAAATGGCATTAAAAGAAGATTAAACAGCAGAAATCAGGATTTTTGAACTTGACAGGTCAAAAGAAAACACCAAATTAAAGCCCAGAGATTCAAAAATAAAACATGGAAAATACAGAAAAGACCAATAAGAGACATGTGAAACACAGTGTAAGTGCAAGATCCAGAAAGGGAAGAGAGAATGCAGCAGAAGCAATATTGAAAAGATCTTGAATTCTGGATTTTCTAAAACTGATATCAAAGTATCAGCCGATAGACTGAAGAAACTCCAAGAATCCCAAGCAAGAGAAGCACAAAGAAAATTTCAAGGCACAACATAGTTAACAGTGATGAAAACCAAAGAAAAAGGGAAAACTTTATGTGCAGCTGGGGGTAGGCGGAGGAGGCACAGGGGAGATTCACAGCCTTCAAAGGAGTGACAAGACTTAGAGCTAGAGCTAACTTCAACATCAATGACAGAAAGTGAAAGATAACAGAGTATCTTGAAATGCTGGAAAAAATAACTGAAAATCTATAGTGACATACACAGCAAATAGATCCTCCAACATGAAGGAAAAAATAACATTTTCAACAGAAACAGAATTCTGCACCAGCAGACTTTCATTAAAAGAAATACGGTTTATTAAACTAGACATGTTGTTAATAAAATGTCTTATCAAAAAAATTATTAAACTAGATATTGTTATTAAATAAGTGTGATCGGTTAAAAAAAAGACAGCAACAACAACAAAAAGGACTCTTCAGAGTAATATAAATGCAGAAAGAATTGAAGAGTAAAGGTACAGGATAAAAAAAAAAAAAGATGGGTAAAGATAAATCAATATTGACCACACAGAACAATTAAATACAGTGTTGTGGTGTTTAAAATACGTAGAATTAAAATGCATGGGAGCAATCATGCAAGAGGTGGGCTGGATAAATGAATGAATGCTATGATCTCTAGAGACACCAGAGACTTACTTAGTGAAAAGGAATTGTAAAAAAAAAAAAAAAAAAAGATACTATAAATACATATTATATTTAGTACTAAACCATAAGTACAGTATAAAAGTAGTAAAAAATAATGTATCACAAACAAGTTAATAGGAGGAAATAACAATACAAAATGTTTGATCCAAAGGAAGGAAAAAAAAAAAGCAGAGAAAAAAGAACATAAAAGTACATCAATTAGAACTATAATGGGGAACCATTTGACACTCCAGTAATGAGGATGGTCCTTACAGAAAACAAAAACAGCCAATGCAAATGCCAAAAGTTGCCCAGTATGTGGACTGGAACCCTTGTGAATTTGTCCGGGAATGTAAAATGGTACAGTCACCGGAGAAAGCAGTGTGGCAGTTCCTTAAAAATTAAACACAGAATTACCATATGATCCAGAAATTCCACCTCTGAGCATACCCAGAAGAATCGAAAGCAGCCGGGCGCAGTGGCACACGCCTGTAATCCCAGCACTTTGGGAGGCCGAGGTGGGTGGATCACCCGAGGTCAGGAGTTCGAGACCAGCCTGACCAACATGGTGAAACCCCAACTCTACTAAACACAAAAAATTAGCCAGGGGTGGTGGTGCATGCCTGTAATCTCAGCTACTTGGGAGGCTGAGGCAGGAGAATCACTTGAACCCAGGAGATAGAGGTTGCAGTGAGCCGAGATTGTGCCATTGCACTCCAGCCTGGGCAACAAGAGTGAAACTCCATCTCAAAACAAACAACAAAAAAAAAAAAAAACAAAAAAAAAAGAATCAAAAGCAGATACTTAAACCAAACACCCATGTTCACAGCAGCATTACTCAAAATCACCATAAGGTAGAGGCAACCCAAGTATCCATGGATGCTAAAATAAACAAAAACGTATAATACACTGCATAATACATTCTATAATACAATGGAATATTATTCAGCCTTAAAAAGGAAGAAATTCTGATATGTGCCACAACGTGGACGAACCTTGAGACATTATGGTAAGTGAAATAACCCAATCACAAAAGGACAAATACTCTATGATTCCACTTAAAGGTACTTAGAGTAATCAAATTCATAGAGACAAAAAGTATAATAGAATGCTGGCAGCCAGATCAGGAAGGGGAAGAATAGAGAGTTATTGTTTAATGAACAGAGTTTCAGTTTTGCAAGATTTAAAAAAAAAAAAAAAAAAAGGCCTGGAGATGGATGGTAATTACGGTTGATCAACAACGTGAATATACCCAATGCCACTGAACTGTATACTTAAAAATGATTAAAATGGGCTGGTCATGGTAGCTCATGCCTATTTCCCAGCACTTTGAGAGGCCAAGGCAGGACGACCGCTTGAGGCCAGGAGTTCGAGACCACCCTGGGCAACATAGTGAGTCCCTGTCTATACAAAAAAAAAAATTTTTTTTTTTAATTAGCTAGGCCCAATGGCATGCACCTGTAGTCCCAGCTACTCAGGAGACTCAGGCAGGATCACTTGAGCTCAGGAGTTCAAGGTTGCAGTGAGCTATGACCATACCACTGCACTCCAGCCTGGGTGACAAAGCAAGACACAGTCTCTTAAAATAAAATTATTAAAATGGTAAATTTTGTTATATTTACTACAATTTTTTGAATAAAAAATAAATACAATGTACGTCTAATAGAAAGGTGATAAAATTAAATATATCAGGAATCCTACTACATATAATGGCTTAAAATACTCTAAATAAAAGGAAAAGATATCTAGACTGAATATTAAAACCACAACAATATGCTGTTTATAAGACACACTTCGAACCCAAAAGACTGAAGTTAAGAAGATTTTTTTTAAAGATAGACAAAACAAACAAATTTAGCTGGTGTGACCATACTAATACTAATATCCAACAAAGGAGACTTGAAGGCAAGTAGCATTACTAGAGATAAAAATATCTCAGAATGGTGAAAAGGTCAACTGACCAGGAAGTTTTTACAATTTTAAATTTGTATACAATGAATAACATAGCTGTAAAATATATAAAGCAAAGGTTAAAAAAAGAGAGAAAAATAAATCTATAATCCTAGTGACTATTTTAATACATATCTCAATAAATGATAGAATTAGCAGACAAAAAAATTAACAAGGACATAAAATACTGGAACAACATATTCAAGCAGCCTGAACTAACAGACACATACTGAACCCAAAAACTGCAGGATTAACATTTTTTTCCAAGTAAATTATGAAAAATTTACCAAGAAAAAGAAAACATTAGGTCAAAAGGCAAGACTTAAATTTCAATTATGCAGAATGTGTACTCTGACCACACTAGAGAAACAGAAAAATAAGTAGAAAATAATGTTTGAAAAGGAATGTATTTCCAATTTATGGGTCAATGAGCAAATCACAATAGAAATTAGAAACTATTTTTAAATGACTGATAAGGAAAATGACATACAAAATGTGTGCAGTACCTAAGGCAATGATTAAGAGAAAAATTTAAAGCTCAAAATGCATATCTTATAATAAGGAAAGGTTAATATTAGTAACCTCAACCATCATCTCTAAGGGCTAGAAAAATTACAGGCAAAGGAAAATCTTAAACAGGAAAAAAGAGAGAAGAAATCAGTAAAGTAGAAAGCAGACTTAGAAAAGAGGAAAAAAATCAAAGGCAAAAATATAAAATATAAAATTGATAAACCCTTAAGAAGAGAAATCAAGGGAGGAAAAAACCCACAAATTAAAAATTACAGTAATTAAAAAGAGGACATCACCACCAAATCTACTGATAATAAAAAGATAACAGGATATTATGATAACTCGGAGGGACAACAAGCTTGAAAACTTAGAAAGGACAATTCCTTGAAAATCACATTTTCTAAAATGATATAACTAGAAACAGAAAATCTGGATAGTCTTTGAACTTTCAAAGAAATTGAGGTCGTATCTTAAAATCTCCATACAAAATGTCCAAGAAAAATATTGGGCCCAGACGGCTTTGTTGATGAACTCTTCCAAACATTTAAGTTAGAAACAGTACGAGCCAGGCACAGTGGCTGACTAGCCTGTAGTCCATCATTTTGGGAAGCCAAGGCAGATGGATAGCTTGATCCCAGAAGTTCAAGACCAGCCTGGGCAACATAGTGAGACTCTGTCTCTACAAAAAATACAGAAAAATTAGCCAGGCATGGTGGCGCATTCCTATAGCCCCAGCTACTCGGGGAGACTGAGGCGAGAGGATCACCTGAGCCTGGGAGTTCCAGGATGCAATGAGCCAGGATTGGCCACTGCACTCCAGCCTGGATGAGAGCGAGATTCTGTTTCAAAAAAACAAAAACAAAACACACACACAAAAACCAATAACAACAGTGTATAAACTTTTATAGGATATACAAAAATGGGAGTTGTTTCATGAGACCAGCCTAATTCTGAAGCCAAATCCTTACGTCGACATTACAAGAAAAGAAAATCATAGGTTTAAGGTAGTGTTAATGTTTTTTGTTGTTTTTTTTTTGAGACGGAGTCTCACTTGCCCAGGCTGGAGTGCAGTGGCGTGATCTCAACTCACTGCAACCTCCACCTCCCGGGTTCAAGCAATTCTCATGCCTCAACCTTCCGAGTAGCTGGGATTACAGGCCCCCGCCACCACACCCAGCTTATTTTTGTATTTTTTGTAGAGATGGGGTTTCACCATGTTGGCCAGGCTGATCTCAAACCCCTGACCTCACGTGATCCGCCCACCTCAGCTTCCCAAAGTGCTGGGATTACAGGTGTGAGCCGCAGCACCCTGGTAGAGTTAATCAAAAAAAAAGAAAAAAGAAAAGAAAAGAAAGAATTACAGAATTTTGCCTCATGTAACAGAACAAAATACCTTAATAAAATATTATCAAATTTAATCTAGCAATATACAACAAGGTAAACACATCCTCTACAAATGGGTTTGCTGCAGGAATGCAATGGCATTTGAATATTTTTAAAGAATCAAAGTAATTTACCATATTGTTATCTCAAGAAACATAGAAAATACATTTGATAAAATTCAGCATCCATTAATGATAAAATTAGCAACAGGAGAAAATGTCCTTATTTTCATAACGAGTAGCTACAAAAAGCCAACTACGAACATCTGTATGGTGAAATACTTAAAACTGCCCTCCTGGTATGTAAAGCCCAATGTCCTAACTTTTATTTTACATTATATTAAAGGTTCTAGCCCATACAATAGGGCAAAAAACAAAACAAAACAAACAACCATAAAAAAAAACTTAAGAACTGGAATGAATAAAACTGTCAGTATTTACAAACAACATGCCTGTATGTAACTACACAGATACTATCAGAATGTACAGGCAAGTAATTAGAATTCAAATAAATTTAGGCCAGGCATGGTGGCTCACACTTGTTGTGGTCCCAGCACTTTGGGAAGCAGAGGCGGGTGGATCACTTGAGGCCTGGAGTTGGAGACTAGTCTGGCCAACACAGCAAACTCATCTCTATTTTTTAACAACAACAAAAAATTTTAGAACAAAGTCAATATGTAAAAATCAAGTATGTTACCAGCAAAAAAAAAAAAAAAAATGAATAGCAAGTAAATTACAAAAGGCAACAAAAAATAGTATCTAGAAATAAATCTAACACATGAAGATTTATATACTTTTAAAAGCTAATACTAAAAAGTTATAGAAGTAAATAAATTGATATACCATGTTCATAGATTTTAAAACTTAATATTGTAAACATCTTAATTCTCCTCAAACCGATCTTTAGATCCAGTGCACTCCAAGCAAAACCCCAGTAATGTTATTTTTTGAGTATTGGAAAGGTGATCCTAAAATATATACAAAAAAGCAAAGGGTCAGAATAGTAAAGACAATCTTGAAGAACAAAGTGCTAGAGGAATTTTACTACTAGATATCAAGACCTATTATAAAGCTAAAATAGTAAGAGTGTGATACTGGTGCAATTACAGGCAAATAATCCAATGGAACAGAATAGAGAAACAGAGCTACACACAAATAATCACATAATTTATGAAACAGACAACATACTCCATAAGGATTACTCTGGCTGCTAAAAGAAAGCTTAACCCCCTCCAGAATCCCTAGAATTTTTTGTTACAATATCTGGCATCCAGTTCAAAATTACAAGGTACAAGGCAATCTATAAAAACAAAAGCGGCTATAAAGAAACCAAGGGGAAGGAATAAAAGCAGACCTTCATTTGATTGACATATTGCATTTATAAAATATAATAGACTTTATGATTAATACATTCATGAAAACAGAAGAAAAGTTGCAGATGTCAACAGAAACTTGGAATCCATTTTAAAATTTCAAAACATAAATTGTATTTCTTTTACGGTTTTCCTGCTGATAAATCCAAAAGAATTATAAGCAGGAAAATGACAAAATGACATCATCCAATTTGCATTCTTAAAAAGACTACTCTGGGCCACTTTTTTTTGCTGCGTTTACTGTGAGAATGAAGACCATTCTCAGCAATCAGACTGTTGACATTCCAGAAAATGTCAACGTTACTCTGAAGGGACGCACAGTTATCATAAAGGGCCCCAGAGGAACCCTGCGGAAGGACTTCAATCACATCAACGTAGAACTCAGACTCCTTGGAAAGAAAAAAAAGAGGCTCCGGGTTGACAAATGGTCGGGTAACAGAAAGGAACTGGCTACCGTTCGGACTATTTGTAGTCATGTACAGAACATGATCAAGGGTGTTACACTGGGCTTCCATTACAAGATGAGGTCTGTGTATGCTCACTTCCCCCATCAACGTCGTTATCCAGAATGGGTCTCTTGTTGAAATCCGAAATTTCTTGGGTGAAAAATACATCCGCAGGGTTCAGATGAGACCAGGTGTTGCCTGTTCAGTACCTCAAGCCCAGAAAGATGAATTAATCCTTGAAGGAAATGACACTGAGCTTGTTTCAAATTCAGCAGCTTTGATTCAGCAACCCACAACAGTTAAAAACAAGGATATCAGGAAATTTTTGGATGGTATCTATGTCTCTGAAAAAGGAACTGTTCAGCAGGTTGATGAATCAGATCTAAGAGTTATCCAGCTACAGAAAGAAGATGCCAGATGACTCCTAAGACATACTTGTGATATTTCAATGATGCAATAAAAGACCTATTGATTTGGACCTTCTTAAAAAAAAAAAAAAAAAAAAGACTACTCTGGGCCAGGCGCCGTGGCTCATGCCTGTAAAATTTTGGGAGGCCGAAGACAGGTGGATCACCTGAGGTCAGGAGTTTGAGACCAGACTGACCAACATGGCGCTCATCTCTACTAAAAATACAAAAATTAGCTGGGTGTGGTGGCGGGCACCTGTAATCCCAGCAACATGGGAGGCTGAGGCAGGAGAATCGCTTGAACCCAGGATGTGGAGGTTGCAATGAGCCAAGACCACTCCATTGCACTCCAGCCTGGGCAACAAGAGCGAAACTCCATCTCAAAAAATAAAAAAAAAAAAAGACTACTCTGGGAAATAGACAGAAGAGGAACAAAGTGGAACTACCAAGGCCAGCCAGGAATTACTGCCTCTTTTGTAAGAAATGATAACTGGGCCAGGCACGGTGGCTCACGCCTGTAATCCCAGCACTTTGGGGGGCCAAGGAGGGCACATCACCTGAGGTCAGGAGTTTGAGACCTGCCTGGTCAACATGGTGAAATCCTGTCTCAACTAAAAATATAAAAATTAGCTGGGCACGGTGGTGGGTGCCTGTTAATCCCAGCTACTTGGGAGGCTGAGGCAGGAGAATCACTTGAACCCAGGAAGAAAGAAAAAAAAAAAGAAAAGAAAAAAATGGTAACTGGGAAAATGGCAATGAAGATCACAGGAAACAGCCAATTCAAGGAATTCCTAGTTTTCAGATATAATATTCTTCTATTTCTCTTATGTATTTTTATTTCACATTATAAATTAAATTAAACATAATAGTTCATTGAGAGGGTGGTTATAAATATGGATAAAGCTAAACAAATTTACCCTTTGACTCAGTAATCCAACTCTAGGACTTTACCCAAAGTTACTTCACAAATGAGAAACAACATATGCATAAAGTGATTTACTGAGGCATTATCTATACTATCAAGAGACTAAAAAACACCAAATGCCCATCAATAAGATATCAGCTGAATATCTGATGACACAGACATAAAGCACTATGCAACCACAAAATATGATAAGGAGGCCGGGCACGGTGGCTCACGCCTGTAATCTCAGCACTTTGGGAGGCCGAGGCAGGCGGATCACGAGGTCAGGAGATCGAGACCATCCTGGCTAACACAGTGAAACCCCGTCTCTACTAAAAAATTAAAAAAAAAAAAAAAATTAGCTTGGCTGAGGCAGGAGAATAGCATGAACCCGGGAGGCGGAGCCGAGAATGCACCGCTGCACTCCAGCCTGAGCAACAGAGCGAGACTCCATCTCCAAAAAAATAAAAAAAAAATGATGAGGAATATCTCTATGAACCAGAGTAATTCCCAGGTTTATCATTTAATGAGATGAACAAAAGGCAAAATAAGCTGCCTTTTGTATAAGAAAGCAGTATGGAGGGGAGATAAAGTGAACACATGTATTTTTGAAGAAGAAACAGAGGAAGGACAGGTCAAAAGTGAATGTAAATGGTTATCTAGGCCGGCTGTGGTGGTTCACACCTGTAATCCTAGCACTTTGGGAGGCTGAGGCGGGCAGATCACCTGAGGTCAGGAGTTTGAAACCACCCTGGCGAACATGGTCAAACTCCATTTCTACTAAAAATATTTTTTAAATTAGCCGGGCATGGTGGTGGGCGCCTGTAATTCCAGTTACTTGGGAGGCTGAGGCAGGAGAATTGCTTGAACCTGGGATGTGGAGGTTGCAGTGAGCCGAGATTGCGCCACTGCACTCCAGCCTGGGCAACAAGAGTGAAACTCTGTCTCAAAAAAAAAAAAAAAAAAAAGTTTATCTGTAGGGGTAAGTAAGAGCAGGAATGGGAATGAATCAGAATTACCTCAGTAGGGATAACTTTTGATTTAGTTGTGATTTTGAACCATGCAAATGTTTTCATGTATTCATAAAATGCAATTAAGTGAAAAAGATAAAAAACAAATACTAAGATTCAATATAAATAAAAATCCAAGGTATAACTGCACAGAAAAAAAGTAATTCAAGTGACTTTTGGGATCAGTACCCTAACTGTACACCCCAAAAGCATTAATTACACAAAAGCCAATGAAACTGCAAAGACATTTTGAACTTTACTTCAGGTTTGCCATTGGCAGTGGTATTAATGCAGTAATTCTGAAGCTATTTTGTATATATTGTAGGATAGAGCAAATGAATAAATGCAGATGTTGAGAACCAAGGTTTTCACTATGAAAGAAGGGGAGTTTCAAATATAGACTGGGGAAAATTTAAGAAGAACCTTGTGGTAATGGATTTGAATTCAAAGTATCAGGGTATACAGTCAGGGTCCATTGAACCCAGTTTTATTTTTTTAGTTTCTTTCTTGAGTAGTTCTAACTATTTGCAAGGATTAATATTTCATGCCTTTTATCTTCTCTTAGAGGCCTTCCAAGGAATCAAAAGAAAATTTTCCTATTAAGAAAAAAAAAACTCATTTTATTCTGCAATTACCATATGAATACAGTGGCTTTGTAAGTCTAAGATACACTACAGGATCCTAGTGATTATGTTTTTCCTGCATCTTGCCATTTCATCATCACCTTAGTAATTATTTTATGATCAACTATTCCTAACTACGCTCTAAAAAAAAAAAACTAATAAGAAAATGAGAAAATGGAAGAATTATGGAATCACTCAGAAGGATAATGCAATCAACAGCAAAATATCATCCTTCCATTGTCTACTGCATTGCCTAGGATATTGCATCATCTTTCAAGACAGTATAAATGATAACAGACACCATCTTTGTACTCTGCTTTTCGCTTTCAATAAACACAGTTGAGAATTCAGATTGTTTTTACTTTCTGCCTATAATGGAAAGAGGAAAAAAGTGATGGAAAGATACTTCACAATTATTAAATGAATCAGATTATGAATATAAAGAGCTAGTAGCACTCTTGACCAATGAAGTCCAATAAATTTTTTTTTTGATGAAGGGAATCTTCATCAGCACAGACCAATACAACAGTCAATAGCCAAATGTGACTAATGAGCACTTGAGATGTGGCCATTGTAACCAAAAAACTGAATTTTTATTTTACTTAATTTTAATTAATTTGAATTTTGAATTTAAGTATAATAGCCACATGTGGTTAATGGCTACCACATTGGTTAGCGCAGAAAGACACTCGTGATGGTGAAATGAGAGCATAAATTAAATCTCAGATTATGAGCCTTCAGATGAAAATATCCTAGATGAATTTTCTCAAAATCAACAATCAATGAATATACAGAAATTAACTCAAAACGGATCAATGACCTAAATATAAGCGCTAAAATCATGAAATCCCTAGAAGGAAACATAGGTATAAATCTTCAAGACCTTGGATCTGGCAATGGATTCTTAGATATGACACCAAAAAACACAAGCAACAAAATGTATAGTCATAAATGACTTGGGGTTTGGGGGAGGGGAGAATGACAGCGTTATTGCTTAATGGGTAGAGAGTTTCTGTTTGGGGTGACGAAAAAGTTTTAGAAAGAATAGTGATGGTTACCTAACAGTGAATGTAATCAATGTCACTGAAAAGTATACACACAAGAAATGTTAAATGGCAGATTTTATTAAATATATTTAGTTTACCATAATAAAACAAGATTGCTAGAATAAAAGATCTCTAAACTCTATTTCCTCTTCTACTCCTGTAAGTTTTTTAAATTCTTGAGGTCAGAGGCTAGGAGAAAAAAACCCTGAAGACACCAGAAATAGGTTCTTAAAGCAGGCATTCTGTAATGGTTTATCTTTGTATTGTTTTAAGTCCTAGAAGAAACCATGCCAATGGAGGAAGAAAACTACATGCATCTGAACTTAGTGAATGTTAAAAAAGAGTTGACTGATTAGAATAAGGAAAAATTAAGAATCCGTGAGTGAACACTATACTTGTAAGAACAAAAAGGAAATAGGATATTCCCATCCAGTCAGTCATTCAACAGGAAAGACTTCATGATGCAAGAACCTGGATAATCTCATTGTTCTAAGAGGACATGTGGCAGTATTCTTAAATCTCTTATAATCTTTGTGCATCAAGATTTGCTTAATATAAAGAGAACTGCTGTGTTTAAATTCTGATTAAACTTTCCAATAAAATTGTTTTTCACTAACCCTTATTCTTAGACCTGTAAATTATTTGCAAAAATTACTTAAAAATATAAACAGTAAACAGGATCCACTGGACCTAGATGGTAAATGGTGATGACTGCTTTTTCTGGTATATTGAAGGTTAATATATTTCCTTAGTACTGTCTGCTTGATGCAATTAACACCCCAGCAGCAATCAGCACTACTTGTGTCCATATCTTGGTTTCTAAGCATTTCTTATTTTATAAGGCTCTTGGAAGAAACAGTCAATTTCAGGACTAAGGCAAACTACAGGGCAAGCCTGGAACATCCTGTGCCAGAAAGCAAGGTAACGATCAAATAATGAAAAAAGAATGCACAAGCCAGGCACGGTGGCTCACGCCTGTAATCCCAGCACTTTGGGAGGCCAAGGCAGGTGGATCACCTGAGGTCAGGAGATCGAGACCAGCCTGGCCAACATGGTGAAACCTCGTCTCTACTAAAAATACAAAAAAGTAGCTGGGCGTGGTGGCAGAGGCCTGTAATCCCAGCTACTTGGGAGGCTGAGGCAGGAGAGTCACTCGAACCCAGGAGGCGGAGGTTGCAGTGAGCCAAGATCGTGCCACCGCACTCCAGCCTAGGCAACAAGAAACTCTGTCTCAAAAAAAAAAAAAAAGAATGCATGCTTGAGCCAGCTTGAAGGGGCTCCCATTGGCCAAATTTAGAACAATTTGAACATCAAAAGGAATGAAGAAATCACATCACTCTCAACTTGAAACAACAAAAAAATGAGTTTATTGTGAAACTAAAGGGGGGGGTGCTAGAGTTCTTGTTGCTCGAAAAACATAAACTAATAAATACATTGTTAGAAAATCACTAATTAGCAAACACCAATATAACTGATTTAGGCAAGGATCATCCATGGCAAAAGGCTTTTGAGGAATAGGATATTTACACTGTCTTCAAGTACTATACCATTTAAAGGTAACTTTATGATGGAGAGACTTGACATCTTAAACAAGTGGTTAGCAACACTAATAATGGGACAAAAATGACATTATGTGTCTCCTGATGTGATGCAATGGAAAGTCATCATCATCTATGTAATCACGCGTGTATGTGTGTGTGTGTTTTTAGAGACAGGACCTTACCACTTTGTTGCCCAGGCTGGACTCCACCTCCTGCCTCAGCCTTCGGAGCTTTTGGAGTAACTGGGACTATAGGCTTGTGCCACCAACCAGCTATCTACGTAGTATTCTTGCCAAAAATGTTTGTTTCTTCATGATTATGTTCATTAGACATCTCCAAATTGTGGGACGTTCTACAAGAAAACTGATCTAACGCTTCAAAAATGCCAATTTCATAAAGACAGAAGGTGGCGGGGAATAATTTTAGATGAAAGAAGATTAAGGAGCTAAGAGAGTCAAATGCCATAGTAATCTCTGATTGGCTCTTGCATTGAAAGAGAGTTATAAAGGACATTTTTAGAAAAACTGAGAAAATGTGAATATGGTACATGTCAATGTTAATTTCTTGAGTGTAAAAAAAGATATGGTTATGTAGAAGAATGACCTTGATGTAAAATGATAAGTGCTTCAGTATTATTGATGTGATGATGTCTGCAATTCACTTTTGAATGGTTCTGCAGGGGGAAAAGGGAAAAAAAAGGAATATATAAAGAGAAAAGCAAATAGGACAAAATGCTAACTGATTACTCTAAACAGTGGTCATCATATTGTTCTTTCACCTTTCCTGTACTTTTATAATTTTTCAAATAAACAGTTGTAGTTTAAGGGGGGAAAATTGCATATGACAGACTAAAAAGATTGAGACATCACTCTGGAGATAAGGGCAAGTGATACAAGCTAAAAGGTTCTTAAACTAAAAATGATAACAACAGGTAAAACAAAATAAAGCAGTTATGGCCAAATCACAGATTCCACGCACCTTCTTCCCCCTTTCCCCCCAGTGTTTTGGGACCATTACCATCTTTTCTTCCAATCTAGAGAAGCCTAAAACAATGAAATGGGTTTTTTCCTCCTTGAAATACTGTTTTATGTTTATTGACAACTTCCAAAGAACTAAAACCAAAGTTGTCTCTTCTTATGGCACATTACTGGCACAATACTAAGTGCCAACAACAAGAAGTTTATCTAAAATAAAACTTACAAGTAATGAGTTCTGAAAACTCACCTACCTACAAAACGGAATGTGCCTTCGGCTATACAAGCAAACATATTCTTACAACTGTGCCTTTCTTAAAAAATAAGTAACCTCTCCCTCCCCCTCCCCCTCCCGTCTCCCCACAGTCTCCCTCTCCCTCTGTCTCCATGGTCTCCCTCTGATGCCAAGCCGAAGCTGGACTGTACTGCCGCCATCTCGGCTCACTGCAACCTCCCTGCCTGATTCTCCTGCCTCAGCCTGCAGAGTGCCTGGGATTGCAGGCGCGCGCCGCCACGCCTGAGTGGTTTTCGTATTTTTTTGGTGGAGACAGGGTTTCGCTGTGTTGGCCGGGCTGGTCTCCAGCTCCTAACCGCGAGTGATCTGCCAGCCTTGGCCCCCCGACGTGCCGGGATTGCAGACGGAGTCTCGTTCACTCAGTGCTCAATGTTGCCCAGGCTGGAGTGCAGTGGCGTGATCTCGGCTGGCTACAACCTCCACCTCCCAGCCGCCTGCCTTGACCTCCCAAAGTGCCGAGATTGCAGCCTCTGCCCAGCCACCACCCCGTCTGGGAAGTGAGGAGTGTCTCTGCCTGGCCGCCCATCGTCTGGGATGTGAGGAGCCCCTCTGCCCGGCTGCCCAGTCTGGGAAGTGGGGAGCGCCTCTTCCCGGCCGCCATCCCGTCTAGGAAGTGAGGAGCGTCTCTGCCCAGCCGCCCATCGTCTGAGATGTGGGGAGCACCTCCGCCCCGCCGCCCCGTCTGGGATGTGGGGAGCGCCTCTGCCCGGCCACGACCCCGTCTGGGAGATGAGGAGCGTCTCTGCCCGGCCGCCCCGTCTGAAAAGTGAGGAGCCCCTCCGCCCGGCAGCCGCCCCATCTGGGAAGTCAGGAGCCCCCTCTGCCCCACAGCCGCCCCATCTGGGAGGTGAGGAGCCCCTCCGCCCGGCAGCTGCCCCGTCTGGGAAGTGAGGAGCGTCTCCGCCCGGCAGAAGCCCCGTCCGGGAGGCGGGGGGCAGCCCCCGCCCGGCCAGCTGCCCCGTCCGGGAGGGAGGCGGGGGGCAGCCCCCGCCTGGCCAGCCGCCCCGTCCGGGAGGTGGGGGGCGCCTCCGCCCGGCCGCGGTCCCGTCTGGGAGGTGGGGGGTGCCTCTGCCCGGCCGCCCCTTCTGGGAAGTGAGGACTCCCTCTGCCTGGCCGCCACCCCGTGTGGCAGGTGTACCCAACAGCTCACTGAGAACAGGCCATGATGACGATGGCGGTTTTGTCGAATAGAAAAGGGGGAAATGTGGGGAAAAGATAAAGGAATCGGATTGTTGCTGTCTGTGTGGAAAGAAGTAGACATAGGAGACTACATTTTGTTCTGTACTAAGAAAAATTCTTCTGCCTTGGGATGCTGTTAATCTATAACCTTACCCCCAGCCCCGTGCTCTCTGAAACATGTGCTGTGTCCACTCAGGGTTAAATGGATTAAGGGTGGTGCAAGATGTGCTTTGTTAAACAGATGCTTGAAGGCAAAAAAAAGTAACTTCAACATTACTTATTGAAGTTACAGAACTTACAGAACAAATATACTCTTTTCAATAAATTACCATAATTAAATCAATTTAGAAAAAGCATTTCTAAAATTCAACACCCACTCATAAAAACTCATAGCAAACTTGGAATATAAGGAAATTTCCTTAATCTGATAAAAGCAAATACAAAAATTACTCACAGTAAATACCACACTTAATGGTAAATGTTTAAAAGTTGACCCCTGATGCCCACTACCAGCACTTGAACTGGCCAGTATCAAAAGCAAGAAAAAGAAAGAAACAGCATACGGACTGGAAAGGAGAAAATAAAGGCAATCTTGAGGAACCACAACTAAAACTACACCACCATGTACCAGGTACCAAGATAACACAAAGTCATAATGATTTAGACAGTGTAGGTTTGCTGCAAGAACAGACAAGCCAACAGAACAGTCAAGAAACTGATCTACTTACACAGTCACCTGATTTATGACAAAGATGACAATGCGGTGGAGACATGACACTCTTTCCAATAAATGCTGATGGGACAACTAGGTATCCATACAGTAAAAATGAAACCTGACCTCAATCTCCCCCATATACAAAGCCAATTCCAGGTAGAATGTAGATTCTCAATGTGAAAAGCAAAGCAGTAAAGCTTCTATTAGACAATATAAGAGGATATCTTCAGAAAAGTAGTAAGAAAGACCTCTTAAAAATAAGACAAAAAACACTAACCATGAAGGAAACAATTGTTAAAATTAAAAATGTCTGTTGATCAAAGGACAGACACCACTGTAAGTGCTCCAAGTCAAGCCACAGACCAGGGAAGAAACTTACAATATATAATTGGAAAGGCAGTCATTACTATGAATCAATTAGAATATAACTAACATCCCAATAGAAAGTAGTTAACAGATGAGCAGGTATTTCACAAAAACAAAACACAAAAATCCAAGTAGCCAATAAACATCTGAAAAGGTCATCAACCTCATTACTCATCACTAGATTGGCTAGCAAATATGAAAAGACACATGGTGGTAAAGACTGAAGCAGGGAGAACTTCTGTCCACTGCTAGCAAGCGGTAAACTGGTATAACCACCTTAGAAAAAGCATTCTAAGTGGAACTGAAGACACAAACACGCCATGAGAAAGTTCCAGGCAAAAACTAGAAACAAACTGTTCATCTGAAAAATAAACAGTATTAATGAAAATTCTAAGATCGGATCTGTAAACATCTATCACAATGCGTGGCACACAGAGTTGCTCCCTATAATGTAATTCCATCCGTCCATTTCTTCACATATGCATGACAAATGGATATAATTTAAGATCAGCCTCAAAACACATTCCAATCGTTTCCCATCTCACAAATATGAAAACCAAAACTCTTACAATGATCTGGTACTGCTCTCATACTGGCTAGAAAGCTCTTCTCTAAAATATCCTCCATATATCCACACAGCTCACTCCCCACTTATTTCAAGTTTCTGCTCAAATGGAACCTAACAGAGAAGCCCTCTCTGATGGCTTACAGAAGACACCATCCCTCCACTCACATCCCTCATTCTCTACACGCCTCTTACCTTCCTGTTTTTCTACTTAGCCTTACCTACCAAACACCCAAGGTAAGGCTATGTAACTGCATGCCTTCACCCCTAGAGTGTAACCATGAAAGAAAGAACTTGCTGTATTTTGTTCATTACTGCACACTCAGCAGAACATGCCTGGCATGTAGTAGATACTCATTAAATATTTGTTACATAAATTCTATGGCATGGATTCTAGGCTTGGAAAGAATAGCTGTTATATGGCCTACGTGGCTGACAGTTCTTTAAACTATGTGCAGTTTAGTTTATCACAAGAAATATGAAAACCCTCCATTAAGTTAAATTAGCTGTTCTGCTTTATAAAAAATTTAAAATATTTACTCTTAATGCATTTAATTCCCCAAGGATCTATATCAGGAAGTATAAGCTATTCCAAAATTCCAAGTGAGAACTACATGAGGCACTCAATTATAAATATATTATCCTAATGAATTTTCTAATCTTACTATTATCCTGCAAATAAGCCTATAAAAACGATACTGGATCCACCACTTTTTAAAATATTACAATAAAATCTCAGTAGTTCTGCTAATAAAAGCTAATAGTATCTAGAGATAAAATACAGGTATCTCAGAAACATCACCTTAGCCAAGAAACAAAAATTTCAACATAATGCAATTCTTAGAATCAGATTTAACAAGATCTTAGTACAAGGAAACCTCCCTGAACAGCCCAAGACACTCCACAACAGTCCTAGACCACACATTTTATGGTATAGGTCACAGTCTAGACAGGTTAAGCTTCCATTTTTCCAACAAATATTTTACTGCTGTTAGTAAAAACAGATTTAGTTAAAGACAAAAAAAGGATGATCTGAATTTCTCTCCTCTCCCTGTATCTTATAACAAATGAAGATTAAATAAAACCTTTGGGGGGGGGAAGGAAATCAACTGGAAGATGGTTGTTTGAATAAATTATATATATCAGCTCTGAAGTAACCAAGAAATAAACCTGCCTAACCGGCATTCAAACCAGCCAAGAGCCATTTTTCAGGCTCAGAAAGTGTTTTGCAATTAAAGTAACATTCCAATTTTCGTTAAAATTAAAATAAGTTTTATCAATAGCTTTTTTTGGAAAAAAAAAAATCCCATCCAATTTTACAAACTTTTAGGTAAAATAATAAAATTGTGTACTTTTAAAACAATGGTGTTTTCCTATGTAAAATGTGTAAATATTTATATAAACGTAACTGGAACCACCCTATACATACTGTCCTAGTTTTCAATGCCTACGTAACAGCTCCTGATTTATTTAACCAATCCCCCAATGTCAGACTTTTAGTTTTTCTCTTTATAAACAAAGCTGCAGGGAATGTTTCTTACATGTTTTATTGCTAGATCAAAATAGAAACAAACCGAAGTTCTAACTAAAATAAATTGTTTTGGAAATGTTTCACCATTGACTGTAAGTGAAAGCAATGTTAAAATATTTGATCCTAACCGCTGACTACAGATATTGTCACTTAGAGGTTGTGGCTTGTTCATGCCCCTTGTCTGTCCTCTTCCTCAGGTTGCCAATTTTTTGTCCTTTTTATTCCATGTTCCAGAGAACATACAAGAAAAAAAGAGAGAGAGAGCGTAAAACTTGTTATACTCCTTAGCTGAATTTGGAAAAAAAGAAAGAGCAAAACTAATGAGCAACATTTAAGCCACATTACCTACCAGCCCCTCTCAATCAAGGCTCCCAGAGAAGATTATGCCCTAAGCCTAAGGCACCCACTGTGTGTAAGGAACTCATTTCTCTCTCTGCATCTACAGCCAACTAGGTAGGTACCCTCTCAGGGAAAACTGAGAACAGTCATTCAAATCATTTTCTGCAGAGTTTAACTCTGTCTCACAAAACCCATGTAGGGAAAGGCCAAGAGCTTAAAAGCATGTTTGATTCATCTTTCATAAAGGAATACTAAGTGCCACATATGAAGCTACTATGACATTTTCCCCTTCTACACTCAGGATGTCACTACGCTTCTACTTTACTAGAACTCACTGTACTCCCACAACTGGGCCAGCTTTAAAGCCTAAATAAATTGCTTCACAAAAAATTTTCACTGCCGATTTACTGGGTAGTTTTCCTGTACTACACTATAATTACAGTGCAGCTATCTAATCAGTTTATTTTGTGGCCTTGTGGGTCTCCTGTCCACTGAAGCAAATGCTTCTATTAAATAAAGATAGATTAAATACTGACGCGCTTTTTCCTGAACTGGGGATAATTTTACACACCCATGACAGATATACGTGGTTATTTTGTGTGCCGAATTAACATTAACACAACACAGAAAAATAATTTGGTAGCACAGTCAATGTCTACAGAAAACAGTCATTCAGTTTGCCACAAGACTGTAACTGAAAAAGCAGTTACTCTCTCTTCCAATGTAACTCAACACGATACCAGAAAGCTGTTCAGAGCACCCCAAAAAGTATCCTTTGCATTTCAGTCACACTAACATCAGAATAAAACTAAGGATATCTTTTTAATATGCCAAATGGCAGAAAACATATCAAGTCAGCATTATGCACGTATTATACACTGAAGGAGGTGAAATTAACCCACTGCAGCAGAGGAAAGGCAATAGAAACACCATCCTCTGAGGGTCTGTGTCACATTCTCTGAAAGAATAAAAAATGCCAAGTTTTGGCAAAAGGAGTAAGATTTCATGAGGGGCTGTTTTTTCTTTCTTCTTTTTCTATCTTTCTCTTTTAAAAAAATACATTAATGTCTTCTAATTTAAAGACGCCAAACTAGTTAAGTTTTATATATATATATATATATATATATATATATATATATATATATATATATATATGAATGACAGGGTCTCACTCTGTCGCCCAGGGTGAAGTGCAGTTGCATGACCATGGCCCACTGCAGCCTCAAACGCCTGAGCTCAAGTGATCCTCTCACCTCAGCCTCCCAAGTACGTGGGACTACAAGCGTGCACCACCATGGCCCGGCTAATTTTTTGTATTTTTTTGTATAGACGGAGGTCTCCCTGTGTTGCCCAGGCTGATCTCGAACTCCTTGGCTTCAAGCAATTCCACGACCTTGACATCCCAAGCAGCTGGGATTACAGGTTTGAGTCACCACCCTAGCCACTGGATTTTTAAACCTTCATCTTGAAAACATGGCTTCCAAACCTAACAGTTGCGTTATTAGAGAAAAATGGCTGAGAAATGAAAATCCAACCCACAAAATAATTTAAACCAACCAGAACAAAGAAAGATTCCCGCAGTTCATCCCAACAGGTGGTTTCCAAGCAAACGAGGGTTTTTTAAGTTCTATCAAAACCCCCATCTAGTAGAACTGAGTATATTTTTGTATCTATGTAAACAGTCGTTCTTATACAGGAATGTTCAATTAAAAAGTTAAGAACTTTTAAACTGCTTATAGTGTTGAAGCAACTTCCTAACCCTTTATAATCCATGCTCTTCCAAACATGACATAAAATATTTTAAGCAAATTAAATACTGCTTTTCAAAGTAACAATTTCAAGACACTTGAGGGGACAGAATCAATCTGAAAGACCACAGAATCCACAGAAAAATCAGATTTAACAATAAAACTATTTCTTAAATTGGGAATACTTCTTTATATAAAGTCCCACTAGGAAACACAAAACTTTGTACCCTTTTCACCAGTAGTTTAAAACTCATTTATTATACGATGAAATTAAAATTTGTAAAAATGAGCCGGGTGCGGTGACTCAGGCCTATAATCCCAACACTTTGGGAGGCGAGGTGGGGAAGGGTAGGAGGGGGAGGATCGCTTGAGGCCAGAAGTTCGAGATTAGCCTGGGCAACATAGTGAGACTCTCTTTTTTTTTTAATGTTTAAATGGCATTATATTGTGACAAATATTAAATAACCAAATATTGCACAGGAAGCATTATCATGACAAACGCGGTAAAACTTTTCCGTGCAATCAAAGAGCAACAAACAGTACACATTTTAAGCAATGTTTAGGTCATTACAAGCTACAAATATTAAGGCGAACGCTTCCGTTGACAGCGTGCTGCCCCCGCCCCCAAATTCCCACGCGCTGCCGCACGCCTTCAGCTCAGAAGCCCCCTTTCCTGGGCAGGCGAACGGGCTGCACACCCCTCACTCCGCTGCGAAGTCAAAGGGCTGCAGACAAAGACAACAGAAGCACGTGACAAAAGTTTATCCCCGTTCCCTCCGGGGGCCCGGGCAGCTGGGCCTAGGCCACGCGGGGCGGCGGCCCAGAGCACAGGCAGGGGCAGCCCGGCGGGCGGAGGCGGAAGCGGCGCGGGGCTGCTAGTTACCTTTTCCTGCTCCTCGCGCAGCCGCGCCACATCCGGGGCGCGCAACGGAACCAGGGCAGGGGCCGGGGCCGAAGGGGGCGAGGGGTCGGGGGGCGTCTCCACGGTGGGCGCCTCCATGACGGGCCCGCGGGCCTCAGCGCGGCGTGTGAGTCCTGAACCAGCGCCTGCGCAGGCGGCGCGGCCGGCAGTTGCCCAGCGCCCGCGCGCCCGCCCTCAGGCACCGCGCGCCCCGCGCCCAGGAGGCCGCGCCCGCCGCCGCCGCTGCTGTTCGCGTCCGCGCCGCCCGCTGCCGCATCTCACACGTGCATGTCCCCGCCGCCGCCGCCCCGCAGCGGGCTCCGAGTAGCAGGCCGCCTGCCAGGTACCGAGACGCCTCTCCGGTGCGGGCCCAGCCAGGCGTCGCGTGGCGGCCGCGCCTCCCCACACGCCCCGCCTCTCGCGGCACGCCGGAAGCAAGCGCGCAGGCCCCGCCCCCGACACGCCCAGCTCGCGCAGGCCCCGCCCCCAGGGGAGTGCGCTTGATGCGAACCGCGTGGCTGGGGCTGGCGGTGTCCGCGCTGGGCTGCGTTTGTATCCCTCTGGAAGCTTACATTTTATGCCGATATTTCTTTCTTTTTTTTTTTTTGAGATTACGTATATGAAAGCACTAAATATAGGCTTTGGAACCTTAAAAAAAAAAAGCTTACATTCTATAGAAGCTCCACGCCCAGGAAACGCTCGGCAACAAGAGCCGCGTGTCGCCTTGAGTGCCCCATCTCCCTCCCCGTCGTTTGGCGCTGCATCTGTATCTAGGAGCTTAATTCATGTACTAGAGCTGTTTCATAAGCACATTTAATTTTAGCAAATTCAACTCTTTCTGTGCCTTTTTAGTGAGTTGAAATATACAATTATATTTTGCATGTTCATTAATTACTGTACACATTGTATTTTCTCTTATATAAATTAAGCTACTGTACTAATTTTAATATGCTGCTATGAATGGACTAAGAAATTTTCCAAGGATAACTTTGCCCCCACTTTTCTTTTTTTTTTTTTTTTTTTTAAGAGACTGAGTCTTGGTCTGTCGCCCGGGCTGGAGTGCAGTAGTGCCATCATTTCTCACTGCAGCCTCAAACTCCTAGACTCAAGCGATCTTCCCACCTCAGCCTCAGGAGTAGCTGGGACCACTGGCCCGCACCAACACATCCTGTTAATTTTTCTATTTTTTGTAGAGGCGGGGTCTCCCTATGTTGCCCAGGCTGGTCTTGACATTAAGCGAGCCTCCTGTCTTAGCTAACCTCCTGTCTTGGATTCCCTGAAGTGCTAGGATTACAGGTGTGAGCTACCACACCTGGCCGTTCCAATTATTTTAGAACTCCTGTGCCCACTTCCTCCTACAGCCCTTTGTACAGCCTCCTATTAACCTAACTGCGTGAAAGTGGCCTTGCCTTATCTGCTGCAGTCGCTAGCAGTAAAGATGGGTCGTGTTCGTTCCACATCATACAGACAAGTCTAGGCAGAGAGATGCCTGCAGAGTCACAGCCTGGTGTGCCTGCTTGCTCTGCTTCTCTTCCCTCACTCCTGCCCAGCTCCCAAGTCCAGATCCACCCTTTTTTTCCTTTTTATGGCTTCAAAGGAAGAAAGCAAGGACAACTTGGGAAAAGATAAATGTTCATTCCTGTCTTTTCCTCACTGCATATCCAACCATCATCACCTCTGGAACAGCCAGGACCTGACCATTGTTACCATCTCTTCTACCACCACCATCCTCTCTCCATCCCCAGCCACCTCAGCAACCATTGATCTGGCCTTGCTGCCCCTACTCTTGTCCCTTGTAATGGAGATCGGCTGCTGCCCACCCCACTTCCCCTCGTTTAGGGGCTTAACCCGCGACCACATAGTCCTGTGCCTGTAGGAAGCTGACCCACCCCCTAGCTCCAGGCAAAGGGGGTGATGCATCTCCCTTCTAAATAGTTGGTTCAAGAATGGGTGTGCGATGTCGTCCAAACAGAGACTTCCTGGAGGCTTCTGGGAAGGTTCTTTTTTTTTTCCTCTGTTGCCCAGGCTGGAGTGCAATGGTGCCATCTTGGCTCACTGCACCCTCTGCCTCTTGGGTTCAAGCGATTCTCCTGCCTCAGCCTCCTGAGTAGCTGGGACTACAGGCGCGTGCCACCACACCTGGCTAATTTTTGTATTTTTAGTAGAAACAGGGTTTCACCATGTTGGCCAGGCTGGTCTCAAACTCCTGGCCTCAAGTGATCCACCCGCCTTGGCCTCCTAAAGTGCTGGGATTACAGGCAAGAGCCACCACGCCTCTCCTGAGAAGGTTCTTCCTCATTCTTCAAAAGTGCTCCCATAAGGAATCAGTCTATCCCCTTGGCCAGGAAGTGCAAAGCAGGTAGCCCCATGTGTATCAGACAGCCCCCCAGACCACCTAGACACTCCAGTACTCAGAATGAAGTGCGATCTGTGGTCAGCAGAGCTGAGAACAGAACCCAATCCTTGACAGCATCACAGAACTTGATCCAGGGCTGAATCAACCAGCTCTGGAGTCTGCATCACTTCTGAACTTCCCGTTTAAAAGGCCAGTAAATTTTCTAAATGACCAGGACAATTTTCTATCATGAGCAGCCAAAGACATCCAATTCGCACACCTCTAAACTATTATCCACTCAGCAGTCTGGGTGAGCTTTTCAAAGGGGATCAGGTCATGTCAGTCTCCCTTCTAGGGCCCTCCATGGCTTCCCACAGCAACCAGAATCAAATCCAGACATCCTACTAGAATTCAGCATTGTCGGACCCACCTTCCCCACCTCCAACCAAGCCCCCTACCACTCAAGCCAACCACAACAATTTCTCTCTTCTTCAGATACTCCAGACTAGTTCCTGCCTCAGGGCCTTTGCACCTGCTGATCTCTCTGCCTGCAATATTTCTCCCATATCTTTCCATGGTTGCCTCCTTGCCATTACTCAGGCCTCAGTTCAAATAATAACAGGGCTTTCTTGATCTCCTGTCCACAAAAGCCCCTCCCCTCTCCTCTAGGCATCTGCCCTCACCTCACTTTTTAAATTTTCTTTGTAGCACTTATCACACTTTCAAATGATCAGCTTTGGCCGGGCGCAGTGGCTCATGCCTGTAATCCCAGCACTTTGGGAGGTGGAGGCAGGCGGATCATTTGAGGTCAGGAGTTTGAGACCAGCCTGGCCAACATGATGAAACCCCATCTCTACTAAAAATACAAAAATTAGCCGCCGTGGTGGCACACACCTGTAATCCCAGCTACTCGGGAGGCTGAGGTAGGAGAATCGCTTGAACCTGGGAGGCAGAGGTTGCAGTGAGCAGAGATCATGCCACTGCACTCCTGCCTGGGCAACAGAATGACACTTCGTCTAAAAAAAAAAAAAAATTGGCAAGGCGCAGTGGCTCACGCCTGTAATCCCAGCACTTTGGGAGGCCAAGGCAGGCAAATCACCTCAGGTCGGGAGTTCAAGACCAGCCTGACCAACATGGATAAACCCCACCTCTACTAAAAATACAAAATTAGCCAGGTGTGGTGGTGCATGCCTGTAATCCCAGCTACTGGGGAGGCTGAGGCAGGAGAATCACTTGAACCCTGGAAGTGGAGGTTGCAGTGAGCCGAGATCATGCCATTGCACCCCAGCCTGGGCAACAAGAGTGAAACTCCTCTCAGAAAAAAAAAAAAATGGTAGGCCAGGCACAGTGGCTCATGTCTGTAATCCCAGCACTTTGGGAGGCTGAGGTGGGCAGATCCTGAGGTCAGGAGATCGAGATCATCCTGGCTAACATGGTGAAACCCCATCTCTACTAAAAACACAAAAAATTAGCCAGGTGTGGTGGCAGTCACCTGTAGTCCCAGCTACTCAGGAGGCTGAGGCAGGAGAATGGCATGAACCCGGGAGGCAGAGCTTGCAGTGAGCCGAGATGGTGCCACTGCACTCCAGCCTGGGTGACAGAGTGAGACTCTGTCTCAAAAAAAAAAAGTAAATATTATTTTATTACCTTATTACTTTATTACTTATTATTGGTTAATCCCTTCTTCATGTGCCAGGCCCCCCACTGGGAATGGGAGACAAGAGTTGACCAAGGCAAGCACCAGCCCTGTTCATAGATGTTGGAGTCAATAGAGGGCCACTAACATGGTTTGGATATTGTTCCCTCAAAATCTCATGTTGAAACGTGATCCCTAATGTTGGAAGTGGGGCCTAGTGGGAGGTGTTTGGGTCTTGGGGGCGGATCCCTCATGAATGGTTTGCTGCTCTTCTGCAGTAATGAGTTCACATGAAAGCTGGTTGTTTAAAAGAGCCTGGCACCTCCTCCTTCCTCTCTTGCTCCCTAGCTCTTACTTCCACTTGCCATGTGACGTGCAGCTCCCCATTTGCCTTCCACCATGATTGGAAGCTTCCTGAGGCCTCACCAGAAACCGAGCAGGTGTTGGTGCCACATGCTTGTATGGCCCACAGAACTGCGAGCCAAATAAACCTCCTTTCTTTACAAATTACCCAGCCTTGGCTGGGCACAATAATTCACATCTGTAATCCCAAAACTTTGGGAGCCCAAAGCAGATGGATCTCCTGAGGTCAGGATTTCGAGACCAGCCTGGCCAATATGGTGAAACCCCATCTCTACTAAAGATACAAAAAATTAGACAGGCAAACCTCATGAGACATGAATAAACAGCCAGGGGAGTTCTTGATGAAAAAAGAGGCTGCTGGTTGTTGGTAAGAGAACAGCAACAGGGTGGATGCAAAACAGCTGCCATGCCCCATTTCTCAGCCCTCACCCTACCATGAGGCTGCAGGAATAGCTTTCCTGGAATGGCTGGCTGGTTGCAAGGTGGGCAAGATGACCCTTGTCCTCCAAAAATTGGGGCATTTTTGAGTCCTGAGGGATTAGCACAGACTCCTGTATTGGTTTCAGCCCTCTTGTGCTTCCTATGGCAGCATCCATCAGGAGATTTGAAAGTAAAGAACACCTTTTTGTAGCCAGAAATTTACAGATATCATTTCCAGGTCACTGGTTGCCTGTAAAGATTATGAAACAAAAACATCAGTAACCACATGCAATAAGGACTACACACTTTGCAAACATAGTTTGGAAAAGTCTCTAAACAAACAGATGGCTGCAACCCTCAACAAGCAAAAATCAGCAATCCCTGAAGAGGAGGAGAATCTGATTTTCAGAGTTACTACAATAATACCCAAAATGCCAAGTGCTCAACAAAATATTACAAAGCATACAAAGAAAAAGGAAAGTATAGCCTATTCACAGGGGGAAAAAAAGAATTCAATAGAAGCCATCCCCAAGGAAGCCTTTACATTGGAAACATTAGTCAAAGACATTAAATCAACTGTCTTACACCCAATGAGCTAAAGGAAACCAAAATAATATATGAACAAATAGGGAAGGCCAATGAAGAGATAGTTTAATCTTATAAAAAGGAACAAAATAGAAATCCTGGAGCCGAAAAGTACAATAGCTTGAACTTAGAAATTCACTAGAGAGATCAAAAAGCTGATCTGAAGAATCAGGAAGAAGAAAGAACCAGTGAACTTGAAGATAAGGCAATTGAAATTGTCCAGTTGTAAAGAGAGAAAAATAAATAACGAAAAATAGGCTGGCCATGGTGGCTCATGCCTGTAATCCCAGCACTTTGGGAGGCCGAGGAGGGTGGATCACTTGAATTCAGGAGTTTGAGATCAGCCTGGCCAACATGGTGAAACCCCATCTCTACTAAAATACAAAAATTAGCCAGGCATTGTGACGCGCACCTGTAACCCTAGCTGCTGGGGAGGCTGAGGCCAGAGAATCACTTGAATCAAGAAGGAGGAGGTTGCAGTGAGCCAAGATCATGCCACTGCACTCCAGCCTGGGCAATAGAGTGAGACTCTATCTCAAAAAAAAGAAAAGGAAAAATGAACAGAGCCTGATAGATCCATGTGATGCCATCAAGCATATATCAACATATGCATAGTAGAAGTTCCTGAAGGAGAAGAGGAACAGGAAGGGACAGAAAAAGAAATTTGAAGAAATAATGGCTGAAAACTTCCCAAATTTGATGAAGGATATGAACATACACGTCCAAGAAGCTTAACAAATTACAAGCGCGAGAAACTCAGAGATTCATACTGAAACTCACAGCCAGATTGTCAAAAATCAGAAACAAAAAGAGAATCTTGAAAGCAGCAAGAGAGGAACAACTTGTAAGGTACAAGGAGTCCTCAGTAACATTAATAGCTAAGCTTTCATCAGAAACCATAGAGGGGCTGGGTGCAGTGGCTCAGGCCTGTAATTCCAGCACTTTGGGAGGCCGAGGTGGGCAGATCGCCTGAGGTCAGGAGTTCGAGACCAGCCTGACCAATATGGCGAAACCCCATTCTACTAAAAATACAAAAATTAGCCAGATGCGGTGGTGGGCACCTGTAATCCTATCTACTTGGGAGGCTGAGGCTGGAGAATTGCTTGAACCTGGGAAGTGGAGGTTTCAGTGAGCCAAGATTGCACCACTGCACTCCAGCCTGGGCACAAGAGCAAAACTCTAAAAAAGCAAAACTCCATCTCAAAAAAAAATTTTTTTTAAGTGCCGGGCACAGTGGCTCACGCCTATAATCCCAGCACTTTGGGAGGCCAAGGCAGGTGGATCATGAGGTCAGGCATTCTAGACCAGCCTGGTCAACATAGTGAAACCCTGTCTCTACTAAAAATACAAAAAACTAGCCAGGCGTGGTGGCGGGTGCCTGTAGTCCCAGCTACTTGGGAGACTGAGGCAGGAGAATTGCTTGAACCTGGAAGGCAGAGGTTGCAGTGAGCCAAGACGGCACCATTTCACTCCAGCCTGGATGACAGTGTGAGACTCCATCTCAAAAAAAAAGAAAAGAGAAAAGAAAAGAAAAGAAAAGAAAAGGAACCAGAGGCCCAGAGGCAGTGGAATAACACAGTTAAAGTCCTGGGGAAAAAAAAAAAAAAGACTGTCAACCAAGAATTTCCTACCAGACAAACTATCCTTCAGGAATAAAGGAGAAATTAAGACATTTTCAGATAAATAAACGCAGAGAAAGCTCATTGCTAGTAGCCCTGCTCTACAAGAGCTGCTAAAATGAATCCATCAGGCTGAAATGAAAGGAAACTTGATAGTAATTCAAAGCCATGATGAGAAAAAAAAAGAACACTGATAAAAATAGTAACTACATACATCAGTAAATATAAAAGCCAGTATTATTGTAGGTTTTGTTCATAATACTTTGTTTTTCACCTATCATTTAAAGGGCAAATGCATGAAACAATAATTATAAATCTATGTTAATGGGCACAGAATGTATAAAGATATGATCTGGGACAATAATAATATAAAGAGGGAGGGAAAGAGATGTATAGGAGCAAAGTATTTGTATACTCTTAAAACTAAGTTAGTATTATTCAAATTAGGGTGTTATAAATTTAAGATGCTAATTGTGATCCCCAAGGCAACCGCTAAGAAAATAACTAAAAAATATACAGACAGGGAAAGAAAAAAGGAATCAAAATGATACACTAAAATCTATTAAATACCAAAAAAATGTAGTAGTGGAGGAATTGAGGAACAAAATTTAAAAAATGTACAGAAAAGCAAATAGCTATTAAATAAATGGCAGAATTAAATCCTTTATTGGTAATTACTTTAAATGTAAATGGACTAAACTGTCTAATTAAAGGGCAGAGATTGATAGAATGGATTTCTAAAAATTATTAATTTATATGCTGTCTGCAAGAGACTTACTTTGGATCAAAAGATTCGAAAGGATGGAAAGTAAGAAAATAATATGGGCATGTTGGCTTATGCCTGTAATCCCAGCACTTATGCTACCAATCCCTGGGAAGCCAAAGCAGGTGGATCACTTGAGCCCAGGATTCAAGACTATCCTGAGCAACATAGTGAGACCTGGTCTCTAAAAATAAATAAATAAATAAATAAAATTAAAAAAAAATAAGCCAGGTTTGGTGGCACATGCCTGTAGTCACAGCGACTTGGGAGGCTAAGGCAGGAGGATTGCTTGAGCCCAAGAGGTCGAAGCTGCAGTGAGCTATGAGCTCACCACTGCACTACAGCCTGGGCTACAGAGCAAGACCTCATGTCATAACAGAGAAGAAGAGATCTGAACAGTAGCATGTGTGTACACATAAGAAAAACCACGTGGGATTGTAGTGAGAAGGCAGCATCTGCAAGCCAAGGGGTGAGGCCTGAGAAAATATCAACCCTGCTGACACCTTGATCTTGGACTTCCAGCCTCCAGAATTGTGAGAAAATAAATTTCTATTGTTTAAGCTACTCACTTCGTGATAAAGTGTTATCATGGCCCTAGCAAACTAACATATCAATAACCTAACTATGTGGCTTAGGTAACTAGAAAAAGAAGAGTAAACTAAAACCAAAGCTAGCAGAAAGATGGAATAAGGCCAGGCATGGTGGCTGATGCCTGTAATCCTAGCAATTTGTGAGGCCAAGGCAGGTGGATCACCTAAGGTCAGAAGTTCAAGACCAGCCTGGCCAACATGGTGAAACCCCGTCTCTTCTAATAATACAAAAATTAGCCGGGCGTGGTGGCAGGCACCTGTAATCCCAGCTACTTGGGAGGCTGAGGCAGGAGAATCACTGGAACCTGGGAGGCAGAGGTTGCACTGAGCCGAGATGGCACCACTGCACTCCAGCCTGGGTGACAGAGCAAGACTTCATCTCAAAAAAAAAAAAAGGGAAGAAAAGAAAAAGAAAGAAGGAATAACAAAGATTAGAGTGGAGAAAAACAAAACAGAAAACAGAAAAATGATAGAGGAAATCAATGAAAATAAAAGTTGATTTTTTTTTTTTAAAGAGATCGAGTCTCACTCTGTTGCCCAGGCTGGAGTGCAGTAGCACAGTCTCGGCTCACTGCAACCTCCGCCTCCCGGGTTCTAGCAATGCTCCTGCCTCGGCCTCCTGAGTAGCTGGGATTACAGGTACACGCCATCATGCCTGGCTAATTTTTTTGTATTTTAGTAGAGATAGGGTTTCACCGTGTTGCCCAAGCTGATCTTGAACTCCTGGGCTCAGGCAATCCACCCACCTCAGCCTCCAAAAGTGCTAGGATTACAGGAGTGAGCCACCACACCCAGTGAAAAGTTGATGTTTTTAAAGATCAACAAAATTGACTAAGAAAAAAAGAGAAAAGAGTCAAATTACTAAAATCAGAAATGAAAGTGAGACAGTACTGTTTTGCAGAAATAAATTGGATAATACTATAAACAATTGTACTCCAAAAAATCAGAAAACCTTAGATGAAATGTACAAATTTTTAGAAAAACACAAACTACCAAAACTAACTCAAGAAGAAATAGAAAATCTGATTGGATCTATAACAAGTAAGGATATTGAATCAGTAATCAAAAAGTTTCCAACAAAAAAGCGCAGGAACAGATTGTTTCAAGATGAATTCTACTAAACATTTAAAGAAGTAACACAAATCCTTCTCAAACTCTTCTAAAGATTGAAGAGGAAAGAACACATTCTATGAGGCCAGCAAGACAAAGACACTGAGAGAAAAGAAAACTGCAGACCACTGCTCCTTATGAACATAAACACAAAAATTCTCAACAAAATACTAACGAATTTGGCAGCGTATTTGTAAGATTATATACCATGAACAAGTGGAATTTATTCCAGAGACACAATGGTGATTCACCATATAAAAATAAATCGATGTAGTCCGGGTGTGGTGGCTCACACCTGTAATCCCAGCACTTTGGGAGGCTGAGGCGGGTGGATCACCTGAGGTCAGGAGTTCGAGACCAGCCTGGCCAACATGGTGAAATTCTGTCTCTACTAAAAATACAAAAAATTAGCTGGATGTGGTGATGGGCACCTGCAATCCCAGCTACTCAGGAGGCTGAGGCAGGAGAATTGCTTGAACCCGGGAGGCAGAGGTTGCAGTGAACCAAGATCGTGCCACTGCACTCCAGCCCGGGCAACAAGAGGGAAACTCAGTCTAAAAAAAAAAAAAAAGGAATGAAGGGGGGAAAACCACATAATAATCTCAAATGGGCCTGGCACGGTGGCTCACGCCTGTAATCCCAGCACTTTGGGAGGCCGAGGCAGGTGAATCACCTGAGGTCAGGAGTTCAAGACAAGCCTGGCCATTATGGTGAAACCCCATCTCTACTAAAAATACAAAAATTAGCCGGGTGCGGTGGCAGACACCTGTAATCCCAGTTACTTGGGAGGCTGAGGCAGGAGAGTCACTTGAGCCCGGGAGGCGGAGGTTGCAGTAAGCTGAGATCACACCACTGCACTCCAGCCTGGGTGACAGACCAAGACTGTGTCTCAAATAATAATAATAATCATCATCATCATCATAATCATCATCTCAAATGATGCCGAAAAAGCATTTGACAATATCCAACATCAAGATAAAACACTTAGTAAAGTAGGAATAGAAACGAACCTCTTCAACGTTATTAGGACCATATAAGAAAAGCCCATAACTAACATAATAATGAGAGACTGAAGATTTTTTTCCTCTAAATTGGGAACAAGACAAGGATGCCCACTTTTACCACTACTATTTAGCGTAGTACTAAGAGTTCTAGTCACAGCAACTAGGCAAGATAAAGAAATGAAAGGCAGCCAAGTTAGAAAAGAAGAAGTAATATTATCTCTCTTGGTAGATGATATAATCTTATATGTAGAAAATCCTAATGAATACCCACCCAACACACACACACACACACACACACACACACACACACAACTGTTAGAGCTAATAAATTCAGCAAAGCTGCAGGATACAAAATCAACACACAAGAATCAGTTTCTATATAGTAGGATATATATTTCTAAGTAGTAGGAAACAACAATCTGAAAAGAAAATTGAGAAAACAATTCCATGTACAGTAACATCAAGAATAAAATATTTAGTAAAAAAATTAACCAAGGAGGAGCAAGTTTGTACATCGAAAACTACAAAACACTGCTGAAAGAAATTAAACAGAAATATACAGAAGAACATCTTGCCTTCATGGATTGGAAGACAATATTGTTAAGATGACAATTGTTATGGGCTGAATGTTAGTGTTCTTCCAAAATGCATATGTCAGTGCCCTAACCACCAATGGGACTGTTTCTGAAGATAGGGCCTTTATGGAAGTAATTAATGTTAAATGAAGGTGGGGCCTTGGTTCAATAGGATTAGTGTCCCTATCCTGGCAGAGATACCAGAGAGCTTTCTCTTGCTCTGCATGCAAGGAAAGACCATCCAAGGACATAGTAAGAAGGTGGTCATGGACAAGCCAGGAAGAGAAACTTCATGAGAAACTGGCTTTTCCAACACCTTCATCATGGATCCTTAGTTTCCAGAGCTGTGAGGAATATAAATTTCTATTGTTTAAGCCACCTGTCATGGTATTTTGTTATAGCAGTTCAAGCAGACTAATACAACAATGTTCTCCAAAGCCATCCACAGATTCAGTGCAATTCCTATCCAATCCCAATGGCATTTTTTTTGCAGAAGTAGGCAAACTGGTCCTAAAATTTGTATGGAATTTCAAGAGACCCCAAATAACCAAAATAACCGAAAAAGAAGAACAAAGTTGGAGGTCTCATACTTCCTGATTTCAAAACTTACTACAAAGCTACAGTAATCAAAATACTATGAAGCCAGGCAGATGGCTCATGCCTGTAATCCCAACACATTGGGAAGCCAAGGCAGGTAGATCACTTGAGGTCAGGAATTCGAGGCCAGCCTGGCCAACATGGTGAAACCCTGTCTGTACTAAAACTACAGAAAAAAAAAAAAAAAAGACAGGCATGGTGGCAGTTAGTAGTATTCCTGTCTACTACTTGGGAGGCTGAGGCACGAGAATCACTTGAATGCAGGAGGCAGAGGTTGCAGTGAGCCGAGATCGCACCACTGCACTCCAGCCTGGATGACAGAGCAAGACTTTGTCTCAAAAAACAAAAAAAACAAAAAACATTGTGGTCTCAGATAGTCATATAGTCCAATAGGCTAGAATAAAGAGCCCAGAAAATAAACCCTCTCGCGTACTGATTTTTGACGAGAATTTCAAGACCATTCAATAAGAAAAGGACAGTCTCTTTAATAAATGGTGCCTTACATAAGAAGAATATATATGGAAAAGGAAAAAAAAAACACAAATGGTGCCAAGGAAGCTGGATATCCACATGCAAAAGAATGAAGTTGAACCCTTGCCTTACACTATGAATAAAAATTAACTCAAGATTGATCAAAGACCTGAACGTAAGACCTAAAGTCAAACACAGAAGAAACCATAGGGGCAATCATGATCTTAGATTTGGCAATGGTTTCTCAAATAGGCCACCAAAAGCACAGGTAGCAAAAGAAAAAAACTGTAAATTGGATGTCATCAAAATTAAAAACTTTTATGCATCAAAGGACACTATCAACCGGGCTCATTGGTTCATGCGTGTAATCCCAGCACTTTGGGAGGATGAGGTGGGCAGATCACTTGAGGTCAGGAGTTCAAGACCAGCCTGGCCAACATGGTGAAACCCCATCTCTACTAAAAATACAAAAAATTAGCCTGGTGTTGGGTGGCACCTGTAGTACCAGCTACTTGGGAGGCTGAGGCAGGATAGTCACTTGAACCCTGGAGGCAGAGGTTGCAGTGAGCTGAGATCACACCACTGCACTCCACCCTGGGAGACAGAGCAAAACTCAGTCTCAAAAAAAAAAAAAAAAAGAGACACTGTCAAGAGAGTGAAAAGATAACACACAGAACGAGAAGAAACACTTGCAAATCTTGTATCTTATATATAAGGGTTTAATATCAAGCATATATATATTGCACTGTTTTTTTGTTGTCATTGAGTTGTAGGAGTTTCATGGAAAACCCCAAAATGAGCAAAGAACTTGCATAGCTATTTCTCCAAAGAAGATATACAAATGGCCAATAGGCACATGAAAAGATGCTCAATATCACTAATTATTAGGGAAATGCAAATCTGAATCACAATGACAGACCATCTCACAGCTGCTAGGATAGCTATTATTTTTTATTTTTTTATTTTATTTCTTTAATTTTTTGAGATGGAGTCTCACTCTGTGGCCCAGGATGGAGTGCAGTGGCACTATCTCAGCTCACTGCAACCTCCACCTCCTGGGTTCAAGCCATTCTCCTGCCTCAGCCTCCCAAGTAGCTGGGATTACAGGCACCTGCCACCACACCCCGCTAATTTTTGTATTTTTAGTAGAGATGGGGTTTCACCATGTTGGCCAGGCTGGTCTCCAACTCCTGACCTCAAGTAATCTGCCCACCTCAATCTCCCAAAGTGCTGGGATTACAGGCATGAGTCACCGCACCCAGCCTTAAATTTTTTTTTAATTAATGGAAAATAAATGTTGGCAAGGATGTAGAGAAATTGAAACTCTCTTTCATTCCTGGTGGGAAGATAAAATGGTACAGCCATTCTGGAAGACAGTTTGGCAGTTTCTTACAAAGTCAAACATAGACTTATACAACCCAGCAATCACAATCCCAGGCATTACCCAACTGAGTTGAAAATTTGTGTCAATACAAAAACCTCTATGCAAATATTCATAGCAGCAAAGCAAGAACACGGTTTCAGTATACATGTGTTTAGTGACCATGATAATGTGCAAACCAAGAATTGCCTGTTTTGAATGTGTTACTTCCTGTCTTGGAGCCTCACTTTCTCTAAATAAGAGGAAGAGCCTGAGGATTCCTGAGAGGTTTCCTACTTTGCTGGTGAAGGAACTTGGGAGTCTGCAAATGTCCCTAAATGAGTTCTGGGTGTCACCTTGACCTGGCTTCACACTTAGAGTTGCCAGGTTTAGCAAATACAAATATAGGTCATTCGATTAAATTTGAATTTCAGATAAACAACAAGTAATCTTTTAGTATAAGTATGTCCATGTAATATTTGGAGCACCCTTCTACCGAAAAGAAAATTCATGGTTTATCTGAAATTCAAATTTAATACAGCCTCTTGTATTTTATCTGGCAATCCTATTCCCACTACTGCCCTTGAGAGCCTCCCCGCTTCCCCTCCACATCCATTCTCCTATGTTGCTTTGAAAATAAACAAGCATCAGGGACTGACACACTGATTTCAAAGTCCCTGCCACTTAAATGGATCCCTTTCATCTACCAGGAACTGAAGATGGAAACAAGTGGGCGGAGACAAAAGAGAGCTGAGTGAAGGGAGGTGGTGGAAAGGAAAGGGGCGTTTCGTGACATCGGCCCAGACTGCTGTCTCCACTGAGGCTCAGGGGCCTCAGGGTTGGCCTCCTGCACTCCTTCTCAGCCTTGGATGCATGTTGGGAGCTCCGAAAAATAATGCTTGGGCGTGACCTGGGCGGTGGGAAGTTTTTAAGCTTCTCTAGTGATTCCTCGAAACAGCCTAGGCTGCTGTTTTCTTGCTGCTAGCAAACCAGCCAAACTCAGTGGCAAAAATCACCGCTCCCAGCCAGGCAGCCGGGCAGCTCTCATTCAGAGGCTCATGCAGCTGCGGTCATCTTGAAAACTTCTGCTTGCACATATCTGGACTTGAGATTAACTGTCACCTGGGATCTCAGTAGGGCAGTCAACCAGATCACCTGTATGTGGCCTTGCCTTATAGCCTGGGCTTCTTTGCAGCACGCCTGTTGAGTTCCAAGGGAGCCAGACAGAAGTGGCATGGCCTTTTCTAATCTAGCCTGGAGTGTCGTGTAGTATCCCTTCAGCCACATTCTACTCATCAGAAGCAAGTCACTAAGGCCAGCTCACATTCAAGAGGGATGGAATTAGGCCGGGCACCGTAGGTCACGCCTAATCCCAGCATTTTGGGAGGCCGAGGTGGGCAGATCACTTGAGGTCAGGAGTTTGAGACCAGCCTGACCAACATAACAAAACCCCATCTCTACTAAAAATACAAAAATTAGCTGGGCATGATGGCAGGCGTCTGTAATCCCAGCTACTGGGGAGGCTGAGGCATGAGAATTGGTTGAACCCAGGAGGTGGAGGTTGCAGTGAGCTGAGATCACGCCATTGCACTCCAGCACTCTAGCCTGGGCGACAGAGTGAGACTCTGTCTCAAAAAAAAAAAAAAAAAAAAAAAAAAGCCGGGTGCAGTGGCTCATGCTTGTAATCCCAGTACTTTGGGAGGCCGAGACAGGTGGATCACCTGAGGTCAGGAGTTCAAAACCAGCCTGGCCAATATGGTGAAACCCCGTGTCTACTAAAATAAAAGATTAGCCGGGTGTGGTGGCATGTGCCTGTAATCCCAGCTACTCAGGAGGCTGAGGGAGAAGAATCACTTGAACCTGGGAGGCAGAGGTTGCAGTGAGCCGAGATTGCACCACTGCACTCCAGCCTGAGCAAGACAGCAAGACTCCATTTCAGAAAAAAAAAAAAAAAAAAGAGGGATGAAATTAGACTTCATCTCTTGATGGGACAAATGCCAAGGAATTTGTGATCCTATGTGAAGACCACCACAGCTACCACTGGAATAAAGTCTCCAGAATCCATTCTCCTGTCTACACTCCCCCAGCCCAAGACACCATCACTGCTCACCTGGGAAGTCCAGTAGCCTCTGCAGGGTCTCCCTGCCTCCCATCTCCCACCCCAGGCTGTCCTCCACACTGCAGCTGGAGTCTCGAGCCCAGAGAGTGGAGTCCACGGCCCCCACAAGCTGGTCTTTGTGTCTCCAATTCATTCGCATCCTCAAGCTCCCAGGCAGAGCCAGACTCAGTACAAGCAGGTGCTCTCCCGAGCCATGCATGAGCCTAGCTCCTGCCAGACAGGCACGTCATCCCTTGGTAGGGAGCCACAAAACTTCCCAACCCCCATCCCTTGCTCCTCCTTCAGGACCTGACCCAGACCCCTCTCCAGGGAAGCCTTCTCTGAGCATCCCCAAGGTGGGTCAAGCTCAACACCCTGGCCTTTCCTTTGCAATGTATAGGTCGTTTCACACATTTTCTTTTAACCTTGTACTGCAGTTTAACACATATGCAGAAAAGTGCACAAATCCTTAGCGAATTTTCACAAAGTGAGCAATCCTGTATATCCAGCTCTCAGGTCAAGAAACAGAACATTTCTAAGGCTGGGTGAGGTGGCTCATGCCTGCAATCCCAGCACTTTGGAAGACTGATGCAGAAAGATCACTTGAGGGAAGGAGTTCAAGTCTAGTCTGGGCAACATAGTGAGACCTCTTCTCTATAAAAAATTTTTTAAAATTAGCCAGGCATGTTGGCACATTCCTGTAGTCCTGGCTACTCAGGAGGCTGGGGCAGGAAGATCACTTGAGCCCAGGAGGTTGAGGCTGCAAAAAGCTATAATTGTACCACTGCACTCCAGCCTGGGCAACAGAATAAGATTCTGTTGAAGGAAAGAAGGTAGGAAGGAAGGAAGGAAGGAAGGAAGGAAGGAAGGAAGGAAGGAAGGAAGGAGAGAGGAAGAAAGAGAGAAGATTTTTATTCGGGTAATGGGTGCACCAAAATATCAGAAATCACTGCTAAAGAACTTATTCATGTAACCAACACCACCTGTTCCTTAAAAACCTATTGAAATAAAAACAGAAAGAAAGAGAGAAAGAGGAAGGAAGGAAGGAAGGAAAGAAGGAAGATTGATTCCTAGAACCCCAGGAGCCCTCCAAGGTCCTTTTGTTCACCATCCACCATCCCTTCCTCCCCCCAGTCCTGGTAACCACTATTCCAACTTCCAATCCTTTGGACTAGTGCCATCTGTTTTTAAACTTCATACCAATGGACTCATACGGTATGTGCTCTGGGGTCTGGTTTCTGTGTCCAGTTTCATGTTAGTTCTTGTAGCATTTTAATCAGAGCCGGTCACATAATTTGTAGTGCCCAGTGCAAAATGAAAGTGTGGACCATCCCCTCCAACCCCACCCCCAACACCATTCAAAAGTTATTAAGAATTTCAAGATGGCAGCTGCAGAGCCTAAGTCAGTCACGGGATTCTTCTGAGTGCACAGCCCTGTGTAAGTCACACACGCCCACGAAGCCATCCTGTTTCCAGTTGCCTGTTTGGTCGAGTGTCTCTTCCTTGAGGGCAAGAGCTGTGCTGGGGGAAAGTCACCATCTCTGTGGAGTTTCTTCAGCCTTCATTCATTAAAACCTCACAGAGGCCCTGAGGCCAAGAAGGAGGGTGATCATTATAAGCATCACACCTGTTTAATTGATGCAATGTCTAGACTGAAAATGCCGCGGGACTCAGCCAAGGTCCCCCAGTGAGTGAGTGCAGGGGCGGACCTCACACACAAGCCCTCTGGCTCTAGGCAGCCTCCCCCTGCCTCCAGCTCTGCCCTAGAATCTACTGCATGCCAAGTACCGGACCCAGGACAAAGGGAAAAAAGAGTTCCTGCCCAAAAGGAACTCTCAATTCAACTGGAAAACAAAAACAGGACTTACACACATGAAGACATTATTAACCAAAACATTTTGTCCTTCATGTGCGGGCCTTGTAGCTGCAAGAATTGGAGGCTGTCTCTGCCTAACCAAGCAAGAAGGATCAACAAGAGAGGGTGCAGCAAGGTGTGGTGGCTCACGCCTGTAATCCCAGCACTTT
This sequence comes from Homo sapiens, assembly GCF_000001405.40. NCBI lineage: Eukaryota > Metazoa > Chordata > Mammalia > Primates > Hominidae > Homo > Homo sapiens. Next base: position 29,925,095 of record NC_000019.10, on the reverse strand, counting down.
GGGAGGCCAAGGCAGGGGGATCACCTAAGGTCAGTAGTTCGAGACCAGCCTGGCCAACATGGTGAAACCCCGTCTCTACCAAAAATACAAAAATTAGCCGGGCGTGGTGGTGCATGCCTGTGATCCCAGCTACCTGGGAGGCTGAGGCAGGAGAACCACTTGAATCCAGGAGGCGGAGGTTGCAGTGAACCGAGATCACACTGTTGCACTCCAGCTTGGGCAACAAAGGGAGACTTCATCTAAAAAAAATTAAAAATTAAACAAAATAATAAGAGGGGGTTCAGAGAGCCTGGACAGGAAGCTGAGGGCAGGCAGAGCTCCTGGGAGCCCTAGGGAGCAGTGGAGCCCCACCCCGGCTCTCACAGGGGCATGGTCTGGTCAGTGTGCTGCTGTTGCATCTGTGCAACACACACTCCAGCCATCCCATCAGTCCCGGTATCACTTGCTCACAGGACAGCCTCTGATTGGCTGAGCTCTGGCCTGGGGCTCAACCCCTGGCTCTCCTAGAGCTGGGAGACAGACGGAGGGCCTGGCCCCTCTGTTCTCACAGTGGGAGGGAGGGAATTCCTCAGAAAGAAATCAAGGGGTCATGAGGACCAGGGATGAAAGCGAGGTGGCTAAAAAATGACAGAAACCCCCTATAATGCACGTGTTTGTTTAGATCGCCAGTACACCGAGCAACAATGGGGGGCTCCTGTCCTTGAAACTGACTTTGCCTGTGCTTGTGGAGGAGGCTGGTAAAACCATTGTAAAAGGTGAGTCCGCAAGCACCCAGGTGTTTGTGAAAGTGTGGTGTGATGGTTACTTTTAGCTGTCAGCTTGACTGGGTTAAGGGATACCCAGATAGCAGGTGCAACATTATTTCTGGGTGCATCTGGGAGGGTGTTTTCAAAGAGATTGGTACTCGAATCAGTAGACCGAGTAAAAAACATCTGCCCTCACCAATGTAGGTGGGCAACATTCAATCCACTGAGGGCCCAAATAGAACAAAAAGACAGAGGAAAAGCAAATTCACTCTCTTCTGGACCTGGGACATCCACCTTCTCCTGCCCTGGGACGTTGAAGCTCCTGGTTCTCAGAACTTCAGGCTCAAACTGAATGATACCATCAGCTTCCGTGGCTCTTCAACCTGCAGATGACATACTGTGGGACTTCTTAGGCTCCTAATCACTCAGGCCAATCTCCATTATAAAGCCCCTCTTCCAGGTCTATAGCTATGTCTACAGCGCCATCTGTATCTTGTTCATTCTGTTTCTCTGACTAATCCATGTGGTTAAAGTAAAATCCTCAAACCTCACACTAACAGCAGAGAAGCTATAACACTGTCAAGCTTCAACTCACCAATGCATATGCCAGAGCCCTCTTAGAAACGTGGCTTCCTTGAAGGGAAGACCATGTTGTCATCAGGGCAGTGACCTCCAAGGAGCCTGGAAAAGAGTGAGAAGACCCACTGGGAATAATGTGGAAAGAATTCCCATCTGTGACATAGGAGAGAGGCCCAGAATCTGGTGGACGTGAAGATTCCAGTTCTATCTTGTGGGCAGGGACACATCCCCAGGCCTCACCCAGCACCCTGGGGCTGGAATACACCTCTAACTTGTATCCTACCTCCAGTCCCAGCTAGGCAGGACTATGATCTGGGAAGTAGATTGTGGGAGCCATGTCGTTTGTGGGTGACAGCTGCCTATTGCTCCCTGGACTGAGCAAAAGAGGTTCCATTTGCCCTCACTACCTCCTCTTTCCAGTGCTAGGCAGGGCAATATCAGTGGCAACGCCATGGGGCATGGTTATGAAAGTGGGAAAATGCTTGATCCCACTTGTGCAAGCATTTTCTACTCTGTGTGTGAGTACAGCAGTCACTGAACAGGGGTGGGGGCCAGGGGCTGCTGCTTTGTGTCCATGTATCAGTTAGCTATTGCTGTGCAACAAATACGCAGCAATAGCTAACCGATACATGGACACTCCAAAGCTCAATGGCTGAAAAAAAACAATAATGTCTTATTTTTCATGAGTTTGTGGGAGGGCTGGAGTGCTGCTGGAGGTTGGAGGCTTGGCTGAGGCAACTCTGCTCCACATATTTTACCCTCATCCTAGGACCTGCTGATTTCGTCCTTATCTTAGAGATGGCAGAAATGCACAAGATGGTATAGAGACACTCAGGGCCTCTGGAACTGGTGCACTGTCACTTCAGCCTGGTTCTGTTGGTCAACACAGGTCTCATGGCCAGCCCAGAGTCACATTGACAGGGCACTGCAAAGTGATGTGGCAAAGGGTGTAGATAACAGAAAGAGGTGATGAAGCGAGGCCAGTACCCAAGGGTGAATGGAGCTGGGGGGCAGAAACTAGGAAGCCAGCTTGATCCATGCCAGGTTGCAAGGGCAAGTTCAGGCCATGCACAGAGGAGTTGGGAGAAGAGTCAAGCCTGGGGGAAATCCCAGGGAAGGTACAGAGACTAAGGAGGCAGAAGGCCATGGTGCTGGTGGCTGAAAGTGGCCTGGAGCAAGCTGGCAGTAAGCATGAGTCTCATCAACTTCGCCTTGTGCCCAGAAAGGGCTTGTGCCAGAGTGCCCAGGCCCATAAAACACCACTTCAGGGCAGACCTGTTCCAAAGATCCAGAGCAATTTTAGATGTATCTGTGTTTCTGTTGTTGTTGATTTTTTTCATTTTTGTTGTTGAGACGAGGTCTCACTATGTTGCCCAGGCTGGCCCTGAACTTCCGGGCTCAAGCACTCCTCCCTCCTGCGCGTCAGCTGGGACTACAAGCACGTGCCACAGCTTGTATCTGTTTTTATTAAAACCATATTTCCTGAATTGTAGCCATTCACATTCAAATTTTATTGATTTTTTTTGCCATATCCGCTTGCCACCTATACTAATATTTACTTAATATTTTTATTTAAATCAACTCATATTTTTTGTTGTCGTTATTTAGTTTTTATTTCATAATCATAAACTTTACAATCCAGCTAGGCATGGAAGGGAATAAGGAAAACTTGGAGCTCAAAGGGAACTGCAGTGAGAGCACAAAGATTATAGGATACTGTGAGCAAATGGGGTGGAGGAGTGCTCTCCGGAGCTAGAGAAGGAATGGTCTTGAGGTTAAGATAAAACACAAGTCGACTGGGCACAGTGGCACATGCCTGTAATCCCAGCACTTTGGGAAGCCAAGGTGGGCGGATAACCTGAGGTCAGGAGTTCAAGACCAGCCTGGCCAACACGGTGAAACCCCGTCTCTACTAAAAATACAAAAATTAGCCAGGCATGGTGGTGCTCACCTGTAATCCCAGCTACTCAGGAGGCTGAGGCAGGAGAATCACTTGAACCTGGGAGGCAGAGGTTGCAGTGAGCTGAGATTGTGACATTGCACTCCACCCTGGATGGCAAGAGTGAAACTGTCTCAAAAACAAAACAAAACGAACACAAGTCAAGCTTATTAGAGTTGTCAACAGTCAGCAATGGTGATCTTCTTGCTGGTCTTGCCATTCCTGGACCCAAAACCCTCCATGGCCTCCACAATATTCATGCCTTCTTTCACCTTGCCAAAGAACACATGCTCACCATCCAACCACTCACTCTTGGCACTGCAGATGAAAAACTGGGAACCGTTTGTGTTGGGTCCAGCATTTTCCTTGGACAAGATGCCAGAACCTGTCTGCTTCAGGATGAAGTTCTCATCATCAAATTTCTCCCCATAGATGTACTTGCCACCACTGCCATTATGGTGTGTGAAGTCACCACCGTGACACATAAACCCCGGAATAATTCTGTGAAAGCAGGAACCCTTATAACCAAATCCTTTCTCTCCAATGCTCAGAGCACAAACATTTTCTGCTGTCTTTGGAAACTTGTCTGCAAACAGCTGGATGGAGATGCGGCCCCAGGGCTCATTGAAGAACTTGGTGGGGTTGACCATAGCTGATAGTATGGGGCCCCTGGAGGCAGTGGCGATGTGTGCAAAACTCAACTTATATTTTTAATGTAAAGATTTAACTTAATAATATTCATGAAATCATTGACTTCTGTGCTTGTTTTATATATATATATATATATACACACACACACACATACACACATACATATATATGTAGATTATTTTTCTGAGGCAGAGTCTCACTCTGTCACCCAGGCTGGGGTGCAGTGGCACAATCTTGGCTCACTGCAACCTCCACCTCCCGGGTTCAAGCAATTCTTATGCCTCAGCATCCTGAGTAGCTGGGGTTACAGGCATGCGCCACCACACCTGGCTAATTTTTGTATTTTTAGTAGAGTCAGGATTTCACCATGTTGACCAGGCTGGTCTCCAACTCCTGACCTCAAGTGACCCACCTGCCTTGGCCTCCCAAAGTGCTGGGATTACAAGTGTGAGCCACTGCACCCAGCTCCAACTCATATATATATATATATATATAAAATGGCACAATCTTGGCTCACTGCAACCTCTGCCTCCCAGGTTCAAGTGATTCTCCTGCCTCAGCCTCCTGAGTAGCTGGGATTACAGGCACCTGCCATCATGCTTGGCTAATTTTTGTATTTTTGTAGAGACAGGGTATCACCATGTTGGCCAGGCTGGTCTTGAACTCCTGACCTCAGGTGATCCATCTGCCTCAGCCTCCCAAAGTGATGGGATTACAGGTGTGAGCCACCGCGCCTGGCCCCAACTCATATTTTTAATGTAAAGATTTGATTTAATAATATTCATGAAATCATTGACTTCTGTACTAGCTGTATCTTTACTAATGTCACAGTAAAACAAAATATAACCTCCAGGACAAAATAATTTTATGTATATATATATATATATATATATATATATATATGTGTGTGTATATATATACGTATATATATATGTGTGTATATATATATACGTGTATATATATATATATATATACACGTATATATATATATATATATATATATATATATATATATATATATTTTTTTTTTTTTTTTAAGATGGAGTCTCACTCTGTCGCCCAGGCTAGAGTGCAATGGTGCGATCTTGGCTCACTGCAACCTCCACACCCCAGGTTCAAGTGATTCTCCTGCCTCAATCTCCCGAGCAGCTGGGATTACAGGCGCCCACCACCACGCCTGGCTAATTTTTGCATTTTTAGTAGAGACAGGGTTTCACCATGTTGCCCAGGCTGGTCTGGAACTCCTGACCTCAGGTGATCTGCCCGCCTTGGCCTCCCAACCATCTAGGATTACACGTATGAGCCATCGCGCCCGGCCAATTATTCATATTGTTAAAGAAAGAAAACAAGTCATAGTAGGATATTTAGAGTGTGAATCCATTTATACAGAAATCGAAAAGATCCACCACTATATATTTGAGGTAAAGTTTAAAAGGGTCAGCCAGGTGAGATCTGGAGTTTGAGACCAACCTGGCCAACATGATGAAACCCTGTCTGCACTAAAAATACAAAAATTAGCTGGGTGTGGTGGTGGATACCTGCAATTCCAGCTACTCAGGAGGCTGAGGCAGGAGAACCGCCTGAACCTAGGTTGCAGTGAGCAGAGATCGCTTCACTGCACTCCAGCCTGGGCACAGAGTGAGACTCTCTCTCAACAAAAAGGAAAAAAGAAAAGTTGACTCCCAGGGAGACATGCATCCAGCTCAAATCTGTCTCCCTCCTGGCTTTAAGGCAGTCATTTTATTAGTCAAGTTTTGGGGTTGGATTAGCAGGTGATTGGTGGAAGGAAGAGGGAGATGGGCAGAATCCTTGAGGATTCATGATTATCTTCTCATGCTAACTTATGGTTCGCGTGTGCAAATTCAGAGGGAGTTATCTGAAACGTGATGGAAATTCAGGCTGTGATGTCAGCAAGCTGGTTCTGCACAGACTCTAGTTGGCCACATTCGTTCCAACTGATTTCAGCCAGTTTTATTATCTTACGAATGAAAGGAGTTTCAGCATTTCAGCAAGTTGTTTCTTTCCTTATCTGCTATCCTGCAAACTCAAGAATTTCTGTTACTTACTGGTTTTGTTGTTGTTGTTGTTGTTGTTGTTGTTGTTGTTGTTGTGAGACAGGGTCTCCCTCTGTCACCCTGGTTGGAGTGCAGTGGTGCGCAATCGTGACTAACTGCAGCCTTGAACTCCTGGGCTCAAGCAATCCTTTTGCCCCAACCTCCTGAGTAACTGGGATGACAGGCATGCGCTACCATGCCCAGCTAATTTTTATTTTATGTAGAGACGGGTTCTCACTGTGTTGTCCAGGCTGGTCTTAAACTCCTGGGCTCAAGCAGTCCTCCTGCCTCAGCCTCCCAAAGTGCTGGGATTACAGACATGAGCCACTGTGCCCAGAGTTACTGATTTCTTTAACTCTTTGAGGCACAATTTCAGAAGGAAAGAAGGATGAAAATATTATGGTTGCAATAGCAGTTACTAAGCAAAAAACAAAACAAAACTAGGACGAAGACTGCCTGCCTGTCTAACATACCAAAATCCATTTCTCCTGGTTTGCTTTGCAAGGCTTAGTCTTCAGCGGCAAGACCTACCTGTGCAGACACTCATCTGGACCCTTCTGTAGCTAGTGCAGACAGCAGGTGCAGAGTGGCTCTCGAGGAACGGCTGTGTGTCCTGCACAGAGGCCTCCTGTGTGGGGCAGGGAGGACAGCAGGAACCGGACACAAACAAAACTACCCTGAAACAGCAGGAACAGGCAATTGCAGGCACAGCATTGAGGCATCGGTCTTACTTTGGGAGGCTGAGGCAGGTGGATCACTTGAGGTCAGAAGTTGGAGACCAACCTGGACAACATCGCGAAATCCCATCTCTACTAAAAATACAAAAATTAATCAACACAAATTTGGGAGTTCCTGCAACACCTCTCAGTGTCATCGGTGGAGGGTGTCCAGGTTCTTGGTGCCTTGAACAAGGAATTGGACAAAACACACAAAGCAAGGAAGGAATGAAGGGATTTATTGAAAATGAAAGTACACTCCACAGTGCAGGAGCGGGCTCGAGCATAGGGGCTCAAGGGCCCGGATACAGAATCTTCTTGGGTCCAAATACTCCCTACAGGTTTCCCATTGGCCACTTGGTGGTCAACTCGTGTAAACCAAGTGGTGGCCCGAAATCTGTCTGATTGGTTGTGGAAAGCAACCAATGGGAAGTTGAGGCAATCCAGTCAGGAGTCAATCTGGGTTTGGCTTTTGTTATTGCCATGGTTTCCGTCAGTGTAACACTAGGTTCAAATTCCTCTAGAATTACCTTGTGCTTCAGATGGGGGTTGAGTTGCTTCAGTGTCTTTCTTTCTCCCTCCCTCCCTCCATCCCTTCTTTCCTTCCTCCTGTTATATGTAAAGTTTCAGTGCCGCAAAACCAATTGCACTCAAATATAAAATTTTCTTTTAATTCTCAGCAAGGCAAGGTACTTCCATAGAAGGGTGCGCCCTTACAGATAGAGCAATGGTGAGCGCACACTTGGACAAGGGAGGGGAAGGGGTTCTTATCCGTGACCCACATGGCCCCTGCTGCTGTGTTGTTCCCCTATTGGTAGAGTTAGACCGCACAGGCTAAACTAATTCTGATTGGCTAATAACGGGGTGAGTGCTTTGGCAGGAAAAATGGTTATGACAGAGCAGGTAATCAGAATGAGTCAGGGTGGAGCAGGTGATTGAAATGAGTCAGGGTGGAGCAGGTAATCAAAAAAGGTTGCTTTATAAGGAAGTTAAGTTTAAAAGTAGAAGGTAAAGAATTGAACATACTGACATATTGATTCTTTGAAAATAAATTTAGAACTCATATCTAACACTTCCTTCCTTCCTTCCTTCTTTTTTTCTTTCTTCCTTCTTTCTTTGAGACAACGTCTTGCTCTGTCACCCAGGCTGGAGTGCAGTGGTTGCAATCATAACTCACTGCAGCCTTCAACTCCTGGGTTCAAGCAATTGATCCTCCCACTTTAGCCTCTCAAGTAGCTGAGACTACAGCTGTGCATCACCACACCTGGCTAATTTTTAAATTTTTTTTGTCAGGACTGGGCCTTGCCATGTTGCCCAGGCTGATCTTGAACTCCTGGCCTCAAGCAATCTCCCTGCCTCAGCCTCCTAAAACCCTGGAATTACCTCCCAAGGGTCGTTCTTAATATTTCTTCCTCACCCTCAGTTTCTGGTCTTCTCTGTGCACTCACACCTCGAGGGGCTCTCCCCACACTCTTGCCCCTCCTAATGGGAAAACTGCAGTTACTTGTTACTTCATGCTTCCTGTGTCCTTGGGTCTCAGAGGTAGAACTTTCTCAGTAATCCCTCCCCACTTCCCTATGGCAGCTTATAGTTTTTGTTTTCTAGGGGAGTAGAGATGAAGGGTCTGGGCCAGGTGCAGTGGCTCACGCCTGTAATCCCAGCCATTTGGGAGGCCAAGGCAGGCAGATCACCTGAGGCCAGGAGTTTGAGACCAGCTGGGCAACACGGTGAAACCCTGTCTCTACTAAAAATACAAAAATTAGCCAGGTGTGGTGGCGTGTGCCTGTAATCCCAGCCACTCAGGAGGCTGAAGCAGGAGAATCACTCGAACCTGGGAGGCGGACATTGCAGTGAGCCAGGATTGCACCACTGCATTCCACCCTGGGTGCCAAAGCAAGACTCCAACTCAAAAAATAAAGGGAGGTAGGCTCATCATCACTGGCCATCAGAGAAATGCAAATCAAAACCACAATGAGATACCATCTCACACCAGTTAGAATGGCAATCATTAAAAAGTCAGGAAACGACAGTTGCTGGAGAGGATGTAGAGAAATAGGAACACTTTTACACTGTTGGTGGGACTGTAAACTAGTTCAACCATTGTGGAAGACAGTGTGGTGATTCCTCAAGGATCTAGAACTAGAAATACCATTTGACCCAGCCATCCCATTACTGGGTATATACCCAAAGGATTATAAATCATGCTGCTGTAAAGACACATGCACACGTATGTTTATTGTGGCACTATTCACAATAGCAGAGACTTGGAATCAACCCAAATGTCCATCAATGATAGACTAGATTAAGAAAATGTGGCACATATACACCATGGAATACTATGCAGCCATAAAAAAGGATGAGTTCATGTCCTTTATAGGGACATAGATTAAGCTGGAAACCATCATTCTGAGCAAACTGTTGCAAGGACAGAAAACCAGACACCACATGTTCTCACTCATAGGTGGGTATTGAACAATGGGAACACTTGGACACAGGGTGGGGAACATCACACACTGGGGCCTGTCATGGGGTCGGGGATGGGGGGAGGGATAGCATTAGGAGATATACCTAATGTAAATGATGAGTTAATGGGTGCAGCACACCAACATGGCACATGTATACATATGTAACAAACCTGCACGTTGGCACATGTACCCTAGAACTTAAAGTATAATAATAATTGTTTTTAAAAAAGAAAGAAATGAAGAGTCTGGATGGTGTTTATGCCTTTCCCACAAATGTGGCCAATCCTATCTAGAAATATGAATAAAATTCTAAGTGCCCCCCCACCCCCACCCAACTGGCTGAATGGACCACCTCCTGGCCAAGGGAATGCAGAGTCACCTTGAAAACAGAATGCTTGGCCATGATGGGATAGGGGGTCTGATGCACCTCATTGTTAACGCTCCCTTCATCACTAACTACAATTAGATTTTCTTCCCTAAGGGCTAAACAGAAACCAGCCCTTTCAAAAGACTCCACACTGATATCACCTATAACCACCTGAGGCTGCTCCTTCTTTTTTACCTGATAAGAGACCTCCATGGTCTGGTCAGTCCATGGAGAATGCTCAATAAAGGTTTCTACATCTTCATGTCACCTTTTGATATCAGAAGGCTGAAAACTCCACCCTTGAATCAGGCTGATACTGCCATGTTTTTGTACATGGGACCCATGAAGGGACATGAAGCACACTTGCACATGTGTTTCTCCTTTCATAAATATTCATGACTCCTATATCTTATTAAATATGTATGTTCAGCCATCCCGCTCAGCATAAATTCCTATTCCCTTTGCTCCTCCCTTGAAGTGACTGTTTCTGGCTTGTGACCAGAGGCTATGCTTCCCAGCCTGTCAGAATGGCCACTCTGCAGGCTGCAACCCTTTATGAGAAATAAAGCTCTCCTTTCCAAATGAGCCTCGTTGTCTTCAGTTGTCACTATCCTCTAGCCCTGTACCAACGAGGGAGGTGGTCTCTGGTGTCCTGCTCTGCTCCTGGTCTTTCTCATAAACTGGAGGTCTATGAAAACTCTCCTTGAGTCTGCAGTGCCCAGGACTTTATATGCCTACTCTAGTTTGCACTCAGGCTCCAGCAAATTTGCTAAAAATGTTAGCTAAATAATGTTTTCTCTCGTGCATGGCACCAGGAACCTCTTCCTCTTGTACTGCACACAGGTAAGCTGGTGCTCATGTCCCATCTATCACTGGGGAGGCAACTGTCTTTCCTTAGATTTCAGGCTACACAGTTGCCCTGCCCCTTCAGCTTTCCAGTAGGTTCAAGAAAAAGTTTGCTTTTGAGGTTTCCTGGCTCTTTGCTTTTGCAATTTTCCTGCTTTTGCTAGGGTGGGACAACTGCTGTTTCTCCCTTACTGTGTCCTAGGTGGGAGAAGGATTACTTGGTAATATCCATCTTGCACTTTGAATGATTTTGTAACATCACGCATTGGTCATTTGGAAAATGTTGGTTCGCTAAGCTATGCAAAACTTCCAAATGTCAGTTTTATTATACAATATCAAAAATCACATTTTAAAAATATCACTAGTGATCTCATCTAAAAGGTATCTAAATATTGAGAAGCTGTCCAAGCACAGTGGCTCATGCCTGTAATCCCAGCACTGCACTTTGAGAGGCCGAGGCAGGTGGGTCACTTGAGGTCAGGAGTTTGAGACCAGCCTGGCCAACATGGTGAAACCCCATCTCTACTAAAAATACAAAAATTAGCTGGGCATGGTGGCAGGCGCCTATAATCCCAGCCACCTGGGTGTCTGAGCCAAAAGAATCGCTTGAACCCGGGAAGCAGAGGTTGCAGTGAGCCGAGACCTTGCTATTGCACTCCAGCTTGGGCGACAAGAGTGAAACTCCATCTCAAAAAAGAAAGAACGAAAGAAAGAAAGAAATTGAGAAGCTGTCAAGCTCTTGGTGGCAGATAACAAGTTTTCCCAAAATCCTAATGCTCAACTTGAAAGCTTGAATTTTATCATTGGCAAAACATACTGCCAGTTGTTTCCCTTGAAGTGACAGGCTCATTTTGTTCATTTTTGAGAAAATGTCTGCCAAATACCAGAGTCTGAATATCTGTACTTTGATGTGTCAGAACTTTCTTCCAAGTAAAACAGTGTGCCATGATAAAAAGCAGCTAGTTCAGCTCGCAACTCAAGCAACTGCACCAGTGTCTCACCTTGAAAAGCCATTGTACCCAGTGTGTGGCGGAATCCTGTTCTGTGTTCACTCCGTCACAATCTTCAGAAGTGGACTCGAGAATTCAAATTTAATAACACTAATTCTTACTGCTTCATTAGGAACATTCTTAAGTGAAAGTGGATTGTTTTAAACTGTGAGTAGACTCACACTTGTAATCCCAGCACTTAGGGAGGCTGAGGTGAGCAGATCACCTGAGGTCGGGAGTTCGAGACCAGCCTGGGTAACATGTCGAAACCCTGTCTCTAATAAAAATACAAATATTAGCCAGGCATGGTGGCCCATGCCTGTAGTCCCAGCTACTAGGGAAGCTGAGGCAGGAGAATCGCTTGAACCCGGGAGGTGGGGGTTGCAGTGAGCCGAGATTGCACCACTGTACTCCAGCCTGGGCCACAGAGCAAGACTCTGTCATAAATAAATAAATAAAATAAAATAAGTTAGCCGGTTGTGGTGGCGCACACTTGTATTCCCAGCTACTCGGGAGGCTGAGGTGGGAGGATTGCTTGAGCCTGAGCAATTGGGGCTGTGGTGAGCCATGATTGTGCTGCTGCACTCCAGCCTGGGTGACAGAGGGAGATTCTATCTCAAAACATAAAAATCAATAAAAAGTAAAAATAAATAAATAAACTGTGAGTGGTGAAGAATACAATGAGTTCTAGTACAGTCAGTGCCACTGACAAATTAACGTCAAGTACAAGCAGTATTACTCGCTGTTGGTTTTATACCATCTGTGCAAATACCAAAATAAAAGGTAAATGACATCTTAGTATTATCGTAAATAAATATAAATTGTAAAATGGTTTTTACCTTGTAGACCCCTTGAAAGAATCTCTGGGATCCCAGAGGTCTACAGATTCAACTTTTTTTTTTCTTTTTTTGAGACAGAGTCTCACTCTGTCACCCAGGCTGAAGTGCGATCTCGGCTCACTGCAACCTCCACCTCCCACGTTCAAGTGATTCTCGTGCCTCAGTGTCCCAAGTAGCTGGGGCTACAGGCATGTGCCACCACGCCTAGCTAATTTTTGTATTTTTAGTAGAGATCAGGTTTCACCTTGTTGGCCAGGCTGGTCTCGAACTCCTGACTGCAAGTGATCCACCCACTTCTGCCTCCCAAAGTGCTGGGATTACAGGTGTAAGCCACCATGCCAGGCCCCAAATTAAACTTTGAGAACTTCGATAGAGCTTGGCAGAGTGCCTGGCATACAGTAGCAATCCAATAAATAATTAGTTCAATAAATCAATGAACTAATAATTTGTATTTATTTTACTTTTCAAAATAAAGATAGAAAGCTGGGCGTGAAGGTTCACACCTGTAATCCCAGTGCTTTGGGAGGCTGAGGTGGGAGGATCACTTCAGGCCAGGAGTTCAAGATCAGCCTGGGCAAAGTTGCAAGACCCCATCTCTCTACAAAAAAAATTAAAAATTAGCCTGGAGTGGTGATGCATGCCTGTAGTCAAGAATACTTGGAAGGCTGAGGCAGGAGGATCACTTAAGCCCAGTACTTGGAGGTTACGGTGAGCTATGATCTTGTCACTGCACTCCAGCCCGGACAAAGAGTGAGACTCTGTTTTTAAAAACAAATAAATAAATAAAGATAGATCTCCTCCTGTCTTTTTATGGGAAAGGAGGCTATTTCTCTAAGGAACAAGACAATTTTGATCCGACATCCTATTCCGAGCGGATTGCAGGTCAGTTCATGTCCTGGATGAACTGATTTGTCAGGGGACCTTTCCCCAGACCCTTCAGACCCTTTTTTTTCTTTTTTTTATGTTTTTTTTTGAGACAGAGTCTTGCTCTGTTGCCAGGCTGGAGTGCAGTGGCGCGATCTCAGCTCACTGCAACCTCTGCCTCTCGGGTTCAAGGGATTCTCCTGCCTCAGCCTCCTGAGTAGCTGGGATTACAGGTGAGTGCCACCATGCCCAGCTAATTTTTGTATTTTTAGTAGAGACAGGGTTTCACCATGTTGGTCAGGCTGGTCGCAAACTCCTGACTTCATGATCCACCCACATTGGCCTATGGAATTACAGGTGTGAGACACCATGCCGGTCCCCCAGACCCTTTTCTTGTTAAGGTATCTCATGACCTCCTCCAAACTAGAGAGGAAACATGATCCAGTTCTGATTACCATCATAATTTCTGCGACATGGAAGGTCAGAGAATAATAGCTAGGAATCAGCCTCTGCGGATCAGCCAAGCCAGGGGTTCCCAGCTCTGGCTGATCATCAGAACCACCTGGGAAGCTTTATTTCTTATAAAAAATTTCAAGCAAGTAAAAGGGTAGAACAGCATAGTGAGCCCCCATGTATCCATCATCTGGACTCAGCAATGGTCACTTCATGGCCAATTTCATTTCTTCTGTACCTCCCCCTACTGCCTCCCCTAGCTATTTTGAAGCAAATCCCCTAAATTCTATCATTCCACCCATCAATATTCAGCAGGTATCTCCAAAACATAAGTATGTAAAAATACAACCATTATCACATCTAAGGCAAAATAGTGATAATAATTCCTCCTTTGGGAGGCCAAGGCAGGAGGATCACTTGAGGCCAGGAGTTTGAGACCAGCCTGGGCAACTTAGCAAGACCCTGTCTGAAAAAAAAAGGTGGGGGAGAGAGAGAGAGAGAGACAGAAAAGAGAAAGAAAGAAAGAAAAAGAAAGAGAGAAAGAAAGAAAGAAAGAAAGAAAGAAAGAAAGAAAGAAAGAAAGAAAGAGAAAGAGAAAAAGAAAAGAAAGAAAAGGAAGAAGGAAGGAAGGAAAAGAAAGGAAGGAAGGAAGGAGAGAAAAGCGGGGAGAGAGGGAGAGAGGCAGGAGAGGGAGAGAAGGAGGGAGGGAGGAAAGAAGGGAGAGAGGAAGGAAGGAAGGAAAGAGAAAGGGGAGAGAGAGGGAGAGATGCAGGAGAGGGAGAGAAGGAGAGAGGGAGGAAGGAAGGGAGGGAGGGAAGGAGGGAGGGTGGGAAGGACGGAGGGAGGGAAGGAGGGAGGGAGGGAGGAAGGCAAAGGAAAGAAAGAGAAAGAGAGAAAGAAAAGGAAGAAGGAAGGAAGGAAGGAAAAGAAAGGAAGGAAGGAAGGGGAGAAAAGGGGGGAGAGAGGGAGAGAGGCAGGAGAGGGAGAGAAGGAGGGAGGGAGGAAGGAAGGGAGGGAGGAAGGGAGGGAGGAAGGGAGGAAAGAGAAAGGGGAGAGAGAGGGAGAGATGCAGGAGAGGGAGGGAGGGAGGAAGGGAGGGAGGGAAGGAGGGAGGGAGGAAGGCGAAAGAAAGAAAGAAAGGAAAGAAAGGAAGGAAGGAAGGAAAAGAAAGGAAGGAAGGAGAGAAAAGGGGAAGAGAGGGAGAGAGGCAGGAGAGGGAGAGAAGGAGGGAGGGAGGGAGGAAGGGAAGAAAGGAAGGAAGGAGAGAGAAAGGGGGAGAGAGGGAGAGAGGCAGGAGAGGGAGAGGAGGGAGGGAGGAAGTAAGGGAGGGAGGGAGGAAGGGAGGGAGGGAGGAAGGGAGGGAGGGAGGAAGGAAGGAAGGAAGGAAGGAAGGAAGGAAGGAAAGAGAAAGGGGGGAGAGAGGGAGAGAGGCAGGAGAGGGAGAGGAGGGAGGGAGGAAGTAAGGGAGGGAGGGAGGAAGGAAAGAGAAAGGGGGGAGAGAGGGAGAGAGGCAGGAGAGGGAGAGGAGGGAGGGAGGAAGTAAGGGAGGGAGGGAGGAAGGAAAGAGAAAGGGGGGAGAGAGGGAGAGAGGCAGGAGAGGGAGAGAAGGAGGGACGGAGAGAGGAGGGAAGGGAGGGAGGGAAGGAGGGAGGGAGGCAGGCGAAAGAAAAAGAAAGAAAGAAAAAAAGAGAGAAAGAAAAAGAAACAAGCAAACGCTTTACAAAGCGAAACAAGAGCTTTCAGATTGAGGAGGCCCTAGGCTGCCGCCAAACTTCCCCAGAATTACACACCCTTGGCCTCCTTCCGGGTGATTCCCAGTGTAGCCAAATCATTTGTGGGGCAACTCTTCAGCACTTTGGTCAGGATTTAATGGGCCCCGGGGCCAAATGCTGCAACCGCACGTCAGTCATCCTCTCGAGAAACTGATTTTTTGTTACTGACAGTGATTATTTCATTGATAATAATCATACCAAAGCCATTTTAAAATCTCAGACATAGAAGCCTACCAACACTGAGCTGCTTTCTAGAGGAAGCAAAATTAACCTGAAGAATGACACTTCCTTGTACAGATCCATAAGTGGTGCCCTCATATTTTTCTAATTTATCTTTCTTGTTCTTGTCTCACTCTCCCCTCAATGATACAAGTGGCCACGCAGTATCTTGCTCATTATTTACATGCAAACCAGGACTCCAGGGTTACAGTTGTCTGCTCTCTGGAGGAAATGAGGTCGATGTTTTCTTTTGCCGGTTGCATATATTATTGACCTGGTGGCCCTCCCAGCCCTAAGGGCCTCCCGGTCTGCCCTCCGTGTAAATGTGCCCAGCCATTGTAGCAACATATGCCATATATCATCATAATGTTAAAACAACCTCGGAGACTAAAGAATTACTTTCCCTGGCTTCCCTCTAGTCCCTTTGAACTGTGCTGGGCCTTTGCTGAGGGCCTGGAGCCAGGAGCAGCAGGCAAGCCAACCCTTGCCCTGCACAGCAGGGGTGGTAAGGGGCACCAGCAAGGCAGGACGAAGCCCATTTACAGACCACAAAGCCACGCCACTGAAATGGGAATCACCCAGGAGGTGACGGCCTGCACCCTAAGCCATTTTAGGAACTGCATATGTTTTTCTCATTTTATTTTTATTTTTATTTTTTTGAGATGGAGTCTCGCTCTGTCGCCCAGGCTGGAATGCAGTGGCACAATCTTGGCTCACTACAACCTCCACATTCTGGGTTCAAGCAACTCTCCTGCCTCAGCCTCCTGAGTAGCTGGGATCACAGGCATGCACCACCACACCTGGCTAATTTTTTGGTATTTTTAGTAAAAACTGGGCTTCACCATGTTGACCAGGCTGGTCCCGAACTCCTGACCTTAGGTGATCTACCTGCCTTGGCCTCCCAAAGTGCTGGGATTACAAACATAAGCCACCGCACCCAGCCTGTTTTTCTCATTTTAAAAATTTACACTTGAGCTCAGGAGTTCAAGACCAGTCTGGGCAACGTGGCGAAACCCCGTCTCTACCAAAACTACAAAAAATTAGCCGGGTTTGGTGGTGTGTGTCTGTGGTCCCAGCTACTCAGGAGGCTGAGCGGGGAGGATCACTTGAGCCCTGGAGGCAGAGTTTGCGGTGAGCTGAGATCTTGCCACTGTACTCCAGCTTGGGTGACAGAGTGAGACACTGTCTCAAGTGGAAAGAAAAAAATTTACTAGTAGTATATGAGGTACACCTTGTGGTGCTCTTTCATTATGGTTCTACTTTTTCCAAGTGAATATCTTTTTCTTTCTGTTCTTTAAATCACAACAGAATACATGATCACAAAAGAAAAATCAGAAAATACAAGGAAGCAGAAATAAAGGAATCAACAAATGCCATGCACTGAAGGAAAAGACACTGTCATCGCTCAATGTAGGTCCTTCACTATCCCTTTATTCCATTCATTCATTCATGTAAAAAGGATTTTTGAGCTACCAATGTGCCAGGTGCTATGCAGGTGTTAGACATGAAGTCGTCAAAATATAGTTCCTTTCCTAAAACACATCAACCAAGTGGAGACAGAGAAGTAAATAAACAATTATCCTGTAATCCCAGCACTTTGGAAGGCCGAGGCAGGAGGATCACCTGAGGTCGGGAGTTCGAGACCAGCCTGACCAACACTGTGAAACCCCGTTTCTACTAAAAATACAACATTAGCCAGGCGTGGTGGCGCAGGCCTGTAATCCCAGCTACTCGGGAGGCTGAGACAGGAGATCACTTGAACCCGGGAGGCAGAGGTTGTGGTGAGCTGAGATCGCACCATTGCACTCCAGCCTGGGCAACAAGAGTGAGACTCCATCTCAAAAAAAAAAAAAATTACAACTAAAGATTCCTACATATACAGCTATCCATATATGTAGATACAGTCTTTGCAAAAATTAGAATATATCATGAATGCTATTAACCTAAGTTTTGGCCTTAATATGTCAGAAAAAGATTTTCATGTCAGTAGATTCATTACAGAACAACAAAAACAAACTCTAGAATTAAACCTAGCAAGAACTGTGGCCGGGTGTGGTAGCTCATGCCTGTAATCCCGGCACTTTGGGAGGCCGAGGCAGGAGGATCACTTGAGATCAGGAGTTCCAGACTAGCCAGACCAACATAGCAAGAGATCTCATCTCTAAAAAAATTCAAATAAAAAATTAGCCAAGCATGGTGGCATGCACCCTTAGTCCCAGCTGATCAAGAGGTTGAGGTAGGAGGATCAAGTGAGCCCAGGAGTTGGAGGTTACAGTGAGCTATGATCATGCCACTGCACTCCATCCTGGGTGACAGAGCAAAATCCTATCTCTTGAAAAAGAGAAAAAAAAAAAAAAAGAATTGTGCAAAACCTACCTGAAGAAAACCAAATAATTTTTTTAAATTATACATTAAGTTCTGGGATACATGTGCAGAACGTGCAGGTTTGTTACATAGGTATACATGTGCCATGATGGTTTGCTGCACCCATCAACCCATCATCTACATTAGGTATTTCTCCTAATGCTATCCCTCCCCTAGCCCCCCACTGCCCGACAGGCCCCGGTGTGTGATGTTCCCCTCCCTATGTCCATGTGTTCTCATTGTTCAACTCCCACTTATGAGTGAGAACATGCTGTGTTTGGTAAGAAAACCAAATAATTTTTACTGAAGATCATTAAAATAAGAAATTCTAAAGATCAAGATATAAATCAGGCTGGACGAGTGGCTCACGCCTGTAATCCCAGCACTTTGGGAGGCTGAGACGGGTGGATCACGAGGTCAGGAAATCAAGACCATCCTGGCTAACATGGTGAAACCCCGTCTCTACTAAAAATACAAAAAAAAAAATTAGCCGGGTGTGGTGGCGGGCGCCTGTAGTCCCAGCTACTTGGGAGGCTGAGGCAGGAGAATGGTGTGACCCCGGGAGGCGGAGCTTGTAGTGAGCCGAGATAGCTCCACTGCACTCCAGCCTGGGCGACTCCGTCTCAAAAAAAAAAAAAAAAAGGATATAAATCAAATGCAACGACTCAATGCTATCAAACTATGATTCTCTACAAATAGTCTACATATTTGATACAATCCCACACAAAATCCACGCACATTTTATTATGAATTTGTTAATATTCGCAAGCTCATTTGGAAGAGTAAATATCAGAATAAAACATCCATACAGGCCAAGCATGGTGGCTCATGCCTGTAATCCCAGCATTTTGGGAGGCTGAGGCAGGTGGATCACTTGAGGTCAGGAATTCAAGATCAGACTGGCCAACATGGTGAAACCCTGTCACTACTAAAAATACAAAAATTAACTGGGCATGGTGGTGCGCACCTGTAGTCCCAGCTACTAGGGAGGCTGAGGCAGGAGAATCGCTTGAACCTGGGAAGCAGAGGTTGCAGTGAGCTGAGATTGCACCATTGCACTACAGCCTGGGCAACAGAGTGAGACACCATCTCAAAAAGAAAAAAAAATCAGCAGTAAAACAGCATAATATTGATATAATGCCATGAGGGATCAGTAGAAGAGAAATTCCAGAAACAACCTTTATTTAAAAACTAGTTTAAATTTGGCATTTCGAATTAAAGAGGAAGTAATGAAATTATAAACACTGTTGGAAGAACTGCCTGTTGTTTTGGAAAAGAATCTTATACTAAAAATAATAACCCCAAAATAAGTGTCAGATAATTTATAGACCCAAAGCAATAAAAAGTATTATAACAGAAGAAAATATGATTAATGTTTATAGTTTTTGAATAGGAAAAACATATATATATATTGAGACAGAGTCTTGCTCTGTTGCCTGGCTGGAGTTCAGTGGTACAACCATGGCTCACTGCAGCCTCCATGCCTCCCAATTTCAAGCAATTCTCTCCTGCCTCAGCCTCCTGAGTAGCTGGAACTACAGGTGCACACCACCATGCCTGGCTAATTTTTCATATTATTTTTAGTAGAGGCAGAATTTCACCATGTTGGCCAGGCTGGTCTCAAGCTCCTAGCCTAAGGTGATCTGCCTGCCTTGGCCTCCCAAAGAGCTGGGATTACAGGAGTGAGCCACAGTGCCCAGCCAGAATAGGAAAAATATTCTTAGGCAAATATAATAGCATTAAAAAAAATTATCAGATTTAACTGTGTAAATATAATAAACTTTTCTCCAATAAAAGATGCTACAAAGTTTTTTTAGAAACTCTTATAATTCAAGAAAATATTTACAATACTTTTAGCAGACAAAAGATTAATATCCAGTTATATAAACATCTCCTACAAATAGGAAAAGACAAAACACTACAAAAGAGAACAAACAAGACGAAGGGCAATTCAGGGAAGAAGAAAAATAAATGGCTAATGCGTATATGAAAAGTTTATTCAACTCCTCTAATGCTCAGGGGAATGCAAATTTAAATTGATATTACATTTCATTATTAGATTGCAGAAAATTAAATATTTCAACACTCAATGTTGGAAAATATGAGGAAAATTGATGCTTATAAATTGCTGAAATGTGAAACAGCATAGCTTTGGTGAGCATAATTTAGGAATATGTTTTAAAATTATAAATATGTAAACCATGACTGCAATTCTTCTAGAAATAGATCTTAAGGAATTTATATATATATATAGAGAGAGAGAGAGAGAGAGAGAGAAAGAGAGAGAGAGAAAATGAGAGAGATAGAAAGAGAGAGAGATATATATTGAGAGAGAGAGAGAGAAAGAGAGAAACACGGTCTTGCTATGTTGCCCAGGCTGGTTTTGAAATCCTGAGCTCAAGCAATCCTCTTGCCTCAGCCTCCCAAAGTGCTAGGATTACAGGTGTGAGTGACTGCACCTGGTCAGAAATTTTTTTTTAATATTTATTTATTTAGTTAGTTATTAAGAAGGAGTCTTGCTCCATTGCCCAGGCTGGAGTGCAGTGGTACAATTTCAGCTCATTGCAACTTCCACCTCCTGGTTTCAAGCGATTCTCTTGCCTCAATCCCCCAAGTAGCTGGGATTACAGTCACTCACCACCACTCCCAGCTAATTTTTGTATTTTTAGTAGAGATGGAGTTTCACCATGTTGGCCAGGCTGATCTTGAACTCCTGACCTCAAGTGATCCACCCCTCGGCCTCCGAAAGTGCTGGGATTACAGGCATGAGCCACTGCGCCAAGCCCAGAAATGTTTTTTAAATGGAGCCAAGCTTCTCTCGAAATAATTCACTTTGCTAAATGTCCATCTGTAGGGAACTGGTTAAATAAAGTGTATACCCATTAACTGTATCAGTCAGCTATTACTGCTTAACAAGCCACCCCCAAAACTCAGCTATCTCTCCTGGCTCCTGTCTCCGTGGGTTGGCTGGGAACTGGCTAATTGAGGCTGTGCTCTGCAGGGTGGCTGTGCTGCAAGCTGCAGGTCCAGTGGGCTGGGCTCCTGGATGTGCACTGGCTTATGGCTGCTCCACAGGTGTTCATTTTCATTCTTTGGAAAGAGCAGCAAAACAGATAAACATCCAGCCAGACTGATCAAGACAAACAGAAAAATGGACAAATTCCTTGAAAACTACAACTTGCCAAAATTAAGACAAAATGCAACAAAATCTGAAAAGTCCTATGGATCTACTAATGAATTTGAATTGGTAGTTAAACATCCTCCAAGAGAGAAAACTCCAGGGTCCAAATGGCTTCTCTGGTGAAGCCTATTATAATTTCAAGGAGGAAATAGCACCAATCTCACACACCCTTTTGCAAAACAGACACAATAAGAGGGGACACTTCTCATCCCCTGCTTTGAAACCAGCAACACCTAACACCAAAATCTGACAAAGACATTTAATTTAAGATTTAAAAATAAATGTAAGGCCAGGCACAGTGTTCACTCCTGTAATTCCAGCACTTCGGGAGGCCGAGGCGGGTGGATCACTTGAGGCCAGGAGTTCGAGACCAGCCTGGCTAACATGGTGAAACCCCATCTCTACCAAAAATTAGCCCATGTGGTGGTGCACCCCTGTAATCCCAGCTACTTAGGAGGCTGAGTCAGGAGAATTGCTTGAACCTGAGAGGCAGAGGCTGCAGTGAGCAGAGATCACGCCACTGCACTCCAGCCTAGGCAACAGAGCAAAACCCTGTCTCAAAAAAAAAAAAAGTCAATACCATTTACCATGTTAACAGAATATAACAGAAAAACCAATGATCATTTCAATAAATGTAGAAAAATACTTGACATATTTTAACATCTATTCATGATTTAAAGAACTTTTTTAGCAAACTGAAATAGAAGAGAATAGAAATAGAGGGGAATTTCCTCAATCTGATCAAGGACACCTTTGAAGAGCCTACAGTTAAAATCATCCTTGGCCGAGCACAGTGACTCACGCCTGTAATCCCAGCAATTTGGGAGCCCGAGGCAGGCAGATCACTTGAGGTCAGGAGTTCGAGACCAGCCTGGCCAACATGGTGAAACCCAATCTCTACTAAAAATACAGAAATTAGCCAGGCATGGTGGCACAAGCCTGTAATCCCAGCTACTAGGGAGGGTGAGACAGGAGAATCACTTGAACCCCGGAGGCAGAGGTTGCAGTGAGCTGAGATCGCGACACTGCACTCCAGCCTGGGCGATAGAGCAAGACACCATCTCAAAAAAATCATAATAAAATTAAAATAAAAAATAAAATCATCCTTAAAGGCGAAATAGTGAATGCTTTCCCCCAAGGCTGGAGACAAGGTACGAATGCTTACTCCTAACACTTTTATTCAATATTGTCTTGGAAGTTTTAGCCATTGCAGTTAGACATTAAGTAAATAAAAATAAAGTAAAATGAAATAAAATACAATAATAATATGAAATGAAATATAATACATAAATATTGGAAAGGAAGAATCCCCTGGAAATTATATGATTGTTTACATAAAGAACTCTAAGGACTCTACAAAACAATTGCTAGGACTAGTAAGGGAATTTAGCAGTTGGCTCGGGGGTGGGAAGGACCTTGGGGTCCGCACTTAGTAGAACCGGGGCATTCATGATCCTCCTGGACAGGAAGCTCACGAGGATGGTAGGGCCAAAGCCTAAAACCATGCAGTGTCTGAGGTTTCTTCTGCTTTGAACAAACTAACCAAATATGTTCAGCCGGGCACAGTGGCTCATGCCTGTAATCCTAGCATTTTGAGAGGCCAAGGTGGGTGGATCACCTGATGTCAGTGGTTGAGATGAGCCCGGCCAACATGGCGAAACCCGTCTCTACTAAAAGTATAAAAATTAGCTGGGCAAGGTGGTGCATGCCTGTAATCCCAGCTACTCGGGGGGCTGAGGCAGGATAATTGCTTGAACCTGAGAGGCGGAGGTTACAGTGAGCCGAGATTGGACCACCGCACTCCAGGTTGGGCGAGAGAGTGAGACTCTCTCAAAAAAACAATAAAAAATAAAAATTAGAAAAAATCGCTTCAACCTGGGAGGCAGAGGTTGCAGTGAGCCGAGATTGCACCACTGCACTCCACCCAGACAACAGAGCAAGACTCCGTCTCAAAAAATAAAATAAAATAAAAGGAAAAGAAAAAAGAAATTTCAGGCAGAGGAGGTCGCGGCGCCGGAGGCCCCAGAAGGGTCGAAGGCGCCGCGGGCTGGGGTCGGTGGCTTAGGGAGCCCGTCCGGCCATGGTGGCCGCGGCTGGTGGTTGGCGCGGCTGCGCTGCGGCCCGGGGCAGTGCGGAGCCAGGACAGTCGCGGCGCTGACGCCCGCGGGCCCCAGCTGCAGATATGAAGCGGAGCCGCTGCCGCGACCGACCGCAGCCGCCGCCGCCCGACCGCCGGGAGGATGCAGTTCAGCGGGCAGCGGAGCTGTCTCAGTCTTTGCCGCCGCGCCGGCGAGCGCCGCCCGGGAGGCAGCGGCTGGAGGAGCGGACGGGCCCCGCGGGGCCCGAGGGCAAGGAGCAGCCGCCTGCCTTGGCCTCCCAAAGTGCCGAGATTGCAGCCTCTGCCCGGCTGCCACCCCGTCTGGGAAGTGAGGAGTGTCTCTGCCTGGCCGCCCATCGTCTGGGATGTGAGGAGCCCCTCTGCCTGGCTGCCCAGTCTGGAAAGTGAGGAGCGTCTCCGCCCGGCCGCCATCCCATCTAGGAAGTGAGGAGCGCCTCTTCCCAGCCGCCATCACATCTAGGAAGTGAGGAGCGTCTCTGCCCGGCCGCCCATCGTCTGAGATGTGGGGAGCGCCTCTGCCCCGCCGCCCCATCTGGGATGTGAGGAGCGCCTCTGCCCGGCCGAGACCCCGTCTGGGAGGTGAGGAGCGTCTCTGCCCGGCCGCCCCGTCTGAGAAGTGAGGAGACCCTCTGCCTGGCAACCACCCCGTCTGAGAAGTGAGGAGCCCCTCCGCCCGGCAGCTGCCCCGTCTGAGAAGTAAGGAGCCTCTCCGCCCGGCAGCCACCCCATCTGGGAAGTGAGGAGCGTCTCCGCCCGGCAGCCACCCCGTCCGGGAGGGAGGTGGGGGGGGGTCAGCCCCCCGCCCGGCCAGCCGCCCCATCCGGGAGGGAGGTGGGGGGTCAGCCCCCCGCCCGGCCAGCCGCCCCATCCGGGAGGGAGGTGGGGGGTCAGCCCCCCCGCCCGGCCAGCCACCCCGTCCGGGAGGGAGGTGGGGGGGTCAGCCCCCCGCCCGGCCAGCCGCCCCGTCCGGGAGGGAGGTGGGGGGGGGTCAGCCCCCCCGCCCAGCCAGCCGCCCTGTCCGGGAGGTGAGGGGCGCCTCTGCCCGGCCGCCCCTACTGGGAAGTGAGGAGCCCCTCAGCCCGGCCAGCCGCCCCGTCCGGGAGGGAGATGGGGGGGTCAGTCCCCCCACCCGGCCAGCCGCCCCGTCCGGGAGGGAGGTAGGGGGGTCAGCCCCCCGCCCGGCCAGCCGCCCTGTCCGGGAGGGAGGTGGGGGGGTCAGCCCTCCGCCCGGCCAGCCGCCCCGTCTGGGAGGTGAGGGGCGCCTCTGCCCGGCCGCCCCTACTGGGAAGTGAGGAGCCCCTCTGCCCGGCCAGCCGCCCCGTCCGGGAGGGAGGTGAGGGGGTCGGCCCCCCGCCCGGCCAGCCGCCCCGTCCGGGCGGTGAGGGGCGCCTCTGCCCGGCCGCCCCTACTGGGAAGTGAGGAGCCCCTCAGCCCGGCCAGCCACCCCGTCCGGGAGGGAGGTGGGGGGGTCGGCCCCCCGCCCGGCCAGCCGCCCTGTCCGGGAGGGAGGTGGGGGGGTTGGCCCCCCGCCCGGCCAGCCGCCCCGTCCGGGAGGGAGGTGGGGGGGTCGGCCCCCCGCCCGGCCAGCCGCCCCGTCCGGGAGGGAGGTGGGGGGGGGTCTGCCCCCCTGCCCGGCCAGCCGCCCCGTCCGGGAGGTGAGGGGCGCCTCTGCCCGGCCGCCCCTACTGGGAAGTGAGGAGCCCCTCTGCCCGGCCAGTCGCCCCGTCCGGGAGGGAGGTGAGGGGGTCGGCCCCCCGCCCGGCCAGCCGCCCCGTCCGGGCGGTGAGGGGCGCCTCTGCCCGGCCGCCCCTACTGGGAAGTGAGGAGCCCCTCAGCCCGGCCAGCCACCCCGTCCGGGAGGGAGATGGGGGGGTCAGTCCCCCCACCCGGCCAGCCGCCCCGTCCGGGAGGGAGGTAGGGGGGTCAGCCCCCCGCCCGGCCAGCCGCCCTGTCCGGGAGGGAGGTGGGGGGGTCAGCCCTCCGCCCGGCCAGCCGCCCCGTCTGGGAGGTGAGGGGCGCCTCTGCCCGGCCGCCCCTACTGGGAAGTGAGGAGCCCCTCTGCCCGGCCAGCCGCCCCGTCCGGGAGGGAGGTGGGGGGGTCGGCCCCCCGCCCGGCCAGCCGCCCCGTCCGGGAGGGAGGTGGGGGGGGGTCGGCCCCCCTGCCCGGCCAGCCGCCCCGTCCGGGAGGTGAGGGGCGCCTCTGCCCGGCCGCCCCTACTGGGAAGTGAGGAGCCCCTCTGCCCGGCCAGCCGCCCCGTCCGGGAGGGAGGTGGGGGGGTCAGCCCCCCGCCCGGCCAGCCGCCCCGTCCGGGAGGGAGGTGGGGGGGGTCAGCCCCCCCGCCCAGCCAGCCGCCCTGTCCGGGAGGGAGGTGGGGGGTCAGCCCCCCCGCCCGG
This sequence comes from Homo sapiens, assembly GCF_000001405.40. Taxonomy (NCBI): domain Eukaryota; kingdom Metazoa; phylum Chordata; class Mammalia; order Primates; family Hominidae; genus Homo; species Homo sapiens. The sequence continues at coordinate 29,899,538 of NC_000019.10, read as the reverse complement.
CCAGCCGTGCCATCCGGGAGGGAGGTGGGGGGGTCAGCCCCCCGCCCGGCCAGCCGCCCCGTCCGGGAGGTGAGGGGCGCCTCTGCCCGGCCGCCCCTACTGGGAAGTGAGGAGCCCCTCAGCCCGGCCAGCCACCCCGTCCGGGAGGGAGATGGGGGGCTCAGCCCTCCGCCCGGCCAGCCGCCCCGTCTGGGAGGTGAGGGGCGCCTCTGCCCGGCCGCCCCTACTGGGAAGTGAGGAGCCCCTCTGCCCGGCCAGCCGCCCCGTCCGGGAGGGAGGTGGGGGGGTCGGCCCCCCGCCCGGCCAGCCGCCCCGTCCGGGAGGGAGGTGGGGGGGGTCGGCCCCCCTGCCCGGCCAGCCGCCCCGTCCGGGAGGTGAGGGGCGCCTCTGCCTGGCCGCCCCTACTGGGAAGTGAGGAGCCCCTCTGCCCGGCCAGCCGCCCCGTCCGGGAGGGAGGTGGGGGGGTCAGCCCCCCGCCCGGCCAGCCGCCCCGTCCGGGAGGGAGGTTGGGGGGTCAGCCCCCCGCCCGGCCAGCCGCCCCGTCCGGGAGGGAGGTGGGGGGGGGTCAGCCCCCCTGCCCGGCCAGCCGCCCCGTCCGGGAGGTGAGGGGCGCCTCTGCCCGGCCGCCCCTACTGGGAAGTGAGGAGCCCCTCTGCCCGGCCACCACCCCGTCTGGGAGGTGTGCCCAACAGCTCATTGAGAACGGGCCAGGATGACAATGGCGGCATTGTGGAATAGAAAGGCGGGAAAGGTGGGGAAAAGATTGAGAAATCGGATGGTTGCCGTGTCTGTGTAGAAAGAAGTAGACATGGGAGACTTTTCATTTTGTTCTGCACTAAGAAAAATTCCTCTGCCTTGGGATCCTGTTGATCTGTGACCTTACCCCCAACCCTGTGCTCTCTGAAACATGTGCTGTGTCCACTCAGGGTTAAATGGATTAAGGGCAGTGCAAGATGTGCTTTGTTAAACAGATGCTTGAAGGCAGCATGCTCGTTAAGAGTCATCACCAATCCCTAATCTCAAGTAATCAGGGACACAAACACTGCGGAAGGCCGCGGGGTCCTCTGCCTAGGAAAACCAGAGACCTTTGTTCACTTGTTTATCTGCTGACCTTCCCTCCACTATTGTCCCATGACCCTGCCAAATCCCCCTCTGTGAGAAACACCCAAGAATTATCAATAAAAAAATAAATTTAAAAAAAAAAAAAAAAAGAAAAAAAAGAATGGACTTTCCCAGGCCAGCTGTGGTGGCTCACGACTGTAATCCCAGCACTGTGGCAGGCCAAGGTGGGCAGATCACCTGAGATCAGGAGTTCAAGACCAGCCTGACCAACACGGAGAAACCCCGTCTCTACTAAAAATAAAAAAAATTAGCTGGGCGTGGTGGTGCATGCCTGTAATCCCAGCTACTTGGGAGGCTGAGGCAGGAGAATTGCTTGAACCCAGGAGGCAGAGGTTGTTGTGAGCTGAGATTGCACCATTGCACTCCAGCCTGGGCAACAAGAGGGAAACTCCATCAAAAAAAAAAAAAAAAAAGGACTTTCTCAAAGAAAATGTATTTAAATGTCTGCACCAATAATTCCAGCATGTGTATGAATAAATATGATATGTCCTTTAAAAAAAAAAAATAAAAAAAAAAAATAAAAATAAAAATTAAAATGTTTATTGTTTATTCACAAGAGCCAGAGAAAGACTGGAAACAACATAAATGACAAAACAACAGGTGAATTGACAAACAAAATATGGTATATCTGTACAACAGGAAAGTACTTGGTAATATGTGTGAACAGACCACGTGGCTAAACACCAAGATAACCATGCAGAGTGAAAAATGCCAGACACAAAAAAATGCACATGGCATCATTCCACTTACATAAAATCTAGAAAATGCAAACTAATCTCTAGTAACAGGAAGGAGGTCAGTGGTCCCTGTGGCCAGGTGTTGGGGAGGGGACTGAAGAAAGCATAAAGAAACTTTTGGGGGTGTTGGAAATGTTCTGTGTCTCAGTCGTAGTGTTGCTTTTGGTGGGTGCACACGTCTGCCAAACTCATCAAAGTGCACACTACAAATGGATGCACTTTTTTTTGTATGGAAATTATACCTCAATTAACTTGATTAAAAAAATAAAATTCAAAGGCATCGAGGGGTGCCTTTCAGGAGCTCTTAAAAGAAAGGCATAAAAATTTTGACAGAATGAGTTTCCCTTTGCTTTGATTGGAATTACACTAAATTTGTAGACTAATCCAAGGGGAATGCACATCATTCCAACAGTAAGTCTTCATTTAGGGACATAGCAGGTCTTTTCCTATGCTCTGGGACAGTCAAAGCGGCACAATTATTTTCTTGTCCTTTAGGATTTGACAGATTTTACCAGTGAAATAACCTGGGCTGGGTGCCAAGGGACAAGGGGTGGATGGTGGGGGGTGGGGGCACGCTGGTGAGCTTTCGTTGTTAATAACAAGGGTGGAGATTGGATTCAAATAGCACTTACTCCCCATCACCAGTTCATTGCCACTTCATAAAAATCTCAAGATGAGTAGTCTCCATTCAGTTTTGTTTTGTCGTTTTGTTTTGGAGATAAGATTTTGCTCTGTCACCCAGGCTGGAGTGCGGCGGCACAATCATAGCTCACTGCTGCCTTGAACTCCTGGGCTCAAGGAATCCTACCGCTGAGCTTCCCAAATACCTGGGAATACAGGTGTGCACCACATGCCCTGCTAATTTTTATTTTATTTAAAACAAAATTGTCATAGAAACAGTCTTACTACATTGCCCAGGCTGATCTTGAACTCCTGTTCTAAAACACTCTTCCCACCTCAGCTTCCCAAAGTGCTGGGATTACAGGTGTGAGCCACTGTGCCAGCCTTACCTAGTGTTTGGTTATTCACCCTTTTCAGCCAAATGTTTACAAGCACAGATCTCTCTCTTTTTTTTTTTTTTTTTTTTTTTTTTTTTTTTTTGAGATGGAGTCTCTCTCTGTCGCTCAGGCTGGAGTGCAATGGCGACATGCGCCACTGCAACATTCACCTCCCAGGTTCAAGCAATTCTCCTGCCTCATCCTCCCGAGTAGCTGGGAATACAGGCATCCCCCCATCATGCCCAGCTAACTTTTGTATTTTTGTAGAGACAGGGTTTCACCATGTTGGCAGGCTGGTCTTGAACTCCTGACCTCACGTGATCCACCCGCCTCAGCCTCCCAAAGTGCTGGGATTATAGGCGTGAGCCACCACACCTGGCCACAAGCACAGATCTTTCAGCAGATCCTGTCACTGGCCCACCCTGCAGCTCCTCAGCCCACCTCTGGGTTCACCCGTAGCTGTGGTAGACACTGCCCATGCAAGCCTCCCACCACTAGCTTTTTCTCCTCTCTGCTTTTTTTTTCGGTAGGTGGTGGGGGGGTGCGGGGTGAGGGGCACAGTCTCACTCTGTCATGCAGGCTGGAGTGCAGTGGCATGATCTTGGCTCACTGCCACCTCTGCCTACTGTGTTCAAGTGATTCTCTCACCTCAGTCTCCCAAGTAGCTGAGACTACAGGTGTGGACCACCACTCCTGGCTTTTTTTTTTTTTCAGTAGAGACAGGGTTTTGCTGTGTTGGCCAGGCTGGTCTCGAACTCCTGACCCCCAGTGATCTGCCTGACTTGGCCTCCCGAAGTGCTGGGATTACAGGTGTGAGCCACCGTGCCTGGCCTCCCCTCTGATTTTTTTTTTTTTTTTTTTTTTGAGACGGAGTCTCGCTCTGTCGCCCAGGCTGGAGTGCAGTGGCGCGATCTCGGCTCACTGCAAGCTCCGCCTCCCGGGTTCACGCCATTCTCCTGCCTCAGCCTCCCGAGTAGCTGGGACTACAGGCGCCCGCCACTACGCCCGGCTAATTTTTTGTATTTTTTTTTTAGTAGAGACGGGGTTTCACCGTGTCCCCTCTGATTTTTAAGCTAAATGATTTTTGCTTGCTAGTCAGCATGGAGGGCAGCCTGAAAGTACTGGGGAGTTATCCTAAGGGCAACTCTCCACCAAGAAAGGACAGAAATAGGGGGAAGATATCCCAGCTTCCTCATTCCTCAATGGGACAATTTGAATGCATTCTACCTGATCTCTCAGAAGGCCCCGTGGAGCGGGGTGAGCCTGTCCTGAATGCACCCTCCCTGTCTTTTTTTTTGAGACAGAGTCTCACTCTCTCACTCAGGGGCTGGAGTGCAGTTGCATGATCTCAGTTCACGACAACCTCTGCCTCCTGGGTTCCAGTGATTCTTCTGCTTCAGCCTCCAGAGTAGCTGGGATTACAGGTGCATACCACCACACCCGGCTAATTTTTGTATTTTTAGTACAGATGGGGTTTTGTCATATTGGCCAGGCTAGTCTCGAACTCCTGGCCTCAAGCGATCTGCCCGCCTCAGCCTCCCAAAGTTCTGGGATTACAGGCATGAGCCACCGTGCCTGGCCCCCTGTCTCATTCCCTACTCCCTCCCTCATTCCCTACTCCCTCCCTCATTCCCTACTCCCTCCCTCATCCCCTACTCCCTCCCTCATGCTTCCTGAAATCAACTCCCAAATAAACTACCTGCACCCATTCCTTAACTCAGGTGTGCTTTTAGGAGATCCCAAAGACGTGCCACCAATACGCATGTACTATGGTACTATTTTACTATGTTTATAATAAAACATACACTGACTAGATGTTTTAAGGATAAGCTAAAGATAAACAATATTTAAAATAACTTATTTATTAACAACACAATCTTTTTACTCTCACCCAAATATTAATTATGATACTCTTAGTGAATGGCAATGTGATTAAATGTGCTTCATTATTTTTGAAAATCTTGATTAACACTTCGTGATGCAGCAATTTGAAAGCCTGGTTCTGAGTTCATTTTATTTTGATACTTGGTTTAATGGCTTGATAACTAAACAGGCACTTCAGGGAGACATGTGTCTCCCACAGAGCCCGGGCACCGCTGGGTCATGGTGCTCCCCTCCCAGTGACCACGCCTCCCACCAGCCATACAAATGGACCAAGAATTCTGTGACGATCCGGCCAGCAGATGCCAATCTTCCCTGATGACAGTCGGGGTTTGTGCTCCTTGAATGAGAAGAGTTGCATTTTTATGTTTTCAATCAATAGAATCAAAATCCTCCAAAATTAAGTAGTTTGGAAGGTTTAAAACCTATTTCTGGCTGAGTACGGTGGCTCGCGCCTGCAATCCCAGCACTTTGGGAGGCTGAGGCGGGCAGATCACTTGAGGTCAGGAGTTTGAGACCAGGCTGGCCAACATGGTGAAACCCCACCTCTACTAAAAATACAAAAATCAGCCGGGCGTGATGGTGCACACCTGTAGTCACAGCTACTCTGGGAGGCTGAGGCACTAGGATGGCTTGAACCCAGGAGGCGGAGCTTGCAGTGAGCCTAGATAGTGCCACTGCACTTCAGCCTGGGTGACAGAGTGAGAAAAAATAAAAGACGGTTTAAAGCCTAAGTAGACTGGAGTATGGATTCGCCAAATCTTCTCTAAGTTCATTTAAAACGGGTGCATCTCTTTGTGATGTGGGATTTGATGGTGCCTCAACAGCTTACAAATAAGCTCCAGATGTTTCCAGGAAGATCTATGGAGGGCCAGATTTCCAGGAAAATTCAGTCAGTCATCTAAATGGTTCTCTTCTTTCTAGAGTGAAGCAGAGTGGTTGAGCACGTGGGCCGGGGGGCCTTGCAAAACAGAGATAAGGCCAGACCGCTGTGGCAGTCCAGAGCAGAAATAAATCATCCTCCCATGTGTGTCTCTGATGACACAATGCTTTCTTTCCAAGGTATCAGCCTGCCCTGACCCTGGGACCCGCCTCCCCTCCATGGGTCTGTCCAGGCCCTGGGAGGGAGAGGGCAGAAAGAGGCCTGGACCGCATTTAGAAGCAATGGAGGCCTGCCAGGTGGGTGGCAGGAGTAACTATGATGCCACCAGGGCTGTGCACAAATTCTGCAGCCACACAAAATGGAGAGATGAAGGAAGCACCTATGCCCCCACTGCCTCCTCAGCTTCCTGGCAGGGAAAAGTGGACCTTCCTTGGGGTGCCCCAGCTCCCCCTGCAGCAAATTGTGGGGACATGGGATGCTACCCCAGCTTCCGGAGAAGTTCTGCTTGACTTGAAATAGATTCTGGTTTCATCAGTACAGACTCTCTTCTTCTTGACAAAAATGAGAGCACAGGTCCAGGCCTGACTGCTTGCAAAGAGACAGACTATGGTTCACCCATCGGGTCTGGACCCTACAAGGCTAAAAAAAAGCTGGCTTGCATTGTCTAAATGCCATGGGTTAGCCATCATGATGTCCATTTCACAGATAAAGACACTGAGGCTAAGTTGCTTACCTGAAACCCACAGCAGCCATGCCTCCTACAAGAAACCCAGTCTTGGGAGGGAAGAAGATCAGAATCATGTGATGATAGGATGAATTTAAAATGGCCTCAAGGCTGGCCGTGGAGGCTCATGCCTTTAATCCCAGGATTTTGGCAGGCTGAGGCTGGTGGATCACCTGAGGTCAGGAGCTCAAGACCAATCTGGCCAACGTGGTGAAACCCCATCTCTATTAAAAATACAAAAATTAGCTAGTATGGTGGTGGGTGCCTGTAAACCCAGGTACTCGGGAGGCTGAGGCAGGAGAATCGCTTGAACCTGGGAGGTGGAGGCTGCAGTGAGCTGAGATCACACCACCGTACTTCAGCCTGGGACACAGAGCGAGACTGTCTCAAAAAAAAAAAAAAGTACATGTGACACTTTACCAAGGTCCAGCTTAACCTGCTATGGAAATGCACCAATGGACCAGGAACCTAGGCCACACATTGACCCAAGGCAACATCTCAAGTAGAGCCTTTGGGAACTCGAGGGTGGAGGCTTATAGAACCTGGGGACATTCTGCATCAAAGTCCGGAGGTGGCCTGCCAAGCAACCCTTCCTGATGGTGCCAGGAGGCTGGAAGGAAGAGGCCGGCTTCTTGCCTGCGTTGGAGGCTCATGGTTGGATAGGGGACCTGGGTCACAGATATGCACCAAGGCCAAGAGCACTACCCTCTCCCTGTAGCTTAGAACTGGGTGATTTCAACACCACTCTCACTCCCATGTCCTCTGAGGTGTCCACTTGCCTCACTGCAGAGTCCCCCACTTATATTTGGCTGAGGTTTTCATCTTCCGCTAAGATCTTGTGCTTAACTCTGTATCTTTCTTTCTGCTGCTTTGTCCCCACTCAAATGCATATACAGGCTTTGCACCCAGATTTCCCCTTTATACTCCAAGGCATAAAAAGCTAAGGTCATGAGAGATCCATAAGAACAATCCCTCCTCCCCCGCCAGGCTTCTAAGCAGGAAAATATCCAATGGAGCTGGCAAGAATCAGGGAAGACTTCATGGAGGAAGTGGCATTGGATAGTGTCTTTCCTGTTTATCTTCTCTATGAGCCAAGACTCCTTTGGTTGTAAGTGACAGAAAATACAATTCAACCTGGCTAAAGGAAAAAATATTATTGGCTCAGGTAAGTGGAAACTTCCAGGCAGAGTGGGCTCCGGGAGCCCAGTCGATGTCATAAGGACTTGGCCTCCTCTCCTCTGTCGGCTTCAGTCTCAGGCAGGCCATCTCCATGTCATGGTCCCAACCTCTCCCCCAAGAGACCCCAAGCAGCAAAGGGCTTATCTCCTCTTTTAGTTCCAGCAAAAGTGCCAGGATGACACCCTGGTCATGTACCCACCTGTGAGCCCATCTCAGGGACTAGGGCAGGCCTGGATCACATGGCCAGTGGATTGAGGGGATGGAGCAGCCCCCTAGACCTTAGGGAATAAAAGTGGGGCAGAGGGGTCCTTCAAGGGACAATACAGATGTCTTTCTCTGAAGCAGGAGCATGCATGCCATGCGGGAAAAAGCAACACAAAGTCTACTTCTTTAATATGCTCCCCAGGCTTGGGGAGAGTCCAGCACTGGGCCCGGGACATATTTGTCTTTGGTAAATGTTTATGGGATGCATGGATGGATGGATGGATGGATGGATGGATGGATGGATGGATAGATGGAAGGGTGGGTTGATGCATGGATGGATGGATGCATGCATGCATGGATGGGTGGGTGGGTGGGTGGGTGGGATAGATGCATGAGTATCTACCTACCCATGGATAGATGGGTGGATGAATGGGTGGATAGATGGATAGATTCGTAGGTAGATGGATGGATAGATGGGTGGATGAATGAGTACATGGATGGATGGATGGGTGAATAGATGCATGGATGGGTGGGTGGGATAGATGGATGAATAGATGGGTGGATGGATTGGTAGATGGATGCATGGGTGGATGGATGGGATAGATGCATTGGTAGATGGATGGATAGATGGGTGGATGAATGGGTACATGGATGGATGGATGGGTGAATAGATGCATGGATGGGTGGGTGGGATAGATGGATGAATAGATGGGTGGATGGATTGGTAGATGGATGCATGGGTGGATGGATGGGATAGATGCATTGGTAGATGGATGGATAGATGGGTGGATGAATGGGTATGTGGATGGATGGATGGAAGGATGCATGGATGCATGGATGCATGGATGCATGGATGGATGGGTGGGTGGGTGGGATAGATGGATGGATAGATGGGTGGATGGAAGGGTAGATGGATGCATGGGTGGATGGATGGGATAAATGCATGGGTAGATGGATAGACGGGTGGATTAATGGGTATGTGGATTGATGGATGGATGGATGGATGGACGGATGGAAGGATGGATGACTAGATGCATGGATGGGTGGGTGGATGGGATAGATGCATGGGTAGGTGGATGGATAGATGGATGCCTGAATGGGTACACAGATGCATGGGTGGATGGATGGGATAGATTCATGAGTAGATGGATGGATAGATGGGCAGAAGGATGCGTAGATGGATGCATGGGTGGGTGGATGGGATAGATTCATGAGTAGATGGATGGATAGATGGGTGGATGAATGGGTAGATGGATGTGTGGGTGGATGGATGGGATAGATTCATGGGTAGATGGATGGATAGATGTGTGCATGAATGGGTACATGGATGGATGGATGGGTGAATGGATGCATGGATGGGTGGATGGGTGGGTGGATGGGATAGATGGGTGGATGGATGAATGAATGAACAATGTTTCCTATTTCCTGTGGTGCTCCACTTGAGATGTCTGGCCAGAGCAGGGCCCAGAGCCGCTGACCGGCTTTCTCCAGGAGCTGAGATTCCCAGCACACGTGGTAGGAATGCAGCATCCTGGAAAGAAGTCTGGAGGGAGGAAATGGGGGATCAGGAGTGGACAGCAGAACAGGGTAAGGGCCAGAAAAGCAAATGGTGAGGCTTGACAACCTCCTTGATTAAGAAGGCAGCTGTAGCTACCACGTGATGAAACTGCTGGCTGTATATGTGTGGATGCTGGAGTCTGGGCCCAGGTAGCCAGAAGGGACTGGCTTGAACTGAAGCAGAGGGAGGTCTCTGCCTGGGGAACCCCAGACCCAGTACTGCCTGTCTGCTTTGGCCTGGCTCCCCAGCCTGGAATCTTCCACCAAGAATCCTCACAGGCCAAGGCCAGGAGCTCCCCTGGGCCCTTCAGCTTCCTCTGCAGCCTCAGGTATGAGAGGAGGAGGAGGAGGCCCCCTGGGCAGTGACTCCTCTGTTCTGTCCTCACTGCTTTTGCCCCTAGAGCAAGTTCTGCACCTGGGGCTGGAGGCAGGGAAGGAGACAGTGTGGATGGCAAATCCCCAACCCCAGAAATCATCCACCACTCCATCTGCTTTTCCAAGGCCTGGAGACCCCTTTCCAAAAGGCCTTGAAAAAGTCAGAAAACAAAAATCCAAAAAAAAGTCTCTGGATGCAAGAATGAAATACTAGGTCATGAATATGGTAAGTCATCTTATTAAAATTTTGCTGATTGATTGATTATAGACTCACTAATCTCCTAGATTCAAAGATACCTGAAGAAAATGTGAACTTGTGAATTCCGGTCAAACAGTATAGGACACTGCCTAATTTATTTTCTTTAAAGTGACTTACCCCAATAATTTTTGGCTTTAAATTCAACATGAATATTTCATAAATATTCCATACATTTAAGATTTTAACCATTTTTACATCATATCTACAGTACTTTAGTACCTGACTTGTATATTTATGTGACTATTGTTAGAAGTGACTAATTGGGTTTGATTAGTTTCATCATTAATATTCTGTCCATAATTTAACATGCTTCAATAAAATACCCTAAAGCAGTGTAATGATTAGATTTCAGGAATATGTGTTTTGCAATTAAGTTCCTCTTGATTTTGATATGCAGATGAAGAAATGGTGGTCTCATTTAAAAAAAAAACTGCCCTTATTAACTCAGCAGTATACTCTGAAGATTAGGTAAGAAATCCAAGATTTTCTCTTTGTATATGCTAGTTAAAATGTATTTCAATCAAGCCTATGTGGGCAAATCAGATTTGATTAGTTTAAGTTCACAGTCATTCTATCTAAATGAATAATGTGTCACCTAACATTGCAAAAATTTGATTAATAGTTTATCAGTTAATTAAAAATGGGGTTTAATTTTTCTTTTTTAGGAAAATGCAAGGTAGATATTCCTTGTGTTCATCATAAATGCAAATTATTTCAGCTTGAATCTATTGTTCCTTTTTTGCTTCTTAGCCAACTGGAAAGAAAATGGAGCTCTTAGAAATATCTCTGGGAGGGAGGAGTAGCAAAACTTTTTTTGCTCCCATCTGCGGCTGTTGCTTGAGTCCTGCCTGCAGAGAGCTTGCTCTGGGTGGAGTTGGTTCCCTGGACCTCAACTTCTCCAGGCATCTCACCTCCTTTCCCCGCCCTTCTCTCCCACTCCTCATTCCACCTGCCGTCTTTAGCCACAAGACTTTGACTTTCCTTCTTTTTTTTTTTTTTGGTGAAACAGAGTTTAACTCTTGTCGCCCAGGCTGGAGTGCAATGGTGTGATCTTGGCTCACTGCAACCTCCGCCTCCAGAGTTCAAGCAATTCTCCTGCCTCAGCCTCTTGAGTAGCTGGGATTACAGGTGCCTACCACCAAGACCAGCTAATTTTTGTATTTTTTAGTAGAGATGGGGTCTTGCCATGTTGGCCAGGCTGATCTCAAACTCCTGACCTCAGGTGATCCACCTGCCTTGGCCTCCCAAAGTACTGGGATTACAGGTGTGAGCCACCGCACCCGGCCTGACTTTTCTTTTTCTTTTTCTTTTTTTTTTTTTTAGAGACAGGGTCTTGCTCTGTTGCCCAGGCTAAAGTGCAGTGGTGCGATCATAGCTTACTGCAGCCTTGAACTCAGGCTCAAGTGATCCTCCTGACTTGGCCTCTCAAGAAGCTACAGACACATGTCACCTCACTCTGCTAAGTCTGAAAAAATTTTGTGGAGATGGAGTCTCACTGTGTTGCCCAGGGTGTTCTCAAACTCCTGGCTTCAACTTCCCAAAGTGCTGGGATTACAGTCATGAGCCACTAAGCCCTGTCCCAAGACTTTTCCAAATGACTCCTTTTGTCACCTTGTCCAGTTTAATTTGTCTGTGGGGCAGGAGCCAGGAAACCAAAGGAGTCCCTTTACCCAGGAACCTGAGACCCAACATCAGAGGTGAAGGAGACACCTCTCATCCTCCTCGGGGCAGTTTGTCCATGCCCAGGAATTAGAACACCAGGGTGCCTTTTCTGCAGAGGTTGGATTCATCACTGCAAAGCTGCTGAGCCAAGGGGTGGTTCTTGCAGGCATGTTTCAGGGAGTGTTGTGTGCAGCAGGGAAGGGAAGGAAGCCAGCACTTCCTTCCTAGTGTACACGTGTAGGGGTGTATGACTGAGCAGATACTGCTGCAGGCAGCCCCTCTACTGGGGCCTCTGGGAGGCAGTGCAGACTCAGCCTTGACCCATCCCGTAGACATGAGAGCTGGGCTACTTATCCAACTTCTCTTCATCATTGCTGAAGGCTGTTCCCTGGGCCATTAATTTCTGGCACTTCCCCCTTGTTCTGCACACAACAGAGCAGTCTCCTGGAGGCAGAGCCTTTCCCCAAGCAGAGTGCCAGCCCCTTTCTGGGTCTCATGCAAGGGAGCAGTGAACACTGGAGGGACACAGGCAGGGTGTCCCTGAAGCCTCCTACTGTGGGTCCATTGCTAATGTGGCCAGCCCTAGTCATTCTCCTAAATTCTTTCTTAGCTTTACGAGGACCTTACGTCCTCTGATGTTAATCAAGTGCATTAATCAACAGATGGTTAAATGGGGTAGTACCCCAGCTCCAGACACAGTTGTAGCTGCTGTAACTAGAGCTGTGAACTTGCACTCTACAGACAGGAGACTGACCCAGATGTGGCAGGTGTGGGAAGCATTTTGTGCGGCGGGGGGCGGGTGGGAGGGGAGGGGTGGCGGGGATTCCTTTAGCCTGGGTGGTCAGGGAGGGTTTCTCAGAGGAGGTGACCTTGAGCAAGACTTAAAGGGTGAGAATCAACCTGCTATGTAAAGATCTGTGAGGAGGATGTGCCAGGAATAGAGAAGAGCAAGGGCCCAGGCTTCAAGGTGAAGATCAAGGAAATGTATCTGTAGCTGGAGAGCAGGGATTGAGGTCAGCAGAATGGGGGTGACATTGGGAAGGAGAGGAGGGACCAGGTGACTGATAAGGGGCCCTCAACCCTGCCTGCCCCAGAGTCACTGTGGAACTCTCCATACAGGGAGAGAAAGCAGAACTACCCAGAAAGCCCCCTGACTTGCCACCGGGACAGCATGCGTGGTTTATGGTCCACAGCTCCGTACAGGAACTCTCGCATGTGTTCATGTTCATTGATATCCTCCAGTCTGCACCAAAGGATGTCTGAGAATTAACGATCAACTCCAGTTTCCTGGAAATGAATGTGGAGGGGCAGACTGAGGTTGCAGGGTGTTCCTGGAGGCCTACGGTGAGACCTGTGCTACTGTGGTCAGCTCTATTCACAATGCATGCTTGAAAATGAGGCATCAGGGTAAATAACAGTGCTCTCTGGGTTTTTTTTTTTTTCTTCCCCCGCTCTGCTCCCTTTTTTTTTTTTTTTTTTTTTTTGAGACAGACCCAGGCTGTTGTATAACTGGCATGATCTTGGCTCACTGCAGCCTCCACCTCCTGGGTTCAAGTGATTCTCCTGCCTTGGCTTCCTGAGTAGTTGGGATTACAGGTGCCCACCACCATGCCCAGCTAACTTTTATATTTTTAGTAGAGGCGGGGTTTCGCCACGTTGGCCAGGCTGGTCTCGAACTCCTGACCTCAAGTGATCCAATGGCCTCGGTCTCCCAAAGTACTGGGATTACAGGCATGAGCCACTGCACCTGGCCTTTCCCCTGTATTTTTATGCATAGGTTGGAAGTGCTCTCTGTCTGGGGGGCCACGTGGAAAGATGGGTCAAAGACGGAAGCAGTGATGCTCCCAATAGCATCCTGGCTGCAGATCAGCTGGGTCTGGAGCTAAATCTTGGTGAATTTGACACACAGCCTGATTATTGTCTGGAAAGTTCTGGAGAGGAACTCAGTCACCTGTCACCTGTCTTCCCAGGCAGGTATTTCCTTCGAGCTCTTTGAACCTCAGCACCCTGCTGGGGAGTGACCCCTGCCTGGGTTTAGGTTCTGCAGTTGGCATGCAGGTCAAAATGTATCGGAGGTGTGCCTGCAACACAGGCCAGGGCCTGACTGGTGCTGTGTGTGCCATTATCCTGGAATTGAAGGGAGGAGAAGGCACTAGAATTTTGAAGACGCTTCTCAGGCGAGGGCTGTGCATAGCCAGGGTTGACAGGCTCAGGAGCTGGGAGGGGGTCCTGGGAAGAGGGTGAGAATTGGACTCTGATCTCACCAGCCAGGTGCTTCAGGCTGGACCCCAGAAACACCTGTCAGGTAGGTCACAGAGATGAAGGACAACTCAGGTCCCAAGAAGTCGAGAAGAGAGCCAGCCAGTGAGCAGGTTTAAAAGTTAGAGCTGGGCCAGGTGCGGTGGCTCACGCCTGTAATCCCAACACTTTGGGAGGCCAAAGTGGGGGATCACTTGGGGCCAGGAGTTTGAGACCAGCCCAGCCAACCTGGCGAAACCCTGTCTCTACAAAAAATACAAAAATTAGCCAGGTGTAGTGGTACACACCTGTAGTCCCAGATATTCTGGAGGCTGAGGCATGAGAAGCGCTTGAACCCAGGAGGTGGAGGTTGCGTGAGCTGAGATCACACCACTGCACTCCAGCCTGGGTGACAGAGCGAGACTCTTTGTCTCAAAAAAATAAAAAGTAAATAAAAGCTGGAGCTGGCTGGACTGTGGGGCTCATGCCTGAAATCCCAGTGCTTTGGGAGGCCGAGGAAGGAGGATCGTGTGAGCCCAAGAATTCCAGATCTCCACACAAAAAATAAATACATAAAAATAAATTTTTTAAAAATCAAAATATTAGCAAGGCGTTGTGGCACATGCCTGTAGTCCCAGGTACTCAGGAGGCTGAGGTGGGAGGATCGCTTGAGCCCAGGAATTTGAGGCTGCAGTGAGCTGAGATGGGGCCACTGCACTCCAGCCTGGGCAACACAGCAAAATCCCATCTCTAAAGTAAACAAAACAAAATAAAATAGCTGGAGCTTCTTGTCACCATAGGAGCTGAGAAGGGACTAGATTTGTCGTAACAAAACTCCTGCACGGGGTCCGGAGACATCATCTCAGACCATCCCCCAATGGCTCCCCGCAACCCTGGGCTATCAGGGATGAGGGGCTGCTTTTCAAGGAGGCCAGTCCAGGACCTTGGCCTGGCCTGCCTGACACAGCTACTCCTGGCTGCCTCCCCGCCCCTCCCACACATCTGCATGGGATGGCTGCCCTCCTTGCTCACCGCGGCCACACAAGCCTGCCCGTCTTGGCTTCCAGGAGCCGCAGTGCGCAGGCCAGGAGCAGCAGCCATCCTCTGGCTCTTCTGCCTTGGCTGAAAGTCAAGGTTATTTCTGCCCCTCCTACCTTTTCCCAAAAGCCCTCAAGGGCAGGGCCGGTTATGGGCAGGGCAGTGCGAGGGGTTGGAGGGCCATTCTGCCCAGGCCACTCATTCCTGATGAGCCCCCAATGCAGCCTGTTGTCGCTGTGTTGGGGAGGGTTTCTAGGAAGTATCTATGTGTGTTGAAGTTAAAGCATTCACTTGCTAAATATAGATGTATTCGGTTCACCTTAATTTGTGTAACCCCTGCTTTAGGAAAGAAGAAAAGAAAGAAAGAGAGAGAAGGAAGGGAATGAGAATGGGAAGGGGAAGGGGAAGGAGAAGGAGAGGAAAGGAAAGGAAAGGAAGAAGGAAGAAGGAAGGAAAGGTGAGAGGGAGAGAAGGAGGAAGGGGAGGGAGGGAGAGAAGGAAAGAAAGAAAAGAAAGAAAAGAAGGGTGCAGTGGCTTACACCTGTAATCCCAGCACTTTGGGAGGCCAAGGCAGGTGGATCACTTGAGGTCAGGAGTTCGAGACCAACCTGGCCAACATGGTGAAAACCCATCTCTACTTTTAGTAGATATAAAAATTAGCTGGAGGCTGGGTGCGGTGGCTCACGCCTGTAATCCCAGCACTTTGGGAGGCCAAGGCGGGTGGATCACGAGGTCAGGAGATCGAGACCGTCGTGGCTAACACGGTGAAACCCTGCCTCTATTAAAGAAATACAAAAAATTAGCCGAGCACGGTGGCGGGCGCCCGTAGTCCCAGCTACTCAGGAGGCTGAGGCAGGAGAATGGCGTGAACCTGGGAGGCGGAGCTTGCAGTGAGCCAAGATCGTGCCACTGTACTCCAGCCTGGGTGACAGAGCAAGACTCTGTCTCAAAAAAAAAAAAAAAAAAAATTTGCTGGGCATGGTAGTGCACACCTGTAATTCCTGTTACTTGGGAGGTTCAGGCAGGAGAATCACTAGAAGCCAGGAGACCGAGGTTGCAGTGAACGGAGATCATACCACTGCACTGCAGCCTGGGTGACAGAGAAAGACCCTATCTCAAAAAACAAAACCAAAAATAAAAAAAGAAAGAAACAGAGAAAGAAACAAAGAAACAAAGAAAAAGAAAAGCTCTCTAAAACTCATCAGGAACAAACTCCAAAGACAGCATCTCTCAGGTGAGCTCAGGAAGGGCTCTGAGTGTTTTGAAAATCAGGACTTGGTGAGGCCCAGTGGTGAGAGTGTCTGTGTAAAGTTGCATTATTCAGAACAAGTTTTCCTGTATAAAAATAATACCAAAAAACTAACCGCAAATGTCAGTAATCAGAGGTTTGGAATTTGGACTACTTCTGCTCCAGAAGGAACTATCTGGAAAGACGGCAGACGGGACCAGTTTCTTTCTGGGGAACGAGACTGGGCTGATGTCAGAATTCCCCAATTTAAAATCAGAACTTCCCCCTGTCCCCAGCTCCAGGCCCTCCTGGCTCCTGGGAGCCACAGAGAGATGGCTCCCGTGGGCAGCCGCTGTGGATGGATCCTTTATTGGGCATCTTGAATTCCAAGCACCAGCCCCACATTTGCAAGCAGAGCCTCCAGGTGACCAAAGTGGAGCTGCACCTGTGACGTGCTAACTCCCCATCTGCTGGGCGGCACAGCGGGGCAGAGGGAAGGTGGAGAACCGCTACCGTCTCCACCCCTCCAACCCCACCCCTCCCCCAGCCAGCTAAAGCGGCTTCAGGAAGGGCCACGTTCTGAAATGAGGGCTGGGGGCAGGCCACGAGGGTGCTATTAGTCCTGTGTTTGCGGCCTCCTTGCCTGCCTGGCTGGTCCATGAGACCAAGCAAGGCCCTTTCTCCCCACCAGCGGGGAACATGCTGCCACCGGAGGGATGGCAAAGGGTTTACGGGCAGTTGACAACTTGGTGTGCTATTTCCATAAGTGCTGATGAGTTTCTACCAGTTGTTCACACATCATTCAAGAGATACCTTTTGAACACCAAGAATACACAAAGCCCAGGCAGGGAGGGCAGAGAGCCTATGCCTGGCTAACACCGGCAGGAGGCAGCTGCTCCCTTCTTTGATGGAGGCAAGTACTCCAGAGGTGACAGAGGGGCCTTGCACCCAGGCTTCGGGGCAGCCACGCAGAGGCTCGGCAGAGGGTGCTTCATTATGGGCCAGGCATTGCCCCAACCCCCACCCTCGCCTGGGGCTACCCACTGCTCCCACTTCTCAGGGGCAGGAAGTAAGCCTGTGAGAGGTTAAGGAGCTTCCCCAGGCCTTTCACTACTCAGTGGTAGAGCTGGGACTTGAACCCATAGCACATGCCTCACACCTCTCCTCGAGCTAGAACCACTTACATGTTTGGGGGTCCGAAAGGCCAGCGTCCGTTGTAAATAATACAGGAACAGAGATGGGCTCTTGGAATGAACATGTCACTCCTGGCCGGGCCGGTGGCTCATGTCTGTAATCCCAGCATTTTGAGAGGCCCAGCTGGGGGGATCACTTGAGGTCAGAAGTTCGAGACCAGATATGGTGAAACCCTGTCTCTACTAAAAATACAAAAATTAGCCAGGCATGGTGGTGCATGCCTGTAATCCCAGCTACTCGGGAGGCTGAGGCAGGAGAATCGCTTGAACCCAAGAGGCGGAGGTTTCAGTGAGCCGAGATCGCGCCACTGCCCTCCAGCCTGGGCAACTGTGGAGACAGGGTCTCACTATGTTGCAGAGGCTGGTCTCGAACTCCTGGGCTCATCAAGGAATCCTCCTGCCTTGACTTCCCAAAGTGTTGAGATTACAGGCGTGATCTGTAATCAGATTTTTGAGACTCCATCTCAAAATAAACCAAGAGAAAATGTCAGCCCTTTGTTGGATGAAGCCATTCCAGGCTGGTGTCACATAATTCACTGTGCTTCCCTGCCCATCCCTCACCCACTGCAGACCTGAAATAGGGCATTGCAAGGGACACCACGACATTTGCAGATGCACACCATTTCTTATGGGTGAGCGCTGATTAGTCACAGGCCACGCAGCCCAGCCCTGTGCTGAATGATGTGGGGCAGATTAGAAACCACAGCCCATTTCTGCTCCTAAGGCTGAATTCCTCCATGGGAAGTCAGGATCAGAAAGCAAAGCAGGAGACGAATATGATCAAGCATTGGATGGCAGCCCCCATTCTCTTATTTCTGCATTTCTCTTAAAGTTCTGTGTTTCAGTCAAGAGTCCACCCAAGGCGGGGCAAGGTGGCTCATGCCTGTAATCTCAGCGTTATGGGCAGTCAAGGCAGGAGGATTCCTTGATGAGCCCAGGAGTTCAAGACGAGCCTGTGCAATATAGTGAGACCCTGTCTCTACAAAAAATAACAACAACAAAAAATTAGCCGAGTGTGGTGGCATGCACTTGTATTCCCAGGTACTTGGGAGGCTGAGATGGAAGGATCTCTTGAGTTCGGGAGGTCGAGGCTGCAGTGAGCTGAGATTACACCACAGCACTCCACCCTCGGTGACAGTGTGAGACCCTGTCTCTGACAAAAAAAAAAAAAAAAAAAAAGAGTCCACCCCAGGCTCCCCGCTGCTGGGCAGGCTTCCTGTCTCCCTCTCCCAGCTGCAGCTCAGACTCTGATCTGCACTTGCACTTAGGACAGCTCACCACACCCCACCAACCCCTCTCCCACCGCTACCCCTCTAGAAGCTGAGCCTCCTGGGAGCAGTGTTGGGGCAGGTTCTGCTTGGTTCCCCTCCAGCACCAGGGCCAGGGTGCGGCACACTCACACCCACCCACTCGGTCACGCCCTGGGTGTTTCTCTAGGGCCCTCCGTGGGCCAGTCTCTGAGCTGGATGCAAACGTTCTTAAGGAGAAAAAGAAATCAGTTTCTGTCTTCTGAGAACTGACAGTGTAACAGCAGTGAACCCAATAAACAACCATAACAAAATGCTCAGCAATGGCAGACCATGATAAGGGTTATGCAGGGAAGGAACAAGACACCCTAGGAGAGAGGAACAGCAGAAACTAAAGCTACATGGGCGTGGAGCATCAGGGAGGCCTCTGCTCAGGGTGTGCACGCCCAGTGCCTCATAGGGGCTCACGGTTTGATGAGCACATTTGAAGGTAATGGAAGGAAAGGTGACAAGAGAGGAGAAAGTGTGCAAAGTGGGGCAAATGGGCTGGGCACAGTAGCTCATGCCTGTCATCTCAGTGCTTTGGGAAGCCAAGGTGGGAGGATTGCTTGAGCCCAGCATTTCAAGACCAGCCTGGACAACATAGAAAGACCCCCATCTCTACGGAAAATAATTTTTTTTTTGAGACAGAGTCTCATCTGTCACCCAGTGCAGTGTCGTGATCTCGGCTCGCTGTAACCTCCACCCCCCAGGTTCAAGTGATTCTCATGCCTCAGCCTCCTGAGTAGCTGGGACTACAGGGGTGTACCACCAAACCCAGCTAATATTTTTGTATTTTTAGTAGAGATGAGGTTTCACCGTGCTGGCCGGGCTAGTCTTGAACTCCGAACCTCATGATCCACCCGCTTTGGTGTCCCAAAGTGCTAGCATTACAGGCATGAGCCCCGGCTCCTAGCCCAGAAAATAATTTAAAAAAAAAAAAGCAAAATGAAATAAAGTGGGGCAAAGGAAAATCCGACTGAAAGAGAGCCTGGCATTCGGTAATCAAAACCCTTTCCAAAGTTGAAGGACCAAAGCTCCGTATGAAGGTGACCAAGGAGGTACTGGGACAGTCGGCCAGCCAGCTCCTGAACGGCTGCAGGTGCACCTGATTCCAAAAAGTAGGAGTAAGTCAGTCCCAGCGGGAAGTACAAGTTCAGCTCCCTGAAGCCTGCTGTGCCATTTATGGGCCATTTCTGCGTGTAAAACAGGAAATTAGGGCATTAAAAATGACGAACGAGCCAAATTAGCCCATCTGTCTCTCACAGAATCCCCCTGGGCTACAGTAACTGTGACCCTGGCCAGCCCCTGAGAGCTGAGAACCAGGCAGGCTGCAGGTCTCCCATGCCCACGGTGCCCGACTCTGCCTCTCTGGGAGACTGAGCCCGGAGCAGGACTCCGCAGGGAGCTGCCTCAGCCAGAGCGGTGGTGGGCATGGTGGGGATGGACGAGATGGCAGGGTCTGAAGCTTCCCCGGGGACGTCTCCCAGAGAGAAGAGCAATCTCCTTCCGGAAGTTTCCAGCAGCCCTGCACCCAGGGGCTCAAACAGCGGCATCAGGACCCAGATTGTCATGAGAGGCTCAGCTGTCCTCGGAGTGGAATTCTTTCACAGGCAGGCTCTCCCCAGTGGCGCCAAAGGCGACTACAACTTCAGTCCCAGCCTCAGCTCAAGGAGAGGGGCTTGTTCAGCACTTCCCCGCCATATCTTGGGATTCGTTCTGATTGGTTCAGCTTAGCTCACTGCCCACCCCTGAACCAATCACAGTGGCCTGCAGCTGCACTTCTGTGCCCTCATTGGTTGGCCATTCCTGGGTAGTGCCACTCCCTGCTGGAGCTCTACCTAAATCACATGGACTGTGAGTCATGGATGGGTCCTCCAAAGAAAAGCAGGGTGACTTGGACAAAACAAACAAGACAGCCAACTACAGCTGGGATAAGAGACGTGTGAAGGGGGAAAAGCAAAACCGCAATGGAAAGGAAAAGTCCCCAAAGGGAAGTGTTAGGGCTCAGAGATGGAGGGGGACCCCGGCAGATCCAGGAGGTTGTAATGGGTCCGGCATAGCAGCTCCAGCCTGTAATTCCAGGACTCTGGGAAGCTGAGGCGGAAGGATTGCTTGAGCCCAGGAGTTCCAGACCAGCCTGGGCAACAGTGAGACGGTATCTCTACAAAAAATAAATATATATATGTAGACTGGCGTGGTGGCATACGCCTGTGGTCCCTGCTACTCGGGAGGCTGAGGCGGGAGGATCATTAGAGCCCAGGAGGTCGAGGCTGCTCCCTCGGGCTCACTCGAGGCTGATCATAGCTCACTATGATCACACCACTGCACTGCAGCCTGGGCGACACAGCGAGACCCTCTCTCAGGAAAAAAAAAAAGAAGAAGAAGAAGAAGAATGTCATGGAAGGAGTGACATTTGGATGGTTATGAAGACTGGGGAGTTCTCATGAGCAGTAACCACTGGGCCATTTTCTACCCTGCACTTTCTCTCTCCTGCAGGTGCCTTTTTCTTAATTACACCCAGAGAGTATAGGAAAGTGGATGCCAGCGATATTTATTTTCTGCTCTGAGCCCAGCACAGGTATCTCACCAGGGGCATCTTTCTTAATGAGGGAAGAAAAATGTCAGAACAGCGATCAGCCACGATGCACCCAGTGGACTTAAAAATAAGCAAAAATAACATGAAATTTTTTTTGCATTAGCTGGCTGTATATATCATCCAAGACTATGAGAGCAGGATTTTCTTTGTGCCATGGTGAGATCTGTTACTAGGGGTTTCCTCACAGTGGACGTGCTTCACAGAGGGGATATTCATTCTGGGGATTATTTTATTCAATTTAAAACCCGAGCAGAATTCGGGGGCTCAAGCCCATCTGTTCCAGCTGAGGTGCCAATCTCCTCCTTGTGTTTCAGGTCTGTATCCTCTACCCTCTTGGTGGTGCCTCCTTACTTGCATCTGAGGTTACACCTTTTATGTGTATTTGGGGGCTTCAGGGGCAGAGCAGAAGTCCCTGCCACTTAATAAGAAAGCAACCCTCTGTGAGGTCATATTACCTTCACACAAACCTGTGAGTAGGGATTCTCATCCCCATTTAAGAGAAGAGGAGACTGAGGCTTGGATGGGCTTATCTACTGATCCACTGTGCTACACACCTTCCCTATCTGCTCTATCAGGGCCAGAGATTGGCTGGGCACGGTGGCTCACACCTGTAATCCCAGCACTTTGGGAGGCTGAGGCCAACGGATCGTTTGAAGCCAGAAGTTTGAGACTAGCATGGCCAGCATGGGAAAACCCCATCTCCACTAAAAGTACAAAAATGAGCCAGGCATGGTGGTGCGAAATCTAATCCCAGCTACTTGAGAGGCTGAGGCACAAGAATCACTTGAACCCGGGAGGCAGAGGTTGCAGTGACCTGAGATCATGCCACTGCACTTCAGCCTGGGTGGCAGAGCAAGACTCTGCCTAAAAACAAAAAACAAAACAACAACAAAAATTAAAAGGAAAAAAAAAACAATTAGTGGGTGTGGTGGTGCATGCCTATAATCCTAGCTATTTAGGAGGCTGAGGTAGGAGGATCTTTTGAGTCCAGAAGTTAGAGGCTGCAGTGAGCCATGATAGTGCCACTGTACTCCAACCTGGGTGACAGAGCAAGGCTGTCTCAAAAAAAAAAAAAAAAAGCTGGGCCCAGTGGCTCACACCTGTAATCCCAGCACTTTGGGAGACCAAGGTGGCTGCATCACTTGAGGTCAGGAGTTTGAGACTACCCTGGCCAATGTGGTGAAACCACATCTCTACTAAAAAAAAAAAAAAAAAAAAATTAGCCAGGGATGGTGCTCGTGGCCCATGCCTGTAGTCCCTACTACTCCAGAGCCTGAGGTAGTAGGATCGGTTGCTTGAATCTGGGAGGTAGAGGTTGCAGTGAAATCACACCACTGTACTCCAGCCTGGGTGACAGAGCAAGACTCCATCTCAAAAAAAAAAAAAAAAAAAAAGTCTAGCCCGGAGCCCAAGCAGGGTGGCCCTGGATGCATTCTGTCCGATGACTGAATGAATGGATCATGGGTCCCCACCCATGTCAGGACTGTATGCTCCGGACACAGGCACCCCAAATCATTTCTGACGCTGGGTGCACAGTTGGAGCTCTCAATAAGGGCTTGATGCTGGCCAGAGGGGCTGAAGAGAGGAGGGGACTAACTCCCCCTCCCTAATTCTAGGCCAAGGCAGGAGAAGGATGAAAAGACTCCGAGGAGGAAGTCCTTGAAGTGATGAAATGAAAGTAATCCTGATTGGCTTCACTTAGAGTAGTTCAGAGGAGGAAGAGCAGAGAATCAAATGAAGCCCGTCCCCAGGTCCCCAGGGCTCAGCTGCTCTCCTTCCTCTAGCAACACAACAACGGTGTAGAGTGCGTGGGGGCCCCACTGCCACTGGACCACTTGGGAGAGGTGAATGGTACTCACCTCGCCTCTTCTGCAGCAGAGAAGTGGGGAGGATATATCAAGAGGAAAACAGAGAGGAGAGTCAATGAGAGACGGAGGTGATGAAACATGAGAAAGAAAGAGAAATGGTACTTAGCACAGGAGACACAGAAGGAGGCTGGAGAGGTGGAGCGGGTTCAAAAAAGAGAGAGGAGCTGGTAGTCTCCCCTCTGCCCTGCACACCCCCTTCACCCTCCTCCACTGGCTCTGTGTACCCCTCCACAGACTCTATCTGTGGATGCCTCGCTCTGCCTTCTGGGCAGGTGGACCTGGGAGGCCCTAGCAGGAAACTGGGGGGCAGAGGAGAGCACCTAGAGTGGGGGTTCCCTGAGCTCCTCCTCCTTCTTCGGTCACCACTGCTATCAGGGAGTGCTGCCTACACAGCCACCTTGCCCTGCGTCAGAGAACGCCTCCTCACGTAGCCCTGCGGCCCCAGGGATGGGAACAGCCCACTGCTACTAGACCCAGGGTACCACTCCTCCTCCTGAGGTCCCCCATGCAAACAGTTATTTATAAAACTCCGCCTGGATGGCCAGATTGAGCAATCCACCCAATGGGTCCTGGATGATACAGGGGCATTTGGGGCTTTTAATCCCCAGGAACGGAAGAACCCCTCTATGGAGGAGAGAGGCCCGTGCCTCTGATTTGAGAGGGTGTCCTCACTTCAGAGGTCACGGAGCATCCCCTGGAGTGGAGCACGGCCTCTTTTGGAAGGCAGCAGCCAGCACAGACTTCTTAGAAGGCCCTGCCCTCTGCTGAGTACCTATGAATGGCTGTTTGTTTTCTGTTGTTGTTTTTTTATTTGTTTGTTTTTGTTTTGTTGTTGTTGTTTTTGAGATAGTCTCACTGTTTCACCCAGGCTGGAGTTTAGTGGTGCAATCTCGGCTCACTGCAACCTCTGCCCCCTGGGTTCAAGCAATTCCCCTGCCTCAGTCTCCTGAGTATCTGGGATTACAGGCGCCCACCACCACGCCCGGCTAATTATTGTATTTTTAGTAGAGATGGGGTTTCACCATGTTGCCCAGGCTGGTCTGGAACTCCTGACCTCAGGTAATCCACCCACCTCGGTCTCCCAAAGTGTTGGGATTTTAGGCATGAGCCACTGCGCCCAGCCGCGAATGGCTATTTGATGAGTGAGTCCCAGGCTCAGCTGCAGCTGTCTTCAGAGGACAACCCTTAAGATAAATAAATAAAGCCTCCCCTGACTGTGCATGCCCATGTCCAGACTCCCAGCTCTATTTTTAGAATGTAGGACAACTTTCTCCCGGAATAGACAAGACACGCTAATCCAGGAGGGAGGCCTGGAGAGATGAAGACGTCGAGTCCAGATATGAATTAGTCGTGAGTATATTATTTGAAGAAATGTTGAACAGCTAGGCAAATATTTGATACCTTTGAATTGGAGCTGGCGTTTTCACAGGCAGAGTGCTGGCAGCTGCTGAGACATCCCCCTTACTGGTGGCATACCTTGCTGTCACACCCGGTGCTGCAGGCCACCTCTGTGGTACACTGAGAAGTAATTAAAGTTGCATGCCTGCTGGAATCCTCCGCAGCCATGCACCAAGCCTGGGTCTCCGGGACAGTGCTTGGCATGTGAGTGGATCCAAATCGCCTTTTCTTTTTTAAAAGAAATATTTATTTTCCTTAAACATACCATCATCTTATTAAAAGAATGAAGTTTCTGCCTCAGTGGGGCTCCTATTTTTGGAAAGAAAACATGATCTGTGGTTTGGACTCTCTAGTCTGTGATCGTGCGGAGGGGGTTCCCAGGAAAGACACCCGCCTTCCCT
This sequence comes from Homo sapiens, assembly GCF_000001405.40. Lineage (NCBI taxonomy): Eukaryota > Metazoa > Chordata > Mammalia > Primates > Hominidae > Homo > Homo sapiens. The sequence goes on along the minus strand of NC_000019.10, from coordinate 29,874,708 downwards.
TGGCTCAGGAAACAGGCCTTGCCTATAAGGCAGGAGGATATGGGGGGAGACCTCAAGGTTTGGGGGCAGCTGTGGGAGTCTCTGCACACTGGCAGAGAATTAACTAACCTCTTGGAGCTTAGAGGGAAAACCCCGGGGAACAATGATGTCGGGGGCACGGTCAGCAGAGTGGCCGAGCCATCTGTACACCAGGTACCTCATCCGGGAGTGGGGGCTGGCATTGGCATCCCCAGTTTACAGAGGGGGAAACAGAAAATCCGCGATATGGCCAACACCAGTGATGTCAGAGCCGAGCCAGGGCATGACGGAGCGAGTATGGGAAGCAGTTTGCAGACCACCCCATGGGGTTTACAACAGCAAAAGCTAATACTCTTCGAGCTCTTGCCTGGGCCTGGGGCTCTACCTGCCTCGCTCAGTCCCCTGTCCCCAGGCTCAGAGGATTCTGGCCCCCCCCCCGGTGACAGTCCCCTCCCCCTCCCCCCTCGCCCCGAGCCTACAGCCCGTTCTGCAGGGGTCATGCCTTGCTCTTGACGATCAGGGCGATCTGCAGGTGCTCCTGGTGGGAGCCTGGCCCGCCCTCCCCTTTTCTGCACCCCCTCCAGGACCCGCAGCCAGCCAGCTCTGAGGTTAATTCTGTGACAGTGTGCAAATACGGCTGCCGCCAAATCGCAGCCTCGTGCCCGCAGCCTCGCGCCTCAGGGGTAAGGCCTGATTTCTGAGCTAAGGGAACCTGGGAGCCTTGCGAAGCCTCCACAAGGCACGCACTTCCATGAACCCCATTTTAGAGATGAGAAAACCGAGTTAGAGAGGGACGCACGTCACCCCCTGGGCACGGCACCGGCCACCGCGCGCTGGCTCCCAGGAGACGTGGGGCTCGGTTTCTGCTGGGAGAAGCCGAGCAAAGCCAGAGGCTGTTGGGGACTTCCCGGGAGAGCGGCGCGGGCGCGGGGGCGCGGGGGCGCTGGGTGGGGGTCTGAGCACCAGCCTGGCCAGGCTTCCCCGCTCCGCAGATGCCCGGGCGCCGCCACCAGATGGCAGCAGACGCTTTGCGATCGAGCGGCCGGGAGGGCGCGGGGCCGGGTCGGAGCGGGGTCAGGGGAGCCCACCCGCCGCGCGGCTCGGTCTCAGGGCCGCCTCCTCCCTCCGCTCCCCCGGGCTGCGCCACCCAGGCCTCCAGGAGCCCGCCAGAGCAGCACCCCGCCCGCCCTCGGGCAGCCACCTCACGCTGCTCAGGAAGGACTGATTGGCTTGGGCCGGAGCCGGGTCCCCCAGCCATCGACCCCGCGGGGAGGGCGCGGAGCGGGCGGGGACTGTGGCTGGGGAGGCCGCGGAGACCCCTCGGACCAGCCCAGCTCACCCCCGCTACGAGACGGGCCGTCACCCACGCGAGCCCTGAGGATGCTGACCTGGAGTGGCGGCAGAGGGCAGAGCGCGACCCTGCCCTGTGTCCCCGCGGCAAGGCCCGCGCTGGGCCCCGCCGAGCTCCACCACGCCCGACGACGCTCAGAACCCGGCCTGCAGTGCTGGATGCGAGGGGTTTGGGCGAGCATGGGTGCAGGCCCCGTGGGCAAGTCAGGGCGCCTCTGAGCTGGCCCTGGCTGGGTGTTGGAGGTGAAGGCTGCAGAATGGGGGAGGGTGGCCAGGCTCCCACCTCGGGGAGATCACCTGGCCCGTCAAGGGCAACGCATTGCACGGGGGCACAAAGATGGACCAGCGGACACTGGGGACTACCACGGGGTGTGGGCGAAGCAAGGGCTGAAAAACCACCTACTGGGTTCCATGCTCACTATCTAGGTAACGGGATCATTCGTACCCCAAACCTCACAGTACACCCGTGTAACAAATCTGCACGTGTAACCCCCCCCCCCCCAACGAATCCAAAATCAAAGTGGAAATTATTATTACTATTTTAAAGAGCAATTCAGGACGGGCGCAGAACAGGATGGAGGTTCGAGTGGGGGTGGAGGGCCATGACCCGGGAGCTGGAATATTCTGCGCCAGGGGACGGGGGCTGAGAGTTGAGGGTGCCCGGGGACCTCTAGAGGGACCCTGCACTACACAGATCGGGACACTGCAGCCAGGAGCAGCCGCGGGCACCCGGGCGTCAAGGGGGAGGTGGAGGCAAGCACTGGGAAAGCGGAGGAGGCGGCTCCATCGTAGCCTTCAAGAAGCTAAAAATAAAGTGCCTCGCGGTGGACGCTGTACAGCCCACTAAAAAGAATGACCTCCTCGGCCCGCGCCATAAAAAGCCCACCTGGCCGTGCGCTCCTGCGCGCAGCCCCGAAGCTCTCCGCTGCCCCTTGGCCTGGAGTCAGGCTGCCTACGGGCGGGAGGGCTGGGCTGCCCGCCTCAGGCTCATCAGCGAAGGCACCCGCGGGCGGGGAGCAGGGGCTGCACTGCCCCCGCTTGGGCGCCTACTGTATGCACATTGCAGTTCCACGCATTTATTCACAAGTCCTTAGAAAGGGTAAAAACAATGAAATAAAACAAAATGCAATGAAGAGAAGTAAAACAATAAAAAATTAAAAGACAGTGTTGTGGTGTGGAATGAAACCTCGAGTTCCATTCCTGGCTGTCATTCCTCTCTGGGCTGGGTCACGGGGATTTTTGTTTGTTTGTTTTGTTTTTGTTTTTGTTTTGAGACAGGGTCTCACTATGTCGCCCAGGAGGGAGTGCAGTGGTGTAATCTCGGCTCCCTGCAACCTCCACCTCCCGGGTTCAAGCGATTCTCATGCCTCAGCCTCCTGAGTAGTAGCTGGGATTACAGGCGCGCGCCACCATGCCCAGCTAATTTTTATATCACGCGTGGCTAATTTTTTTTTTTTTTTTAAGACAGAGTCTCACTCTGTTGCCCAGGCTGGAGTGCAGTGGCGCCATCTCGGCTCACTGCAACCTCCGCCTCCCAGGTTCAAGCTTAATTTTTATATTTGCAGTACAGACGGGATTTCGCCATGTTGGCCAGGCTGGTCTCGAACTCCTGGCCACAAGCAATGCGCCTGCCTCGGCCTCTCAAAGTGCTGGGATTACAGGCATGAGCTACCGTGTTTGGCCGGATCCTTCATTAAACGGGAATATGAATGCTTGCTGCAGACATTTAAAAGGAAGGAAACACGGGGCAGGGTGTGGACTAAGACCTACCAGCTTTTTCTCAGGGTCTCAGGCCCAGGGCCTTACTGCCTTTATTTTATTTTATGTTATATTTTCTCACTGTGTTTGTTCTTTACTTTGTATTGTGTTTCATTGTTTTTGCTCTTTCTTTTCCTAAGAACCTGACCCTAATGCTGACCTGAGCCCTGCACATTCCTGCTCTGTGGTCTGTAAGTCCTGAACACACTGTGAGCACGTAGTTGGAGGGGGGGGGGCTCTCTATCAGATCTTCTGATCTGCCCCTTGCCCCAGAAAGAACCCTCCCTGCTCACAAGGCTGGCTCCACTTCCTGGGCCTCCTTGACCTTAATAAACAAAGGCCTTCTACAAGCTGATAACAAAAAGGCAAACAACACCGTGGAAAAATGGGCCAAGATAGGAGGAGGCAATTCACAGAAGAGGAGCTCCAGACATCCTACAAGCATGTGCAAAGATCCTCAGCCTCTCAAAGTGTCAGGAACATTCCTGCCAGAACAGTACCTGTGACTATGACAAAAATTCAAAAGAACACTAGCATTTAAGGTGGATGAGGTTGTGGGGAAGTGGACACCTATCCTGGTCATTGCTGGTGGGATGACAAATTGTTACATGTTTTGCAAAGTAACTATAATTTTAATTACAATTAAAAATGTCTGTGAGGCCAAGCATGGTGGCTCACATCTGTAATTCCAGCATTTTGGGAGGCCTAGGTGGGTGGATCACGTGAGGTCAGGAGCTCAAGACCAGCCTGGCCAACATGGTGAAACCCCATCTCTACTAAAAATACAAAAATTAGCCGGGCGTGGTGGCAGATGCCTGTAATCCCAGCTACTGGGGAGGCTGAGACAAGAGAATTGCTTGATCCCAGGAGGCAGAGGTTGCAGTGAGCCGAGATGGTGCCACTGCACTCCAGACTGAGCCACAGAGTAAGACTCTGTCTCAGAAAAAAAAAAATTCTTCTCCTTAATTCCTTTTTTGATCCACATGTCAAGAAATAGTTGAGGCTGGGCGCAGTGGCTCATGCCTGTAATCCCAACACTTTGGGAGGCCGAGACGGGCAGATCACGAGGTCAGAACGAGACCATCCTGGCTAGCACAGTGAAACCCCGTCTCTACTAAAAATACAAAAAATTAGCTGGGCGTGGTGGCGGACGCCTGTAGTCCCAGCTACTCGGGAGACTGAGGCAGGGGAATCGCTTGAACCCAGGAGGTGGAGGTTGCAGTGAGCCGAGATTGCGCCACTGCACTCCAGCCTGGGTGACAGAGCGAGACTCTGTCTCAAAAAAAAAAAAAAAAAAAAAGAAAAAAAGAAATGGTTGAATTTCCAAGTAAGTATTACGGGTTTGTTTTCCTCAATGATTCTTGAGGGGAGCAGGCAGGGGCAGTGGGAGGGCCGGGGGGTGGGGGTGGGGGTTGGATTTTTTTTTTTTTCCCCCGAGACGGAGTCTCCCTCTGTCGCCCAGGCTGGAGTGCAATAATAGTGCGATCTCGGCTCACTGCAAGCTCCACCTCCCGGGTTCATGCCAGTTTCCTGCCTCAGCCTCCCGAGTAGCTGGGGCTATAGGCACCCGCCACCATGTCCGGCTAATTTTTTGTGTGTTTTTAGTAGAGACGGGGTTTCACCGCGTTAGGGATTTTTTTTTTAATTGTTGCTTTCTGTTTTCACTAGGATATGATCAGAGAAGATAACAGGTAGAATTTTTTTTTTTTTTTTTTGGTCTTGATTCCCTGAGATCCTCCCGCCTTGGCCACCAAAGTGCTGGCATTACAGGTGTGAGCCACTGCGCCCGGCCTCCTACAGAGGCCTTTCTACAGAAATCTACTACTTTCTGAAAGAGATACAAGTCATCATCATTATCCAAAAATAATTGTATTAGAGGAAAAAGAAAAAACACTTTAGCGTGAATCCACTTGGGGGAGGGCAAAATTTCATGCATAATGTTATACCGAGACATGAAACCAAGTAGTACAAAAAAGACATTTACTTTATCTAATATTTACTGAAATTTAGGTTATAATTGCAACAATGTCATTTTTAAGACAAATATAAATCCAGTGTACTTTCCCATAGGTATGTTATACTTGAATAAAAAGTTTGCTTAGAAATAATAAATCTAATGTTGACTTTTTGAAAGTATAATTTTTCTAATAAAATTGTGTGATATCATGACAAGACACCCTTCACTTCACATCTGACTTCTGCAATACTACTGTGTTTTGCAAAAGGTAATTGATGGCTTCAGCTATCGTCCTAAGGGCCTCTCTTAATCCTTTGCTATTTGTATCAGTCAGGGTTGCATTTGACAGAAACCCAATTTAGCAACTTTAACAAGCTAGGAGCTTATTTTTCTTATATGACAAAAAAAATCCAAAGGCAAACAGATGGGCTGGTGCCATTGCACACGAAAAACATCACAGATGTGGCCCTTCTGGCCCCCGCTTCACCCTCCTGAAGGTTTCCTATTTGCTTTCTCAAGGTAGCAGCTGCACCTCTAGGAATCTCATCCACATTCCAGTTCAAAGGGGGCATGACTCAAGGCAAAAAGGTTTGAGCCACCTTAGTCTGCCCCTTATTTATCGGGAAAGCAATAACTTTCACAGAAGCCCCACAAGTAGAATTTTTCATGTTACGTTGGCCGAAACACCATCACACGACTACCCCTAGCTGCAGAAGAGTCTGGGAGGAGAGGATTTTTAGCTGAGTACATTACCACCCTAGGCAAAACTGGGTTCATGTCAGTGAAAACAGAATGAATATTGGGTAACAGTTGACAACTTCTGTCACAATAATCAAACCATTTATTTTTATTTATGTACTGAGACAAGCTCTCACTATGTTGCCCACGCTGGTCTTGAACTCGTGGCCTCAAGCAATCCTCCCACCTTGGCCTTTCAAAGTGTTGGGATTACAGGTATGAGCCACCAGCACCTCACCCAATATTGCTCTTTCATAAAATCCTTTTTTTTTTTTTTTTCAAAATGTGTAGTTTCACTTTGTAATTGACTTGAATTATATTGTACTATGGGGTATTTCTACGATTATTGAGAGGCTGACCATCAAAAATGCTGATGCATTTGTCCAGGATAAATGCTAACAGTGAACTGGGAGGAATGGTTGAGTGAATAATAATTTTATAAAAGCTCAATTCATTAGTAACTGGATTCAAGTCACGACTTAACTAAGAATCATAATCATAGCTGTGAAAATTTGGGCAAATTACTCAACCTTCCTGTGCTTCTATTTCCTCATTTGCAAAATGGGAATGGTTTCTCAGTTGTCTAGTTCTGCAAAAGAAACCAGTTCAAAAATTTTAAACAAAAACCATTTTGTTTTCTCACAATTCTGTGTGTGGCAGTTTGGTGTGGGCTCAGCTGGATGGCTCTTCTGCTGATCTTGTCCTTGGTTACTAATGCAGCTATAGTTATCCAGCAACTCAGCTGGGACCAGATGTTCTAAGATGCCTCACCCACATGTCTGATGATGGGTGTTTGGCTACAGGTCTTCAGCAGCCCAGCCCAGGCTTCTTCACACGATGGTGGAAGTGTTCCAAGAGACCAAGAGTGGAAGCTGTGCAGTGTCTTGAGGGCTAACTCACAAGTAAAAAAAAAGTAATTTCCACAACATCCCATTGTCAAAGCAAGTTGCAAAGCCAGACCAGATTCATGGATATAAAAATAGATTCTCTTTGGGAGGCTGAGGGGGCTGGATTGCCTGAGTTCAGGAGTTTGAGACCAGCTTGGGTAACATGGCGAAACCCTGTCTCTTACAAAAATATGAAAAATTAGGTAGGCTTGGTGGTTCGCACCTGTAGTCCCCACTACTGAGAGGCTGAGGTGGGAGGACCACTTGAGCCTGGGAGGAGGAAGTTGCAGTGAGCCGAGACTGAGCCACTGCACTTCAACCTGGGTGACAGAATGAGACCCCATCTCAAAAAAAGAAATAAAAATAGGCCGGGTACAGTGGCTCACGCCACAGCACTTAGGGAGGCTGAGGTGGATGGATCACCTGAGATCAGGAGTTGGAGACCAGCCTGGCCAACTCGGCAAAAACCCATCTCTACTAAAAATACAAAAAAAATTAGCCGGGCATGGTGGTGTGGTGTGCACCTGTAGTCACAGCTACTTGGGAGGCTAAGGCAGGAGAATCACTCCAACCTGGGAGGCAGAGGTTGCAGTGAGCTGAGATCACATCACTGCACTCCAGCCTGGGCAATAGAGTGAGACACCATCTCAAAAAAAAAAAAAAATACATTCTGCCTCTTAAAAGAGGAATTGATAAAGTCACATTGCAAAAGTTTGTATATACAAGGATGGAAGAAATTATTATAGTCATCTTGGCTAACAGATAGTAATAAATCATGACATATAATTTGTGGTAAGGACCAAAAGGGTTAGTACATGTAAAGTACTTAGAACCTTGGCTGGCGCATCATAGGAGCTTAACGTTTGTTATTTCTTATTATCATTATTGTTGCTGCTGTAATTGTACCAGGAATACTTTTGTTTTTCAAAGCAGTCTTATAATTACAGGGACTTGAATAATAGATACTCAGATAATTAGTCCTTTGTATTAAAATACCTTCTATTATAATTATATTTTTACCATGTTCTCTGTGTATTCCTGGGAGTTTTGCTTTATGTGTTTGGCTACCACATTATTTGGTACATACATGTTTCTGAAGACTTTAGTTTCTCTGTGAATTGCACTTCCATGTTTCATAATCTCCTTCTCTGCTCAGGACCTCGCCCCTTGGATTCCATGTTGATTCATCTTCATACTGCCACTATGCTTCTTTTTTTGTCTGCATTTTTCCATTAACTCCTTGCTCAACAATTAATTTTCAACTTTTCATTGTGTCTTTATTTTAAATGTGCCTCATATAAACAGCATCTACTTGAATTTTCTTTTTTTCCAATTTGATAGGAAAATTCATAATTTATAATGATAGATGATATATAATGGGTTTAACCTCTTCCATCTTATTGTGTGTTTACTGATTTTATTACATTTTTCTGGTTTATGCTTACTAAATTATTGTTATTTTCCCTTTCCCATTTACTTTTCTTTGATGGTTGGCTCAGGTTTTTCATCATTCTTTACCCGTATTAATTCAGAAATTCCACAATACTTTTCATTTCCTTTAATGGGTACCTCTCCACTGTTAACATAGAAATTTGTGTTTCTTTACAGATTGTATTATTTATCTATGGCAGGGTAACAAATTACCCCAAAACTTAGCAGTTTACAACAAGAGATGTTTGTTATCTGACAGTTTCTACGGGTCAGGTCCAGGAGCAGCTCTGCTAAATGGTCCCAGCTCAAGGTTTCTCAGGAGGCTGTAACCGGGTGTCGGCCAAGGCTGCAGCCCTCTGAGGCTGGGCTGAGGCTGCAGGATCCTCTTTGAAGCTCATTCATGTGGCTGTTGGCAGGAGACTTCTGTTCCTTGTCCCAAGGGCATCTATGGGGCTGTTCACAACACAGCTTCCCTCACATCAAGTGATGAGAGACAGAGGAACTCCTCGTACCGTTTATGCTTTAACCTCAGTCACATCCTGTCACTCTCTTAGATTCTCTTGGTTAGAAGTGGGTCACTAGGTCTGTCCCACACTACCAGGGAGGGAAATTAAGGTCCATGATCCACATCTTGAAGGGACGATCATCAAAGGGTTTGTGGACTTATTTTTTTTTTTTTTTTGAGATGGAGTCTGGATATATTGCCCAGGCTGGAGTGTAATGGCGAGATCTCGGCTCATTGCAATCTCCACCTCCAGGGTTCAAGCGATTCTCCTGTCTCAGCCTCCCAAGTAGCTGGGATTAAAGGCACCTGCCACTAGGCCAATTTTTGTATTTTTAGTAGAGATGGGATTTCACCATGTCAGCCAGGCTGGTCTCAAACTCCTGACCTCAAGTGATCCGCCTGCCTCAGCTTCCCAAAGTGCTGGGATTACAGATGTGAGCCACCGTGCCTGGCCCAGTGTATCTGTTTTTGGCTGTAGTATTTATTTAGCATTTTCCCCAGAGAGGATATAAGTCTTTGCATACTTTAAAATCTCTTCCAGCTTTGGCAACACAGTGAGACCCGTCTTTACAAAAAAAAAAAAAAAATTAAAATAATGAGTGGGGCACAGTGGCACATACCTGTGTTCCCAGCTACTTGGGAGGCTAAGGTGGGAGGATTGCTCAAGCCCAGCCAGTCTAGGCTGCAGTGAGCCGTGATCACACCAGGCACTCCAGCCTGAGTGACAGAGTGAGACCCTGTCTCAAAACAAATAAAAATAAAAAGAAAAATCTCTTGCCATTGCCCTGATGTATGCATGATATCTCTTGTGGACATAGGATTCCTGGGTCACTGTCCTTGTCCCTGAAGTCACTGTTCCATTCGTCTCCTGACTTCCAGGGTGGCAGATGACAAAGCCAACATCAACGTGATTTTTCTTTCCTTTGTAAGTAACCTTACTTTCTGTCTGGAAGTTCATAATTCAGGAATTACACCAGGGTCTGTTTTAAGTATATGTCTTTTCAATTAATCCTTCCTGGAACTCTATCGGCCCTTTTAATCAAGGCTTTCGCCAGCTTAGAAAATGTTCTTTAATTAGGAGCTGGGTACAGTGGTGTGTGCTTACGGACCCAGCTACTCGGGAAGCTGAGGCAGGAGGATTGCTTGAGCCCAGGAGTTTCAACGCTGTAGTATGCTACAATCACACATGTTAATAGTCATGGAACTCAAGCCTGAACAACATAGCAAGACCCCATCTCTGAAAAAAAAAAAGAAAGGAAGAAAATGCTCTTTGATTAATTATTTGATTATCGTTTTCCCTTTATATCTTTTTTTTCCTTCTCTTTTGCTTTTTTGAATGTTAGATCATCAGGGTTTGTCCTCCAAATCTTTTTCTGGTTTTGCATTGCGGTGAGATTTCCTTCCACCTGAACTCTCATGGTATCAACTTATTTCTCAGCAGTGATCATTCCCTTCCTGGGTTTATCAGTTGAATTTTTAAACAGAGAAGTCGTTTGATTCTTTTGGTTCCTGATAGTCCTCCCCGACCATGCAACTACCAGTTCATCTCTGTCTTACTTTTTTGTGAAAGTTCTTTTCCTTCCTCAGCAGTGCCTGCTGTTTGGAACAGGTTTTGTTTTGTTTTGTATTGTTTTTTGTTTTCTTCCTCCTCCTCATCATCTTCTCCTTCTTCTTCTCCTTCTCCTTCTCCTCCTTCTTCTTTTCCTCTTCCTCTTCTTCCTCTTCTTCTTTTTCTTCTTCTTCTTTTTTTTTTTTTGAGATGGAGTCTCGCTCTGTCGCCCAGGCTGGAGTGCAGTGTCATGATTCGGCTCACTGCAACCTCCATCTCCCGAGTTCAAGCAATTTTCCTGCCTCAGCCTCTGAGTAGCTAGGATTACAGACACAAGCCACCACGCCTGGCTAATTGAGGTTTTTCAGTTTGGACTTCCTCCCTCAGGTTCCTGAGTTTTCTAAGATGGGGTGCAGTTTTCCTGGCTGTCGCATGGCTGGGGGTACCCTGGACAGCCATGTAAATTAGGCTGCTGGCATCTCCTGGCAGTGGCAAACCAGCACCGCAGTTTCAGGCAGCTTCGACTTCAGGGGCTGGCAGGGAGTGAGCTGGCCAACGTGACCCTTCTGCTGAGTGCTGGCAGTGTCCTCTCAGGCCATGCGGGCATGCAGCCCACCAGGTTTCCTGAGGCCAGCAGTGCTACACAGAATGCCAAGTTCCCTTTTCCAGGGGGAGGACAGAGAGGGGCTCCTGCATGGGCGGTTGTGAGGGTGAGCTACTCCTTCCCCAGCACTCCACCGTGAGCTGGCCTCACCCAGCACCCAGCAGGAGGGGAAGGACACTTTCGAGGGGAAATCAAGGAGAAAGGGCCGCACCCCGAACCCCAGGTTTGGTGTGTGCTGGGGTGGAGCCAAGAGGAGACCAGGAATTCTGCAGGGGCTGGAAATCTGGACCAGAGGGTCTGGGCCACATTAGAATTGCCAGGGAGCTTCTTTTTTTAATTTATTTTTTATTTTTATTATTACTATATATATATATATTTTTTTTTTGAGACGGAGTCTCTCTGTTGCCAGGCTAGAGTGCAGTGGTGCGATCTCAGCTCACTGCAACCTCTGCCTCCCGGATTCAAGCGATTCTGCTGCTTCAGCCTCCCGAGTAGCTGGGATTACAGGCGTGTGCCATCACGCCTGGCTAATTTTTGTATTTTTAGTAGAGACGGTGTTTCACCATGTTGGCCAGGATGGTCTCGATATCTTGACCTCGTGATCCGCCTGCCTCAGCCTCCCAAAGTGCTGGGATTACAGGCATGAGCCACTGTACCTGGCCTATTATTACTATTTTTTTTGAGCCAGAATCTCACTCTGTTGCCCAGGCTGGAGTGCAGTGGTGCAATCTCGGCTCGCTGCAACCTCCACCTCCCAAGTTAAAGTGATTCTCCTGCTTCAGCCTCCTGAATAGCTGGGATTACAGGTGCATGCCACCACACCTGGCTAATTTTTGTATCTTTAGTAGAGACAGGATTTCCTCATGTTGACCAGGCTGGTCTCAAACTCCTGACCTCAGTGATCTGCCCATCTCGGCCTCTCAAAGTGCTGGGAGTCTGTGCATTTTTAAATGTAATCAATGTTGCCACGTTGCCCCCCGTGAAGGCTGGTTGTAACAATTTATGCTCCCACCAGCAAGAAAATGGATTCACGAAGTCTTGGATGGTAATGGCCAAAATGCAGGGAATTCCCTGGGCAGCTCAGTAAGTAATTGTGCCCCAAGTCTCTCAGAGTGACTGTCCTGTATACAGTAAGGGCTTTCTTGGTGCTTTCTCCCTGTCCCCTTCAGTCCACACTATATAACTGCCTGCATAGAAATACCCTCCCACCCACTCTCTGCCACAAGGGGAAGGATAAGCAGTGATAGCCCTGGTGCTTCTCTAGACTGTGGAACACACACATTCCTCATGCTTCCTCCCCTCCTGCAGCAGTCCCACCTCCATTTCTAGCACCCAGAGGGCACCCTCTGCAGGGTGAAGTCTCCAGGGTAGAGAAGCTTCCTAGGCAGGGTGTCACTGGACTGGCCAGCTCCCCTCACTCTTCCTGTGGTCAACAGCACCACAGGAACTTTTCCTAGGGAACCACCCCTCTCTCAGTGCTCCTTCCTCCATTTCCCCCTCTGCCTGGCACGTTGCTCAGCTGAGCCAATGCATGTATTCTCCCTGTGGCCACGGTGATTTGTTCAGGAATGGGCACATAACCCAAGTCTATCCAATCAGAGCCTTTCCTGGGACCTTTGTGGGTTTTTTTGTTTTTGTTTTTTGTTTTTTGTTTTGAGATGGAGTTTCACTCTTGTTGCCCAGGCTGGAGTGCAATGGCGCGATCTCAGCTCACTGCAACCTCCGCCTCCCGGGTTCAAGCGATTCTCCTGCCTCAGACTCCCAAGTAGCTGGGATTACAGGCACCTACCACCACGCCCAGCTAATTTTGTATTTCTAGTAGAGATGGGGTTTCACCATGTTGGCCAGGCTGGTCTCGAACTCCTGATCTCAGATGATCCACACGCCTCAGCCTCCCAAAGTGCTGGGATTACAGGCGTGAGCCACCGCGCCTAGCCACCTTTGTGGTTCTATTGGGAAAAAAAACTGCCCTCTTCCACAGGGATTTCTCGCAAGGACAGTGTAAGCCTGGAGCTGCTGGGGCTACAACTGGAAGAACACTTGCAGGATAACGAAGCCAATATAATGAAAAGCAAAGCCCAGGAAGAGGTGGGGTGTGGTGAGGCATGGTGGGGGGAGAGGAAGAGGGAGAGAGAGATGGTGACGTCACCAGAGCCCCAGGATTCAGCAGTTCCAGAAGCACGCTGACCTCATCAGCAGGATAGCAGGTGTCAGAGGGACCCATCCTTCCAGGCTCAGATCCTCCCTTCATTCTGAAGAGCCGAGGACATATTCAAGGAAACCTAAACATACCTTGCTGCCAGGCGTGGTGGCTCACGCCAGTAATCTCAGTACTTTTGGAGGCCGAGGCGGGCAGATCACGAGGTCAGGAGTTTGAGAGCAGCCTGGCCAATATGGTGAAATCCTATCTCTACTAAAAATACAAAAATTAGCTGGGTGTGGTGGCGCGCACCTGTAGTCCCAGCTACTCAGGAGACTGAGGCAGGAGAATTGCTTGAACCCGGGAGGAGGAGGTTGCAGTGAGCTGAGATGGCGCCACTGCACTCCAGCCTAGACGACAGAGCAAGACTCTGTCTCCAAAAAAAAAAAAAAAACAAAAACAAAAACAAAAAAACTTACTGGTAGGAATATGAGCTATGAGCTATTAGATATTAGATTGGTGCAAAAGTAATTGTGGTTTTGGCTGAAAAGTAAATGCACAAAGATTTTGCACTAATCTAACACAAGTATTATTTACAGTTAAATAATTAAAAGTCATTTTATTTGCACATAAGCTACATGACTATAATGGTGGAGTAGGTATTGGTCAGGGCACTTTTGGATACAAGTGATAGAAAACTGATTTCCACTGGCTTAAAGACATAGGGCACTTATTGGTTCACCTGCCCTCCCATAGAAAGATCAGGGTAGGCCCATCTTCAGGAACAGCTGGATGCAGAGATTAGGACACCATGGGACCATCTCTGGGAATATAGTAAGATCCCGTCTGTATAAAAAAAATTAGCCGGGCACAGTGGTGCTTGCCTATAGTCCCAGCTACTCAGGAGGCTGAGGCAAGAGGATCACTGGAGCCCAGGAGGTTGACGCTGCGGTGAGCCATGATTGTGCCACTGCATTCCAGCCTGGGTGACAGAGCAAGTCCAGCTCAAAAAAGTCTTCCCGCCTTTAACTCCAGTTACAAAAATCCTGGAGAAGAATTCTGATTGGTCCAGACTGGGTCACATGTTCACCCCTGTTGTCAAGGCCTGAATCTGTCATCAGAGGCAGGAAGACTGGTACCACACTGCCTCCAGGGGAACCCAGCAGCCAGTCTCAATTGTGTCTACTTGGGGAGGAAAGAGAAAGAGGAGAGGAAAGGGTGGCCATGGGGGGAACTCTATCTCCAGCATAGCAAACCTGGAGTCTAATCAAACAACTGTGGTGGGGTGCGGTTGGTCACACCTGTAATCCCAGCACTTTGGGAGGCCGAGGCAGGCGGATCACTTGAGGCCAGAAGTTGGAGACCAGCCTGGGCAACATGGTGAAACCCCATCTCTACTAAAAATACAAAAATTAGCCAGGCATGGTGGTGCGCGCCTGTAATCCCAGCTACTCAGGAGGCTGAGGCAGGAGAATCGCTTGAGCCCAGGACGCAGAGGTTGCAATGGACCGAGATCGCACCACTGCAATCCAGCCTAGGCAGCAGAGAGAGACCCTGACTCAAAAACAAACAAAACAAAACAAAAGCAAACAAGCAACTTTGCCTAGGACATGAGATGCCCTGAGTCTCGGAATGTGGTATCGGATGGATGGGTACAGTGACTCACACCTGTAATCCCAGTGCTTTGGGAGACCGAGGCAGGCGGATTGCCTGAGTGCAGGAGTTTGAAACCAGCCTGGGCAAATTGAAACCAGCCTGGGCAATATAGTGAGATTTTGTCTCTGAAAAAAAAAGAATTGGGTACCAGAATGGGTATGTTTCCCACCAGGCAGGGGCACTGATAGCACTGTCAGGATGAGGATGGGGACTCGGAGGGAAGCTGGCCTGCCTTGGAATTATGCAAAGTGGAGGCTCACAGTGGCTTTGATGGTGCTTGATTAAATATTTGGCCCATTTAGTTAATTAAATATTTAAATGTTAAATACAGAATCAGATGTTATTTAGTGGACATTACTTCTCAACAGCCATGAGTCATTCAACAGCCCTCTGAATGGGGCCTCTGCAGCCTCAGCCTCCCCTCCCCTACAGGAAGGACTCCAGGAGACACCTGGGGAGTGTAATTAATTAATTACCAATTGAGGTTACACTAGGCTGTGCTGTTTCAGAACACCATGTGTTGGCCGGGGAAGGTGGCTTACCCCTGTAATCCCAGCACTTTGGGAGGCCGATGCAGGCGAATCGCCTGGGGTCAGGAGTTCGAGACCAGCCTGGCCAACATGGTGAAACCCTATCTCTACTAAAAATACAAAAATTAGCCAGGCTTGGTGGCACACATCTGTAATCTGTAATCCTAGCTACTCGGGAGGCTGAAGCAGGAGAATTGCTTGAACCCAGGACATGGAGATTGCAGTGAGCTGAGATCGCACCACTGCACTCCAGCCTGGGCAACAGAATGAGACTTATCTCAAAAAAAAAAAAAAAAAAGAATGTCACAAGTCACTCAGGGGAGCCTCTCCTGCTGGGTCCCAGGGCCAGTTCACAGGCAGGTGGAAGAGGCAAGAGCCCATTTCCTGGGTAGCAAAATCTACCTCAAACCTACATACGCGCACCTGCCGCCTCCTCTGTCTAAAACAGCCCCATGCCCCACATCTCCCCATTGCAGACTGCTTCCTTGTTTTCAGGCCATGTCCCCTCCCCTCGACCTGCCATCTTCCCAGGGGTGTTGGGGGCTCCCTGGCAGCCACAAGGGAACATGCCGCCCCTGTGTGGGGAAGGGCTCCCTGCAAATGGCCAAAGTGTGGTGACCTTCAGCTCCTTTTTGTTTAGTGCTCCGGGACCCTGGGAGGCTCCCTTCCCCACCAAAGCCCCGGGAGCTCAGGAGGGTGGGGTTCCTGGACAGCTTCTCCTGAGGACTGCAAGGTAGGTCGGCTGCCTGCCGAGCCTCGGGCCCGAGGACTTGCAGCTCTTTCCTGGCCAGCACGGTAGGAGGCCCAGGTGTGTGAGTGACAGCGGGTGAGGGGCGATGAGAGGCTAGGCAGTTTGCAGCCATGGCGATCCTTCCGGAGGCCAACTCTGATGGGTTAGAATGGGCTGAGGGCTCCTTACTGCCCTCAAGATAATGTCTAGACTCGGGCTGCCCTGGTCCTGCTGCTCCCAGAGTGCCAAGCATTACCTGGCCTCCCTAGTCCCTCTCCCAAGCCCAACAGTCTGCATTCTAGCCACATCAGCCTCCTGCCAGTTCCTGAAAGCACAGGGTCTGGATTCTCTGGATTTGGGCATATTCCGTTCCCTCTGCCTGAAATCCTTTATTGTCCTGCAGGTCTCACTTAAGATGTCAGCTCCTCCAGGAAGCCCACCTTCCTTTAGCATGGAGCCAAGGATGGGAAGGGGTAGGCAGGCAGTCCCAGGCAGGGGCAGCTGGATGGCCACTAGGCTGCCTCATCCAGCTTCTCAGAATGGCCCAGGGCCTGGAAGCCAGGAGCTCTCTCCAGCCACCTGGGACTCTGTGGTATGTGGACTGGGGGGACGGGCACCCCGGGGGTGGAGGAAGGAGGGTGGCCAGGTGGAAGGCTCAGAACTGCCACCTGCTGGCCACTGAGAGGCGTGGCCTGGAGAGCTCTGAAAGCCGCCGACCTGAGGGATCTCCCAGCCTCTCCCCATTCCCACCTGGACTTCCTGCTGCGCATGGGAAAGGGAAGCCTGGCCACTCCAAAGTTGCCGAAATATTCTTTGACGAGTCAGAAAAAAAATGCCAAAACAAGGTTACAAAAACCATAGCTGGCTGGGCGCGGTAACTCACACCTGTAATTCCGGCACTTTGGGAGGTCGAGGCAGGAGAATCACTTGAGCACTGGAGATCAAAACCATCCTGAGCAACATAGAGAGATCCCTATCTCTACAAATAATTTAAAAATTAGCCAGGGCCAGGCACAGTGGCTCAGGCCGGAACAGTGGTTCACACCTGTAATCCCAGCACTTTGGGAGGCCGAGGCAGGCAGATCACTTGAGGCCAGGAGTTTGACACCAGCCTGGCCAACATGGTGAAACCCTGTCTCTACTAAAAATACAAAAATTAGCTGGGTGTGGTGCATGCCTGTAATCCCAGCTACTCGGGAGACTGAGGCACGATAATTGCTTGAACCACGGAGTCGTAGGTTGCAGTGAGCCGAGATCATGCCACTGCACTCTAGCCTGGGCAACAGAGCAACACTCTGTCTCAAAAAAAAAAAAAATCAGCCTGGCATTGTGGTGCACACCTGTGGTCATGACCACTCAGGAGGCAGAGGTGGGAGGATTGCTTGGGCTCAGGAGGTTAAGGCTGCAGTGAGCTATGATTGCACCACTGCACTCTAACCTGGGTGACAGAGCAAGACCCTGTGTCAAACACAAAAACAAAATACAAAAGAAAACAAAAATAACCGTAGCCTATTTAAAACGAGCAATTTAATGCTTTTTACACCAAAATATATACAACATAATGCAATTACGTTTTTTACAAGATAACTGGAGTTTTTAACCTATAAAAATACTTGGTCGTGGAGCACCACAGGTGCTCTGGGAAGGAGTCACACCACTAAAGTTGTTAAGTAAGCTTAACAGCTTAACAAGGGCATGGTGGCTCATGCCTGTAATCTCAGCACTTTGGGAGGCCAAGGCGGGTGGATCACTTGAGGTCAGGAGTTTGGAACCAGCCTGGCCAACATAGTGAAACCCCGTCTCTACTAAAAATACAAAAAATTAGCTGGGCGTGGTGGCGGGCGCCTGTAATACAAGCTATTCGGGAGGCTGAGGCAGGAATCACTTGAACCTGGGAGGCAGAGGTTGCAGTGAGCCGAGATTGAGCCATTGCACTCCAGCCTGGGCGACAAGAGCAAAACTCCATCTCAAAGAAAAGTAGATAAATAAATAAATAATAAAGTTGTTGAATGGATGTGAGCCTCTCTCCCTCCCCTCTCTGACTCTGTGTAACCTCATTTGGAGAGGATAGTTCCTTTGGGACCCTGAGGCCTGGATCAAGTGGCCCACATGCTCCTTGTATGGATAAGGAAACTGAGGCCTGGAGCAGGGAAGAGGCTAGCCCAAATGGGGCCTTGCAAACCAGGCTGTCCCCTCTCCCTGCAGTTCCTTCCCTCCAGGCTCTGAGGAGCTCTGCACCCTTCTCTGAGCCACCAGCTCTGGCAGGAGCCTGGCCTCCCAGGCTTCAGGGACCGGCCACGGGGCCCCCTCCCTGAGCCGCCCCTTCATCCAGCATCCTCTGCCTGACTTCCCTGCCCTTTATAAATATGCATTGGGCCAGAGAGATAGGGGGCCTCTTTTTGAGGAAAAATTAACCACAATGACAAACTTAGATATTCATGCAAACCATCAGCCTGTTAGACTGATTATGCAGAATGCAAACTGTGAGTATCTGAGTGACTGAGCGGGCTCATCAAAGGCGCCGTCAGGCAGCAGGGGTGCTCCCGGCCTAGCCCACCTTCCCACCGCCTTTGTACTCTCTGCTCAGCCCCGGTGCAGGCCACCGGGCTACTTCCCTCACACAGCACCCGTTTCTGACGCAGGGACCCCTCCACGCTCTATTTTAAAGGATTAATTAACGTTGTAAGATTGGCAGGGAGAGCTCCACCTGGCTATCTGCTGCATGAAAGCATCCGCTCACTAGAGTATTTTAAGCTCACAGTGCAGACCATATGGTATTTCAGAGAACACAAGTTGAAAGTACAGTACATATTTATTCCTTCCACAGAGAGCATTAGAGGGGTTTAAGTATTTTATGAAAGCCTGTATGTGCGGGCATGTGTGTGTGCACGTGCGCGCGCGTGTGTGCATGTGTATGAAGCCAGCAGAAATATACTCCACTCAGAGAAAAAATAAATTACACAGATTTATTTTCATCTCTCTGCCAACCCACCCCATAGCAACAGTGAAAACTTGGTCTATGTAAACTCGAGAAAACAAGAAATATTTTATCAAGTCGTCTCAACTCATGGCTATTGCCAATTCCCCTCTTTCTGGAAACACAAGCAGTCTCCTCATGTCAGTTTTGCAGGCAGAGGGGAGGGAGTGGGGGGCAGGTGTCAGATGAGAGGGGTCAGGCCACGTGGGAAGCCCCAGGCCTGCTTCCCAGGCAGGAAGTGCAGACCCTGTGCCATCGGCTTGGGAAAGGCCCTTCCTCTTTCTAAGCTCAGTTCCCTGTCTGGAACAACATGATCTCTTGGGATAAAATAACTAGATACAAAAGGTAAAGGAAGTGCCTGGCACAGGGCAAGCAACACTCGTGAATCCTGGATCCGGAACTTTGAGAAAAACTTATGTTGTGGAAGTCTGTTGATTTCATCCTCCCAGCATGCATCTCCCTTATCTTGGTAACAGTCCCGCCCTCATCCTTGGGGAAGCCCCCTTCTGTCCAGGTGATTGGGATGGAGTTACCTCTGGCCCTGACTTTAGGGGTGGCCATGACCAGGGCTGGCCAATCAGGGCCCTTCATCTCCCCAGCCTCCGGGACTGGCTCAGGGATGGTCACATGACCGAAGACAGATTAATGAGGCTCAGCCCTGAGACTTTTGCTGGAATTCCTGGGAAAGAGGCTGTCTTTCTCCCAGCAGCCTTGCTAGGCTGGGACCTTAGAGCTTACTGCTAAGCTAGACTTGGGAAAAAAAAAAAACTAGTGATAGAAGAATCTAGGGTAGATGTAGATTCTGTCTAATGGACAACTCCCCTCTCCTAAGCAGGGACAGGAACTGAAGTTCTAAAAAGAAATAAAAATATTAAAGGAAGAAATAAGGTAGAGTAAGGGAAGCTGATCAGGTTCAGCTGCCCAAGGGCCTGACTGTCCTCTCCTGAAAAAGCCACAGGTCTGATCGAATCTGGACAGGAAAGAGCTCTGGGGAATGTCTGGCTGCCCCACCCTTCAACAGCTCCGGCTCTGCCCCAAAACTCCTCTGACAGAGACCTGGGACCTGAGAGAGGCAGGGCCTCAGAAGCGGTGGAGGGGCGCCTACAGCCTTGGAAGGCATCTCCAGCACTGGACTTCCACCCCTTTTTCACAGGGAGAGACTCTTGTCAGGGCAGAAGTTTGTGGCCTCAGAAGTTCGTAAAAAGCACTTAGTGTAAGTGTGCGAGCGAGAACAGACTTTGGAATCTTCTAGACTTCCCTCAACCCCACCATTCTATGCATGAGAAAACTCAGTACCTGGAAGATATAACTACTTTTCATCCAGCCTCTCCCCGATCCCACATCCACCATTTTCAAGGTTTTTCCTTCCTATATGCAGGAGGGAAGATATTTTCAGGCCACAAGATGTAGATGGGAAAATGCACTTTTCTCTACCATTCTATAACTGAAAATTTTACACGATGGCCGAAGAGTCAATCTAGTCAGATGGTGGTTTTCTCAGAAACTTTGAGCTTTGTTCAGTCATTTCAGATTTAAATTCAGCCAGTTTAGACTTTCCTCCCCACCCTCTTCCTCCTTCTGAGTTTCAAGGACTAACAGAGTCATGGCACTGTTGACAGCGTCGTTGCTCAGAGGTCCTGCTCTTGTCATGGTCAACTACCTAATATCTGATCAACCCTTCCGGAGCTAACAGCCACAAATCCGAACAGTAACTGAAGTCCCCAGACAGCAACAAAAAGGCAGATACTGCAGGAGAATCAATACTTAGAAGAGAACAGCACTGGGCAAGTTTCCCTTCTGATGGATCTGAGCCATTCAGGACTACTCCATGCAGGACTCAGATAGAAATTCTTGGGTAGAAAAGTCTTATTGCGCTGGGCACGGTGGCTCACACCTGTAATCCCAGCACTTTGGGAGGCTGAGGCGGGGGGATCACTTGAGCTCAGGAGTTCGAGACCAGCCTGGCCAACATGGTGAAACCCCATCTCTACTAAAAATACAAAAATTAGCCGAACATGATGGCGCGTGCTTGCAATCCCAGCTACCAGGGAGGCTTAGGCAGGAGAATCTCTTGAACCCGGGAGGTGGAGGTTACAGTGAGCTGAAATCGAGCCACTGAACTCCAGCCTGGGTGACAGAGTGAGATTCCATCTCAAAAAAGAAAAAACAAACAAACAAACTTACTGGCTTGAAAAACTAAAGGTCACTGTAATTACAGAAACTAAAAACAAAAAACAAAAACGACTGGCGAAATTTCTAAAAAAAAAAAATAAAAAGAGAGAGAAAAGCCATGCGCAGTGGCTTACGCTTGTAATCCCAGCACTTTGGGAGGCCGAGGCGGGTGGATCACGAGGTCAGGAGTTCAAGACCAGCCTGGCCAACATGGTGAAACTCCGTCTCTACTAAAATTACGAACATTAGCTGGACCTGGTGGAGGGCACCTGTAATCCCAGCTACTCAGGAGGTCAAGGCAGGAGAATCACTTGAACCCAGGAGGCAGAGGTTGCAGTGAGCCGAGATCATGCCACTGCACTCCAGCCTGGGCAACAGAGCTAGACTCCATCTCAAAAAAAAAAAAAGAGCCACAGAAGGGGAGTCCCCAAATCCATGTATAAAATGCACAAATCTCTTGCCAACTCCAGAATCAGGTATGAGTGAGGAAGTCATTAAGCAGCAGTTAAGGCTAAATGAACTTCAGATTTCAACTGTCATCCTCTATAGGGGAGAGAGAGTTTACATGTTAAGTTTAGCCAAGTTAATTGCCTACTTAAACAAAAAAATCAATACTCTTCATATTTAAAAATTGCTATGACAGTAGATCTTAAACGTTCTCACCACACACACACAAAAAAAACGATAAGCATATGAGGTGGTAGATATGTTGATTAACTTGGTGGAATCATTTTACAATGTATACAGATACCGAAACATCATGTTGGGAGCTAAATGATGAGAACTTATGAACACAAAGAAGAAGGAAACAACAGACACTGAGGGGGAGAATGGGAGGCGGGAGAGGAGCAAAAAAAGATAACTATTGGGTACTGGGCTTAATACCTGGGTGATGTAATAATATGTATAATAAACCCCCATTTGTTGTACAATAAACCCTGTTTATCTGTGTAACAAACCTTCACATGTGCCCCCAAACCAAAAATAAAAATTTTTTTAAAAACCCATCATGTTGTAAATATCTATGATTTTTATATATCAACTATACCTTAATAAAGCTGGGGTGGGGGAAGAACCAATACTCTTTAAAGTATAAAGAGTCCAGAGTCTCTGCAACATGTCATGGCAACATCCAGGATAAAATCCAAAATTACCAGACATGTGAAAACAGGAAAACAAGACCCAAACTCCAGAGAAAAGAAAACCAATGGATACGACATAAAAAGTGACCTGTGGTGATGAAACTAGCAGATGGTAACTTTAGGGCAGCTCTCATAACTACACAGATGAATACAAAGGAAACTCTGATCAATATGTATAAAAAGACAACTATTCTCAGCAGAGAACTAGAAACTATGAGAAACAAGACTTGTTGCTCTCTGATGTGGAAATCCACTGGTTACAGTTGAGACATCTACACTTGTAGGCATCAGCTGAGAAAGCCATGCTTCCACCTGAGTCGCAGTTACCAGACCACACTAGCCCCTGTTCATCCTGCTCTTGCAGAGTAAGAGGCCCCATCAAGTGTGCAAGTCCTCCCTTGAGAAACATCCTCCCCATCTCTTGGGCACAGGAAAATGTGACTGATACCCAAACCCCAGGGTCAAATCTGTGTGGAAAATCTGAAAGAATGTATCAAAAATAAAATAAATAGAAGTGACTAGAAACTGAAATTTTAAAATCAATACCATTTAAAATGACACTTGAAGAATGAAATATCAGCCAGGCATGAGGGAGTGTGCCCATAGTCTCAGCTACTGGGGAGGCTGAGGTGGGAGGATCACTGAATCCCAGGGCCTCCAGGCTGCAGGGAACCATGGTCACGCCACTGCACTCCACCCTGGGTGACACAGCAACTCTAAAAATAAACAAGTAAATAAATCAATAGTGAAATTCTTAGGGATGAATCTAACAAAATATGTTTATGATTGGTATGCCAAAACATACAAAACATCATTTAAAGAAATGAAGGGCCAGGGGTAGTGGCTCACGCATGTAATCTCAGCACTTTGGGAGACTGAGGCGGGCGGATCACCTGAGGTCAGGAGTTCGAGACCAGCCTGGTCAATATGGCAAAACCTCGTCTCTACTACAAATACAAAAATTAGCCAGGTGTGGTGGCACACACCTATAATCCCAGCTACTCAGGAGGCCAAGGCAGGAGAATTGTGTGAACCCAGGAGGAGGGGGTTGCAGTGAGCACAAATCGTGCCACTGCACTCTAGCCTGGGCAACAGAGTGATACTCCATCTCATAAAAAGAAACAAGGTTAATTAATTAATTAATTAAGGAAGACCTAAATAAGTGGAGATATACATCTATACCATGTTCATGAATTGGAAGACTCAATATTTTTAAAATGTAGCTCTTCCCAAATTGATCTACAGCTTCAGTGCAATCCCAATCTATATCCCAGCAGGCTTTGTTGGTAGCATATGACAAGCTGATGTTAAAATTTAAATGAGAATGCATTACAGCTTCGTTCTGTCAAAAAAAAAAAAAAAAAAAAAAGAGAGAGAGAACATGCAAAAGATTTAAAATGGCTAAAGCTATTTTTTAAAAAGATAGACAAATTTGGAGAACTTTCACTACTTGATTTCAAGATTTATTATAAAGCTATACTAATCAAAGTAGTATGGGGCCGGGCATGGTGGCTCCCACCTGTAATACCAGCACTTTGGGAGGCTGAGGCAGGAGGAACATCTGAGGTCAGGAGTTCAAGACCAGCCTGACCAACATGGTGAAACCCCATCGCTACTAAAAATACAAAATTAGCTGGCCGTGGTGGCGCACGCCTATAGTCCCAGTTACTCGGGAGGCTGAGGCAGGAGAATTGCTTGAACCTGGGAGGCAGAGGTTGCAGTGAGCCGAGACTGCGCCACTGCACTCCAGCCTGGACAACAGAGAGAAACTCCATCTCAAAAAAAAGAAAAAAAAAAAGAGGAGATTTATTATGGGAATTGGCTCATGCAGTTATGGAGGCTGAGAAGTCCCATGACCTGCTATCTGTGAGTTGGAGATCCAGGAAAGACAATGGGGTAATTCAGTCTATGTCCAAAGTCCTGAGAACCCAGGAAGCCAATGGTGTAACTCTCACCATTGCACTGAAGCTATAGATCAATTTGGGAAGAACTGACATTTTAACAATACCAAGTCTTCCAATTCATGAACATGGTATAGATGTATATCTCCATTTATTTAGGTCTTCCTTAATTTCTTTCAACAGGCTGGGTGTGGTGGCTCATGCCTGTAATCCCAGCGCTTTGGGAGGCAGTGATGGGCAGATCATCTGAGGTCAAGAGTTCAAGACTAGCCTGGCGAATATGGTGAAACCCCGTCTCTACTAAAAATACAAAAATTAGTTGGGTGCAGTGGCAGGTGCCAGTAATCCCAGCTACTGGGGAGGCTGAGGCAGAAGATCGCTTGAACCCAGGAGGCAGAGGTTGCAGTGAGCTGAGATCGTGCCACTGCACTCCGGCTTGGGTGACAGAGTGAGGCTCCATCTCAAAAAAAAAAAAAAATTCTTTCAACAAAGAGCGTGAAGGCCTGTGAACCAGGAACTCCAATGTCTGATGTCCGGGAACTAAAGATGGATGTCTCAGCTCAAGGAGAGAGAATTCACCCTTCCTCTGCATTTTTGTTCTATCTGGGTCCTCAATAGATTGGATGATGCTTGCCCACATTGGTGAGGGCACACTTCCTTTACTCAGTCTCTTGATTCTAATGCTAGTCTCTTCCAGAAACAATCTCACAGGCATACACAGAAACAGTGTTTCCCCAGCTTTCTGGGCTTCTCCTACCCAGTGAGGTTGACACCTAAAATTAACCATCACACCCTTCCTACCCCACCTCTCATTCCAGAGCTGAGCAACATCCAAAATGGTACCGGCTCAAAGCACAACCTCACCTCAAAGCCAGGTGGGGCTGGGACTTGAACTACCTGGAGCTGATGACTTCATTTGCCACTTGAGCTGACAGTACTCAGTTGCATCCTTTGGTCCTCAGTTTCTTCCTAAAGGCCCCTAGACTGCTGTCCCATGACTGAAAAATGTTTTGTTTTGTTTTTAAAGTCAGGGAATCTCCATTTGTCTATGCTGTTTGACAGAAGAGGAGGGAGGAAGATAAGTGGTTTCAGATATCCTTTCTCCTTTGACTCCTAACACCAATTCTGAGTTAGGCCTTATTATTATTCCCATCTCACTGGGAAGAACACCAAAGTTCACTGTGGCTGGGTTTCCTGCCCAAGTTCTCATCTCTAGAGAGTAGAAAAGGGAATGGAATATATGTAAACTCCAAAGTCCAAGCTGTGCCCTCTAAATCCTTTCTGCCTTGACAGAGGAGCAGGATCTGGAATTCTCCAGTTTCTGCCTCCTTATCTGACCTCTGCTTCCTTATAGGCATAGTGAAAATATGCCTAACCCTTCTTAGACACCCTGCGGGCGTCTTCCAACTTTCTTTCTACCTAAATTCAAAGGCATTTATTGGGGGCAAGGCAGGAGGATCAGTGACAAAGGCTCAGAAATCTACAAAACGCTCCAAGGCAGATGCAAATGTCATCTCTGGTCTCACTTCTGAGAAGCTGGAACAAAGTCATTTTGTATTTTGCTCTCAGCTGTCTTTCACCAAGTTCCCCAAACTCCTTCCCAGAGGCCAAGCGCTAGGGAATCCCTGCCCTCTGTAAAAATACTTGTCATTGTCTTCATGTACCAAGTTCTACCTGTCCAGGTCCCTCTGGGGGATACCTACGTCATAAGCAACGCTGTGGACCTCTGATGAAGTCTCTTTAGGTACATAACCAAGAGTGAAACTGTGCGGAACGTACAGGGCTGGGCCTAGGGCAAGGCAATGCGGCACCTAAGGTATAAAATTTAAGAACAGACCCGGTGCGGTGGCTCAAGCCTGCTATCCCAGCACTTTGGGAGGCTGAGGCAGGAGAATCACCTGAGGTCAGGAGTTCTAGACCAGCCTGGCCAACATGGTGAAACCCGGTCTCTACTAAAAATACAAAAATTAGCTCGGTGTGATGCACGCCTGTAATCCCAGCTACTCCGGAGGCTAAAGCATGAGAATCACTTGAACCCTGGAGGCAGAGGTTGCAGTGAACCGAGATCACACCACTGCAATCCAGGCTGGGTGACAGAGCAAGACTCTGTCTCAAAAACAAACAAAAAAACTAAGAAAGCCCTCACTTTCAGGGCTTTATAAGGGGTGGGGTCGACCCTGACAGTAAGTGCTTCCTTACGTGTGTGCCCAAGCACCTCCCTTCCTCTCCCTGGTCCTAGCTCTGCAAAAGTATACACGTATTTAATTTCACTGTAACTGGCCACACACTCACTCACAAGTGCATGGGACTCCCTCTCTCATCCATCCACGCCAGCACTTCACATCATCTGGCTTGCTGAGTTGTATCAGCTCGTGGGGCAATGTGACATCTCATTCCTTCCCCTTGCCTTCTTCTGACTGCCAGTGAGAATGAGCCTCTCTGGATACCTCAGTCATTCTGATTTTTCTTTCTGTGAACGGCATATATATATCTGGCCCATTATCATTACTATTATTATTATTATTTTGAGACAGGGTCTCACCATGTCACCCAGGCTGGAGTGCATTGGCGCCATCTCAGCTTATTGCAACCTCCGCCTCCTGGGTTCAAGCGATTCTTGTGCCTCAGCCTCCAGAGCAGCTGGGATTACAGGTGCACACCACCACACCCCCGGTTCATTTTTTTTTTTTTTTTTTTTTTTGTATTTTTAGTAGAGACAGGGTTTCATCATGTTGACCAGGCTGGTCTCGAACTCCTGACCTCAAATGATCTGCCCGCCTTGGCCTCCCAAAGTGCTGGGATTACAGGCATGAGCCACCGCACCCGGCTGCCCATTATTTTTTAAATTCGGTTTCCTATCTCTTTCTCTTTTGTGCTGATTTTCAGAAGCTCCTTGTGTATTCTAGTTATAGCCTTTTGTTCATTTAAAACATGGATAATATCTTCTAGCTTATCACTCATATGTTAATTTTGTCTGTAGCAAAGCAACATTTTTTCATTTTGGTGTAGTCAAAATCCATCACGTCTCACCTTTCAGCTTATGATTTGGAGGTCATGAGAAATCCCTTCCTATCACAGAAATATTATATGTTACCATATATAACTGAGTTTATGCTGTACTCTCCAAACTATTCCACTTACCTGTTTTTCTGTACCAATATCACCTTATTTTAATTACTATGCCTTTGTAATCCGTTTTAATGCCTGTTGAATAAGAGTTCCCTTTGTCCTCTTTCAAGATTGTCTTAGCAGATCATGGATTTTTATTCTTCCTTAAAAGTTAAGAATCAAGTTTCTCAAGTTCCAAAATAATTGGGCTGGAATTTTTACTGAAATTGCAATGCATAGTTAGATCATGTAACAGAAAATTTACATTCCTTCAAGGTTAAGACATTATCTCACTATTTATGTATTCAAGCCTTTTTAAACAAAATCTATATATTAGAATTTCAGGTTTTTCTCCTTAAAGATTCTGTGCATTTTTTTATTAGGTTAATGCATAAATATTTCAGTATCATGCAGAATACCTTATTTTTATTACTCACAATACGTGTATTATTTTTGGGGAGGAACCCATTACTGACTTTATATTCTGACCTTTATTATTATTATTATTGAGACAGAGTTTCACTCTGTAGCCCAGGCTGGAGTGCAGTGGTGTGATCTCGGCTCACTGCAACTCTGCATCCCACGTTCAAGCGATTCTCTTGCCTCAGCCTCCCCAGTAGCCAGGATTACAGGCACACGCCACCATGCCCGAATATTTTTTGTATTTTTAGTAGAGATAGGGTTTCACCACGTTGGCCAGGCTGGTTTCGAACTCCTGACCTCAAGTGGTCCGCCCTCCTTGGCCTCCCAAAGTGCTGGGATTACAGGTGTGAGCCACCGCACCCAGCCTCTGATCTTTAATAGAAGAGGGTTGGCCGGGCGCGGTGGCTCACGCGTGTAATCCCAGCACTATGGGAGGCCGAGGTGGGCGGATCACGAGGTCAGGATATCGACACCATCCTGGCTAACATGGTGAAACCCCGCCTCTACTAAAAATACAAAAAATTAGCTGGGCATGGTGGCGGGTGCCTGTAGCCCCAGCAACTCGGGAGGCTGAGGCAGGAGAATGGTGTGAACCCGGGAGGCAGAGCTTGCAGTGAGCTGAGATTGTGCCACTGCACTCCAGCCTGCGTGACAGAGCAAGACTCCGTCTCAAAAAAAAGAAAAAAAAAAAAGAAGAGGGTCTCACTATGTTGCCCAGGCTGGTCTTGAACTCCTGGCCTCATGCAATCCTCCTGCCTCAGCCTCCCACAGTGTTGGGATTACAGGCGTGAGCCTCCACACCTGGCCCTATTCTGACCTTAAACTACCTTTGTGCAACTCTCTCATTAGGTTAATTTTTCTGTTGATTCTTGTTTTCTATGTCGATGATCATCACTTGACAATAACAGTGCTTTCATTTTGCTTCCGATCCTTCTATCACTCACTTTTCTCATCCCATTGCACTGGACAAGACTTGCAAGTACCAGGTTGAACAGTGGCAAGGCCAGACAGAGGGCACCCTTGTTTTTTTTTTTTTGAGTTGTAAAAAGATGGAGAGCTTTGGCTTTCAGCCTACTGCTTAAAGAAGAAAAATGCAATCATTAGAAATTAGATCTTGAGAAAGATCCCTGCGACTGCCCGTGAAGGCGAGACTTAAGAGTAGTAAGCCAAGAGGCAGAAAGATCGGTCGCCTACGAGTCCAGGTGAAGCATCATGTGTTTCAGACCAGGGCCGTGGAGACAAGTGTAGCAGAGAATTGTGGGTCGGGTGGGGTGGAGGAAGAACTGATGGGATTCTGGGACAGATCAGAGGGAGGAGAGTGAGGAGTCAAGACGGAAGCGCTATCTGGGGCTTGCCTGCCACTGAGCAGACCGTGATGCCACTCCCTGAGGAGGAGACCCAGGGTGAAACGAGAAGGAAGAAGGACTTCACTGCACACACGTTGACTCAGAAGGGCCGTGGAACACCCGGCCGGCGGGGAATACGGAGCTCAGAGCAGCGGGCTGCGCGGGGGCGTAAAAATGTGGCTGTCAGGGGTCCAAACAGCATCAATGTTCAGAAAGCACGTGGAAAACAGTTTAGCTACTGTTAGAACTATCAGGATCATCCGCATGCAGGTAGGCGTTAAAACCTAGGATGGACGAGATCTGCCAGGGGCAGCCCAGAAGCCAAAGGGGCCGAGACCTAAGCCCCTGGAGGCAGCAGCTAGAGGGGCAGAGACAGCAGGAAGGGGGCCCCGGTGGGTCAAGGAAGGAGTACCAAGGAGGAGTGGCTCTGCCATGGACGCAGAGGAATCTGGGAGTGACGGCGCCTGTCCGCGCTCTATCCCGTTCTGCCTGCCGAGGGCAGGGCCAGCGCAACGCAACCTGCAAACCCGCCTTCGGCTGCTGCGAGGCACTCAGATCTCGCCGCGAAGAAGACGCCACGGCACAGTTGAACTACAGACCCCGTCCACCGCTGTTCCGGCCCCGCCCCTCTCACATTGCGGGCCTCTCAGCGCCCCTACGCACAGCACGGCCCGCCCACCGCCGCCCTGGCCCCACCCACCCCGCCGCAGGCCCCGCGGAGCTCCGACGCACAGCCTGTCCCCGCCCACTGTTGCTCTGGCCCCGCCCCTCTCGCCGGGGGCTTCTCAGAGCACCTACGTACAGCCAGGCCCAGTCCACCAACCGCCCTGGCCCTGCCCCTCCCGCAGTGCGGGCCCCTAAGAGCCCCTGTGCATTGCCAGGCCCCGCCCCTCACCGCCCTGACACCGCCTTTTGCGGTGCGGGCCGCTCAGAACCCCCCCGCAAGGGGCGGCCCCGCCCCTACCTCTCCGGCCCCGCCCCTACCTCTCCGGCCCCGCCCCTACCTCTCCGGCCCCGCCCCTAACTCTTCGGCCCCGCCCCCACCTCTTCGGCCCTGCCCCTCCCGCGGCGCGCGCCCGGAAGTGCTCCCGCGCCCTGGCAGCGCGGACACAGCGGAGTGGCTGGGCCAAGCCCGCCCAGGGAGGCCGTGGCTCGCTCCAGTCTCCCGGGTGGGGCGGGGGGCGTCCGGGCGACGTGAGGCCGCGCTCGGGCCCCCAACCCCCAGCATCCGCCTTGGCCAGGCTGCAGACGCGCGGCGCGGGAGACGCGGGGCGGGGAGACGCGGGGCGGGGCGGGGCGGGGCAGCGCATCACGTGGGTAAACACGGCGCACGTGGAGCGCAGCCTGAGCTCTAGGGCGGGGCGGCAGTCCCAGCCCTTGAGCCCGGGCTGTGCCGGTCCCAGGCCCTGGGGAGCCGGTGAGGCGTGGGCGCAGGCCGGGGTCCGCGTTGGCCCAGCTGAGCCTCAGTTCATTCTGTTAAAACGTTAATAGGCCAGCGCTGTGGGAGGCCAAGGCAGGAGGATCGCTGTTGGCCAGGGGTTCCAGACCAGCCTGAGCAACACAGGAGATCTCATTGGTACAAAAAATAATAAAAAATGTTGCTGGGTGTGATGGTGCCCACCTGTAATCCCAGCTACTTGGGAGGCTGAGGTGGGAGGATCGCTTGAGCTTGGGAGTTCGAAGCTGCAGTGAGCGCTGATCGCACCACTGCACTGCAGCCTGGGTGACAGAGACCTTGTCTCCAAAACAATACGTAAAAAATAAAACCAAACTAGCCACGCAAAC
Organism: Homo sapiens; assembly: GCF_000001405.40. Lineage (NCBI taxonomy): Eukaryota > Metazoa > Chordata > Mammalia > Primates > Hominidae > Homo > Homo sapiens. Next base: position 29,844,001 of record NC_000019.10, on the reverse strand, counting down.
ACTGACGTTGGCTCAGCCTGCCAGGCCCTGCCCAAGGGAACATGATAACCCTGTCAGGTGGGCACCATCCTATTTCACAGAAGGGGAAAGTGGAGGCCAAGGCGGTTAAGAAACTTGCCCAAAGCACTTGGCTGGAAACCGGTGCAACGCAGGTCCGACCTTTTGCAGCGAGGCCCCTTCGTGCTTTGGCCTCGGCCTGCATGACAGGGGCACTGGCAGTCGGGGACGCTGGGGGTCAGCTCCTGGCGTCCTGCCCCTGCCCCTCAGGGCCGGCCTGGCCTGGTACGCTCGGCGGGGCTGGTTTCCCCGTTTGTGCAATGGAGTAGCAGAGGTGCCGCCTCCAGAGGAGGCTCAGAGGCGGCCCTCCCCAAATCGTGGCGATAGCTTCCGCCGGGCGTGGTGAGAATGGAACTGGCCGGGGCCTCGGGCCCCAAGTCGCTGCTCACCGGACTGCCGCCCCCTCCTCCGGGGCCACCCTGTCTCCTCCCAGAGGTGGGGGATGGGCAGAGCCCCGTGCAGGGAAGGCGTCTAGAGCACGCGTGGGCTCCTTCCAGGAGCTGGAGCTGACTTCTACCCAGGCCGGCCTCCCTCCTCTCCCCTCCTCCTCTTCCTCTCCCTTTTCCTCCTCCTCCTCTGCCCATGCCGCGTGACCAGGAGGCGCCGCATTCAGAGTCGGCCCCAGCCTGGGGCCAGCCAAGCTGTCAGCCCGGACTGGCGGCGGAGGAGGCCTGGGAGGGGCCCCTGGGAGGGGGCAGAAGTGCTCAGAATTCCTAGGAAGCGCTTGTCCCGGCAGAAGAGCTAAGCTGCCGAGCTTCAGCGGGGCAACGCATGCCCTATGCAGGCCTATGTGGCCAGGGCCACCCCAGGGCCAGAAACCCCAAAAGCTGATGACTGGGCCCCAACCCTCAGTTGGATTTTGGGAGTCCTATGAGCTGGTTAATGAGAAGTCCTATCAACCAGCCCCGGGCTTCTCATGCAGTGTCTTGTCACAGGCCCTGAAGCCAGGCCCCATGTGGGACCTTGCGCAAGTTGCGGGACCTTGGGCAAGTTGCAGGACCTCCCTGTTTCTCAGTTTCCTCTTCTCTAAAATGGGGCCAGTGATCATTCCCACCCCATAGGATTGTGAGAAAATGAAATGACTAAACAGGAGTAAAGCCAGGGCGGCAGTTCTTCCCTCAAGGTTAGTTTTATGGATGTTTCCACGGAAGCTCCTTCAAACAGCGTCTTGCCCGGTGCACTCACTGAGACACATCAGAGCAGCGACATAGGCCTGGGTGGGGGCCTGGAAGCTGAGCTCCCCAGCTGGCCCCCTCCCAGTTCACATACCCCCTGGCCAGCCTCAGCATGCCCTTCTCTGATAATGCCTGTTTTCTCCCCTCCACCCCCGGCCCAGGACCAAGAGCCAAACAAGTTTGGCCACACTTGTCCTTTATTCCACTACAAGAGGGCAACTCTACCCCGAATGGGTTTGTGGGTGGCAGACAGAGGCTTTGTGCATGAGAAGCCCAGACCTGGGGCTTTGGCTAGTGAAGACCTTCCTGGTCTCTGTTTTTTTCTCTCCAGGGTCAGGGTCCTGAAGGTTGGACCTTACGGTGTTGGTTTAAGGAAGAGGAAAATGGAAATCCAAACACAGGGAGATCTAAGAGACACCAGAGAGGGAAACTAGGGGCCTTAGGGGTGAGGCAGACCTCAACTGCGAAAAGTCCCCAGGGGGCTGCTCCCACCCCTGAGGCCAGGTGGCAGGCAGGCTTCCCCACACGGTCATGCGGAACCTTCCCCATATCCCGGGCCTGGCACAGAGGCCAGCACGCTGGAATTAGAGACGCTGAGGGGATGAATGACAGTGGCCACACAACTGCAGCAAGAAGAATCCTGCTGTGGGAAGCAGGATTTTTGCAGCTGTTCCAGAGCATGCTCCCATCTCTGCAGTCACCCATGCTTTGGGAGAGTCTTTATTGTTTCTGTACTTGCTGCTTTTGCCAACCCAGCATCCCTTCCCCTTTTCTGCAGAGCCAGGTAGTTCAGATGGACCTATTCCAACTCTGCCCCAGAGACTGACACCTGACACATGCCTGGCTAATCACAGCACTGCATTCCTCTGGCCACAGTGATTAGAGAAGGGATGGGCATGTGACCCAAGCTGGACCAATGAGAAGCATCCCCAGGACTTTTGCTGGAGAGTCTGGGTAGGAGGTACTTGCTGGGAGGAATATCTGCCTGGAGACACTGTTCTCTACTGGCAAATGCCACGTGGAGAACAAAGTCGGCACAGTCAGCTTTCAGAGCTGAGGCAAGGATTCCTGAGGACAGCAATGTAAACACCCTGATCCAGCCATGCCTGAGGCTAGATAGGCCCCTGGGCCATTCGTTTGAATCCATACATTCATACGAATCCATGAATTCCTTGTTTTCTCCTGGCACTTTGAGTTGTCTTTTCCTTGCAGCTGAACATCTTATCTCATCTGACCCTCTAGTAGAGCAAAGACTTTAGCCACCATTTCTGGATGAGCCTTGGTGGCTCCAGGTCAGATGGCTCATCAAAGGTGAAACCTACCTGCGGGTAAGTGGCTCCCGCAATGTCGCCAGCTGCAGGTCCCTGTCTCTGGCCTCTCCCTTGGCCTCCTGCTCTGGCATTCCTGAGCAGTGAGTCTGTGGCCACCCAGCTCACAGATGGCCTTGGCTGTGTGTTCCCTGAGCCTGTGCTCTCTGGGTCTGTCTCATCCATAACCATATCCCTAGGGCCTGGATATCCCCAGAGGTTCTCAGCAAATATGAGTGGAGAGAATTCTGTGGCTGGTCAAGGTTTGGGGGATTCAAAAAAATCAGGAGCACACGCCTGTAAACGCAGCATTTTGGGAGGCCAAGGTGACAGAATTGCTTGAGCCAGGAGTTCAGGATGAGCCTGGGCAAGAAAATCAGTCCTTCTGATGCATCTGATTGGGGAAAAAAAAGCAAAAAATCAGAAACTTCTAGAGCTTCATCTCCCACTCTGCCGCCTGCACTTGGCATGCACTGGCTGGCCCTTAGCGCAGCCGCCCCTCATCCCCCACCTCTGCTGACCACCTTACCTGAGACCTTTCTCCAACGCTGCAACCCCTTCCCTGGGCCAGCTGTCTTATGGATGACAACATGGCTAATCTTGAGTGGGGGATGAATTTTCACACTCTCTCCCCTCTGGGTCTTTCTCTCCCACTCAAAAGGCTCAGGCATCCCAGACACTTCCCTGAACACACTCGGAGGGGCCACGGCCGCTCCCCAGCAGCACGCCAGAAGGGGCGAGTGCGAGCGTACAGGAGGAGAGAGGTTGCTGCTGGAACTCAGACCGCGCGATTCCCGAAATGTGCAGCCAGCACATCTGCCCAGAGAAAAAGGGAGGCCCAGAATTGCAAGCTTTGTTATTTTTACTTTTTGATGCGAGGGGCCATCTGTGCAGGTTGGAGCTTGTCTGGAGGAAGCCAGGATTTGTCAGTGAAATTCAAATGCAGGATTACTTTGCAGGCTGTCACACCGAGACTTTCTCCAGGAGCTGAGGTGGCAGTGCTGATAATTTCTACAGCAGCAGAGTGTGCCAGTTTCCAGCAGCTGTTCGGGGTGAATGTGCATGTGGAGCCTTCCACCAGAGCATCGCTACTCGCCTCGGCAACTTTACTCAGTGTTGGATCCACCAAGGATGCCAGGAGGGGCCTCGACCACCAGCTGTGCAAATCAGCCCCTAGTGTCTGGGAGGAGGTGGTCTGGAGGGCAGAAAGCCCAGTGGGGGTTGAGGAGAAGAAGGAAGAGAAGAAGGTTGGCAGTGCGGGAGATGGGGGTAGGGGGGACTCTGACACCCTCTGTTGTCGCCATTGGTTCGCTCCAAATTATCTCAGTCAACACACAGTTGCAGACTCATCCTGGGTATCTGCCTGTGACCCCCATTTTTAATTGCAGGTCACCCTCGAGCCCCCTGCATGGAAATTCCAGAACTGCCTGAGTTGCAGGTGGAGGTGGCTGAGTTGGGACCCCATTAGGACATTTTTTTTTCTTTGAGACAGAGTCTCACTCTGTCACCCAGGCTGGAGTGCAGTGGCACGATCTCAGCTTACTGCAATTTCCACCTCCCAGATTCAAGCGATTTTCCTGCCTCAGCCTCCCAAGTAGCTGGGACTACAGGCGTGTGCCATCATGCCCAGCTAATTTTTGTATTTTTAGTAGACACGGGGTTTCACCATGTTGGCCAGCCTAGTCTCGAACTCCTGGCCTCAAGTGATCCACCCACGTTGGCCTCCCAAAATTCTGAGATTACAGGCGTGAGCCACTGCGCCCAGCCTTATCTAGGTCATTTTCACAAACCAGGGCTACCTGGTGAAGTGGGTCCAGGAAAGGTCATCCCAACCCCATTCTGAAAGCGCCTTTTGGTGAAATCTAGGTGCGGAGGCTGCACAGAGCCCAGACTTTAGCGGCTGTTTGAAGCTCACATGCTAATGACGTTTGTATCCAAATAATAACAAATGTCAGGTGTATGCACCTGTCTCTCTCATTTGTATATTGCCTGAATGCTTTTCTCAGTGCCTCTTTCCTGGGCCAGATGTGCAGCCACCGCCTGTTCTGGGGTGGCACGGAGGAGGAGGAGGAAAGGATACTGAGGTTTAGCACATTTAAGTTTGGAAACTGTTCGATGCCATCCCTGACAGTTCACCCTAGGATCTGGGGGTGGAGAGTGATGACAGAAGCGGGCAAATAATCTGTGAGTCTTTCAGCCGTTGCTGTGTGCCCCACCGTACACATACCCTTTTCTAATGTGTGCCAAACAGTGAAATCTAATGATAATAGATAAGGATTGTAGGAAGAAAGCAATCTAGAACCGATTATTTCTTTTCTTTCTTCAGAAATAACCGTTAGGTGAGGAATGTGATTTGAGGTGCACCAAGAGGGGTCCTCAGTTTCTAAACACTGCCCCCCAGACCCCCAATACACACATACCCTGCCTCTACCTCCACCCAAAGAGAGGACTCAATACTGAGGTCAGAACTCCTCTACGTGGGACTATAGCAAAGAAGAACGCAGGAGAGGGGACGGTGGCTGGGGACACAGCAGATGGGCACTGCCAGGCAGGACTGCTGTGGGCATTGCCAGGGAGAGCCAGGATGCAAAAATGGCAGTGAGGGGGCCCTGGTAAGGGCTTCTAGGGCTTTGCTGATCTCCAGGCTCATGCGAGGGCTGACTAGCTTGGGCAGACAGACCTTTTTTCTTTTTTCCCTCCAACAGAAACAAAAGGATAAAATCATTGGCATCACTGCTGGACATGGTGGCTCACGCCTGTAATCCCTGCACTTTGGGAGGCTGAGGCAGGTGAATCACCTGAGGTCAGGAGTTCGAGACCAGCCTGGCCAACATGGTGAAACCCTGTCTCTACTAACAATACAAAAATTAGCTGGGTGTGGTGGCGGGTGCCTGTAATCCCAGCTACTCAGGAGGCTGAGACATGAGAATCACTTGAACCCGGGAGGTGGAGGTTGCAGTGAGCTGAGATCGTGCCACTGCACTCCAGCCTTGACGACAGACCAAGAACCTGTCTCACAAAAAAAAAAAAAAAAAAAAGGAGAAAGAAAAAAAGAAATCATTGGCATCAATTGGGCTCATTCAACGTAGATTACTGATGTGTTATTGTTTTGAAGATAGAAGAAATATAATTAATAAAAGCCACCCAGCCCGCCTTTTGTGTTTCCGTGAATTCCTTATTGACGTCTGCATCTATCTCAAGCCGCAGATGAGCCATCCTTTTCAGCTGCCCTGGATAGCACGGAGATGAACAGTGTGGAAAAATCACTCCTGGGATCTGTACACTCATCTTCTGCAGCTGCAATTTTTCTTCTGCAGCCTCAGTTTTCTCCATCACAGTGGTGGAATCAGAGAGGGGGTTTCCCGGGAGCACAGTGCAGGGTTCCCTTCAAGGAAGAGCAAAGTCCGCCTCAGTGCTGGAAGCTTTTTTGGGAGGCCTGAGCGCCTTCCCACCTTGGATCTCTCTCTCCAGAGCCACCAGACAACCAGTTACCTTTCAGGCACCAGGCTTTGATGGGTGTGGGGGAACTATTTCCCGGCAGCGGCCCTGGAATCACACCTGCCTCACCTCCGGCCTTGATGTGCCTTAGAGGGACTGAGGGCCAAAGGTCACCTCAGGGATCACCAGGAGGCCTAGGGAATAGAAGTAAGGTGTGGGGTGGAGGCTGCGGGCTTCTCTCTGCCCCTGGCAGCTTCTCGCCCACCTGCTTGCTAGTTTGACTTTGGTCCTGCCCACTGTCTCTCTCACACCCACCCACCCTGACATCTAGAGAAATGAAAGCTCCTTTGCATGACAGGAAGCAGGGGAGTTCCCTGAAGTATGATTGCAAACCTGAAAACATCCCCAAACTAGTCTTCCATCACCACCTGGAAGACAAGAGTTGGAAGAGAAACAGAAAGCAACTTTTTTTTTTGAGACAGAGTCTCACTCTGTCGCCAGGCTAGAGTACAGTGGTGAGATCTCAGCTCACTGCAACCTCTGACTTCCTGGGTTCAAGTGATTCTCCTGCCTCAGCCTCCTGAGTTGCTGGATTATAGGCACGCACCACCATGCCCAGATAATTTTTGTATTTTTAGTAGAGATGGTGTTCATTGGGCAGATGAGGAAATTGAGGCCCATAGTAAGTAAGGGACAAGCTGAAAGCCCCACAGGACCTTGGGGTCAGAGCCGAGACTCCTATAAATCCAGGAATCTCAAACTCAGGTGCCTATGGGAGCCAGGCCCATAAAAGAAGATGTCTTTGGACACCAAGACATCTTTGTATTGAATATTAAACATGCTCAAGTAGTCTGCATTTCTAGAAGAAATGTTCCCTCTCTGCCATTCTTCTTGAAACACTCCACCTTCTTGATCTACACAGTTTTCTCACTTTTGTTTTGTTTTTTAAAGACACGGGGTCTTGCTATGTCACCTAGGCTGGTCTCGAACTCCTGGGCTCTAATGATCCGCCCTCCTCGGCCTACCAAAGTGCTGGGATTACAGATATGAGTCATCATGCCCGGCTAATTTTTAATTTTTTTGTAGAGACAGTGTCTCACTATGTTGTCCAGGCTGGTCTTGAACTCCTGTCCTTAAGTGATCCTCCTGCATCAGCCTCCCAAAGTGCTGGGATTACAGATGTGGGCCACTGCACTCAAAGCTGTTTTCTCACTTTTGATAGTCACAGTTACAAGAAATATTTGTCTACTCCAAGAAGATGTGCAGTGCGTTTGTGAAGGTAAACAGCAATGGAGTCTGAGACCTTAGCGTAGGGTGTGGTAGAGGTGGTGAGGATTCTGGTATATTGCAGACCACATGCCCTGCCTGCAGGGCTGCCCAGAGCTGGGGAGCTGTATCTGAATGTGAACTTTCCAGGTTTTCAATATTGCCTCAAGTGTTTTGAAATGACTCGGCAGCCCCAGCACAACCCACCTGACCTGCAGGCCCCAACGTGCAGCCTCTACATTAGCCCTGAATGCTGGGGCGAATCCCCTACAGCTTAGAAGAGGGATGGAAGATGCAGAACTTCAAAGGCAACCCTTCTGACTGGGTATGGTGGCTCATACCTGTAATCCCAGCACTTTGGGAGGCTGAGGCAGGAGGATCATTTGAGGCCAGGAGTTCAAGACCAGCCTGGGCCACATAGTGAGAGCCCATCTCTACCAAAAAATAAATAAATAAATAATAAGAGATGTAAAAAATAAAATAAATAAAACTTTTTTTTTTTAAGAAGGAGGGAATGCTTCAGACCAAGTAACCATCTTACAGAGCTTGGATGTTCATTACTTGTCTATAACAAGAGATAACTCAGGGGCTTAGCAAGAGGAGCACAGAGAGCTTTCTGGATGGATGACTCAGGCTGTGACTGCTGGAACATACTAACTTTGGATTTTTTTCCTTTTAAAAAAGGGACAGTATCCCAAGGATGGTTCATCACAGTGCTGCCCCAAAGTAGAGGGGATGGATTTGTCTGTGTGTCTAATGGTGCATTGCAGACTGGGCTGTTGGATGCCATGCCCCCGGTAACCCCGCCAGGAACTGGGATTCCGTGGTGTATGGCACCTTTGCTCAAAAAAGGACTAGAACCTGGACAGGGGCTTGATTAATTTCTGTTAATGTCTCGCTTTCTAATCTTATGCAATCTTTTGGTCTTTTGCAAGTAGAAGATAGTCTATAGTCTCCTGGGCATGAAAATGTAAGAAAGTGGCTATAAATGTAAGAATCCATCCATCCGTCCGTTCGTCCATCAATCCATCCGTCTGTCTGTCCGTCCATCCGTGCGTCCGTCCATCCATCCATCCATCCATCCATCCATCCATGGAGCAGGTATTTACTGAGCAGCTATTTTGTGCCAGGAAGGCAATGGAATCAATTGGCAAGTCATCACTGAGAAATAACAACAGAAAAGGAGTGAGTTTGTATGTGCATATGCATTTTAAACTACTTAGTGATGATATAACTGAATGAAACCGCCCTGTAGAAAAACAGCAAATATTTTCATTCACTCATGTGTTAGCGTGTGCATTGAAAAGAATTCTAGAGCAATGTACACTGTTTTAACACTCCAACTCTTAAGAACGGCATCTCTGGGGAATCATCAGTTTCTATGTTGTACGTGTTTGTAGTATTCTGATTTATTATAACAAACAAGCTTTACTTTCATAGCCAGAGAAAAACCAATAAAGTTAAATACTAGCAATTTTAATGGGAAGAGAAGTTGACGATACTGAGTACTGGAGCAAGGGTGGAGAGGCAGGAGCTCTCACACTCCCTGGCGGGAAGCGGAGATTGGTGCAGTTTGAGGAAGTCACTGACCACATCTAGTTAAGGTGCACAGGCACACGCCCTTTGACGTGGCAATCCTACATCTAGGAATGTGCCCTAAAGGAATCCAGGTAAGTGGCACCAATGTGCACAAGATGCCAATTGCAACACTGTTTGTGATGGTGAAAAAATCAGAAACCTACTTGTGGACCAGGGTGGCAGGGAGCATATCTATTGTGGAACATTCACACAGGGGAAAATTCTACCACCATTTCAAAAGAATAAACTCAACCCTACGTGGATCAACATAGGTAAATCTTGAAAATAACACTGAGGCCAGGCACGGTGGCTCACACCTGTAATCCCAGCATTTTGGGAGACTGAGGCAAGCAGATCACCTGAGGTAAAGAGTTCGAGGCCAGCCTGGCCAACATAGCAAAACCCCGTCTCCACTAAAAATACAAAAATTAGCTGGGCATGATGGTGGGCACCTGTAGTCCCAGCTACTCAGGAGGCTGAGGCAGGAGAATCACTTGAACCTGGTAGGTGGAGGTTGCAATGAGCTGAGATTGCGCCACTGCACTCCAGCCTAGGCAACAGGGCGAGACTCTATGTCAAAAAAGAAAAAAAAAAAAAAAAGAAAGAAAGAAAGAAAAGAAAATAACATTGAAAGAAAATAGCAAGTGATATTGTGATATGTAAAGTTTGATTCCACTTATTTTCTTTTTTTCTTTTTTTGTTTTTTTACTATTTCTTTTTCTTCCTTCCACCAAATGTAGGTAATTTTTTAAACACCCAAAGCAGTATTTGCTATAAGTCTATTTATTGCTTCTGGATCCAAAAATAAATGGTAAAAGTCTAAAAATATGTATGGGCATCATATACATCCACCTTGGGGAGTTGTTTCAGCTGAGGAGGAACATGAGGGGATCTTCATCTATGTCTACAATATTGTATTTCCTTTTTTAGTTTTTTTCTTTTGACAAACTGCTGCATACTCAAATGTTGTATTTCTTCTTTAAAACATGATATGAAGCCAAGTAGGCAAATATGGATGATGGATCCACAGCTATTCATTTGTATTGTTCTTTGTACTTTAAAATTTTTGCCAACCTGGTGGCTGTGAAATTATCTCATTGTTTTATTTTGCATTTCCCCGATGACTTGCGGATTGAGTCACCTTCATGTTGATTGTGTATTGCCAGTTCCCATTTTTCGTAATAGCATGAACAATGGAAGGTGAAATAAGGAGTTTTTCTAGAAGGTGGTGAAGGGCGCAGGTGGAGGCCCCCTGCAGGCAAGTGGGCATTCAGGTGTGCAGCCAGGGCAGGCCTCATTGGGGTAGAGACCCCCTGCTTGGGTGAGGCCGGCACAGAGGCAGTGGCAAAGTCTTCCAGGTGGTGAGGTTGCCCAGGGACAAATGTCAAGGGGGCGGCGGTGGCCGGGATGAATCTGCGGGTCCTCCACCTTATGCTGGAGCAGAGAGGAGCTGCCTGGGAGGGATGATGCTTGGTGCGTGGGGGCGGGGGGGAGCTGGCACTGAAGTTTCCAGAGGGAAAGAGGGGTCAGCAGAGCGAAGTGTGGCAGAGGTGCCTTGGGAGAGGAAGGCAGACGCATACTGTGAGATTTGTCCCACAGAGGTCTTAGGTGGCCTTGTTGAGGGCACTGTGTGGTGTGGCGACGCCAACTGGAGAGGGTCCAAGAGGGAGTGACAGTGAGTGTAGATGACACTTTCAAAGGGGCTGCCCAGGAAAAGAAGTGGCGGCTGGGTGCGATGGCTCACACCGTAATCCCAACACTTTGGGAGGCTGAGGCAGGCAGATCACTTGACGTCAGGAGTTCGAGACCAGCCTGACCAACATGATGAAACTCCGTCTCTACTAAAAATACAAAAATTAGCTGGGCGCGGTGGTGTGTGCCTATAGTCCCAGCTACGTGGGGGAGAATGGCTTCAACCTGAGAGGTGGAGGTTGGAGTGAGCTGAGATTATGCCACTGCACTCCAGCCTGGGTGACAGAGTGAGACTCCATCTCAAAAAAAAACAAAAAACAAAAAACAGAAGGAAGACAAGTTGGGAAGTTGGGAGAGGGAGGGGGGTGGAAGCCTGGAGAAGACACAGGGGCGGGCCCAAGGGGAGAGGCTAAGGAGGCTAAGGGCTCGCTTGCACAAGCTCCCAGGCATTCCTGGAGTCCTCACTGCTGTGCCCTGGGCTGCGCAAGGCACACAGGGCAGCCGGTAAGTCCCCACCTCAGTGCCCTACCAGGGCTGTCTGTAGGGCTAGAACACGTCCCCAGTGCTAAACTCAGCCGGGCACAGTGGCTCACGCCTGTAGCCACAGCATTTTGGGTGGCCAAGGCGGGAGGACCACTGGAGGCCAGGAGTTCAAGGCGTGCCTGGGCCACATAGTGAGATTCCCCCATCTCTACAAAAAAAACTTAAAACTAGTAGGGCATGGTGGTGTGCACCTGTAGTCCCAGCTACTCTGGAAGCTGAGGCGGGAGGATCTCTTGGGTCTAGGAGGTCGAGGCTGCAGTGAGCTATGATTGTGCCACGGCACTCCAACCTGATGACAGAGCAAGACCCTCTCTCTTAAAAAAGAAAATGCTTGGCCAGGCATGGTGGCTTATGCCTGTAATCCCATCACTTTGGGAGGCTGAGGTGGGCGGATCACCTAAGGTCAGGAGTTCGAGCCCAGCCTGGCCAACATGGCGAAACCCCGTTCTCTATTAAAAATACAAAAATTGCCCGGCGCGGTGGCTCACGCCTGTAATCCCAGCACTTTGGGAGGCTGAGGCGGGTGGATCACGAGGTCAGGAGATCGAGACCATCCTGGCTAACACAGTGAAACCCTGTCTCTGCTAAAAATACAAAAAATTAGCCGGGCGTGGTGGCGGGCGCCTGTAGTCCCAGCTACTCGGGAGGCTGAGGCAGGAGAATCGCTGGAACCCGTGAGGCAGAGGTTGCAGTAAGCCGAGATCATGCCGCTGCACTCCAGCCTGGGAGACAGAGCGAGACTCCGTCCCAAAAAAAGAAAAAGAAAAAGAAAAGAGAATGCTCAATCCTTCACAGAACAGCCTAGCTCAGTGACAGTGAACCCAGTGGTGGCAATAAGAGGGATCAGCTGTCATTTGCTGTTTCTCTTTAATGTGCCAAGCGCTGTGCTCAACATATCTATGCGTGACCTCATTTCATCTCCCCTCGGTTCCATGGGGGAAGCACTATGTTGTCATCCTCAGGTCACAGCTGGGAAACACGAAGCTTGGAGAAATGAAGCACAGAGCCCAAGACCACTCTGGGAAGTGGCAGAGCCGGCTTCCCACATGAGTCAACTGCCTCCAGAACCCAGTGAAGAAATGACATCAGTGTGGGCCAACGTCAGGGGTGCACTCCTGCAGGAGGTGGGGTCCAGCCACTGTAGGCAGAGGCCTGGGCAGGGGCACAGGAGCAGAATCACGGGGGCCTGGGGAGATATGCAGGCAGCGCCATTTAGAAATGATGGTGATGCAGCTGATTTTACGAATGTCCTCATTGCCTGCCTGCTTGTCCTCCACACACTACACACTCATTTTCATTTTCTTTTTTGATTTTTTGTTTGTTTGTTTTGAGATAGGGTCTCGTTCTGTTGCACAGGCTGGAGTACAGTGGTGTGATCATGCCTCACTGCAGCCTCAAACCCCTGGGCTCAAGCGATACTTCCCATCTCAGCCTCCCAATAGCTGGGATTACAGGTGCACACCACCACGCCCGACTTGCACAGTCATTTTCTTACGGCACAAAGACACATAACTCTGTACTTGTTCATCAACCTCTTCCTCCAAACCGGCTCTGAGCAAGTCACTCCTGTCTTACAAACACCGGCTTCCTGCTGCGGGGGAGACCACACCCATCTTAGTTGACGGCAAAAGCCCCTTGTGATGTGGCCTTCCTCTACCCTATTTGTGAGGGCTTTTGTGACTGCTGGAGAGCATTCCACAGCCCCACCTCCCGAGCTTGAGTCCTGCTGCTGCTCTGCTCCTAGAGTGCCACCTTTTCATTTCATACCAGTGCCCTCCGGGGACTCCAGGGCTTCCCCGGTCTCCCAGGCTCCCTTGAGTTCATGTCTCCAGGACTGGCAGTGTACACTTAGCAGGGACTCCATCGAGGGCACCTCACTCACCAACCCCAAGGAAGCCAGCATTTGACTTGAACCGCACTGCATAATCAGATACCACACAACTTTTGGAATTGGCATTGATCAGGAAAATGATTTAAAAGGTGGGGGATGCTGTTTATTGAATAAAGGATAGTGTTGCCCTCCCATGTGAGGCTCCCAGGAAAGAGTACCTGGTAAGCCTATGCAACTGAGTACATTAGAGTCTTCTGAAGTTAAATTTGGAATTGGGACGAGGTAGGAAAAAATCTGTGCTCATTGGATACAGACTGCAATTGTCTGTCGGTGCAGGAACTGAAGTATCTGCAGCAAATTATATTTAAGACTCTATTGTCGCAGGCGGATTAGCTAATGCTTGATTTTAAGTATAGGCTTCTAATGCTATTACTCCTGGTTAACTCTACCTGGCAGGTAAACTTGTGGAACAAATGACTGCATTGCTTGAATAACATATTTGATCAAACAGGACAATTCTTTCAAAAATTGAGTTCTCTGTGGCAATTTGAGACCTGTAATCAGCAAATTAGATGATTACAGCAGGGATAAAAATAGTCTTCTAACAATGTCCAAGGTATAAATGTGATTTGAATTTCAAAATGTGGAACATGTGGTAGGAAAATGCACGGTTGGGTAAATATGACTAGACATTATCAGATTTGATTTCTCTCTCTAGCCCTGCTCAGAGCTAGAGCCTAATTTTGCCCAAATAAACTCCAATCTCGTTTGTGTCTGAGTTAGAGGATGGACACGTATTGGGTGCCATGCTCTGAATCTTAAAGGGCTCCATGGCTCTACCTGCCTTAGAAACTAAAAGTCAGTGTGAACCTCTGCATCATGTATTTATCACATGGTACCAAATAACCATCATGAAAGAGTAAGCTGTCCGTGTTCCACACAGGGAAGACGGCATTGGAAAACCCTTGACTCCCACCACCTGAGGACCAGGGTTTTTTTGTTGTTGTTGTCGTCAGGCACAGTGGGCAGAGAAATGACAACAACTCTGGCGGACTCTAGCAAGTGAATTCTTTTTTGGGAGACAGGGTCTCACTCTGACGCTTAGGCTGGAGTGCAGTGGCACAGTCATGGCTCACTGCAGCCTCGGCCTCCCAGGCTCAGGTGATTCTCCCATCTCAGCCTCCTGGGTAGCTGGTACTACAGGCATGCGCCACCACAAAAAAATTTAAATTTTTAAATTTTTTGTAGAGATGGAGTTTTGCCATATTGCCCAGGCCGGTCTTGAACTCCTGAGCTCAGGCAATCTGCCCACCTTGGCCTCCCAAAGTGCTGGGACTAGAGGCATAAGCCACTGTGCCTGGCCGCAAGTGAATTCTGTGAGCTGAGGCGGGATATGAGGATATGGTCTGCTCAACCACAGTTCAGGGTCTCCAGGGTTGGTGAATCACTCGCTTTTTCTCCATCTCTAACCCGAGAGTTAGATCAGGGGCCACATCACCTCCTTTCTCTGGTCCTTCTTGCTAACACATCTCCTCAGGACATCTGTTCACCCAAGTTGACTGAGCTGCCATTTTCACCCCAGTGTCTCTTGTGGCCTCATCTGGCTTTAGCTGAATAGCAGAACATAAGCGACTTGGTCAAGGGGTATTTGCAGCCAATGAGAGAGAGGCCAAAGCAGGGATTACTAGCAAGTGGAAAAAGCTCCTCTTACAGGGGAATTTTGATTTCTACTTACTAGCAGCTCTTAGGGTTCCTGAGTATAGACATGATTGATTAATATGGATGTCATTTACCCATTCAGGACTTAGCCTTTATTAGCACCAATAATTAAGAGCTGCCTGTGACAACACTGCCACTTAAAAAGCTTTGACTTCCAGAAACACAGCATTCCAACAAGTTACATATAAGGCATTCTTATTTCAGCATATTCTAGCACCCTCTCTAATACGGTGGGTGGCTAAATGACCTATGAATTAATATTTACCTCAAATGTGTTTGTTTTTTTTTAGGTGTCACCCAGGCTGGAGTGCAGTGGCATGATCTCAGCTCACCACAACGTCTGCCTACTGGGTTCAAGCGATTCTCCTGCCTCAGCCTCCTGAGTAGCTGGGACTGCAGGCGCCCAGCACGACACCTGGCTAATTTTTTGTACTTTAGTAGAAATGAGGTTTCACCATGTTGGCCAAGCTGGTCTTGATCTCCTGACTTCAAGTGATCCTCCCACCTCGAATCTCCCTAAATGCTGGGATTACAGGCCTCAGCCATTGTGCCTAGCCTCAAACGTACTTTCAAATTTGCTGTTACCTCAATGTGTCAAGCTCTCAAATTTATGAAACTTTGGAAATAGAAATTTTTTAGTGCCATCTTTTTGCTTACAAAATGCCAAATGTAGGCCGGGCACACTGGCTCACACCTGTAATCCCAGCACTTTGGGAGGCCAAGGCAGGTGGATCACCTGAGGTCAGGAGTTCGAGACCAGCCTGGCCAACATGGTGAAACCCCCTCTCTACTAAAACTACAAAAATCAGCAGGGCGTGGTGGTGGGTGCCTGTAGTCTCAGCTACTCGGGAGGCTAAGGCAGGAGAATCGCTTGAACCTGGGAGGCGGAGGTTGCAGTGAGCCGAGATCATGCCACTGCACTCCAGCCTGGGTGACAGAGTGAGACTCCATCTCCAAAAAAAAAAAAAAAAAAGAAAATGCTAAATGTAGGCCGGGCAAGGTGGCTTACGCCTGTAATCCCAGCACTCTGGGAGGCTGAGGTAGGTGGATTACCCAAGGTCTGGAGTTCGAGACCAGCCTGGCCAACATGGTGAAACCCCGTCTCTACTAAAAATACAAAAAAAAATTAGCCGGGCATGGGCAGGTGCCTGTAATCCCAGCTTCTCAGGAGGCTGAGGCAGGATAATCACTTGAACCTGGGAAGCAAAGGTTGCAGATAAGGCTTGTCTCAAGCTCCTGGCTTTAAGTGATCTGCCCAACTCAGCCTCCCAAAGTGTGGGGATTACAGGTGTGAGCCACCACGCCCAGCCAAAAACTCACTGCTTTTTAAGACTAGAACATCTCTGCCTAAAGTGAAGAAATAACTGGCTAGTCCTATCATTTGACTAAATACCATTACATGTAGATTTACAATGCGTTTATTAGGATAACTGTAGTATTAAAACTTGCCAGAGGGCCGGGTGCGGTGGCTCACACCTGTAATCCCAGCACTTTGGGAGGCTGAGGCGGGCGGATCACAAGGTCAGGAGTTCGAGACCAGCCTGGCCAACATGGTGAAACCCCGTCTTTACTAAAAATACAAAAATTAGCCGGGTGTGGTGGTACGCGCCTGTAGTCCCAGCTACTCAGGAGGCTGAGGCAGGAGAATTGCTTGAACCCAGGAGGCAGAAGTTACAGTGAGCTGAGATCGCGCCATTGCCCTCCAACCTGGGTGACAAAGTGAGACTCCATCTCAAAAAAATAAAATAAAATAAAAATAAATAAATAAATAAATAAAACTTGCCAGAAAAGCCGGCGCAATTGCTCATGCCTGTAATCCCATCACTTTGGGAGGCCGAGGAGGGAGGATCACCTGAGGTCAGGAGTTCGAGACCAGCCTGGCCAACATGGAGAAACCCCGTCTCTACTAAAAATACAAAATCAGCTGGGTGTGGTGGCGCCTGCCTGTAGTCCCACCTACTCAGGAGGCTGAGGCTGGAGAATGCCTTGAACTTGGTAGGTGGAGGTTGCAGTGAGCCGAGATTGTGCCACTGCACTTCAGCCTGGCAACAGAGCGAGACTCCGTCTCAAAAAAAAAAAAAAAAAAAAAAATCTGCCAGAACTACATCAATGTCAAAAGTAAAGTCTCTCCAACTTCATACAAATATGGTTACAGATTTTATTTTATTCTTTTTGAGATGGAATCTTGCTCTGTCGCCCAGACTGTACTGCCATGGTGCCATCTTGGCTCACTGCGTATGGTTACGAATTTCAAATGGCTGCTTTTTTCTTTAGATTTTTGCCAAATGAGATAAAATACCAAGTTGAAAATAAGCAGTATTTATTTGTTCATTCACCCTTCCTTGTATGCACTAGCACACGTGATGAAGCACTGTTAGTCAAACACAAGACTCCAAAAGACCACCATTTGAAGAATGTTCAGTAAAAAGTCATGTGAGTGGCCGGATGCGGTGGCTCACGCCTGCAATCCCAGCACTTTGGGAGGCCGAGGCAGGCAGATCACCTGAGGTCAGGAGTTCAAGACCAGCCTGGCCAACATGATGAAACCCCATCTCTACTAAAAATACAAAAATCAGCCGGGTGTGGTGGCGGGCACCTGTAATCTCAGCTACTTGGGAGACTTAGGTGGGAGAATCTTGAACAGGGGGAAGGTGGAGGTTGCGGTGAGCCAAGATTGTGCCACTGCACTCCAGCCTAGGTGACAGAGCGAGACTCCCTCTCAAAAAAAAAAAAAAAAAAAAAAAAAATCATGTGAGCGGCCAGACGTGGTGGCTCACGCCTGTAATCCCAACACTTTGGGAGGCTGAGGTGGGCAGATCACGAGGTCAGGAGTTCGAGACCAGCCTGGCCAACATGGTGAACCGCCGTCTCTACTAAAAGTACAAAAACAAAGGTCACATGAGCTGTACACGAGGCCTGTAAGTGGGCAGCAATGATTAGCAAGGCACTTGGTGACTCCATCAGTGCTCAGCGAACAGGCTGCATCATGCGCTCAGCTGACATATGACTCTACTTCGCATTTTTTTTTTTTTTTTTGAGATGGAGTTTTGCTCTTGTTGCCCAGACTGGAGTGCAATGATGCGATCTCAGCTCACCGCAACCTCCGCCTCCCAGATTCAAGCGATTCTCCTGCCTCAGCCTCACGAGTAGCTAGGATTATAAGCATGTGCCACCACACCTGGCTAATTTTTTTTTTTTTTTTTGTATTTTTAGTAGAAATGGGGTTTCTCCATGTTGGTCAGGCTTGTTTTGTACTCCCAACCTCAGGTGATCCGCCCACCTCGGCCTCCCAAAGTGCTGGGATTACAGGCGTGAGCCACTGCGCCCTGACTTTTTTTTTTTTTTTTTTTTTTTATGAGATAGAGTCTCACTCCGTCACCCAGGCTGGAGTGCAGTGGCACGATCTCGGCTCACTGCAACTGCTGCCTCCTGGTTCAAGTGATTCTCCTGCCTCAGCCACCCCACTAGCTGGGATTACAGATGTGTGCCACCACGCCTGGCTAATTTTCTTTTCTTTTCTTTTTTTTTGAGATGGAGTTTTGCTCTTGTTGCCCAGGCTGGAGTGCAGTGGTGCAATCTCGGCTCACTGCAACCTCTGCCTCCCGGGTTCAAGGGATTCTCCTGCCTCAGCCTCCCGAGTAGCTGGGATTATAAACATGTGCCACTACACCCAGCTAATTTTGTATTTTTAGTAGAGATGGGGTTTTTCCATGTTGGTCAGGCTGGTCTTGAATTCCCAACCTCAGGTGATCTGCCTGCCTTGGGTCCCAAAGTGCTGGGATTACAGGCGTGAACCACCATGCCCAGCCTTAATTTTTGCATTTTTACTACAGATGGGGTTTCACCATGTTGGGTAGGCTGGTCTCCAACTCCTGACCTCAAGTGATCTGCCCAACTCAGCCTCCCAAAGTGCTAGGATTACAAGCGTGAGCCACACGCCCAGCCACATTTTCTTCTTTTCCTTTTTTTTTTTTTTGAGACAGTCTCGCTCTGTTGCCCAGGCTGGAGTGGTGGCGCGATCTCAGCACACTGCAAGCTCCGCCTCCTGGGTTCATGCCATTCTCCTGCCTCAGCCTCCTAGGTAGCTGGGACTACAGGTGCCCGCCACCATGCCTGGCTAATTTTTCTATTTTTAGTAGAGACGGAGTTTCACTGTTAGCCAGGATGGTCTCGATTTCCTGACCTTGTGATCCGCCCACCTTGGCCTCCCAAAGTGCTAGGATTACAGGCATGAGCCACCGCACCCAGCCTCATTTTCTTCTTAAAAGCAGTTTTAGGCTACTATGTTAAAAGTTCTCCAAATAAAAATTCACTTATTCTTTAGGCTAAGATTTCGGTAAGGGGAAAAAAAAAAAAGCATTAAATCATGCTAATTCCAGATTCCTTATGGCCTTTAACCAGTCCTAGGAAGGAAGTTACACCTAGGAATCCTCTTCGGTGTGGACATTACCTCATCACTACTACTACTGATGGCCAACAAACCTGGTGTGAGCAGCCACCAGTGCAGGGCGTGGTGAGACAAATACCAGGTGGACTCCTCACTTCCAGCTCAGGGGGCACCAGGAGGCAGACAGGCTGCACCTGAAGCCCACGTCTAAAGTTTCCTTTCCATCAAATACATTGAAAAATGTATTTGACCAAAAGAGTTAAGACTCAAGGCTGGGTGTGGTGGCTCACACCTGTAATCCCAGCACTTTGGAAGGCTGAGATGGGCAGATCACCTGAGGTCAGGAGTTTGAGACCAGCCTGGCCAACATGGCAAAACCCCATCTCCACTAAAAATACAAAAATTAGCTGGGTGTGGTGGCACACGCCTGTAGTCCCAGCTACTTAGGAGGCTGAGGCAGGAGAATCGCTTAAACCCGGGAGGCAGAGGCTGCAGTGAGCCAAGATTGTGCCCCTGCACTCCAGCCTTGGTGACAGAGCGAGACCCTGTCCCTGTCTCAAAAAAAAAAAAAAAAAAAAAAAAAAAAAAGAAAGACTTGAGCCTCAAGAAGTATGAAGTCAAAAAACAGAAGTTGATATAACCACAATTAAAGCTGACTGCTACCTTAAGTTACCAGACATAGCTCATAAAACCAGCTGTCTCAAAAACAGTATTATCTTTATTAAAAAATGGATAGATATAGCAGCACTTACAAAACAGTTCATCAAAGGCATTGTACACTGTCAACTGATAATGTGGAGAGGGCAGCCCCCTGCCCAGCTGGCTATGGGCTCTGCACAACGCTTGCCCGCAACCACCTGCTCCACTTGGTACAACGGAGCCCAGAACACCTGCGAGGAGAGCCACGCCACCGTGGCCCTCCACAGCTTCAAGCTTTTGTTGTTGTGGGAGTCCCTTAGGTCAAGTAGCACCTTCCATAGCAGCATCGGGAGCACGCACTGGTGTCTGGAGGTGGCTGGTGTACTTGACCCACTTATTTAAAAAAAACCTATAAGCATTCAATAAAAAACACTTTGCCCTGTTTGATGCCATCCACAGAAATACTTCTGTTGTGGAAGAAACACTCTTCCATTCAGATATCTGTAAAAGCAAACGCACGCCTCCGCTGCAACAGACAGAAGAGAACGTGGAGCAGGCGCGCAACTGTCTTTGGTGGAGAAGGATGGGGTGGTCACGCCATTTCCGGCCCGCTGCTCTGCTTCTTACCGCTCTGTGGCGGGGTGAGGAGCCCACTGGGGAGAGGAGAAGCCCTATTTTGTTCAGACAACATGGCTTTCTTTGCTCGGGCTTTGTCCTGTTGGTAAGAATAAAAGGGACAACACATTAGAGTAGAACATATCCTTGGGCTTCAATTACCATAGGCTTTTTCTTTTTTAATTTTTAAATTTTTTTTTTTTCTCAAGATGGAGACTTGCTTTCTCATCCAGACTGTAGTACAGTGGTGGGATCTCGGCTTACTGCAACTTCCACTTCCAGGGTTCAACCGATTCTCCCGCCTCAGCCTCCCAAGTAGAGTAGCTGAGATTATAGGCACCCGCCACCATGTCCAGCTAATTTTTGTATTTTTCATAGAGACAGGGTTTCGCCATTTTGGCCTGGCTAGTCTTGAACTCCTGATATCAGGCGATCTGCCCGCCTCCGCCTCCCAAAGTGCTGGGACTACAGACATGTGCCACCATGCCTGGCTAGTTTTTAAATTTTTTAGGGACAGGGTCTCCCTATGTTGTCCAGGCTAGTCTCAAACTTCTGAGCTTAAGCAGTCCTTCTGCCTTGGCCTCCAAAAGCCACTGTGTCTGGCCACTATGTCTTTTTCTACGGAGGTGAGTGAAAGAAAAAAAAATATCAAAGAGCACTTTAAAACTCTATAGTCTATATGATAGTGAGATACAGCATCAATTTGCCAGGATTTTTCTTTTTCAATTAATTAAAATTGGAGTTTTTCAAGGATATTTGGGGCCTGCCTGAAGAAAAGTGAACAGGTTATTTAGGCAGTTTTTTTTTTTTTGAGACATAGTTTCGCTCTGTTGCCCAGGCTGGAGTGCAGTGGCGTGATCTCAACGCACTGCAACCTCCGCCTCCCGGGTTCAGATGATTCTCCTGCCTTAGCCTCTCGAGTAGCTGGGACTACAGGTGCCCACCACCATAGCCGGCTAATTTTTTTATTTTTAGTAGAGACAAGGTTTCACCATGTTGGCCAGGCTGGTCTTGAACTCCTGGCCTCAAGTGATCGGCCCACCTCGGCCTCCCAAAGTGCTGGGTTTACAGGCCTGAACCACCGCGGCTGGCCTATTTAGGCAGTTTTAAGAATTTGGCCAAGAAGGACTGAAAGAAGGAGCAGCACTGACCAGCAAATCCAAGCTGTCTCTGTGGGTCTGTATGTTGTGTGCATCTTCATCAGCGACGCCCCTGAAGTGCTTCAGTTTTGAGCTCCCCGTCTCCCTTATAACCATGGCAAATGGAACCATCCACTTGACACAGTTCTCTATGTCGCACCACTGATACCCTGCAGTGAAGACATCGTGGGCTTAATCTGAGGCTGACAACTGGATGTAAGCTTAGTACACCTTGTTTGTGCATGCACTGGAAAGCCAACTTACCTGAAACCTTTTGCATCAATTCAGATGACGAGAAATGATACAAGGCCGAAGCAGCAAGTATACCATAAGGAAATTCAAGGCAGTCAACATCCAGGACACAGAGATCCAACAGCTACGGAGAAGAAAAGAACGCTGAGATGGATGCCACCACACGCCTATTCTAGAGTTCCTCACTCCAGCTGCAGGGAAGGTGGCCCCACGGACGTGATGGAGCCACTTACCTCTGCAATCTGTATAAAGATTTGCTGGGGATACTGCGGCAGTAGCACTTCATGTAAGTCATTTAGATATGCAACCTGCATGTATACATTCAGCCAGGACACAATAGTCAGGGGACTTAAACGCCACTTAAGGGCCTAAAGGAAAACAGAGAGAAAAGAGACCGATGATTGAGAAAAGAAGTTCAAAATGCAGCCATGTTCCATGCCACAATGTGTCCAGCTGGAGAACACCTCCCAGAGGCACTCACACTTCAGGTGGAAAAGATCTGCCGTACGCATTTAAAAAATGGCCGGAAAATTCACTGGAACCCACCTTCATAATCATTAATTCCATGGTGAGAATTTCATCTCCTGAACAAGCTCCATCTGTCACATACGCAAACTGGTGCAACTTTGGAGGATAGATTTCCTGAAAGGAAATAAAAGATGGCACTAGCACCAAAGCCAATCTCTAACAGTCTCAATTTATAATGCATCCAAAATGACTTCTCAGTACCCTGGCATGGAAAGAGAGAGGGCGCACTGATGGAATTAACACAGAAGCCACACCAATGGTTGTAAAAAAAAAAAAAAAAAAAAAAAAGAACACAACTCCCACCCACCATTAAATAAATGGATGGAACTTTGACTCATTGTGGGTACTCTTGAAATATCCCCTTTTCAGTACCTTTAACACATTTGAAAGTTGGGCCCATATACCCTTTGATAATCATACACAAATTTTTAATCTTTTCTTTTTTCTTTTAGACAGAATTTCCCTCTGTTGCCCAGGCTGGAGTGCAGTGGTAGGATCTCGACTCACTGCAACCTCGGCCACCTGGGCTCCAGCAATTCTCTTGCCTCAGCCTCCCGAATAGCTGGGATTACAGGCACGTGCCACCACGCCTGGCTAATTTTTTGTATTTTTAGTACAAATGGTATTTCACCATGTCTCAAACTACTGGCCTCAAGTGACCCAGCTGCCTTGGCCTCCCAAAGTGCTGGGATTATAGGCTTGAGCCACCAACCCGGGCCCAAAATTATTATCTTAGTTCAAAGTTCATTTTTTTTTTTGGCTCAATGTAACTACATGAACCTAGGTCTTCCATACCCTCACTACTTTTCTCTTCCTGGTCACTTTCCAGCCTTTTTTTCTTTTTGGCATGTGTCTTAACTTTACAGGGTAGCAAATCAGAAAAATTTAGGATGAGTGCTATAGGCTAAGCGCCAACCTCTTCCCCCAATCTCAGTGGAGCTCGAGAAATAACACACATTATAGAACAAATATTTGAAAATTATTTACCTCAAGTTTGGCTGCAATAAATAAAGATGAAATCCCAATAAGCTGTAAAAGAGTTTTTACAACATTTTCTTGTGTCGCCATATACCGGTCAAAGAAATCTTGTGCCAAGTAAAAGGTCTCCCTGTGAAGTTTATAGACTTCACACACCTGAAAACATATTTAGTAAGTTTTAGCACAAGTAAGTTTTACTTGAGGGAGGGGAAAAAAAAAAAACTTGTAATGACTTTGGTGAAGGAAAATATAAAATGCAAAGTTCCTGAACTCAACAATTGATAGTTTTTTGTTTTTTTGTTTTTTTTTTGAGGTGCCTTATTCTGTCACCCAGTCTGGAAAGTAGTGTTGTGATCTTGGTTCACTGCAACCTCCAACTTCCAGGCTCAAGCGATTCTCTTGCTTCAGCCTCCCGAGTAGCTGGAATTACCAGCACCCGCCACCATGCCCAGCTAATTTTTGTATTTTTAGTAGAAATGGTATTTCACCACGTTGGCCAGGCTGGTTTTGAACTCCCGGCCTCAAGTGATCCACCTGCTTCGGCCTCCCAAAGTGCTGGGATTATAGGGATGAGCCACTGTGCCCAGCCTAACAACTGATAGGTTTTAAATGAGGGGCCCTTCTGGCCTGTCCCACCCTCACCTGCCTAGGATGTGAATCATCCCCTTGCCCGCACATCCCCGTGGAGTAGGCCACCTGCCTGTTAGTCACTCACTAGCACACAGGTCATCAGATGGACTGTCACAGCACAGCAGTGCTGGTGTTCAAGCAAGCAGCCCTTATTTGACTGAATAATGGCCCCACAGGGCAAGAGTAGTGATGCTGGCTATTTGGAAATGCCAAAGAGAAGCCGTGAAGTGCTTTCTTTAAGTGAAAACATGAAAGTAGAGGATTAAAAACATGGCATATCTAGAGCTCAGTACTATCTGTGGCTTCAGGCATCTCCTGCGGGTCTTGGGATGTACCCCCGAGGATGAGGGGTACTTCTGTAGTTACACACTCAACTTCTACATGTTTTCATGAAGCAGGTCTGCCTGAGATGTCCTTCCACTTCAGAAGAAAAGCCCACTTCTCACCCATTCAAGTCTTACAAGGTTGTCTAGGAAGCTTCCCTTAATCAAGAAACTATAAGCTACCGCAGTTCATCCCAGTAAGATATACAACCAATAAAATCTCATCTTTTATGTTTAACCATTATCTATCAAATGTTGTTATACTTGTTCTTTTGATTAACTGTTAAAGAGAAATAAAATAGTGTGGACCAAGAAAAGATTTGAGTTGGGTGCTGTAGCTCACACCTGCAATCCCAGCACTTTGGGAGGCCAAGGCATGGGGATCCCTTGATCCCAGGAGTTGGAGACCAGCCGGGGCAACATAGCAAGACCCCAACTCAACAAAAAATAAAAAATCGGCAGGGAGTAGTGGCTCATGCCTGTAGTCCCAAGGACTGCGGAGGCTGAGGTGGGAGGACTGCTTGAGCCCAGGAATTGGAGCCTGCAGTGAGCCGTGACTGCACCACTACACTCCAGCTTGGGTGACAGAGCAACTCTGTCTCAAAACACAGAAGCCACTCCAATGGTCCAAATATCTTTAAAAATATGCTTAAAAAAAAAATTGAGACAGAGTCTCATGGTCACCTAGGCTGGAGTGCAGTGGCGCTATCACAGCTCACTGCAAGCTCCAACTCCCAGGCTCAAGCAATCCTCCCACTTCAGCCTCCCCAGTAGTTGTGACTACAAGCCTGAGCCACTATACCCTGACAATTTTTTATTTTTTGTTGAAATGGGGTCTCAAGGGCCAGGCGCAGTGGCTCACGCCTGTAATCCCAGCACTTTGGGAGGCCAAGGCGGGCGGATCACCTGAGGTCGGGACTTCAAGACCAGCCTGACCAACATGGAGGAAACCCCGTCTCTACTAAAAATACAAAATTAGCCGGGCGTGGTGGCGTATGCCTGTAATCCCAGCTACTCGGGAGCCTGAGGCAAGAAAATCGCTTGAACCCGGGAGGCAGAGGTTGTGGTGAGCCAAGATCACACCATTGCATGCCAGCCTGGGCAACAAGAGCGAAACTCCGTCTCAAAAAAAAAAAAAAAAGACATGGGGTCTCGCTATGTTGCCCAGGCTAGTCTCTAACTCCTGGGCTCAAGGGATCCTTCTGCCTTGGCCTTCCAAAGTGCTGGGATTACAGACATGAGCCACTGTGCCCAGCCAGGATTTGAACAATATATTTTATTAGAATAAATGGGAATGGTGGAAAAGGGAATGGATTCCAAGAAGTTAAAAAGGAGCAATGTCAGACCTGTTTAAGATAAGCTTGTTCATATATGTTTACAATTTATGACAGTAGCTATAAAACAGGTGATATATGCATCCCAGTGAATACATTTAAAAGCAATTTAGCTGGGCATGGTGGCTCACACCTGTAATCCCAGCATTCTGGGAGGCCGAGGTGGGTGGATCACAAGGTCAGGAGTTCAAGACCAGCCTGGCCAACATGGTGAAACCCCGTTTCTTCTAAAAATACAAAAATTAGGCAGGGTGCGGTGGCTCACGCCTGTAATCTCAGCACTTTGGGAGGCCAAGGCGGGCAAACCACGAGGTCAGGAGATCGAGACCATCCTGGCTAACACGGTGAAACCCCATTTCTACTAAAAATACAAAAAATTAGCCAGACGTGGTGGCGGGCGCCTGTAGTCCCAGCTACTCGGGAGGCTGAGGCAGGAGAATGGCATGAACCCGGGAGGAGGAGCTTGCAGTAAGCTGAGATCGCACCACTGCACTCTAGCCTGGGTGACAGAGCAAGACTCCGTCTCAAAAAAAAAAAAAAAAAATACTGGGCGTGATGGCGTGCGCCTGTAATCCCAGCTACTCAGGAGGCTGAGGCCAGGAAAGTCACTTGAACCCGTGAGGCAGAGGTTGCAGTGAGCTGAGATTGTGCCACTGCACTCCAGCCTGGGTGACAAAGCAAGACTCCATCTCAAAAAAAAAAAAAAAAAAAAAGCAATTTAATGAACATAATGAACAAAGCTCAAATGTTAACAGTTACAATTTACTGGAAAATACAATCTTAACAATTATTTAAACTTGGATGGAAAAAATTAGATGCCAATTTTAAAACATCTGAAGGATAAAAAGATTTCAGAAATTCTTGCTAAGAATACAAGCAAAACAGAAAGACCACCACAGTAAAAATATACCATATAGCTTCAGAGATGGAGAACATGTCGAGGGAATAAACCACACAGAGGTCCTAATACACAAAAATGCTGGAAATGCTCAGTGCTTTCATGAAGCGAACAGGAAGACTCAAGCTCACCTCCATTAACCAATCCAGAAGAATTGCTCGCATTTTTGGCTGCAGAAGAGGGTGTTGCTCAAGAAAGTGCTGATCCCTTAAGTATGTCTTTTCCTTGTTTAACATGATTTTCCAGACTTCCTCTCTATTTGCCCAGCTACAACAAAACACACAACAAAAATGAGGCCCACAAAGGGGTAAGAATGCGTCCATGCTATGAGGGATAAAGGGGAGCATGGAGTAAGAGACCTGGAAGCCATGTGGCAGAGTCGGCACTGACCTCAGTACAGGCAGCGGGGAGCCTCTGGATGGTGCAATAATCCGAGGCTTGCACGTTGAGTTTGGGTAAACCCGGTCATCATCTTCTTTGTCAGGTGTGGGGATCAGGGAGCAGGGGTCTGCACAGACTGCATTATTGTCCCAAGGCTGTAAATGAAAAATACACAGGAGAGGTGAGATAAGATGCAAACAGCTCTTACATTACCCAAAAACATTACAAATTCACCTGCAACTCAGTAAGATACTAGGCATGACTTCTGAAAGTGCTTCCAAAAAGATACATTATGATATTTTTTGTCACAACTCAAAGATTTTTTTAATGAGTACAATGCATCTACTAAAATTTCTTAAAAGTAAAACAGAACTGTCAATAAAAATATTTACATAAGCACTTCACATTCATTAGTATAAAAGATCAAAAATGGGGGGGAGGGGGGAGGGATAGCATTAGGAGATATACCTAAGGTTAAATGATGAGTTAATGGGTGCAGCACACCAACATGGCACATGTATACATATGTAACTAACCTGCACGTTGTGCACATGTACCCTAAAACTTAAAAGTATAATAAAAAAAAGATCAAAAATGTAAATTTGGCTGCCATATGTATTAAAGTCCCCTCAGTTTAAAACAAAAACTCATCAAATGTGACATTTTCTTTTTGTTGCAGGACTAGCCAAATATGTTAAATAATAAAGGACTTTTTCTTTTCCTTAACTCGAAACAAACAGAATGAACATCCACCTAGTTAAAACCAAATCAAGTGATGGTCACAGGTCATACTATGAAGTCTACAGGAAGCTAGCCTAGACACTCCTTAAGACCTCTGAATCTCCTGAGTCTTGCAGGGTAATTCAAATACCTGATAAAATAAGGAACTATTAGAAACCAAAGCACTATGCTTTTCTTTTAAAGGTTTCAGATATGTATTCAATTTTCAATATCTGAAAAACACTAAAGTCCATTTAGAATATTTTCATTTTTAAAGCTATTCCTACTCTAAGAAGTCTGTTTGATTTTTAAAGTTATAAAATAGTAACTTTGCTAAAGATATTAGGCAGGTAACAATCCTACTAGCATGGAAGCCATATGAAAGTCTGAGACTTGGCTTTTTTTTTTTTTTTTTTGAGAGAGGGTCTCCCTCTGTTCCCCAGGCTGGAGTGCAGTGGTGTAATCTCAGCTCACTACAACCTCTGCCTCCTGGGGTCAAGCGATCCTCCTGCCTCAGCCTCCTGAGCAGCTAGGACTACAGGCATGCACGAGCACACCCAGCTAATTTTTGTATTTTTTTGTAGAGATGGGGTTTTGCCATGTTGTCCAGGCTGGTCTCGAACTCCTGGACTCAAGCCATCCTCCTGCCTTGTCTTC
Source organism: Homo sapiens (assembly GCF_000001405.40). Classification (NCBI taxonomy): domain Eukaryota; kingdom Metazoa; phylum Chordata; class Mammalia; order Primates; family Hominidae; genus Homo; species Homo sapiens. Next base: position 29,815,914 of record NC_000019.10, on the reverse strand, counting down.
CAAAAGTGCTGGGATTACAAGCCTGAGCCACCGCACCTGGCATTTTTTTTTTTTTTTAAAGCAGAGACCACCAGCCTGGCCAACCTGGTGAAACCCCGTCTCTACTAAAAATACAAAAATTAGCCGGGTGTGGTAGCGGGCGCCTGTAATCCCAACTACTCGGGAGGCTGAAGCAGGAGAATCACTTGAACCTGGGAGGCGGAGGTTGCAGGGAGCCGAGCTCGCGCCATTGCTCTCCAGCCTGGGTGACGGAGCAAGACTCTGTCCCCCCCCCAAAAAAAAAAAAAAAAAAGCAGAGACCATTAACATTGACTAAAGAACAAAATAGACAACTGGGGTCACTATAAATGAAAGTGGAAACTCGGGCTGTAAGTGCTACCTCGAAGACACAGCACATGGTGGCGACCACAACACATTGGCCGCCTTCAGAGGAAGCCCAAGCACTTTCAGTTAGAAGAGCAAAGCCAGATAAAGCTCTTCCCCACCCAATGTACAAAGAATTGGGCATGCAAATTATCCATGACAGCTCCTGCCAACAGCTGTGCGAGCAAGGCTGCTTCCTTTCAGTTCTAGTACCATGTGCGGGTGGCATTTCCTTAACTCAAAAAGGGTCACATTACAACCGCTGTAAGTTGTTCTTCATTCAGGAAGAATGAATTCTAGTCTTGAAGGCATAATGCTGGGTGCCACCCTCTACAGCCAGATGGCTGGCACATCTGAGAGCAGGCCTTTGGACATAGATGAGTCCAGCAGCAGTTCCCAAACTAGGTGAACCATCAGCAGACAAATGGTTTCCAAAGTTGGCCTTTTTAGGGACCAGTGGATGAGGTAGAATAATTAAGTCTATGTCCTTGAGTGTACACCAAGTTTCAAAGCAAGATCTGTCTGACTTTATTTAGGAAAGAATGAGATAACAATAAGAGACCCACGGGATTCCTAACCACTCCAACTCCTCATACCACTTTTTTCCTTACATAGGATTATTTTCTGAAAAGTAACAGTCCAGGATTCCACTTCAATAGAAAGATTGAGTCTTGTGCAAAAAAATTAAACAACAAAATGGACGTGTTAAGTAGATCTTAGATAAAAGGGTATTCTTTTCATTAAGAACAGCCTAAGATGAAAATTAAAAAGCTTCCATGTGGTCTCGATGAAGCAGTTACACAAGAGTTTGGCACAATGGCTCCAAGTAGCTCAAGACTGTCGTACTGGGGGGAATTATGATAACTCCAGAGAAAAATTCTGTATGTGAGCAGGGAAAAAGGTTCTGTTGTACCCCCAAGTTCTAGTTTCATGAAGCTCCACAAAGAAATAACAAAGATACTGCTCCATACATAGACAGCTAATGTTTAAGCTATCTACTCTACAAAACGTATAGAAATCTGTCGCCATTAATCTCTGGATAACCACGAAAATGCCTTCTAGTGGGAAATGGTATGGCTATTCCGGCAGCACAGCTATCCACACTGTGGCCAGGGGACAGAGCCACAATCCGTCCCAGGAGGCACCCTCGTCACTGCTCAGGCTATCCTTGAGAACAGACATGCTTCTAAAACTCCAAGAATGCAACAGGGACGGCCCTGCTTCATCTTCAGCTGGAAGTTTCTTTTCTATTCAAAACACAGCTGGGAAAATAAACAGTCCTGAATTTCACAAAGTCAGAATTCATTTTATAATACCTAAAAAATCAACTTGCTTGATTTGAATGTACTTTAAGGGAAGAAAAAAAAAACTGGGGATATGCCGTCTCATTTCCGTCTCTGAAATGATTTCTTTGAATGAAAAAGGAAATCAGCAACCCTTTCTTCAATAGTCAGTGGACCCTCCTCAGAAATGCTTATTTCGGGGGACCTTACATGCAGTGACAACTGCTATTTAGAACACGGCGCACTGCGTTGAAACCCTTCACGCTTCCAGATGAACTACCCTGGCTGCTGCTCTGCAAAGTGAGGGGCTTCTCTGCTAACCTAGCTGGGATCCCTGCACTCAGGTCGAACACTGTTTCTGTTCAGCGTTTATCTGTGATAGAGTCAGAAGGCCTGACCAGCTAGTTTAGAGATAGGCTGCTTCCCCCACTGGAGCCATAACTACAGTCTCCAGCCATTTCTGAAAGTAAAGAGATAGTACAAGCTTTTTCTGCAAGAAACTTCTGATATTATAATGATTATCACACTGCATGCAGGAAATTTGGCAGGAACTCCTTAAGGAGAGAAAAGAAAAGCAGTCAAAAAAAAATGTATTGAGACACCACCTATCATTACACTGAATGTTCCACTGATACTCTTGCTGAGGTCAGGCTGAGCTGGGGATCAATGCAGGTAATTGCTGGAGGGGCTATAAGAACTTCCAGGGCCAGAAAGAGGAGAAGAATTTGAAATCTGACCTACAGAAGACGGAGGAGGTCCTTAAACACCATGACAAGAAAAATAGGTGTAGATAGGGGGAAAGTTGTTGCTTATAAACACCCAGGAACCCTCCCCCAGTTCACCAGCTTTTACAGACAAGGCCGAGAGCCCAACTTTGCCCCTGGATGGCACAGGACTCTGGGTTACTTTCTTCCTCTAACTGAGTCTCAGTTTCCTCCTGGGCAGAAGGGGAGGACTGAATACTGTGATGTCCATTCTGGTTCTTCCAGGCTAGGCACATATCTGTAATCTCAGACGGTGCCAGTCAGGAACACCAAGCTTCCTGGAATCCCAGGACTGGCAGAGGCCAGTGCCCACTGACAGGTACAGTGCTGGGCCATATGGGCTGTGGCTGCATTAGAGAAGTTCACTCTCACCAGAGTGTCTCCAGCAAGAGACAAGACAGCATGAAACCCCATGTGACCCAGGGGGAGAAGGACCTCCACAGAGGCCCAACCCCGGGCGGACCTACCTGGCTCCCACACTGGTCCCTCGCCGTCCTGTCGATTTTGGCCATTTCTTCATCTGGATCCTGCAAAAACTAACATGAAGCCACCCCCATGACCCCAAGGAAACACACCAAACAAGACAAAAACAGAGAGAAGAAGAGAAAGCTGATCAGGTTATGAGCTCCGTTCCTGCCCAAGGGACCCCCGCCCCCGTAGGCAGAGCCAAGTCGGGTACCCAGGTGAGATGGGGGGGATGCTCCCCAACCTGTCTCTTTTGTACTCACAACGGTCACGTTTGCCTTCCTCTTCCTGGAGCGAGCCGAGAACTCCGCGCCGCCGTCCTCCTTCATGGTGTCCCGCTCCTTCGCATCCCTGTGGACCCGGGTGGCACCGGGCCGGGTGAGCACCCGCGGCCGCCCCTCCCCCACGCCACCCGTCCCGTCCCGTCCCGTCCCGTCCGGCCCCGCGGCGCGGGCACTCACCGCTCCCTGCGCTCCCTCGGCATGATGGGGCTGCTCCGGCCTGAGGCCTGCGGGGCGGCGCGGGGTGAGGCGGCGGCGGGGTCAGGCCGCGGGCCCAGTACCCCTTCCCCCTTTGCGCGCGGGCGGCCGGGCGAGCCAGGAAGATGGCCGATGGCGGGGTGGCCTGTCACCCGCGACCCGGGCACCCGCCGACCCCCGACCCGGGGTCCCGCCGCCCCCGCCGCCCTCACCGGCCCGTCGCCTCCCGGGGCCCGGGCTGCCTCAGTGTCCCCTCCACCCCACCCCGCCGCGCTCTCAGCACCCTCCCGGGCGCCCCGCGACGCCGCCCGGGGACCCGCGACCCGGCCGCACCCCGCCCCCACCCAGCTCCCCGGCGCGGTCTGGGCCCCAGGAGTCCCTGTCCGCAGCCCGCGGCAGTAGACTCACCAGGGTCTTGTCCGCGGCGGACGGCGCGCTCCAGTCCCGGCAGGCGGCGGCGGCGACGGCAGTGGCGGCGGCGGCGCCGGGAGTCGGCGGGCCGAGCGCGCGGCGGTGGCGGGATCCGCGCCTGCCCCCTACACCGCGCTGGCGGCCGCGCCGGCTGCTCCTGCGCCCGGCTCAGAGCGGGACATTTAAAATCCCTGCGCGCGGAACCGGCCCCGGCCCGCCCTCGCACCGCCCCGCCGCGGCTCCCAGCCCCTCAGCGGCCGCGCGGGACCCAGAGCCCGTCCCGCCCCGTCCCTCGCCCCGCCCCCGGACCCGCCCCTCCACGGCGCCGGCCCGCGAGGCGCAGGGACGGGGAATCAGGGGCGGGGCCGGCGGACAGGGCGGGGCCAAGTGACAGGGCCTGCGCGCCGAGGGCCGGGCGCGGGGCGCGGGGCGCGGGACGCGGGGCGGGGCGGCGGGCGGGACGCGGGAGAAGTCTGGCGCGCGGCGGCGAGGGGCGGGCCGCGGGCGCCGGGGGCGGGGCCGAGCGGCGCTGGAGCGGCAAAAAGCCGCGTGGCTGGCGCGGGTGGAATGTAAACACGGCGGGCGGCGCGGGTTCGGGCCCCGGCAGGGCTGAGCCAAGGGGATGTGTGGGGGGCCTACCCGAGGAGCACCGCCCGCCGTTCCTCCGCGCGCGCTGTCCCGCCAGGCACGCCCTCCCCGCCCCCGAGACGCCGAGTTCCGGGCCCTGAGTCCTGGGCGGGGACATCCCCAAGGTCACCGCGCCTGTGCCTTGGCCTAGAACCAAGGCTTCAGGCCGCGGGGTCTGGGGCTCCCTGGGGGCCGGCTGCTATTCCTGGCCGCCTGTCCATTCATCCGTCAGTGCATTGGGTCGTTCATTCATTCATTCAAGGAATCTGTGAGTTCCTTCCATGCGCCCCTTCCATATGCGCCCCTCCCCCGCAAGCCCTTCCTGGCTCTCTGAAGACCTTTCTGACTCTGGGATTCCCTTGCACCCCATCTCTCACTTAAAGCCTTCCAGTTGAGGCCGGGCGCGGTGGCTCACGCCTTTAATCCCAGCATTGTGGGAGGCCGAGACGGCTGATCCCTTGGGGTGTTCGAGACCAGCCTGGGTAACAGTGAGACCCCCATTTCTACAGAAAAAGAAACAAAAAGCCTTCCAGTTGTTTCGCATAAGGGTCAAATCCACACTCCGTGTCCTAGGCTACAGGCTCCACAGGACCTGACCCTGATCCCCCACCCTCAGACCTCAGGCCTCCTCTCCACAGCTCCTCTGTCCTTTCTCCCTCAAGACTTGTATTTTTTATTGTGGCGGGGGGTGGGGGGTGGCAGGTAGGGATAGGGTCTTGCTATGTTGCTCAGGCTGGTCTCAAACCCATGAGCTCAAGCGATCCTCCCGCCTTGGCCTCCCAAAGTGCTGGGAGCCCAGCCCCTACACAGTCTTGGTGCCTCTCTGTTTCTTGTCTCTCTCCCCACCTTGCCCATCTTGCTCACTGCTGTATCTGTCAGTTCTTGGCATAGTGCCTGGACCAAGGGAGACACTTAAATTGTTTCTGAATGAACATTTGAAAGACAGGCACTGGCCAAGCCCTTGCAGGGCTTACCGGCTAATGAGAGAGACAGGTAAGGAACAGTCATCACCTCAGAGTACCCTCTGTACTCAGCTTCAGGAAGATGTGCGTAAAAGAAGGCTCTGGAATGCTCCCAGGGCCCTTCTTAAGCTAAAGTCTCAGTCCTGTCCCTCACCCTCCCCTAGTGACCGTTTTCTTGAAGTTAGAGCCAGGGTCTTATCAAAGAGGCTCACAAATTCATGATTCCCCCAGGTGCTCTGAGGCCAAGGCTGCTGGGCTACTTGCTCAGCAGGGACCCAGGCACCTGAACCCCCCATCCTGTGCCCGTTAGGAATCACCAGTAACAGGTATCATAAACAGTGTTTCCAAAATGGCAGCACTGGGCTAAGTCCTTCAAAGTATCATCTCAATTAAACTTCACAATAATCCTATTCATGTTGATGCCACAATTATCCTGTTTCACAGATGGCAACTATCTACTCCCAAGGATCATTGTGAAGATTGAGATAATGTAGCTGACTCCTGTACAGTACCTGGCACACAGTAAATGCTCACTAAATGAGTTATTATAATGATGGTAGACAAGACAGTTTTCCTTAGTCATTACAGCAATGTATACACCCACCAGCAAAGATAGAGCCCAAATCCTCCACATCCTAGCTGACATGTTCATCAAGAATAGAATGGATACATAAATGTTGTTATATTAATTCAATGGAATACCACACAGCAATAAAAAGGACAAACCAAGGAATCATGCAGCAACATGAGAATTTCAGAGACAACATGTTGAGCCCAAGAAGCCAGACACACTTATTTGAAGTTTCCATTTATTTGAAGTTTAAGAAAAGACAGCAGTCACCGTAACAGTATTTACCCCTAGGGTGAGGAGTAATGACCGGGAGGAGACCAGGGGAAACTTCTAGGGGCTAGACATGTATGCTTTGATCTGAGTGGTGGTTTCATGACTGTATACATACATAAAAGCTCATTGATTGATACATACATAAAAGTTCACACCTAGGATTTGTGCACTTTACTGAATGTATCTTTTACTCAATAAAAATTAAATAATAATAATAATTATTATTTATTTTTTAGACAGAGTGTCGTCCAGACTAGAGTGCAATGACGCGATCTCAGCTCACTGTAACCTCTGCCTCCTGGGTTCAAGTGATTCTCCTACCTCAGTCTCCCGAGCGGCTGGGATTATAGGCATGCGCCACCTCGCCCAGCTAATTTTTGTATTTTTAGTAGAGACGGGGTTTCACCATGTTGGCCAGGATGGTCTCCATCTCTTGACCTCGTGATCCGCCCGCCTTGGCCTCCCAAAGTGCTGGGATTTCAGGAGTGAGCCACTGTGCCCGGCCTTATTATTATTGTTGTTATTATTATTATTATTTGAGACGGAGTTTAGCTCTTGTTGCCCAGGCTGGAGTGTGATGACGCTATCTCAGCTCACTGCAACCTCCGCCTCCCAGGTTCAATCGATTCTGCTGCCTGAGCCTCCCAAGTAGCTGAGATTATAGGCGCCTGCCACCACGCCCGGCTAATTTTTGTATTTTTAATAGAGACAGTGTTTCACTATGTTGGCCAGGCTGATCTCAAACTCCTGGCCTCAAGTGATTCTCCCTCCTTGGCCTCCCAAAGTGCTGGGATTACAGGTGTGAACCTCTGCGCCCAGCCAATAATTATTATTATTATTTTTTAATTCAAGACATAGCAAAGCAAGACACAATCCCTGCCCTCTTGGGAGCTTCCGGTGTGGAAGGGAGGCTGTCATGCATTTGCAGTGTAGCATGATAGGGCTGGGAAGGGAAGAGTCTTGGGGCTATGACTTCATGTGGAGAAGGATGTATCCAACCCATCCTTGGATGGCAAGAAGTTTGCATGAAGAAAATGGCATGTAAGCCAGAAGGATGAACACATTTAATAGGAACAATAGAAAAGTTGTGTCCAAGATGGCAGACACAGCCTATACAGCAGCTTGGAGTCTTCAGAAACCACTGATGTCTTTTGTTTTCATTTTTATTTTTTTTGAGACGGAATTTTGCTCTTTTTGCTCAGGCTGGAGTGCAATGGCGCGATCTCAGCTCACTGCAACTTCCGCCTCCTGGGTTCAAGCGATTCTCCTGCCTCAGCCTACCAAGTAGCTGGGATTACAGGCATGTGCCATCATGCCTGGCTAATTTTGTATTTTTAGTAAAGATGGAGTTTCACCATGTTGGCCAGGCTGGTCTCAAACTCCCGACCTCAGGTGATCCGCCCACCTGGGCCTCCCAAAGTACTGGGATTATAGGCATGAGCCACCGCACCCGGCCCAATGTCCGCCTTTCTAGGGCAGCTCACCTTTGGGTGTTTGGGTTCATTCCATTCTGTGCTTGCCTCAAGTCCAGAGCTCCCGAGCATTGGCCCAGCCTTGAGGGAGACTGTGGATTGCATCAGAGGTGGTGAACCAGCTGCTGTGTAGGGAGGGCAACACCTCCCCTTTGCTATGAGACTTTGGGAAGGTTCTCCAACCTCTCTGTGCTTTAATCTTCTCATCTGTAAAATGGGTATAATTCTAATTGTCCCAACGTCATGGGGTTGCGGTGAGGGGTAAATGTATTAATACCCCTCAAGTGTTTTCAACAGTATCTGGCACAAGGTAACTGCTCAATTTGTGTTGTTATTACTCATAAAGAGATTTGGGGGTTATTTGCTTAGCTTCCTATATGGTTCAGGCTCTGATGATGGAGGACGGGCACCAGGACATAAAGGTTAAGGAGAAGGAAGACCAAGGGATTGCAAGGGGGAAGTCCTTCCCAGATAGGATTCCTTAACATGGGATCCCTGGACAGCCTTTGGAGACCCAGGAGCCTGCCTACTGTTGGGCCCATGTGCATTTCCCCAGGCAGCTGGAGCCTAACTTCTACCAGGTCCTCAAAGGCGTCTTAGCGGACAATTAAAGAGCCCCGCTGCTAGCAAAGGTTGATCAGGGAAGGTGTGGGCTGTGGCTGGCAGTGGAGCTGGCTAAGGCCTTGCTGTGGGGCCAAGCTGGACATCTGTGGCCACCTGGATGAGCCAGTTATCTTGTGAGGCTACACATGGAAATACTAGAAGAGGAGGGGGCCACACTATACCAGTGTGAGCTGTGAAGTGGGAGCCGGGCAAGATGAACAGGACCAGGCTGTCAACCACAGAGTGTCTGCGGCCCAGCGCCAGGGAACGTGAGCATGGGAAAGCCCTGGAGGCTTGGCTCCTGTCCTCCCTGGGCGGGACAATCTGCCTGCACAGGCCCCCCAGCCAGCCAGGCAAGGGCCCAACCCATGCTCCCCAAGGCTTGGTTCCTGCTCAGAACCAGCGCACACTGCTGTGTAAAGCCACCAAGGTGGGAAGGATGAAAACCAGTGAAAGGGTGCTTCTGTCCCGGCCTAACCTCCTCTTACATTGGGGAGCAAGCCTAGCCATCGCTTCTTCAGATGGAGGCTGTGACCAATGAAAACTTCCAGGGAAAATTAAAATTGGCCTTTTAACTTAGTGTATGATAGGATAATGATGGCAGCTGACATTTTTGGATTCTGTATTAACTTCAGGGTTGTAAGGAGTAGAGACAGGGTGGGCAGTGGGCACAGTGGCTCACACCTGTAATCCTAGCACTTTGGGAGGCCGAAGTGGGAGGATCTTTTGAGCCCAGGAGTTTGACACCAGCCTGGGCTACAAAGCAAGACCCCCATCTCTACAAAAAAATAGAAAAATAAGCCAGGCATGGTGGTGCACGCCTGTAGTCCCAGCTACTCTGGAGGCGAAGGCAGGAGGATCACTGCAGGTCAAGGATGCAGTGAGCTGTGATCTCACCACTGCAGTCCATCCCGGGTGACACAGCAAGCCCCTGTCTCTGGAAAAAAAAAAAAAAAAAAAAAGGGCAGAGACTAATTTGAAGATGCTTGAAAGAGTGGGAGTGTGTGATGAGGTTGGGGAGGTGGGGGTGGCTGGGCAGATACGCAGCAGGAAGCTACCCTCTCAGCACCAGTTAACACACAAGAGTGTTCTGTTCTGTGTCTGACTGCCATACCCTCAGCTTTCATTTAAATCTCATTTTGGGATTTCTGAAGACAGGCACAGCTGCAAGACAGAGCACGGGCTGGGATAGCAAAGGCCCTGGCCTCTCCCTTCCTGTCAGGGTCCAGCATTTTCCTCCAAGCTACACCCTCTCTGCACTTTAATGGGGGAGGGGCCTTGGCCAATCAGAATCCCGCATTCCTGGCCATGCGATTGGCTCAGGCATAAGCACAATGACCCAGGCTGGGCCAATGACGAGCCTCAGGAGTTGCTAAGCCGACTAGAAGTGGGCCTGCAGCCATGAGGCCATCTTGCCACATAAGTTGACCTTTCGTAGAGGGAAGTCCTTCCTGGAAAGCAGAGCCAGAGGTTCTGGGAGGCAGACTTCTGATCCCTTGAGGTTCTGGATCCAATCAAGCCCAAGACTGGATTACTAGAAGCTTCCTGGATACAGGAGCCAATTCGCTATTTTCATGTTTTTATGTAGCCAGTTGGGTTTGGACTTCTTATAACTTGCAACCAAGACAGTCATGGATGTCAAAGGACAATGAACCGTGAAAGTTTGTCTAGTCCTGGGCAGGCCCATTTGTGCCTACCAGTGAGCCTCCTAGTAGTCCTGCAGACCCACGTTGGCCCCTCATGTGGAAGGTCTGGAAATCCACTGGCCCTGGTTGTGTAGATGCCAGGCCTGCACATGGGAGTGGACATTAGACTCATTGTCTCAATTCCCCAGGAATCCTGACTTCTCCTGGCATCATCCCTCGGCCACACGCTTACATCAGTCATATGGGAATCCACTGATGACTCAGCCTGGTGGCCTTGGAAGCCTCTGTGTGCCAGCCCAGGGCAAGCTCTAGTGGGCTGGAGTGGACCGACATGGCCCTGCCCTCCAGGAGCTCCCAGGAACACCTCACACACTCTGTGGGAAAGCTGGGGTCTAACCAAGCAGGACTCATCTGGAACACCACTGGCCAGCCCAGCATGCTAGCAAAGCTGTGAATTCCTGGATACGGGAGGGCCTCTGGCTCAGGGGACAATAGGATGATTTGGCACAGTTGAGCCCACACGTGTGCAGAGCAACAGCAGGAGGCTGCCCTCTTTGGGTGGAGCCACCTCACCCTATGTCTTTACTCCCTTAAATATCAACCTGGCCAAGGTCGTTGTCTGACCTTGGGACCTCACGTGGGAATTCAGAGCTGACTCAGAGTCTGCATGATAGGGTCCTAGATGAGGTTAGGATTAGGATTAAACAAACAGAACAAGAGACGGAAGAAGGCTTTGCAGAGGAGTTAGATTGGGAGCGTCCCAGGCCGGGGGGCCGGAGTATTCCCCAGGGCCAACCATAGGCTCTGGACAGCCAAGTTTGCTGAATAAATAAGTGCATGGATGAATGGATGAGGGCAAAGGTGAAAGCTACGAAAGGCGATAGGAAGCCAAGGAGGCCGGGTGCACCGAGTCAGGGGCGCATTCCTTCGCTGGTATTCTGGACACAAAGGAGGCTTCACTCCCAAGGCCAGGGTTTCTCCACCTCCCAACTTCTTCCCCTCTTTTCTCCTCTGCTGTGAGAGCCTCTCCACCTTCAGCCTTTCACTATGAATTCTATTTCTCACTTAGATCCACTTGTTTGAAAAGTAGATTTCAATCCATTATCATAAATGGAAGAAGAGCAGCCTTGCTAGCCACAAAGAGAAGGGAAGTAAGAAAATGTTTATAACTCAGGACAGCAACAGGAGGCAGAGGCTGCTGCCTGCCCAAGACATGAGCCTGAGGCCCTGATCTCCACCTGTGTAGAGAAGGAGGTGACTCTGTGATTCCGTTTATGGGAGGTCCCTAGAGCATTCAAATTCACAGACACAGAAAGTTGAATGGTGGTTGCTGGGGGCTGGGGGAGGGACATGAGGAGTTTTCGTTTAATGGTACAGAGTTTCAGTTTTACAAGATGAAAAGAGTTCTGTGGATGGATGATGGGAGGGCTGCACGCTATGAATGTACTTAATGTCACTGCATTGTACACCTAAAAATGGTTAAAATGGTCAATTTTATGTTGTGTATATTTTACCACAATTTATTTTATTTTTTTTGAGACAGGGTCTCGCTCTGTCACCCAGGCTGGAGTGCAGCAGTGTGATCACGGCTCACTGCAGCCTTGTCTTCCCGGGCTCTAGCCATCCTCCCACCTCCAGCAATCCACTCATCAAGTGGTTGGGACCACAGATGTGCCACCATGCACGGCTAATTTTTGTATTTTTGGGAGACACGGGGTCTCACTGTGTTTCCCAGGCTGGTCTCAAACTGCTGAGATCAAGCGATCCACCCACCTTGGCCTCCCAATGTGCTGGGATTATAGGCGTGAGCCACTGCGTCCCGCCCCACAGTGTTTTTAGAAGGGAGAAACGCAAACATTAGCGAGGTGTTAAAGCTTCTTAGCTTCAAACTGATACTTTCTCTTTGATTAACTGGATCATTTGAAAGAGAATTAAAAAAGAAACAACTCGGCCGGGCGTGGTGGCTCAAGCCTGTAATCCCAGCACTTTGGGAGGCCGAGACGGGCAGATCACAAGGTCAGGAGATCAAGACCATCCTGGCTAACACGGTGAAACCCGGTCTCTACTAAAAATACAAAAAATTAGCCGGGCATGGTGGCGGGCGCCTGTAGTCCCAGCTACTCAGGAGGCTGAGGCAGGAGAATGGCGTGAACCCAGGAGGCAGAGGTTGCAGTGAGCCGAGATCGCGCCACTGAGCTCCAGCCTGGGTGAAAGAGCAAGACTCCGTCTCAAAAAAAAAAAAAAAAAAAAGAAACAACTCAGTGTGTGATTGTTTTTTGTGTGTAATACATTTTTAATCCGTTAATCCATTGATAGACACTTAGGTTGATTCCAAATCTTAGCAATTGTGAATAGTGCTGCAATAAACATGGGTGTACAGCTAGCTCTTTGATATACCGATTTCCTTTAGAAATATACCTATAACATACAATTTATAAAAATACAATTTATAACTAACCAGATTATTTATAAATGCATGGCAGTGGGGTTGCTGAATTATACGCTAGTTCTGTTTTTAGTTTTTTTTGAGCAACCTCCATACTGTTCTCCATAGTGGTTGTATTAATTTACTTTCCCACCAATAGTATATGAGGGTTCTCTTTTCTCTATATCCTTGCCAGTATTCATTATTGTCAGTGTGTGATATTATCTAAAATTAATATATAAAACTGTGTCCAGGCCAGGCACAGTGGCTCAGCACTTTGGGAGGCCAAGGTGGGAGGATCGCTTGAGCCCAGGAGTTCGAGACCAGCCTGGGCAACATAGCAAGACCCCCTCTCTAAAAAAAAAAAAAATGCCAGACATGGTGGTGAGTGCCTACAATCCCAGTTACTTGAGAGGCTGAGGCGGGAGAGCTGCCTGAGCTCAAGAGTTTGAGGCTGCGGTGAGCTGTAACTGCACCACTGCACTCCAGCTTGGGCCACAGGGTGAGACCCTGTCTCTAAAAAAATATTAAAATATTAAAATATTGTGTCAGTGTAAGGGAAAGATAAATTATGGGCAGGGGTGTCGGGAGGCCAAAGGATGGGCAGCCCCTGATATGAGGCTCATTCAGGAGAGCATCCTGCAGGGAGAGGCCCTGGAGTGGCTGCAGTGGCTGGCAGGTGCCCATGGTGCCATCCCCTCTGCTGAAGAGAAGTGCCCTGGTGTGCATGGAACCCAACTCCAGTGTTCCTTCATGTGACCTTGGGGAAGTCACTTCTCCTCTGGCCAGGAGGATAATGAAGAGGATGAATGTGAGGCTGACGTGAGGGCCGTGGTGGGTTCTGTGTGCCTGGCCTTTAGGGAGAAGATAGCTATATTTTCTATATTTTCAGGGTCTGTTCCTTGGTTCCCACAAGGAGTCCCTTCTTAAGTTTACCCTGATTAATTTTTGGTGGGGTGGTGGGTGATTGATGAGCTAATTTCCTGTGTTTGGGGACAACTGATGGAGTTTCTTGCCTTTTTTTTGGGGGGGGCGGTGGGGAACAGAGTCTTACTCTGTCATCCAGGCTGGAGTACAGTGGTGCAGTCTTGGCTCACTGCAACCTCTGCCTCCTGTGTTCAGGCGATTCTCCTGCCTCAGCTTCCCGAGTAGCTGGGATTATAGGTGTGCACCACCATGCCTGGCTAATTTTTGTATTTTTAGTAGAGACGGGATTTCACCATGTTGGTCAGGCTGGTGTCGAATTTCTGACCTCGTAATCTGCCTGCCTCGGCCTCCCAAAGTGCTGGGATTACAGGTGTGAGCCACTGCACCTGGCCTCAATGAACTAATTTCCTGTGTTTGGGGACAGCTAATGAAGTTCCCTGTCTTCATGCCCTTCATGCTGGTGGGTAACAGGGAAATCAGTTATAGTGCCATCATACCGGGTCCACGAGGTGCCGTGCACACAACCGGTGCTCTTTTAGCCTGCGGGAATGGCTGCAGGGATGAATTCTGTTCTGGGGCTTGAAGTCTGAACCAGGCAACCTGCCCTCAAGATGCTTACCCCGGTGGAGGAGAAAAAGAGGGCCCTGCTCATCACAGAACAGCATAAGAAATGCAGGGAAAAAAGCGCCTAGCAGCAGGGGTCCCTAAGCAGCTCAGGAAGAGGAGAGAAGCAGAGAGCGAAGTCACCGAAGCTTCCACCACATCTGTACATTTAAAATCCTAACCCCCAAAGAGATGGTGTTAGGAGGCCTGTGGGAGGGAATTAGTGCCTTTGTAAAAGAGGCCAGCCGGGCGCAGTGGCTCACACCTGTAATCCCCGCACTTTGGGAGGCCGAAGTAGGTGGATCACTTGAGGTCAGGAGTTTGAAACCAGCCTGGCCAACATAGTGAAACCCTGTCTCTACTAAAAATACAAAATATATATATATATATTAGCCGGGCGTGATGGTGGGTGCCTGTAATCCCAGCTACTCGGGAGGCTGAGGCAGGAGAATCACTTGAACCAGGGAGGCAGAGGTTGCAGTGAGCAGAGATTGCGCCATTGCACTCCAGCCTGGGCGACAGAGAGAGACTCTGTCGCAAAAAAAAGAAGCCCAAGAGAACTCCCTTGTTTTTTTCCACCATGTGAGCATGTAAGGGTACAGTGACAAGGCCACTTTCTATGAGCCAGGAAGCGGGCCTTCACCAGACATTGAATCTGCTGGTGTCTTGACCTTGAACTTCTCAGCCTCCAGAACAGTGAGAAATAAATTTCTGCTGTCTATAAGCCACCCAGTCTATGGGATTTTTTTACAGCAGCCCAAATGGACAAAGGTACTCAGCAGTGCCCCCCATTTCTCCAACTTTGAAGGGCACACACCAGGCTTGATTTCACAGCCCTCTCAGGAATGTTGGGCCTAGCAAATTATTCCCTTCTTTTTCTTTTTTTGAGACAGGGTCTTACTCTGTCACCCAAGCTGGAGTGCAGTGGTGTGATCATGGCTCACCGCAGCCTCAAACTTCTGAGCTCAAGTGATTCTCCCACCTCAGCTTCCCAAGTAGCTGCTACTACAGTTGTGCACCTCCATACCTGGCTAATTTTATTATTATTATTATTATTATTATTATTATTATTATTATTTTTGAGATGGAGTCTTGCTCTGTCACCTAGGCTGGAGTGCAATGGCACGATCTCAGCTCACTGCAACCTCTGCCTCCTGGGTTCAAGCAGTTCTCCTGCCTCAGCCTCCTGAGTAGCTGGGATTACAGACGCATGCCATCATCTCTGGCTAATTCTTGTATATTTTTAGTAGAGACAGGGTTTCACCGTGTTGGCCAGGCTGGTCTTGAACTCCTGACCTTGTGATCCGCCTGCTTCGGCCTCCCAAAGTACTGGGATTACAGGCGTGAGCCACTGCACCTGGCCAATTTTGGATTTTTTTTCTTTTTTTTTTGTAGAGACAGGGTCTCACTATGTTGCCCAGGCTGGTGTCAAACTCCTGGCCTCAAGCGATCCTCCCACCTTAGTCTCCCAAAGTGTTAGAGTTATGGGCGGGTGCTACCACACCCTGCCACTCCCTTTTTTTGAGAACACCTCTCCTCTGGGTTTAAGGGACGACACGGTCTCCTGGTTCCCTTCCCTCTTTCCTGGCTGCTCCCCTTCATGCCTTGGCTCCTCCTCCTCTGTGTAAATGATGGGATTCTTCAGAACGTCCCTGGGAGCTTGGGAGCAGTGAGCTCCATAGGCTCCCTCCCCAGGAGGCCCTGCTGTCTCCCACCCACGCCTCTGCCCTGCCCACTTGGCAGCTCTGCTCACTTGCCTGTTTCCCAAGCGTTGCTAATTGATGTAGGCTATCCAAAGGTGAGCTCTGAATTTCCCCACCCTGTCGCAATGTGCATCTCCCACATCCCAGAAAAATGGCACCACCATTTACTTGGCTGCTCAAACCCCAAGCCTGGCACTTAGCCTTGAATTTCCCTTTCCAACCCCCTCTACATGGCATGCACCAGCCAGCCCCAGTGGCTCTCTGATCCCCAGATATTTCCAATCTGTTTACTTCTCTCCTTCTCTGCCACCATCCTAGACCAAGCCATGGTCTGCAGGCTGGAAAGTTGCACTGTCTGCTGAACTGGCTCTTCATCTTCGGTGGCTCTTCCCCACCAAAATGCCTTTGTCACTGAATAGCTAGAATCAACTCTTAGAGGTCAGCCAGGTGCAGTGGCTCACGCCTATAATCGCAGCACTTTGGGAGGCCAAAGCTGGTGGATCACCTGAGATCAGGAGTTCGAGACCAGCCTGGTCAACACTGTGAAACCCTGCCTTTACTAAAAATACAAAATTAGCTGGGCATGGGCCGGGCACATCTGTAATCCCAGCTACTCGAGAGGCTAAGGCAGGAGAATCGCTTGAACCCAGGAGGCGGAGGTTGCAGTGAGTCGAGATTGCACCATTGCACTCCAGCCTGGGCAACAAGAGTGAAACTCCATCTCGAAAAAAAAAAAAAAAGAAAGAAAAAGTACATCCCATCAAATCTGCCCCTTCTTAAAACCCTCTGACAGCATCCCACTGATTGTGATCACACCACATCTCCTGTAGGGAGCACGAGGCCCCATCTGGCTGGGCTGGTGCTAGTGCCGTCTCCTCCTGGGCCTCCTTACCTGTGGCCCCTCTGTTCCTGGCTTGTTGGCTCACTCCCCTTTTCTCTGATACTCCATGCCTTTTGCTTCTTTGGTGCGTTTGCACCTGTTCCTACGCCTCCCACTCCCCGCCAATATTTCCCCAGCTTTCTTAGTGAAGGCTCCTTCAGCATCGACGTCCCCTCCTGGAGGAGGCCTTTCCTGGCCACAATCTCTAAATTCCATTGTCTCCAGCTCAGTGCTGTTATTTTATGTTTCACCTCTCACCAATTTCCTCTCAGCATCTTCTTTTGCTTCTGTTGTTTTCATTGTAAAAATTTTCAAACATACACGCAAGTAAAGAGATGATAGTATAATGAGCCCTCATTGACTTATCCTACAGATTGAATAATTAAAATGCCGTCAGATCTGCTTCCTTGAGCCAGGGCTTTTTCTCTTGGCTGAAGAATCATAAGACAGATTCCAAACATGATGTCATTTTACTGTTACTCACTTGAGTATGCATTTTGAAAAAGGATGAGTGGTTTCTTTTTTTTTTTTTTTTGAAACAGAATCTCACTCTGTCACCAGGCTGGAGTGCAGTGGGGCAGTCTCGGCTCATTGCTGTCTCTGCCTCTCAGGTTCAAGTGATTCTCCTGCCTCAGCCTCCTCAGTAGCTGGGACTATAGGCACATGCCACCATGTCCAGCTAATTTTTGTATTTTTAGTAGAGACAGGTTTCACCATGTTGGCCAGGATGGTCTCGATCTCGTGACTTCATGATCCACCTGCCTCGGCCTCCCAAAGTGCTGGGATTACAGGTGTGAGCCACTGCGCCCGGCCGAGTGTTTTCTTATATAACCACACCAGTAACACACCTACCAAAATGAACACTAATTCTTGGTATCAGTTTATATTCACATGTATTCATACAGGCTCACACCTGTAATCGCAGCACTTTGGGAGGCTGAAGCAGGCGGATCACTTGAGGTCAAGGGTTCGAGACCAGCCTGGCCAACATGGTGAAACCCTGTCACTACTAAAAATTAGCTGGAATATGAAACAATTTTCCTAGTTGTCCCAAATATGTCTTTTAATTGTTGGCCTGAGTCACAATCCCAACTGGATCCACGCATCACATCTGCTTATTGTATCTTTTTGTCTTTTGTACCCTAACACAGCCCCCTCTTTTCCATGTTTGCTGCAGAAACCGGGTCAGTCTCCTGTGGGATCATTGCACATCCTGGATTTGTCTGTTGGCTTTTTCATGGAGTTGTTTAACTCGTTCCTCTCTCCCCATATTCTTTGGAGATGGAAGCAAGCTCTAGAAGCCCAATTAGATTCGTGTCTAGAGGTGATGCTGTGTGTTCACCTGTCCTCAGCTCCAGGACCCGTGGTGTCTGGCTGTCCCACTCTCATGATGCTGAGATTGGCCAGTGGGGTCAGGTGGTGGATGACAGCCTTATCGTTCCATGGTCAAGTTCCCCATCAGCCCCTGACCCAACAGTTTCATGCATCGATAATGTTTCCTGAATCAGTCATTCATTTGATTAGGGTTTGCAAAATGGGTGCCTTTTCTATTTCCTTCATTTCTTCCAAACTAGAGGCATACCTGGGGAGGGACAGGGTTTGAAAGCAGTCTACCCTGATGCAGCAATGGGAGTAGGAATTCATAGTCTGTAGAGAACTTAAAAACAATCATGGCTGGGCGTGGTGGCTCACACCTGTAATCCCAACACTTTGGGAGACTGAGGCGGGCAGCTCACTTGAGGTCAGAGGTTCAAGACCAGCCTGGCCGGCATGGTGAAACACCATCTCTACTAAAAATAAAAAAAATTAGCCGGGCATGATGGCGGGAGCCTGTAGTCTCAGCTACTTGGGAGGCTGAGGCAGGAGAATCGCTTGAGCCCGGGAGGTGGAGGTTGCAGTGAGCTGAGATGTTGCCACTGCACTCCAGGCTGGACAACACAGCGAGACTCATCGCAAAAGTAAAAAAAACACAAAAAGACCCAGCAATCATAAAGTGGACTGAAAGTTATTTGCTCTTTTTCTAAAAAGAAAAAAGAAACGGGGTCTCATCATGTTACCCAGGAGGCTGGTCTTTTTTTTTTCTGGAGACAGAGTCTTGCTCTGTTGCCCAGGCTAGAGTGCAGTGGCATGATATCGGCTCACTGCAAGCTCCGCCTTCCAGGTTCACGCCATTCTCCTGCCTCAGCCCCCCGAGTAGCTGGGACTAGAGGCGCCCACCACCATGCCCGGCTAGTTTTTTTTGTATTTTTAGTAGAGACAGGGTTTTACCGCGTTAGCCAGGATGGTCTCGATCTCCTGATCTCGTGATCTGCCCGCCTGGGCCTCCCAAAGTGCTGGGATTACAGGTGTGAGCCGCCGCTCCTGGCCCTGGTCTTTTTTTTTTTTTTTAAATGGAGTGTCACTCTGTCACCCAGGCTACAGTGCAATGGCGTGATCCCAGCTCACTGCAACCTCCACCTCTGGGGTTCAAGCGATTCTCCTGCTTCAGCCTCCTGAGTACCTGGGATTACAGGCATGCACCACCACCCCCAGCTAATTTTTTGTATTTTAGTAGAAATGGGGTTTCACCATGTTGGCCAGGCTGGCCTCAAACTCCTGACCTCAGATGATCCACCCACCTCAGCCTCCCAAAGTGCTGGGATTACAGGCATGAGCCACTGTGCCTGGCCACCCCAGGCTAGTCTTGAACTCTTGGGCTCAAGCAGTCCTCCCACCTTGGCCTCTCAAAGTGCTGGGATTGTAGGCGTGAGCCACTGCACCCAGCCAAGTCCTTTGCTTTTTATCATGACCATGGCCTTGAGACTCTAAACTATGCCAGCAATGAAATATGGGGACAAAGTGCCCCTACTTTCCCCTCCCCACCTTGGTATACCCCTGTTGATTCACTAGAGTCCTCCGGAAAGAAATTTTCCATATCAATCAGGGCTATTTGGTTGCCTTGAAATACAGCTCACATGCTGGAATAAATGCTTCCTCCTTTTAATTAAGCTCCATATTTTTATTCTCCACAGCACCTGAGACATTTTGTAATTGGACATTTGTTTACTTGTCGGGGGCCCTTTTCCTGGCAGAAGGAAGCCGCACAGAGGCCCGTGGGAGGCGCTCCATATTTCACAGGTTTGAGTGAAAGATGTGTGCAGGAGGGCCTGGAAGGGGGAGCAGGCAGTGTCGGAGGTGGGGTGACAGGGGAGCGCCTTTCCTGGGGAAGACCCGGAGGAAGCGGGTGCTATCAGGTGCATTTGAGCAGAGTCTGAGGTTGGGGGAAGCACAGAGGCCCATCTCTCCCACCACCTACCCTGCCCCAGGAAGCACGCACAGCACAAGCCCCGGGATCTGGCCCCATTCTAAGCTCACATTCGCCTTGCTCTCACTCCGTCTCTCTCTCTCTCTCTCTCTCTCTAATTGCTCTGTTTTCCTTCCACTTCACAAGTGGGTTGGCTAGTAACACTGAAGTCTGTTTTATATACATATAGATAGTTAGCAAACACAAAATGTGTGGTGAGCTATGTTCTATCTTTATGTCATTAACACACAAAAGCAAGAAAGCTCCAAGTTAGAGCATCTGCAATTCAGCCCAGTGTGCAACAAGCCATATGGTATGAATGCGAAACAGAAGACAACAGAAGCCCCTCATCCGCCTTTGTCTGCAGAACTCCCTCGAAAGCGTGGACCACGGGCTCCTCCTGCCCTGCCCGTCCTTGCAGAGGCTGGACAGCTTCACCCATTCATTCATCCATCAAACATTCACTTAACTCCTGTCCCGTGCCAAGGGCTGTTCTCCCACCAGCAACAGATGGAACCAAGGCAGGAGAGACCTGTTGTCAGGTGGGAGAACAGTCAGGTCATAAGGAAGTAAAACAATATATTCAAAAGGTAAAATGTTTCCCTTAGTTACAAGAACTCTTTTTTTTTTTCTTGAGATGGAGTCTCGCACTATCGCCTGGACTGGTGTGCAGTGGTGTGATCTCGGCTCACTGCAACCTCCGCCTCCCGAGTTCACGCAATTTTCCTTCCTCAGCCTCCCAAGTAGCTAGGATTACAGGCTCCTGCCACCAAGCCTAGCTAATTTTTTGTATTCTTAGTAGATACGGGGTTTCACTGTGTTGGCCAGGCTGGTCTTGAACTCCTGACCTCGTGATCCTCATGCCTTGGCCTCCCAAAGTGCTGGGATAACAGGCATGAGCCACTGCGCCCAGCCCAGTTATAAGAACTCTTTTAAAAAAATCTTTTAAATGTTTTGTAGAGATGAGGTCTCACTATGTTGCCCGGGCTGGTCTCAAACTCCTGGGATCAACAATCCTCCCTCCTCAGCCTCCCAAAATGCAGGCATGAGCCGCCTCACCTGGCCAGTTACGAGAAATTCTTTTTTTTTTTTTTTTTTGAGACGGAGTCTCGCTCTGTCGCCCAGGCTGGAGTGCAGTGGTGCCTTCTCAGCTCACTGCAAGCTCCACCTCCCGGCTTCACGCCATTCTCCTGCCTCAGCCTCCCAAGTAGCTGGGACTACAGGCAACTGCTACCATGCCCGGCTAATTTTTTTGTGTTTTTAGTAGAGACGGGGTTTCACCATGTTAGCCAGGATGGTCTCGACCTCCTGACCTTGTGATCTGCCTGCCTCGGCCTCCCAAAGTGCTGGGATTACTGGCATGAGCCACGGCACCCAGCGAGAACTTCTGAGAGAGTAAGTGAGTGATATAATAGACAGTAAGTGGATCTTGGGTGAGTCGCTTCAGATAAGGTGGTTCAGGAAGGCCTTTCTCTCTCTCTGTTTTTTTTTTTTCTTTTTTTTCTTTGAGGCAGACTTTCGCTTTGTTGCCCAGGCTGGAGTGCAGTGGCACAATCTCAGCTCACTGCAACCTCTGCCTCCTAGGTTCAAGCAATTCTCGTACCTCAGCCTCCTGAGTAGCTAGGATTACAGGTGCCTGCCACCATGCCTGGCTGATTTTTTTTTTTTTTTTTGTAATTTTAGTAGAGATGGGATTTCACCATGTTGGCCAGGCTGGTCTCCTGAGCTCAGGCAATCTGCCCACCTCAAAGTGATAGGATTACAGGCGTCTCAAAGTGATAGGATTACAGGCGTGAGCCACCACGCCCGGAGGAAGGCCTCTCTTAAAAGGAGACATTTGATTTCTTTTTATTTCCATAGGTTTTTGGGGGAATAGGTGGTATTTCGTTGCATGAGTAAGTTCTTCAGTGGTGATTTGTGAGATTTTGGATCAGTACACATTGAACCAGTTTGTAGTCTTTTATCCCTCACCCCCCCTCACCCTTTCCCCCTGAGTCCCCAAAGTCCACTGTGTCATTCTTAGGCCTTTGCATCCTCATAGCTTAGCTCCCACTTATGAATGAGAACATACAAGTTAGGTTTTCCATTCCTGAATTACTTCATTTAGAATAATACTCTCCAATCTCATCCAGGTTGCTGCAAATGCCATTAACTCATTTCTTTTTGTGGCTGAGTAATATTCCATCATATATATATATACCACAATTTCTTTATCCACTTGCTGATTGATGGGCATTTGGGCTGGTTCCACATTTTTGCAATTGTGAATTGTGTTGCTATAAACATGCATGTGCAAGTATCTTTTTCATATAATGACTTCTTTTCCTCTGGGTAGATACCCAGTAGCGGGATTGCTGGATCAAATGGCAGTTCTACTTTTAGTTCTTTAAGGTATCTAAGAGGAGACATTTGAGCTAAGACCTGATGCATGAGAAAAATCCAGCAAGGAGAGCTATGGGGAAAGTATCCCCGGCATGAACACAGGCGCAGAGCAGGGAATAGGTTTTGTGGGATCACAGAACGCAGGAAGGCTGGAGCACAGTGACGGAGGGAGAGTGGGTGAGGTGAGAGGGAAGAGCTGAGCAGGCAGGGGCACTGTGGGTTGTCATAGGAGTTTGGATCTTAGTCTAATGCTACTAGAAGCTCTTGGAGAGTTTTAAGTGGGAGAGTGACTCGTCTGATTTACTTGTTGAAAGATTGCTCTGTGGCTGCGGGAGACCACAGGAAGCAGAAATCAGAAGCATAGAGACCAGTGGTTCAAACCAGGCAAGATGGTGGCTTGGCCAACGTTGGGGCAAGGTGGGATGGACACAGGGGTCAGATAGGTTTGCAAGCAGAGAGAAGGCGGGCTGCCCATGGCCTAATGAGCATGCAGGCCCATGGTCTTGGGACCAGTAGAGGCTGACAAGGACTTGGGCAGGGACAGCTGGGCAAAACATGACGTGAAAACACAGCTTCCTGCTCCTCAGGACTCCACCTCTGCAGATGGAGTGCCCTGTCTACGTCACTTCTCACTGAAGATCTAGTTTTCTTTCCTGTCCCCTCACCTCTGCGGTCTTTTTTTTTTTTTTTTTTTTTTTTTTGAGATAGAGTTTTTCTCGCTCTGTCACACAGGCTGTAGTGGAGTGGTGTGATCTCGGCTCACTGCAACCTACGCCTCCTGGGTTCAAGCAATTCTCCTGCCTCAGCCTCCCAAGTAGCTGGGATTACAGGCGTCCGCCACCATGCCCAGCTAATTTTTGTATTTTTAGTAGAGACAGGGTTTCAACATGCTGGCCAGGCTGGTCTTGAACTCCTGACCTTGTGATACGCCCGCCTCAGCCTCCCAAAGTGCTGGGATTACAGGAGTGAGCCACTGCACCCAGCCCACTTCTGTGGTCTTGAGTATGTCGGCATCATTCTGCCAGGTGGAAGTCCAGGGAGGGGAAGTCACCATCTAGGGCCACCAGTGACAAGGGGCACCCTGGGAGGAACGCTTTTCCATAGACAGGAAAAAAACTTGGGGTCCTAGCCGTCCTTCCCAGGGCTCAGCTGGCCATTCTGCATTGTAAGTGGCATATGAAGGCTGGGCCCTGTCCTCACCATCAAGGACATGCGTTCATGCATACCTAGAAGCTGTGGAACTTTCTGCTTTAGGAGCGAGAGCTTCTTTGCCTCCTCCTGGAATGGAGGCACACCCCAAGCTGCAATTTGGGGTCTCCGGAAAGCAGAGTTCAGTGTGCAGGATGAGTGGTAGAGTGTCCTAGGGGTCAACACCTGGGATCAGCAGGGGTGAGAAGCAGGAGGGCGTTCTAGGGCTGGAGTAGCCACCACCGCTGTCCTGTGTTGGGCCAAAGTGGTATGACCTTTAGACCTCCGCCTTCATCAGTCACAGCGTGGGGCCACCTTGCAGGATGTGACTGTGGCGAGGCAGCTGTCTGCAGTGGAGGCAGGCCCAGAAGGGCTACAGCTGGAGGCTATGGCAGTGGGCTTCCTGCAGGTGGGCCCTGGGGGTCATATCTGTGTCTACCACCCTTCATTAACTCAGACATGACCAACGTGTAAACCTGCAGTTTGGGTCATGCTAAAGTCACATCTTCCTGTTCCTTAAGCAAGAACAGCCAAAGGTTGCAGACCATAGCCAGGTGGGTCTGAGACTCCATGGGAACCCCATTTACATGGCAACAGCTAAAGGGACAAAGACCACTGCTCCTGCACCGTCATGCCGGCCCCCTGAACACAGAGACAGCCCTATGTTCATCCAACTCCATGTCTTTCATTTTCCTTAAAAATGTGCACTGCCTGTCTCTCCAGTGTGCTCAGGGCCAGAATGAGCAGGGAACCCCAGGCTGCCCTGCCCTCATGGAGTCCACAGGCTGGTGGGGCAGGGAGACGCCAGACAAACGACCACACCAAAGGCCAGGTATTGAGTCGCATAACAGCAAACATTTCCCGAGGTATCGCTGTGTGCTGAGCCTTAGACGCACCATTCTCTAGCGCAAGATGTGATTCACACACCATCCTCAACAACGGAAACTGATGTCAGGCCATCTCGCTTCAGCTCCAGACACAGCCGCAGCGAGACCCCAGCAGTCCTCAAGGCCACCAGCCAGGACGCGGTTGGAAGAAGGAACAGAGGTCTTTAGAACCTGATGGACTGTGAGGGAGGAGGAGGGGGTCGAGGAGGCTCCTCTGAGCAGTGAGGCTTGAGTTGAGACATAAGAGATGAGAAGGCGTTGACAGGGAATAGAAGGGTTTAAAGGAAGGAAGAGCATGAACAAGGCCCTGGGGTGGATAACCAAAACTCACTGGAGGATCCAGGAGGTGGCCGAGGGGGCCACTGTGAGGACTTCCTTTGCTCTCTCTCTCTCACTCTCTCTCTCTTAGGAAGAGAGTTTCACTCTGTCACCCAGGTTGGAGTGCACTGGTGAAATCATAGCTCATTGCAACTTTGACTTCCTGGGCTCAAGTGATTTTCCCATCTAGGTCTCCTGAGTAGCTGGGACCACAGGTGCACCCCACCATGCCTGGCTAATTTTTAAATTTTTTGTAGAGATGGGGTCTGGCTATGTTGCCCAGGCTGGTCTCCAACTCCTGGCCTCAAGTGATCCTGTCATCTCAGCCTCCCAAAGTGCTGGGATTACAGGCGTGAGCCACTGTGCCCGGCCTCTTCCTTCATTATCAGGGCCACAGGGAGAGACAATTCTATGTGCGTCTTGGAAAGACTCCTTGAGCTGTCAATTGAAGAACAGATTTTTGGGGGAACCCAGTGATGGAGGTGCCTACAGTCATGCAGGGGGAGGATGGTGCCAGGGCCGGAATGTGGCAGGGCATGGTACAAAGTGGCTAGATTCAGTGCAGTTTGGAATAAAATCAACTTGGCAAATCCGGGACATTCAAGGTCCTGAGACATAAGACAAAGGCAAAAATGACATCTCTTCTCTGACTTTTATATATTACATATATCAAAACATCAAAAGAACAGTATAATGAGGCCAGGTGTGGTGGCTCATGCCTATAATTCCAGCACTTTGGGAGGCCGAGGCTGGTGGATTGCTTGAGTCCAGTAGTTCGAGACTAGCCTGGCCAACATGGAGAAACCTTGTCTCTACTAAAAAATACAAAAATTAGCCAGGTTTGGTGGCACATACCTGTCATCCCATCTACTTGGGGGCCTGAGGCAGGAGAATCACTTGAGCCCAGGAGACAGAGGTTGCAGTGAGCCGAGATTTCGATACTGCACTCCAGCCTGGGCAACAGAGCAAGACTCTGTTTCAAGAAAAACAAACAAACAAAAAACAGTATAATGAGTACCTGTTAACATCTACGCAGAATCACTGGTTGGTACTATTTTGCTATACTTGCTTTTTCTCATTCATTCTCTACACACACACACTTTTTGCTGTGCAGTTGCTGACATCATGATGCTTCATGTCTAAATTATTACCTCTATAGTTATCCCTTAAGAATAAGGATGTCCTCCTCAGTAAACACAGTAGCACTTCTGCACCTAAGAATGTTAACAATTATCCAATAGTATCATTTAATATCCAATCCATGCCAAATTTCCCCAACTGTCCTCAGAATTTTTTTTTGACCAGGATCCAATAGTCCTTGGTTGCTGTGTTTATTCTTTAGTTTATTTTCATATAGAACACACCCAACCCCTCTCCTTTCCTTCCTGTGAGGCCCATGAGGCTTTTTTTTTTTTTTCTTGAAATGGAGTCTTGCTGTGTCACCCAGGCTGGAGTATAGTGGCGAGATCTCAGCTTACTGTAACCTCCGCCTCCTGGGTTCAAGAGATTCTAATGCCTCAGCCTTCCGAGTAGCTGGGATTATAGGCACCCGCCACCACACTTGGCTAACTTTTGTATATTTAGCAGAGAAGGGGTTTCACTGTGTTTCCCAGGCTGGTCTCGAACTCCTGACCTCAAGTGATCCGCCCGCCTTAGCCTCCCAAAGTGCTGGGATTACAGGCGTGACCACCGCACTCACCCCCCATGAGGCTTTTAGACAATTTCAGGCCAGTTGTCTCGTAGGACATTGCCCATTCTGGATTCATCCAGTGGTTTGCAGGCTTTCTTTTAAAAGAGCTTTATTGAGCTATCATTCACATACCATACAGTGTACCCATTTAAAATGATTTTATTATCGATTTATTTGTGTGTGTGTGTATATATATATATATATTATATATATGAACAGTTTTCAGTATATTTACAGATATGTGCAACCATCACTACAATCAACTTCAGAACATTTTCACCACCTCAAGAGGAAACCCTTTAGGTATCATCTATACCCACCTCCTCTGCCCTAGGCAACCACCAATCTACTTTCTGTCTCTTTAGATTTTCCTATTCTGGACTTTGACATGAATGGAATCATGTCATATGTGGGCTTCTGTGACTGGCTTCTTTCACTTAGTGCAATGTTTTCAGGGTTCATCCGTGTTGCAGCATGCCCCAGTACTGCATTCCTTTTCATGATTGAGTAATACTCTGTGGTTTGGATATACCACATTTTGTTCATCCGTTTGTCCACTGATGGACACTTGAGTGTTTCCATGTTTTGGCTTCTATGAATGTTTATGAATGCTGCTGTCAATGTTTAGGTACAAGTGATCGTGTGGACTTATGTCTTGGGTCTATACCTAGGAGTGGATTTGCTGGGTCACAGGGTACTTCTTTTTTTTTGTTGTCCAGGCTGGAGTGCAATGGCGCGATCTCGGCTCACTGCAACCTCCACCTCCTGGGTGCAAGTGATTCTCTTGCCTCAGCCTCCCAAGTAGCTGGGATTACAGGCATGTGCCACCATGCCTGGCTAATTTTTGTATTTTTAGTAGAGACGGGGTTTCGCCATGTTGGCCAGGCTGGTCTTGAACTCCTGACCTCAGGTAATCCACCCACCTCAGCCTCCCAAAGTGCTGGGATTACAGGCGTGAGCCACTGCACCTGGCCTGTTGCAGTTCTTTTCAGTTTCGCCTAATGGAGTCTTACACCTGAGCCCAGCTGGCCCTCCCCTCTGCAGCTTCACCCCCACAGGTCTGTGCCTCCCCTGGCCCCAGACCATGGAGAAGGATGCAAATGCTGCCGTAGTTGGCCCTCGTTTCTTATCTTTGTATCTGCCCTTTGTAACGTGCAGCTGGTCAGGTTGTTGTCAGGTCCTTACTTGCTTTTTTCTTTTTTGAAACAGGGTCTCACTCTATCACCCAGGCTGGAGTGCAGTGGTGCGTTCACAGCTCATTGCAGCCTCAAACTCCTGAGCTTGTCATCCTCCTGCCTCAGTCTCCTGAATGACATGAATGGCACACACACCACTGTCCCTGACTAATCATTTTATTTTATTTTTTTGTAGAGAATGGGTCTTTCTATGTTGTCCAGGCTCATCTTGAACTCCTGGGTGGAAGCAATCCTCCCACCTCAGCCCCCCAAAGTACTGGGATTACATGTGTGAGCCACTGTACCCGGCTGTCCCTGTAGTCTTCTATCACCATTTTACTCAGTGTCCAAAAACATCCCCAGGAGGCACCAGGGCAGTCTGTTAAGTTGGGGAAACTAAGTCCTCAGAGAGGTAAAAGTTGCTCAAAAAGCTAGTGCTGGACACTGGGCCAGGGCTGCTGGGCTGGCCTAACTGGGTGCTGAGACTTCCTGGCTGGCCCTGCAAGGTGCCACGTGTGGCACTGGGGAAGGTGGCAGGAAGGAGGTGTTTCCAAGAGCAAAGGACCCACAGAAGCCTCCATTCCTAGAGCTATTTCCCACTTGGGGCTTTGCTGCCCATCTGCTATTTACCAAGGAGGTGCCAATGCCATGGGGGACCTCGTGTCCCTGGAAGCGGCCAGGCCAGGCTGAAGCAGCCGGTGGGCCCAGCCTGGAAGGCCAAGGGCTCCACTGGCCCAAGGAGGCTGGGGCTGTTGCAGACTCAGAGCTTGTTCAGACCGCAGTCAAACCCTTTCTCTCTGCACAACGCCTGATTCAGAGCTAGGCTGCCTTCCTGGGCTGCTCCAGGGCTGCGGGGTTTGAGTGTTTGCTCCCTGTGACCAGGTGAGGCTAGAGAGGGCAGATGTTTACCCTGGCAGGATCCCGAGTCCCTAACCCACCCCTGCACCCACCCTGTGCTTCTTGGGAGCCAGATGACTCTGGGGACTCTCACCTCCTCCCCTTTCTTCTGCTGTTGTCTTTCCTGACGTGTGCATCTGTCCACATTCTTCTGTCAACATTAGATTTAGGGCCAGCTCAAATGCCACCTCCTCCAGGGAGCTGTCCTCCCTCCTCTCTTCTGGATGCCATGGCGTATATCCACCCTCCCTCAGACACTGACTTAGTGTCCTGTTGCTCTGAGGTCCAGGTGATCTGGTCCATGACTTCTGATGCTAGCAAATACACAGGGTTCTCCTGGGGGGCATGACCCGAGTCCTCTTTATTGATTTGGTCAGAATTATTCTGGGCTTAAAATAAAAAAAAAAATCGTATCTTTCCTATTTCTCCCTTTGCAATCTTTATTATTATTATTTTTTGAGACAAGGCTGCACTGTCATGGCTCACTGCAGCTTCTACCTTTTGGGCTGAAGCGATCCTCCCACCTCAGCCTCCTGAGCAGCTGGGACTAAAGGCGCACACCACCACATCCAGCCAATTTTTATTTTTTGTAGCAAGGTCTCACCATGTTGCCCAAGCTGGTCTCATAGGAGGGTCCTGATGCCTTGCTCTTATCCCACCTCCTTCCTTGTCTCAGCACTGTCCATTCTTGCTGCAGCAGCCAAGAGGGGTCTTCCTAAAACATAAGCGGATCACATCCTACTCAAAAAAAACAAAAAACAGGCTGGTTGCAGTGGCTCACACCTGTAATCCCAGCACTTTGAGAGGCCGAGGCGGGTGGATCATGAAGTCAGGAGTTTGAGACCAGCCTTGCCAACATGGTGAAACCCCATCTCTACTAAAAATAAAAAAATTTAGCTGGGCGTGGTGGTGCATGCCTGTAATCCTAGCTACTCAGGAGGCTGAGGCAGGAGAATCGCTTGAACCCGGGAGGCGGAGGTTGCAGTGAGCTGAGATCGTGCCACTGCATTCCAGCCTGGGCGACAGAGTGAGACTCTGTCTCAGAAACAAACAAACAATCAAACAAACAACAAAAAAGAAAGCATGTCCAGCCCTTGGTGATTTGGCCCTGAGCCTTCTCCAGCCCCATCTCCCACTGCTCCTTCTTCCTCCTGGGACTTAAACTCCAGGCTCTGCAAACCACATCCTCTTCCTCTTCACCCAGTTCTGGCATCACCTCCTCCAGGAAGGCCTCCAGCATTTTCCCAAGCGGCCAAGAGCACCCTCTGCTGGATGTGCACAGCTGTTCACCACCTTAGCAGGGCTGACTCTGGGGAGCCTACTCCCTGGCCCTGTTTGCCCTGCAGGTACCTGTGCTTTTCCCCTGCCCACCTCCCCATTGCCGAGCCTGGCCTGTGGGCAGTGTCCATGGACAGATCTGAGGACCCAAGGGAGTGGGAAGCCTTGAGTGGGCCCCACCTACCCCGGGGAAGGCAGAATTGCAAGCTTCACACCTAGGTCCCTTCAGGCCTCAGCTTAGATGCCACCTCCTCCAGGCAGCTTTCCCTGACCCCCACTGAGATGCTGCCCTCCAATGATCTCACCATATCCCTAGTTTCATTTTCTTCCTAGCACGGAGACCAGCTGTTATCTTCCCCGCTTGTTTAATTGTCCCCCTCCCAGCCTCCCACACCCATGGCACAGTCAGCTCCAAGGGGCAGATTGCCGTTCCTTCTGTATCCCAGCCCTTGGCATAGCACCCACACCAGGGAGGCCCAGTAAATAATGGGTAAATTCATGAGCTTCAGGACCCTCCCCAGGGGTGGGTATTTGAGCTATCTTTGAGAAGAATTGTCATGGCTCACAGGTTTAGGGGGCTGGTACTAGGCCGGGGGAAGTTCCAACAGGGTTGGTGATCCCCTTGACATTGAGACCCGTGTCTCTACCCCAGATTCTGGGCCTTTGGGTGACACAGGCTGTCCCCGAGAGACAAAAAATGACTCACTCCTGGTTGGGCATCCCAAGACTTAGTTCTCCAAAGCAGAGGGGCTGCAGGTGGTTGTGGGAAGGGCGGAGTGTCCCCAGGCCCTGCCCTCCCTCCTGCAGCCACTCTCCTCTTCAGCTGCCCTTCCAGGCTGCTGGTGGCTACCCTCAGCTCCACCATCCTGTCTCAACAGCCTTGGGCTTTGCCTTTTCTTTCTCCTCCCCTTTCCCTGCTGTGTTCTCTTTATTTATCTTTTCCTCCTTCTCTT
The DNA here is from genome assembly GCF_000001405.40 of Homo sapiens. Taxonomy (NCBI): domain Eukaryota; kingdom Metazoa; phylum Chordata; class Mammalia; order Primates; family Hominidae; genus Homo; species Homo sapiens. The sequence continues at coordinate 29,785,406 of NC_000019.10, read as the reverse complement.
ATGGTCTTCCACATCCACTTACGGTGCGGGACACACATAGGTGCACAGCAACTATCTGTTGGCTCATTCAGCTTATAACATATTCTTCTTATTAATAAAGAGAAGGAGATGTCCCCCACTCCAACTCTTTCTCATCATCTCCCTGCATCCTCAAGATTCCTGGTGCATAGGGGCTTAACACCTGAGTAACAGTTTATTCCCTCTATTTTATTTGGTTCATCTGTCCATCCATCCATCTAATCACTCACCCATCCACCCACCAATCCATCTATCCACCCATTCACCCACCCACCCACCTATCCACCCATCTACCCACACTTCCATCCACCCATCCATTCATTCATCTATCCATCCGTCCATCCATCCATCCATCCATCCATCCATCCATCTACCCACCCTTCCATCCATCCATCCATTCACTCATCTACCCATCCATCCATCCAAACATCCACCCATCTATCCATCCACCCACTCACCAATCCATTCACTCAACAACCCACCCACACCCACCCATCCACTCATTTATCCACCCATCTGTCCATTTACCCACCCACCCATTCATCCATCCATTCATCCTCCCACCCAATGATCCACTCATCCATCCACCCATCCATTCATCCATCCTTCCACCCATCCACCCATCCACCTATCCACCCACCTGCCCATCTATCCATCTTTCTGTCTGTCCACACACCCATCAATCTATCTACCACTCATTCATCCATCTATCCATCCTCCCACCCACCCATTTATCCATTCATCCAGCCACCCATCCAGCCACCTACTGGGAATAGACTGGCCCTGAGTGACTGTGACACAGCAAGCAAGATTAGGGGTGGGGAATCAGACAAATGCACATCCAGGTGTACTATGAAGCGGGGCCTACAAACCCAAGTGCTGGCAGGAAGTGAAGTGGGCTAGGTAACCCACCAGGCAAACATGGCAAAATATCTCAGTAGCCTGCTCATGGCCTGCCGGTTGCCAGTCTGTGAGTCCAACCTGGAGCTACTAGCAGAACATTATTGTGCTGGGAAGCTCGGCTGAGGGTCCCGTGTGGCCAGTGGCTGGAGTGGGGGTTCTAGGCAGAGCTCCCAAGAAGAGGGGGCATTTGAGCTGGGCCTGAAGACCCCTGTCATTACATCTTCTGGCCAATATGTGATTTCTGCACACTCAGGGGCAGCCTATTTACAGTCCCCTCTTCTCCCCACACCTTCAGCCCAAGGGTGAAGGACAGCCACTGCCCAATGTTCCTCTCTTCTCTCTCCAGGAGTCCTGTGGGGCCATGGAAGACCCACACACACAGACACACACACAGAGACACACAGACAGACACACACAGAAACACATATGGACACACAGATACACACACAGACACACATGTGCACACATACAGACACACACACACATACAGACACACACAGATGCACATACAGACACACACAGATACACACACAGACACACACGTGCACACACACATGCGCGCCTGCACACACACACACACACGAATGTGAACTCCTGGGACAGGGACCTTGTCTGTCGTGTTCATGGCTGCAGCCGGAGCCTGAGCAGGTGTTCAGTGAGTCCTTGCTGAATGAATGAATGACAGGCGGATGGCACCTGTCGAATGAATGAAGGAGTGTACGAACAGAAATAATCAGGAGGATTTCATGAAGGTCCGGGTTGAGTGGACCGTCCCATATCACTGTGATCAGGTACGTGAGGGCAGAAGCCAGCCTCCTAGCATTTCCTTTCTTTTAAAAGGATTATTAGTTTTTAATTACAGAAGCATGCATGAATACATCCTCATTATAAGAAGAAGAATTCCAACATGACAGATAAGGCCCAAGCGCTACTTTATTGCCAGCTCCAGACCCACCTCTCGCCCCCAGAGGAGGATGTGTGGATAGTGTGCGTTGCTCCCTGCCATGGCGTCCTCCACATATCTTACATGTTTGTATGTGGATGGACGTGTGTGTGTACTCACACACATGTGGATGCACCTAATCATGACATATGGTGTCGTTTCATAAGATTCTAAAAAATAAGTGGGGGTTAGGCATGGTGGCTCCTGCCTGTAATCCCAGCACTTTGGGAGGCCAAGGCAGGAGGATCACTTGAGCCCAGGAGTTCAAGACCAGTTTGGGCAACATAGGGAGACTTTGTCTCTTTAAATAATTTATTTTATTATTATTATTATTATTTTCTTTTGTTCTCTTTTTTTCTTCAAACAATTTAAAAATTAGCCAGGTGTGGTGGCACATACCTGTAGTCCCAGTCACTTAAGAGGCTGAGGTGGGAGGATTGCTGGAGTCGAGATGGAGTTTACAGTGAGCTGTGATCGCCTCACTGCACTTCAGCCTGGGCCACAGAGTGAGACTCTCTCAAAACAAAAAGTGGGGTCACATTGTGTGTATGCGCACACACACCTAACTTTATTTAACGCTTACTTTCTTTTTCAGGAATAACATTTTCTGGCGCTTCCTCCATACGAGAATACCCCCATTCTTTTTGTTACTGTAATTGTGGCCTGGAGTTTCACAGCTTCTTCTTTTTTTTTTTTTTTTTTTTTTTTTTTTTGAGACTGAATCTCACTCTATCACCCAGGCTGGAGTGCATTGGCGTGATCTCGACTCACTGCAAACTCTGCCTCCTGGGTTCAAGCAATTCTCGTGCCTCAGCCTCCTGAGTAGCTGGGATTACAGGTGCCTGCCACCACGCCCGGCTGATTTTTATATTTTTAGTAGAGACGAGGTTTCACCATGTTGACCAGGCCGGGCTTGAACTCCTGACCTCAGATGATCTGCCCGCCTCGGCCTCCCAAAGTGCTGGGATTACAGACTTGAGCCACCGCGCCCGGCCTCCACAGCTTCTTGAGTCACCACCCTACTGCTTGCCACTTTGAATGTTCCTAAATACTCGTTCCCACAGAGACAGCCTCAGTGGACGTCACGTGCCCAGCTTCTCGTATCCCCGTGTCGTTGCTGGGTTATAGACTGCCCTGACTACCACTTTCCTGATGGCGTGGACCACAACAGGTCCTGCAGTGGAAAGAAAGACTCACGGCTCCGTGATCTCTGAACCTCAGTGTCTGTGAGGCCACGAGAACATGCCCTGGGGAGCCACAGGCTGCAGGGGCTGAGTATCAGTGTGCCGGACCCACTGCCTGGAGGCAGAGCCTCCACCAGGACCCTGGCTCCGACTGGAGGCACTGCCTTCACCTACTGCATGCCAGAGCTGGGCAAGGCCCAGGCGCACGTTGGCAGCCTTGGTCCTGCCTCAGGGGGCTCTCAGTCTGTAGGGGCCATGCAGAGCAAGCTGTCCACCACCTGTTTGTGTCAGTGCTGGGCTGGAGGCCCGAGCTGGGGACTGAGTGGGGCGGCTGCCAATTGGGGCCTAGAGTGACTTCCGTATGAGCAAAACCCAGGCGTTTGAGGGGGTGGGCGTGAGACCTGTCCTTGCACACCCAGCCTTCCCACATCCTGGTGCTCGGGTGCCACAAGCCAGGCCCCAATGGCCCCAGGGGCGACCCAACCCAAGCCCTTGTCCTTCCCGGTCCCGTGCTCCGTCCCTGCCCTCCAGTGCTGGAAAGCATCTCCGATTCCGCCAGGCACCGCAGTGTGCAGCTCCTCAGGCAAGCTCGGCACAGGTGCCAACTGTGATTCCACTCTCCCCGCTTCCATCTCTGTAGCCCGGCACCTGCAGAGGCCCCCACTAGAGCCATGCCAATGAGGGGGCTGCGGCTGCGTGTGTGCTGCCCGCGTGTGGGCCCACGTGCCCGTCTGCCAGTCCGCGCATGGAGCCACGAGGGAAATTTCCAGCACAAAGACCGTATGCCTGAGAGAGAGGGGGAATTGCTCAGCAAACTTCAGAAGCAATCAAAATGTCCTTTCCATAAAGTCCCAGCTTAAAAAATGTTAGCAGGTGCGTGTACAATAGCGAGTCAGTTGGGATGGATTACTATGGAATACCATTTCCGCTCATTACAGATTATGAATTCAAGGCATAGTTTTCTGTAAATTGTCATTCTTGTCTGGTAAGGAAGGCTAATTTTTCCCTCATATGAAAAAAAAAAAAACAAAAAAACAACAAACCCACCATTCTGCTGGGCCACCGCTCCTTGGAACAGCACCTGCTGGAGCCCGGCATCACTTGGGGCAGCCAGGACGGGCTGGGGCTGGTCCTCCTGGGATGATTTCTGGCGTGAGCAGAGAGCACTTTGGGGAAGTAAGAAAGGCCCCCGATCATGGGTGCTGGACATTTTCTGGAAGAAGGATGAAGAGGGTGAGTTTTGTGTGGTGGAGATGAGGTGTGGGTGGCCAGGAGGGGAGGGAATTCATTGGCAAGACATTAGAGGCCATGCCCATTATTATTCATTCATTCATTCCTTCACTCCCTCATTCATTCATTCCACAAGTGTTTGTTGAGTGGACACTGTATAGGATCCTCTTCCACAGACCAGGGTCATAGCAGTGCTAAGGTCTTCTCTTTCTCTCTCTTTCTTTCTCTCTCTTTGGTCTCACTCTTTCACCAAGGCTGGAGTGGACTGGCACCATCATAGCTCACTGCAGCCTCAAACTCCTGGGCTCAAGTGATCCTCCTGCTTCAGCCTTTTGAGTAGCTGGAACTATAGGTGCTCCTCACCATACCCAGCTTTTTTCTTTTTTTTTTTTTTAAGATGGAGTCTCTCTCTGTCGCTCAGGCTGGAGTGCAGTAGCACAATCTTGGCTCACTGCAACCTCTGCCTCCTGGGTTCAAGTGATTCTCCTGCCTCAGCCTCTTGAGTAGGTGGGATTACAGGCACCCACCACCACACCTGGATAATTTTTGTATTTTTACTAGAGATGGGGTTTCACCATGTTGGCTAGGCTGGTCTCAAACTCCTGACCTCAGGTGATCTGCCCATCTCGGCCTCCCAAAGTGTTGGGATTATGGGCATGACCCACTATGCCCGGCCCAGGTCTTCCCTTCCAGTGGGGAAAAGCAGGTAATAAAGGGAGAGGTCGTTGTTGCTGCAAAGGGAGAGGAAGGGCTGGTCTGGGGGAGGTGACTTTGGGGCTGAGCCTGGAGGAAGAAGAGGGGCCAGCAGCCCTCGTGCACTGCAAGTTTTGGGCAGAGCAAGCCAGGCTTGTCCTACAATGAGAGAAAAGGCCAGAGAGGCTGGAGCTGAGGGCAGAGGGGAGAGTGGAGAGGCCAGGCTGGGGCCGAGGCACACACACCTAAGGTGCACGAGAAGCTGCTGGCTGGTTCTGAGCAAGGAGAGATGGGGTTGGCTTCTGTTGGCAGCTCCCCCAGGCTGCTGGGTGGAGAACAACAGGAGGAGGTGCTGCGGTGGGAGAGGACCCCCAGGCTGGGAGAACAAGAGTGGTGCTGCCGCGGCCCCGACTGCAGAGTTCTGAGATTCATGGTGGTTCATACCTCCACCCACACCCTCCACCCTGCCCCTCGCAGAACCGGTGGCCTCTGGTCCTTGACATCTGCCCCTGGAGTAGCCTCAGGGGAGTGTGGTGGTTGAGTGCCAGCTGCCATTTCTTCTCCTAATCGGACTAAGGAAGGGCAGCCCCTCCAGAGGTGTTGGAATTTCTCTGTCTAGTATGATAGCAGCAGACTTTCTTCTTTTTCTTTTTCTTTTTTTTTTGAGACGAAATCTCGCTCTGTCGCCCAGGCTGGAGTGTAGTGGCGCGCTCTCGGCTCACTGCAATCTCCGCCTCCTGGATTCAAGCGATTCTCCTGCCTCAGTCTCCTGAGTAGCTGGGATTACAGATGCACCCCACCACGCCCGGCTAATTTTTGTATTTTTATTAGAGATGGGGTTTCGCCATGTTGGTCAGGCTGGTCTCAAACTCCCGACCTCAGGTGATCCACCCATCTTGGCCTCCCAAAGTGCTGGGATTACAGGCGTGAGCCACCACTCCCAGCTCTTTTTTTTTTTTTTCTTTTTTTTTTTAGATGGAGTCTCACTCTGTCGCCCAGGCTCAGCTCACTGCAACCTCCACCTCCTAAATTCAAGTGATTCTCCTGCCTTAGCTTCCTGAGTAGGTGGAATTACAGGCCTGAGCCGCCATGCCTGGCTAATTTTCTGTATGTTTAGTAGAGAAGGGATTTCACCATGTTGGCCAGGGTGGTCTGGAACTCCTGACCTCAGGCTATACGCCTGCCTCAGCCTCCCAAAGTGCTGGGATTACAGGCGTGAGCCACTGCACCCGGCCATAGCAGACTCTTTAAGACAGGGGAAGCTGGAACTTATTCTGGTATGAGACCCATGTTCCTCAAGACCCATTCAGAGACAAACAAGAGAAACATGAATCAACCAGCTCAAGTGCAACTGAAATAACATTAGGAAGTGATTGGTTCTTGCTATCAGCAAGTCCAGGGACTTCAGTCCTGGCTGGATCCAGGGGCTTAAATAGTATTGACAGGTCCTTTCTTGGTCTCTGTTCTCCTCTGCTGTGGCTTCCTTCTCTGGCAGGTGGTCCCTGAGTGGTGGTAGAGATGCCATCAGCCACTGCAGACTTAACCTCCTGCCAGCTAAGGAGAGTCCTTTGCTCAAATGGGATCCTCTGTGGAAGTTGAGGAGGTAAAGCAGGCCCAGGGGAGCTGCTTTGGCTGGGACTGGGGGAAGCCCCTCTGCTCACTGGCTTCTCCTCCTTGGACTCACCAGTTGGCCCCTGAAAAAAGCAGTGGAAAACTGGAGCTCACCCCTGTGGTCCCTGTTTCCCCCACTGCAGCATTCCAGCTGCCTGTTCTAGCACCCACAGTGACCCTGCAGAGCTTTCTCAGCTGTGATGAGGGCCTGGGCCAGGGCAGACCCACTGCACTTGCGGCATCCAGGGAGGCCCTGCCTGGAGTGGTCCTAGAAGCAAGACACACTCCTGCCTCACCCGGGACCAGGATTCCTCCAAGGCCCACACACCCCCATAGCAGAGGGGTTCACTTCATGCACCTCCCCATAAAGCACACACCCAGAGCTTCCATCCCACTTCCACTCTTAGATCCAAGAAACCACAGTGCTCTCTCAAGCAAGACCAGCTTACTCCTCAAGTATGGAGGCTCTGGGGACAGATGGCTGGAGTTGCTAGCTGTGTGACACTGGACACATTTCTTAACCTCTCTGTGCCTCAATAACCTTGGCTGTGCAGTGGGAGACATAATACCAGGGCTCTTGTGGGAACTAACTAAGGAATGTGGAGGGCATCTAGCGTGTAGCAGATGCTGCTGACATGTTAACCACGATCATCCTGGGCACAGCTGATCCTGAAGTCATGCCAGTCTGGGTTTTGGTTGCAGGTGACAAGAACTAACTCCAGCCATCTCAAACAAAAAGGGCTTCCCATTGGAAAGAGCCCAGAGGAATCTTCTCAGGAATTCCCAGGGCCTGTGGTCAGCCCTCATCTCAACAAGGGGCTCACACTAAAATATGTTCCGGCTTTCCCTTTGCAAGGGCTGGACTGGCGCGGGGCCCATCAGGCAAGGGCTGGCTGAGCTGCAGAGTGAGGACCTCTGAGATCTGTCCTGGAGCTGACTGAGCCAACTCGGGGGTGGGGGTTTGGGGCTGCCCCTGATGCTTCTGAGACAGGGACACCTTGCAGCCAAGGGGTACTCAGCCTCTCTGTTCTCTGTTTTGCCTCCAGGAGGGAGTGGCTGGAGCCGTGCTCTGGGTCACATGGACATTCGTGATGCCCTCGCTGTAGGTGCCCGAGGTGCTGAGTCCAGGGCCTTCCAGTGCCAGCTTCAAGCGATGGCCCTGCCACATGCCTCTGTGTGAGCTCACACAGGTCACTTTCCTCTCTGAGCCTCAAGAGTTATGATAAACCAGAGAAACCCAACCTCCCAGGAGAGGTTCCCTTCCTCCTGGCATCTCTGGCTTAAGACCTGCAGCCCTGGAAGCAGGCATCGGATTGGCTGGGCCCTGCTCTCACCCCTGCCATGTGGTAGACCAGGCAGTGGCAGAGTCAGGTTGGAGCCCACCCTGGTCTTTGTCGTGTGAAAGGGCAGTGAGAGGGAGGCAAGGGGGATCGCCCTCCTGCCAAGACTCTACCCATCAGGAAATTCCCCAAAAAGGATGCTTCTCAGGATGGAGGCAGGGGCTGGAGACCCACCAATATCACACATGTGCAATCTAGGCTGTTTGATTTTAAAGTCCTTTTTAAAAATTTTCTTTTGAGACAGAGTCTCACTCTGTCGCCCACGCTGGAGGGCAGTGGTGCATTTCATGGCTCACTGCAGCCTCCACCTCTGAGGTTCTAGTGATTCTCCTGTCTCAGCCTCTCGAGTAGCTGGGATTACAGGTGCACACCACCACACCCGGCTAAATTTTGCATTTTTACTAGAGACAGGGTTTCACCTTGTTGGCCAGGCTAGTCTCGAACTTCTGACCTCTGGTGATCCATGCACCTCAGCCTCCCAAAGTGCTGAGATTACAGGCATGACCCACCGCGCCCAGCCTAAAAGTCACTTTTTCATCACTTTTTCATCCACTGATGTCAGCTTAGGCTGACATCAATGTGGTGAGGTGCAGAGGGTATGGGCCAGGGGCTTTAAGGCTTAGGTCTTCCAGGGGGTGGCCAGGGGTTCTTGCTTTGGCCCTTCCCAAGATTTCCATCTGTGAAATGTGTCTGTTGGGCCCAGCCTTCAGGGCAGTAGGATTGTCTGAAATTCTAGTGTTCATCAGGGTTTACGCTGTCTATCCTGTTTGTTTATTTTTGAGACGGAGTCACTCGGTCGCTCAGGCTGGAGTGAAGTGGCATGATCTCGGCTCACTGCAACCTCCGCCTCCTGGGTTCAAGTGATTCTCCTGCCTCAGCCTCCCAAGCAGGTGAGATTACAGGCACCCACCACCATACCCGGCTAATTTTTGTATTTTTACTAGAGGCGGGATTTCACCATGTTGGCCAGGCTGGTCTCGAACTCCTGACCTCAGGTGATCCGCCTGCCTCGGCCTCCCAAAGTGCTGGGATTATAGGCGTGAGCCACCACACCCAGCCTATTTATTTATTTGTTTAGAGACAGGGTCTCACTCTATGGCCCAGGCTAGAGTACAGTTGCACGATCATAGCTCACTGCAGCCTCAGACTCCTGGGCTCAAGTGATGCTCCACCTCGGCCTCACAACGTGCTAGGATTACAGGAGTGAGCCACCGTGCCCAGCCATACCACCTGGTGTTCTGGCCACGTCCCTACCCCCAACACTGGGCTTCAGGTTCCTTGGCCCTGGACAGAGGCCCAGTGAATAAGAAGAGAGGGACAAGGCCAGCAGCAGGCCTGCCACCAAGGAGCCGGACAGTGCCCACCTTTCTCCTGGAATGTTAGACCCAGGGGAGATGGTGCTGAGGCTGGTTTCTTCCCCAAACTGCCTTCTCCTTTCCATCTGCAAAATGGGAATAAGACACCTGTCATCAGCCATTGCGATGCCACCGGGATCTCACGGCATGGCTCTGAGAGTCATTGAAAAAGGCACCAAGCTCAGCAAAGGTGTTATTACTATTATTATTGACCATAAAATACTTGACAAATGATTGCAGAGTCTGCCAGAGAAGAGTCTGCCTGTCTGGGGAGAGATTTTAGGGCTGCTTTAAGAGTCTTTTGGAAGCACAAACCCCAGCAGAGGGAGCCGGCTCCATGGAAGCCTTCAGGAGCAGAGAGGCCCGGGGCTGGGAAGTCTTTGATTACCTTACATCTGTTTTTATGGAAACTTCTGGGAGCAGCCGAGGGGAAACGGAACTGTAAACAGCACAGCCGGCGTGGCCTCCCCACCAGATTGTTAATGGGGAATCGCCCGCGTGGCTCCCCTCGCTGGCGAGGGTTTGGCCCCTGGTCTGTGGCAGGAGTGATTAAAGGATATGAGCACGCAGAGAGCAAACCCAGCCACAGAAGACGAATCAGGGTTTTATGCCCCTCGGTTCTGCGCAGTAAAAGAAAATACCCCTGTTAAGTGTGAATTAATTGGCTCCTGTAATTGGCGCGTGGCGCTGCCTCTGGCCTCTTTGTGGGCTAGGGGTGGGGGGATCGGAGGCCTGTCCATTGGGCTGCAGAGTCCCCACAGGCTGCAGGGCCTGGGAGCAGGGCCTCAGCTGCTGATGAATTGCTTCCTGTTGCTCTGGGAGGTGCCTGCTTGGAGGAGTGCTCGCTCCTGAGCGTGCAGCAGGCTTGCAGAGCTGGCTGCTGGCTCTCAACCTCTCACCTGTCAGCTGGGGGCAGTCACCCTTGTTCCATTTGTGTCTTGTTGCTGCTGGAGGCTGGATCCCAGTGAAGCACTGTGGGGTGTACACACACATACACACACACACACACACACACACACACACACACACACACACACTATTCAGCCCAGAGAGGAGGCGCCATGTCTTCCCAGTCCAGTGTTGATATCCTGGTCAGGCCACTACACACAGTTGTGCATGTTGTGCACTGCACAAGAGCGTCTGGCCATAAGCCATTCTGTGCTCCATTTACCATACTGTGTACCTTTTGGGGACTGTAGCAGGCCAGAAGGGCACCTTTTCCTGAGGGCACCTTGCCAGCTGGCAGGGACATGGTTCTGGTGTTCTGAACCCCAGAGCACACTCCCCACACAGCAGCCGCACTCTGTTACACCCCCTACCCAAAAGTACCGCAGGGCCTGTGTCTGCACCATTCCTTCTCGCTATGGTGCTCCTCTCTCTCTGTGCATGCAGGTGGTGCCTATTCTTCAAAGCCCATGCAAATGCCACCTCCCCAAGCCCTTCCTCTTGAGGCTGCAGTGAACTCCTAAGCTCGGCCTGGGACCCCCACCGTCCTTCTGGAAACAGCACCCCCCACACATATGGATGCTTGGGGAAGCCACCCCTCCCTCACTTCAGCCACATGGGTCAGGCAGAGGCCATGATCATTTAAACTGTCTCACCCTGCCCCTGAGACAGTCACTTGGTCCCAGAGGGCACCCGATGGAACAAGAGACTTGACTTTTTTTTTTGTGAGAAATAAGGGTATGAATGCCTCGGGGGACCTTGCTTCCTTCCCATTCCAGGAGGCCAGCCTTGGACAATTGAGGACTTGCAAAGGTGAGGCAGTCCTAGTCCCTCAGGCTGGTCCCTTCTGCAAGACCCTGTCATTAGACACATACCTGAGTTAAGCATCACCGTCTCAGTGAGCGGGGCTTATCTGAGGACAGGGACTGCCTGAGGGTCCAGAGAGAGGATGCGTCAGAAGATGTGAAAGAGGGTGACCATAGAATCCCAGCTCCCCTCCAACCCAGGCAGCCCATGGCAACCCCCAGCTTTCCCTCCTGCCCCGTGGATGTGCACAGCATGGCACCCATTGGAAACAGCACACCCCTGCAAGGGCCAGGCTGGAGCCTGGCCTGTGGGGCAGGGGCTGGCTGGGCTGCAGGCCCTCAAGCTGTCTGAGCTCTCTGGCGCTACAGGGGGTGCTTCTGAGGCTTCTGAAGCTTCTCAGAGCCACAGGAAGATGGGATGATATCCACCCTCTCCATGATCTGCATGTGGGGCTGCCCTGTGACACCCATCCGCCCCATGGGAGCTGAATGGAATGCACTGTTGGAAATTATAGGCTGTGTGATACTTGAAAAATGTCCAGTAGTAGGCCGGGTGCGGTGGCTTACGCCTGTAATCCCAGCACTTTGGGAGGCCGAGATGGGTGGATCACGAGGTCAGGAGATCGAGACCATCCTGGCTAACACGGTGAAACCCCATCTCTACTAAAAATACAAAAAAAAAAATTAGCCGGGTGTGGTGGCGGGCGCCTGTAGTCCCAGCTACTCGGGAGGCTGAGGCAGGAGAATGGCGTGAACCCGGGAAGCAGAGCTTGCAGTGAGCCGAGATCGCTCCACTGCACTCTAGCCTGGGTGACAGAGCGAGACTCCATCTCAAAAAAAAAAAAAAAAGAAAAGAAAAAAAAAGAAAAATGTCCAGTAGTATCTACAACGTAGCAGATGTCTCCACGGGCTTCTCCATGCAGTCTGGGCAGCATTGCAAGAGGTCCTCAGCCTCTCTGTTCACCGATCCATTTCCGGGAGGGAGTGGCCGGAGCCGTGCTCTGGGTCACATGGACCTTGGGGATGCCCTCACTCTAGGTGCCCGAGGTGCTGAGCCCAGGGCCCTCCAGTGCCAGGTTCAAGCGATGGTCCTGCCACATGCCTCTGCATGAGCTCATGCAGGTCACTTTCCTCTCTGAGCCCCAAGATCCCCATGACAATGGTGCAAAAGAGCTAATGTGGGAGAGTGCCAGCCCCCAGCATATACATGTCCCTTCTTCAGGTGTGTTAAGCCATTCTCGCAGCTTTCAGGCCATTCATGGCCAGACAAGCCCTCTTCCAACAAAGTGCCCTGAGTGCAGGGAAGTGGAGGCCCGAGTAACTGGGCAGGTGGCCCCTCCTGGGTGAAGTCAGCTGCCCTGACGCCGGGCACCCACCCCTTTTCTCAGAGCCACAGGAAGATGGGGGTGATATCCACCCTCTCCCTGATCTGCGTGTGGAGCTGCCCTGTGACACTCATCCGTCCCATGGGAGCTGAATGGAGTGCACTGTTGGAAATTGTAGGCTGTGTGATACTTGAAAAGTATCCAATAGTATCTACAATGTAGCAGATGTCTCCATGGCCTCACACAGGAGTAGTGCAGCAGGAGTGCAAGGTGTGCTTAGCAAGGCTGCCTGGGCACGGTGGCTCATGCCTGTTATGCCAGCACTTTGGGAGGCCAAGGTAGGAGGATCACTTGAGCCCAGGAGTTTGAGACCAGTCTGAGCAGCATAGCAAGATCCTATCTCTTAAAAAATGTAATAATAATAAACAGCTAGGCTCGGCACAGTGGCTCACTCCTGTAATCTCAGCACTTTAGGAGGCTGAGGCGGGTGGATCACTTGAGGCCAGGAGTTCGAGACTAGCCTGGCCAACATGGCAAAACCCCGTCTCTGCTAAAAATACAAAAATTAGTGGACGTGGTGGTGCACACCTGTAATCCCAGCTCCTCGGGAGGCTGAGGCAGGAGACTTGCTTGAACCCAGGAGGCGGAGGTTGCAGTGAGCCGAGATCATGCCACTGCCCTCTAGCCTGGGTGATAGAGTGAGACTATGTCTCAATAATAATAATAATAATAAACAGCAGAGTGTCTGCCCCAAGGCTGTCCCTGTGTGGCACCCTGAACAGAGAGGCAAACTCCTGTGAAAGGCAGCAGAGCCACCTGCTGAGCCAGGTCATGTGGCCGTCGTCTCTCCGAGTGTGTGGCTTTGAGACACTTGCTGGAATCCCTGGGCTGAGAACTGCTTAGACTACTGGAGGAGAAGATGGTCTTCTCCAGAGGAAAAAGGAGAAAGGCTTCAGCCTGTGCCAGTGATAGTGGCATGAGGCACATGGTAAATTCTAGATGCAGTCCCTGGATTATTTTCCTGTGGTCACCGTAACAAATTGTCACAGACGTGGTGGCTTTAAAACAGCAGATATTTGTTCTCCCATGCTTCTGGAGGCTGAGCCCGAAATCAAGGTGCCGGCAGGGTCGTGCTCCCCCTGGAGGCTCCAGGGAGGAATCCCTCCTCTCCTCCTCCAGCTTCTGGTGGCTCCGGGGATCCCTGGCCTTCCTCTGCTGTAGCTGCGTCATTCCACTTTCTGCCTCTGTCTTCACAAGGCCTTCTTCCCTGTTTGCGTGTCTCTGTGTCTCTAACCAAATCCCCCTCTCCATAGGAGTTGATCGAACTATAATTCCCCTCAATCCAATCCACCGGTCATTGGATTTAGAAAGCACCCTAATCAAGTATGACCCCACTGCATCTTGATTACATCTGCAAAGACGCTATTTCCACATAAGGCCACAGTCACAGGTACTGGGGGTCAGGACTTCCATATGTCTTTCTGGAGGACACACTTCAACCCACAAGTCTCATCCCGGAGGCCTTCCATGGGGTCCAGGTAGGAGGCAGGGCATGCCTCAATCTTAACTGAGTGAAGCTATGACTGCCATAGAAACCCAAGTGAGCAGGATCCACTAAAATGGAAAATTGGCAAGGCACAGGGGATCACGCCTTGTAATTGCTGCAACTTGGGAGGCCAAGGCGGGAGGACCACTTGAGCCCAAGAGTCGGAGACCAACCTGGTCAACATGGTGAGATCCCTACAAAAACTAAAAATAAAAATAAAAAGCCAGGCATGGTGGTGTGCGCCTGTAGTCCCAGCTACTCAAGAGGCTGAGGTGGGAGAATTGCTTGAGCCCAGGAGTTTGAGACCAACCTGGACAACATAGTGAGACCTCGTCTCTACAAAAAATAAAAATAAATTAGCTAGGCGAGTGGGCACACACCTGTAGTCACAGCCACTTGGGAGGCTGAGACAGGAGGATCGCTTGAGCGCAGGAAGTTGAGGTTGCAGTGAGCTATGATCACACCACTGCACTCCAGCCTGGGCAACAGAGCAAGACCTTGTTTCAAAAAAAAGCCAAAAAGTGATACAAACCATTATTGACTATAACCACATCACTAGTGCTTTTTGAAAAGCAGTCATACAATCTTGTGCCCGTGGTGATGGTACTAACTGGGTGTTTGTTTTAATCTAAATAGCCACATCCACCATGGAACCACTCCTTCAGCGAAACGTGTGCAGGAAGCGTGGTCATGAACTGCACTCTTGGTATGAGCAACCCTGCAGGATAACAAATCACGGTTGATTACTTGAAGGGATCTTAGCTTGGTTCCTATTTGACGAATGATGGCATATTCGATACATTGATTAAGTTGTGACAAGGGAATTGATCCAACTATAAATAATCAAGAATATGGACTGTGGCAGGGCGCAGTGGCTCACACCCGTAATCTCAACACTTTGGGAGGCTGAGGCAGGTGGATCACCTGAGGTCGGGAGTTCGAGACCAGCCTGACCAACATGGAGAAACCCTGTCTCCACTAAAAATACAAAATTAGCCGGGCGTGGTGGCGCATGCCTATAATCCTAGCTACTCGGGAGGCTGAGGTAGGAGAATCACTTGAACCCTGGAGGGGGAGGTTGCAGTAAGGCGAGATCGTGCCGTTGCACTCCAGGTTAAAATAAGGCAGGGCATGGGTGTGGGGGGCATGTGTAAGGGTCAGTGGGAGTCTGGGGTCAGTGTGTGTGGGGGTGTGTACATGAAGTCAGTGTTGGGGCTGGTGTATGTGTCCATGGGGGTTGTGTAGATTGAACAGCAGAAGCTGGAGGCTGGAGGTCCAGCATCAAGGCGCCAGCAGGTTCCCTTTCCCCCGAGGCCACTGTCCTAGGCTCCAGCAACCACCTGCTCACCTTGTCCTCACATGGCCTGCTCTCTGCGTGCACAGCCCTGGTGCCTGTGTGGGTCCAAATTTCGCCTTCTTAGGCCGGGCATGGTGGCTCATTCCTGTAATCCCAGTACTTTGGGAGGCCAAGGCGGGCGGATCACTTGAGGTCAGTTCGAGATCAGCCTGGTCAACATGGGGAAACCCTGTCTCTACTAAAAACACAAAAATTAGCCAGGTATGGTGGTGCAAGGCTGTAATCCCAGCACTTTGGGAGGCTAAGGCAGGCAGAATACCTGAGGTCAGGAGTTCGAGACAAGCCTGGCCAACATGGCAAAACTCCATCTCTACTAAAATTACAAAAAAAAATTAGCTGGAGGTGGTGGCACACGCCTGTATCCCAGCTGTTCAGGAGGCTGAGGCAGGAGAATCGCTGAAACCTGGGAGGCGGAGGTTGCAGTGAGCTGAGATCACACCACGGCCCTCCTGCCTGGGTGACAGAGTGAGACTCCGTCTCAAAAATAAATAAATAAATAAATAAAGCAGATTATTTGCAGCCTTGACTCGGTTTGAGCTCCTGGGGGAGGAATTTAAATCCAGAGGAGTCAAGGGGATTTTTGGTGGGGAGTGAAACAGGGTATGAAGCAGGCCCTCCCTTGTCTCAGAGATGGTTTGTGTAGAGCACGGGGGCCTGGGATTCTGGATTTGCCCTAAGGAGCTCACAAGTGCACCCTGGGGGGTGTTAATATTGTTATGTCCTTCCCCATACCCAGGAGGAAACTGAGGCTGGAGAGGGAGGTGGCTGGCTTGAGGGTGCACAGGGAGTTGGTGGCAGAGGTGGGACCCAGCACAACACCTGGCTCACCCACCAGCCACCCCGCTCCTTAGGAATGGTCATGTAAGTGGTCTGGTCAAGGCCACTTTGGGGGCAGCAGTTTGGGGCCCTGATCACAGACTTTCTGTTGTCACTGTTGTGTTTTCAGAGCAGTGGCCCCATATTCTGTCAAAGGGGCCCAGAGAAGATTGGTGGGGGTGAGGAGTGGGGCCAGACCTCTCTGGGCCAAGTGGAGCCCCCAGAGCTTGGACACTTCTGGAGACTGAGGGTGAAGTGGGCTTCGTGGGTCCAGCTGGAGGAGGCCACAGGATGGCCCTGAAGAGGCGGCACTGGGAGTCACTGTCACCCTGACACTTTCCGGCCGGGCTCCTGCTCAGGGAGGCCCTTGCACAAAGGTGTCTGAGTTTCTGGCGTCCTGGGGAATTGGAATAACAGAGCAGGGAGAGGAAGGGAGATTTTCCCAAGCCTGGGAGAGCTCAGGATGCTCCTCGGGATGGTCCTCTCCCTCAGGGCACCTCAGCCACTGGCCTTTCAGGCCATTCCCAGCTGAGCACTTCCTGACTCCAGGCCTTTCCACATGCTGTTCCCTGCCTGGAACTCCCTTCCTCCAGATGTGTACATGACTGCTCTCTTCTCCATGTGCAGAGGCGTCACTCTCCACTAAGCCTTTCTCTCCCCTCCCTGTGCATCACGTCACTTGTTTTGCTGTCTTCATAGGACCCATTGGCCTCCCTGCACCTAGAAGTCCAGCTCCCTGGATTCAGGGATCCAGACTATTTCATTCACTGCTCTCTCCCCATTGCCTAGAACAGCACCTGTGCATTGTAGGGACTCAGGAATTATGTGTCCAGTGAGTGTGACACGGGTGGTGGACGGATGGGCGGCATCGGCCTTGGGCAGTGAAAGGGCCCACTGGGTCGGGTGTGGCCATGCGCAGAAGCATGCAGGGTCTCTGGCTGGAAACTGTGGTGGAAAGGAGGGCCCGGCTGCTGCTCAGAGGCTGTCCTTGGCCCCAGGCGTTTTCCCAGAGCATCAGGGCCAGCTCTTTGGTCACTCACTCACCAGGGGACCTCAGGAAAGGTTCATCTGGGCCCAGGACCCGATTCTGTCATTTATGAATTATAATCCCCAGGCTGCCCTCCCCACAGGGTGGGGGAGGCTCAAAGAAGATCCAGTTAGTCTGGGCGTGGTGGCTCACACCTATAATCCCAGCACGTTGGAGGCTGAGGCGGGAGTTCAAGACCAGCCTGGGCAACACAGCGAAACCTCATCTTTACAAAAAAAGATATAGCCAGGTATGGTGGTGCACACCTGTAGTCCCAGCTACTTGGGAGGCTGAGAAAGGATGATCCCTTGGCTCAGGAGAGCGAGGCTGCAGTGAGCTATGATCACACCACTGCACTCCAGCCTGAGCAACAGAGCAAGACCCTGTCTCAAAAACATAAGTAAATAAATAGGTCTGGTCTCTGATTGTGACTGCTCCAGGTGGCTCAGAGAGCTCCCACCTGGAGACGCAGCTTCCCAAGGAAGCAAGGACAAGGCTGCTCGTGGTGGAATTGTGCACCACGAACAACCGGAAACACCCCTAAGAGTTTAAGTCCCAGTGCAGTCCCTGCTTGTCCTTGGGATCAGCCAGCTGTCATCTCCACCAGCCCCTTCAGCACCCGTGTGGATCCCGGAAAGTCATCCCCTCTGGGCAGCTGAATTATGGCCAAGGGGTGTCCCCACTGCTGGCTGACACAGCCATGTCTGGTGAGTACGGGAGGCCACGTCAGCCCCCATCCCTGCTGCCTCCTTGCTTTAGGACATGAGGGTATTAGTAGAATGTAATGGGCAAAGAAAGAGCTCCAGTGAGCGCCTTGGGGGAAAAGGCAAGAAAAGGAAGAACATGTGTGATTCAGTACCAGGTATGGGGGCACCAAAGCCCCAGACGACAGTAAAATGTGTGTGGCTGTAAATGTATTATGTATCTATGCCTCTATCCATCAGTCATCTGTCTATCCATCTCTCTAAATAATCTCTATTTATAATCTATTTATCTATCATATCTCTTATTTATCAATCAGCTATCCACCTATCCGTCTCTTTCTACCTATAATCTATCATATCCAGCATCTACCTCTATCAATTATCTATCTATCATCTGTCTATCTATCTGTCTGTCTATCTATCTATCTATCTATCTATCTATCTATCTATCTATCTATCTATCATCTGTATAAAATTTAGGATACAAGTCTGGTAGTGACCCCAGCTACCTGGGCTGGGCAATAGTGATTACTCATACTGGGTGATAGTGGTCGTCTCTTGGAGAGGGGTCAAAGGAGGCTTCCACCTTACTGCAGTGTCTTTGTTTGGTAGAAGGAGGTCCAGGTGTCACCAGGGTGCACAGGCAATGCTGACGCATACTGGCCCTCCCTGGGCCTGGGTCTTGGTGCCTGCTGGAATCAGAAGAGGGAGCGTGCATCTGTGCTGTGAGCATCGCATAGTACCACAAATGTCACCAGGTCTCAGTTAATTGGAGAATTCTGTCCAGGCCCGTGAAGATGGAGGTGCAGGCCAGGCATGGTGGCTCACGCCTGTAATCCCAGCACTTTGGGAGGCCTAGGAGGGTGGATCACCTGAGGTCAGGAGTTCAAGACCAGCCTGGCCAACATGGTGAAATCCCATCTCTACTAAAAACACAAAAAGTTAGCTGGGCATCCCAGCTACGTGAGGCAGGAGAATTGCTTGAACCTGGGAGGCAGCAGAGGGCAGAGGTTGCAGTGAGCTGAGATTGCGCCATTGCACTCCAGACTGGGCAACAAGAGTGAAACTTTGTCTCAAAAAAAGAAGAAGGAAGAAGGAGGAGGAGGAAAAGGAGAAGGAGAAACCATGGGCTGCAGGTGATTTGATGGAGTTGGTCTGGAAGCTGTAACAAATTTGCTGGTAATGATGCTTTGGTGAAAGAGGCTGTTTTAAAAAAACACTCGGCACAGTTGCTAAAAGTCACATTCATTAGGGAAAGGTGAAAACCTAATCTGCTGCCGGTGTCTGTGAGAGCAGTCACAGAGACTCCAGGGAGTGTCACTGCAGGGAGGAGGGACCCTCCAGGCGGGTGTGTGAGGACAGCAGTGACTACATGAGCCCTGGGGCTCCCACCCCTCCCAAACCCTCTGCTGCCCTGAAGATGTGGGGCAGGGCCAAGTCTACAGTGGTCCACTCTGACCCTCTCTCCTTCCTTCTATCCTTGGTGATTTTACCAATTCAACAGCACACAAATGTATTCTTCCAGAAAGTAAAGACATTACCCATGGGTTTAAAGTTCTCTTTGATCAGCATCACCCAGTACCCTCCGCAGAGGTAGCCTCTGTCATCAACTGGACTTGTTGCCTTCCAGATATTGTCCTGCATTTGGAGCAAGGTTTCTCAGCCTTGGCACGGTTAGCATTTGGGGCTGGACTTCTCTGTGTGTGTGTTTTTTTTTTTTTTTTGAGGAGACTGAGTTTCGCTCTTTTCACCCAGGCTGGAGTACAATGGCATGATCTCAGCTCACTGCAACCTTCGCCTCCCGGGTTCAAGTGATTCTCCTGCCTCAGCCTCCTGAGTAGCTGGGATTACAGGTGCCCGCCAACATACCTGGCTAATTTTTGTATTATTAATAGAGATGGGGTTTCACCATATTGGCCAGGCTGGTCTCAAACCCCTGACCTCAGGTGATCCACCTGCCTCGGCCTCCCAAAGTGCTGGGATTACACGTGTGAGCCATCGCGCCTGGCCATGGGGCTGGACTTCTCTGTGTTGTGGGGGCCATCCCATGATTACAGGACGTTCAGCCACAGCCCTGGCTTCTTACCCACCAGACACACAACTAGCACCCCCTACCTGGGTGTGACAATCAAAAATGTCTCCAGACATTGTCACATGTGCCCTGGGGGGCAGAATTGCTCCTGGTTGTGAGCCACTGCCCATGTGATTGGAGTATGACTTTGTGGGGTGGCTTTCCTAAAAAACAAAAATAAGGTGTTGGAACGTGCATGGCATTCTCTTCCAGCCCAACAGTTACGTTGTACAGATAGGTGTACCCCACTCTTCTTCACTGCCACATACTACTTCCTTGCATGGGTATCTTACTTTTTTTAGAGACAGGATCTCTGTCACCCAGGCTGGGGTGCACTGGCATGATCATAGCTCACTGCAGCCTCAAACTCCTGGGCTCAAGCAATCCTCCCACTTCAGTTCCCAAGTAGCTAGGACTACAGGTGTGTGCCACCACGCCCAGCTAATATTGTTTATTTTTTGTAGAGATGGGGCCTCACTCTGTTGCCTAGGCTGATCTCAAACTCTTGGGCTCAAGGAATCCTCCTGCCTCCCAAGGTGCTGGGATGACAGGCATGGGCCACCATGCCCGGCTTTAATCAAGACTTTACAAAGGCTGGCGTGGTGGCTCACGCCTGTTATCCCAGCACTTTGGGAGGCTGAGGCGGGTGAATCACTTGAGGTCAGGAGTTTGAGACCAGCCTGGACAACATTGTGAAACCCTATCTCTACTAAAAATACAAAAATTAGCCAGGTGTGGTGGCGCGTGCCTGTAATTCCAGCTACTTGGGAGGCTGAGGCAGGTCTCCACTTTCTGTCCCATTTTGCACATTTTGCATTTTGTTTTGTTTTGTTTATTTGAGACAGAAACTGGAGGTTGCAGTGAGCCGAGATCTTGCCTCTGCCCTCCAGCCTGGGCAACAGAATGGGACTTCATCTCAAATCAAAAGACTTTTAAAAACACTAGGTAAGCCAAGTAAAGCATCTGCGGCTGGCTGTCTCTGTTCTGGACAGAGCATGACATCACAGTTGCCATGCACACTGGCCACGCTCACCCACTGCATCTCCTTCGATCCTCATGCCAGCGCTGTGGGGAGGTTTTTGTCGATCTTGTGTCTCAGTAGGGGCTCAGAGGTGAGGTCACTTGCCTAAGGTCGGGCCTGGTGGGAGTGAAGATTGGAACTCGGGCTGCCCAATTCCCAGGCCCATGGGCTTACGAGGTGACACCACAAGAGGCAGTTGAGAGTTTCCTGGGGGCTTTTTGCTCAATTGTGTGCCTGGTCTGCACGCCCATCACGCTTCCTTTAGGCCCTGTGATCTCTGGTCAGCTGTACACCACGTCTGAGCCTCAGTTTGCCCATTTGTAGTGTACGGGTAGTGCTCCCTGGCCTGCACACCTCAGAGGGCTCTTTTGGGCCCCCAGAGCTGCAATGCCTGAAAGCATCTTAAAAATAGCCCGTGCTGGCAGGGCATGATGGTTCATGCGTGTAATCTTAGCACTTTGGGAGGCCGAAATGGGTGGATCACTTGAGGTCGGGAGTTTGAGACCAGCCTGGCCAACATGGTGAAATCCCGTCTCCACTAAAAAAATACAAAATTAGGCAGGTGTGGTGGCGCACGCCTGTAATCTCAGCTACTCAGGTGGCTGAGGCAGGAGAATCGCTTGAACCTGACAGGCAGAGGTTGCGGTGAGCCAAGATCGCGCCACTGAACTCCAGCCTGGGTGACAGAGTGAAACTCTGTCTCAAAAACAAACAAACAAACAAACAAACAAACAAAAATAGCCTGTCCTGTACTCAGAGAGGAGAGGCACCACCAGAGTCATTCACTTGGGATAATTCTGTTCCCATTACTAATCTGGAAGGAGACTTCTAAGGACTACAACCCTGATATTTTCTCATCCTGCTTTTCTAATTTTCTCCAACATCAGGCAGCTAGGGGAAAAGCCGCATTTTCAGATGCAAATTTTCCTCTGAACCACGGAAGCTTTAAAACCACCAGATGAAGTATAGAAAGTGCTTGACAATTTCTTTAAGAATCTTGCATTCTCTGGGTTAGAATATCACGCGTGAGGATATGTGTGTGTTGTGTGTTTTTTTAATCCTGCTATCGTGAGCAGCAGGTACCAAAATGTTGATCTTTAATGTGTTAGTAAAACAGCATACATTTGAATATTGGCTTTTTCTGCCATCTGTACCAGTTGACACTGTTTTTCATACCAGCTTATTACATTTCTTGTACAAACATACTTTTGGGTGTCTCTGTTGATTTATGCTATAGTTGCTCTGGTATTTGTGTTAAAATAGCATTTTAAAACTTATAAAATATTGCTATTTATTCCTTCCTTGATTCTTTGCCATTTGACAAGTTCTGCAGTAGCGCATATTTCCCAAGGACTAAGTTTCTGGTCACGGTTCTCTTGAGGGGGCAGCAGGCTGGGGGCAGGCGAGCCCAGAATAGCTCGGGCTGGGGATCTAGCTGGGCACTCCTAGCATACTAAACTCACTGTCCCCCTTGGGTAGGTCTGCAGATTCCCCAGGGCTTTCTTCTTCTTCTTCTTTTTTTAATCTAAAAATTTCTTTTAGAGGCCAGGCACGGTGGCTCACGCCTGTAATCCCAGCACTTTGGGAGGCTGAGGCAGGCAGATCATCTGAGGCCAGGAGTTCAAGACCAGCCTGGCCAACCCCATCTCTACTAAAAATACAAAAATTAGCCAGGCGTGGTGGCGGGCACCTGTAATCCCAGCTACTCATGAGGCTGAGGCACAAGAATTATTTGAACCCGGGAGAAGGAGGTTGCAGTGAGCTGAGATGATGCCATTGAACTCCAGCCTGGGCGACAGGGTGAAACTGTGTCTCCAGAAAAAAACAACTAATAATAAAATAAATTAATTAAAAATGAATAAATAAAAATTTCTTTTAGAGACGGGGGGGGGGGGTCTTGCTATGTTGCTCAGGCTGGTCTTGAACTCCTGGCCTCAAGTGATCCTCCCACCTTGGCCTCCCAAAGTGTGGGGACTACAGGTGTGAGCCACCATGCCTGACCCCCCCAGGGTTATTTTAAACGTCCAAATGATAAAAATAAAGTCAACACGGTAGGTCTCCCTAAATTTGCTCAGTTTGAAGACCTGTTATTCTTTCATTCTGTCTGCCTCCCCCTTTTGATGTCAAAATTTTATTTCTCCAGTGAATTGAAGAGGTTCTTGGATGACCATCTATTTTTTCTCTCAAATGGCTTTCCTGGGCAAAATCATGAGCTGGTATCCCTATGTTCCTTCCCAGTTGGTTTGGGTGTAATTTTACTGATCTGCAAAATCCTCAAATCTGGGGCCCTCTTGTGCTAAGGTAGAGCTTAGATGAGCCCCTCTGCCGGGACTCCATGCCATGGTCTGGGATGGGGGCCCTTCACGGCCCTGGGGGAGGCTCTGTGGCAGTGAATGGCGCCTGCCACCGGCTGGTGCATAGATGAGGCATTCTGCCACTCTAAAAAAAAATCTGTGCAAACTGCCACAGATGGGAGGAAGAGCCGATATTCAAATTGGAGGCTGTTTTGCTAACACGTTAAAGATTAACGTGTTTTTATTGGCTGCTGCATACTGAAGCAGGATGAGTTTTCCTTCTCTAAAAAAGCAGAAAGAAATAGAAGCCGCCTGTTTGGGGCCAGTGCTGGGGATTGTGGTGTGAGGCCCCCACTGCCCAAGAGAGCCCAGGGTTCTGAAGCGCAGCCCCATCTCCCGCTCTGAAGCCCTTGCCCTGTCTCCTGGTGACACCTGGCCCACTTCACCCAGCCTGTGCCTCCCCTTCCGGCTGTAAGCTTCCAATCCCCTTTTCTTTTTTCCTTTCTTTTCTTTCTTTCTTTTTTTTTTTTTCCTTGAGATAGAGTCTCGGTCTGTTGCCCAGCCTGAAGTGCAGTAGCTGGATCTCGGCTCATTGCAACCTCTGCCTCCTGGGTTCAAGCGATTCTACAGCTTCAGCCTCCTGAGTAGCTGGGATTACAGGCATGCACCACCACACCCAGCTAATTTTTGTATTTTTAGGAGAGACAGGTTTCACCATGTTGGCCAGGTTGGTCTCAAACTCCTGACCTCAGGTGATCCACCTGCCTCCGCCTCCCAAAGTGCTGGGATTATAGGTGTGAGCCACCGTGCCCGACCTCCAGTCCCCTTTTCTTAAGACTAAGTCCCCGTGTGATGACGGTGAGCAGGTGCCGGCAGCCATGCCAAGCACCTCCCCAGACTGCTCTGCGGGACTCTCCTGAGAGGCAGTCCCAGTGCCGCATCTTACAGGAGGAGGTGAAACCAAGGCACAGAGAGATGAAGTAACCTGCCTGGGGCCACACAGCAGGGAAGTGTGGGTGCAGAGAGCCCATCTCCCCACCTCTCAGCTCCCAGCCCACGGAACTCTCCCTCCCTGGACTCTGTGTGAGGGATCTAATTTTTATTTTTACAAAGTGGCTTACACCTGTAATCCCAGCACTTTGGGAGGCCGAGGAGGGGGGGCGGGGCCCAGATCAAGTGAGGCCAGGAGTTCGAGACCAGCTTGGCCAACATAGCGAAACCCCGTCTCTACCAAAAATACAAAAATTAGCTGTACAAGTTAAGATGTCTCAGTTTCCTAATCTGTGAAATGGGTGCATTGGTGATTTCAGAGGTCCCTGCATGGTGGCTCTGGACTCAGATTCCAGTGGACACCCCTTCCTAGGATGGTCCTGGCAGTGCCCAGGTGCTCTGAAAAGGAGAATTCAACTGCAGGCACAAGTGTGGTGGTCGGGGGGTGGGGGCGTGTGAAGACCCAGGTGACCCAAGGTAAGGACCCAGGAGTTCGAGACCAGCTTGGCCAACATAGGGAAACCCCGTCTCTACCAAAAATACAAAAATTAGCTGGGCAGGGGTAACCTGTAATCCCAGCTACTAGGGAGGCTGAGGCAGGAGGATCACTTGAATCCGGCAGGTGGAGGTTGCAGGGAGCCCAGATCGCGCCACTGCACTCCAGCCTGGGCGACAGAGCGAGACTCCGTCTCAAATAAACAAAACAAAACAAAACAAAATGCAAAATGTGCAAAATGGGACAGAAAGTGGAGACCTAGTCAGGGGAGTTTAACATAACAATAGTGATGGCAGAAAGCATAGCAAACAGAAGTGACAGCACCCATCAGCCATAGGTGTGTGGCGGGGTTCCGGGCTGTCCGGAGGGAAGGGAGGGCCGGCCTGGCTGGCGCTTCCCGCCGCTCTCGGAGCGGGACAGCCCCGCCGCCTGCCTCCTGCTGCCCTCCTTGGGCGCCTCAGGCCGCGCCCTCTGCTGGCCAGTGGCGGCCACGCAGCCAGTCTTGCCCTTGGGCAGGAGAGCTGGGCCCTGGACCCTGTCAGGCCCGGACACTTCCTCCTCTTACTCATGGTTACCAGCGCTGCCCACCGAGGAACGAAGTTTCCATTCCCTCTGAGGGTTAGGGCCATCCCTCACACAGCACAGGCCAGGCTGGAGAAAGGGGGACCACAATGGCAACTTTTTTTGTTTTTTTAAGACAGGGTCACGCTCTGTTGCCCAGGCTGGGGTGGGTGCAGTGGCCTGATCTCAGCTCGCTGCAGCCTTGACCTCCTGGGCTCAAGCTCAGCCTCCCGAGTAGATGGAACTGCAGGCACGCACCACCACACCTGGCTAATTTTTTTTTTATTTTTTGGAGAGGTGAGGTTTCACTATGTTGACCAAGCTGGTCTCAAACTCCTGGGCTCAAGCCATCCTCCTACCTTGACCTCCCAAAGTGCTGAGATTACAGTGTGAGCTGCTGCACCTGGCCTCTTCTTTAGTCCAGTACATCAGAACCAGGAGGAGACCTCTGGGATTCAAGAATGCTGACATGTGTGAAAGCCCTCCCCACCGAAGTCCCGGGAGCAGCCCGGTGGGAAGGGCATCTGGCAGGTGGCAGAGTGCCATGGGAGCTGGTTAACCCACTAGCCAGACCCTACCATCCCTCCCTGCATGGCCTTGTACAAGTTGAGATGTCTCAGTTTTCTAATCTGTGAAATGGGTGCATTGGTGATCTCAGAGGTCCCTGCATGGTGGCTCTGGACTCAGATTCCAGTGGACACCCCTCCCTAGGGTGGTCCTGGCAGTGCCCAGATGCTCTGAAAAGGAGAATTCAACTGCAGGCACAAGTGTGGTGGTCGGGGGGAGGGGACGTGTGAAGACCCACATGACCCAAGGTAAGGACCCAGGAAGAAGGCAGCCGGGAACTCCATGGAGTATTTGCCCCAGAGCCCTGAGCCCCAGCCTGGGGATCTCGTAGCACACCACTGTCTCTTTCATCATTGGTGGTTTCTTGTCCTCTTGTCTTAGAGGGTGAGCATCCCCGGCACTCAGCCAGTTGCCTGCACACAGCTGGGGTTCTGCAGATATCTGCATGAGTGGGGAATGCCTGGGTGGAATCTAACAACCATCCCAGCCAGGCCCCTTCCTGCAGGACTCATGGGCTCCTTGCAGCCTCCATGCCTCCCTCCTGGGTCTCTGTCTGAGCACAGATTGTGCACGAGTGTTTCCTAGGTCCCCACCTGAGGCAAAGCGATAAGCAGAGGCCACATTTTTTTTTTTTTTGAAAGAGTCTCACTCTGTCGCCCAAGCTGGAGTGTAGTGGTGCCATCTCGGCTCACTGCAACCTCTGCCTCCTGGGTTCAAGCGATTCTCCTGCCTCAGCCTCCGCAGTAGCTGGGATTACAGGTGTGCACCACCACACTCAGCTAATTTTTGTATTATTAGTAGAGACAAGGTTTTGCCATGTTGGCCAGGCTGGTCTCAAACTCCTGACCTCAAGTGATCTGCCTGTCTCAGCCTCCCAAAGTGCTGGGATTACAGGCATGAGCCACCACACCTGACCCACATATCCTTTTTAAAAAAATTTGACACAGGGTCTCACTCTGTCACCCAGGCTGGAGTGCAATGGTATAATCTCAGCTCACTGCAACCTTCACCTCCCAGGCTCAAGCGATTCTCCCGCCTCAGCCTCCCAAGTAGCTGGGACCACAGACGAGTGCCATCATGCCCGGCTAATTTTTGTATTTTTTGTAGAGACAGGGCTTTGCTGTATTGCCCAAACTGGTCTCAAACTTGTGAGCTTAAGCAATTCTCCTGCCTCGGCCTCCCAAAGTGCTAGGATTACAGGTGTGAGCCACCACGCTCAGCCCACATAACCTATATCTACGTATCTAACAGTTACAAATCAAGCCAACAAATGCTTAAATAAAATATGTTCTTTTCCCCTGCCCTAACCAATATAACTTCAAAAAGACCTAGAAGGCCAGGTTTAATTTTGGAAATCTCAGGCTCTGGGAGTTCCAGTGTGGAACACAGCAGCCCTGGCCTCTCCACTTGCCTTCCACACACTACCCAGAATTGCCCCTTATGTGGGAGGACACCGCAGGCTGCGTGTCCAGGCTCTGTCCCTACCTCCCACACACACAGCCCCTCTGCCACCCCTGGGGCCTAGGGCAGGGCTTTTCAACCTCAGCCCCATTGACATTTTGGGCCCCATCGCTGTTTATTATGAGGCCATCCTGTGCATCGTAGGCTATTCAGCAGCCTCCTTAGCTTGTACCCCCTGCTGTAAAAACCAGAAATGTCTCCAGACCTTGCCAAATGTCTTCCAGGGTGCAAAATCGCCTCCCCTGCTTTCAGAACCACTGACCTAGGGGTACACCGTCCAGGGCCATTAGAACAGGGCATTCTGGGGTGCCAGGTACCCAGCAGGTGGTCACGAAGGGGGCCCAGGCTGTGCGGGGGGGCGGTTGTCACATTCCCTTGTGGGGAGGGGCTGGCCTGAGGAAGGCTGCTGGATGGCTGCCCTGTCTACATGCATACCCATAGCTCCAGGGAGCCCGTGGGGGCATCCAGCTCCCTCGTGGTGTGGCCCAGCTTTGATCAGTTCAAAGAGCTTCCAAACACAGCACAAGTGCATCCCCCGCCAGCAGCCTGCCAGGTACCAGCGTAAATGGCTTCCTCCTTCCTGACTGCCCATGGGGTCTTTGCAGTCCCCTGGGCCATCTCTAAGTGGTCTCCTGTCTTTACTGATGCCCCTGGCTCCTTCAGCACGTCCCCCAGGCACTGCATGGCCTCCACCGGTGCCCAGGACACTTTGGAAGGGCAAGGATGAACGCTGCT
The DNA here is from genome assembly GCF_000001405.40 of Homo sapiens. Classification (NCBI taxonomy): domain Eukaryota; kingdom Metazoa; phylum Chordata; class Mammalia; order Primates; family Hominidae; genus Homo; species Homo sapiens. The sequence goes on along the minus strand of NC_000019.10, from coordinate 29,757,407 downwards.
TATTTTAACAGTTCCAAGAGGTGCGCACATGCACTCAGAAAAGAGTAGCGCATCAGGACTGTGACTTCACGGTCTTAGGATGAGGATAGGTGATTCAAAGTGTTGATTTTCCTACAGGCCAAAGATGGCACAATTTAAATATTAGTAAGAAGAATGGCTACAACGAACTGAAACAAAGGAAATATGCTCAAAGCTGTGACTTTATAATGACACTTAAGCCAAAAGGAACCCTCACAAGTCACCTTGGGACAGAATGAACATGCATTATGGTTTGCCCTGGAGCATTCTGGCTCATGCCTGTTGCCCTTTCGCCCTTGGAAGTGTCCTGGTTTGGATGAGCAATTATATGGTCACCCCTGCCTTGGATTTCAAATTCATTATTTTATTTTATTTTATTTATTCATTTTTTTGAGACGGAGTCTTGCTCCGACCCCAGTCCTGGAGTGCAGTGGCATGATCTCGGCTCACCACAACCTCTACCTCCTGGGTTCAAGTGATTCTCCTGCCTCAGTCTCCTGAGAGCTGAGATTACAGATGCACATCACTACGCCTGGCTAATTTTTTGTATTTTTAGTAGAAACGGGGTTTCACCATTTTGGCCAAGCTGGTCTCAAACTCTTGACCTCAAGTGATCTGCCCGCTTCGGTCTTCCAAAGTGCTGGGATTACAAGCATAAGCCACCGTGCCTGGTCAGAATCATTATTTTAAAATCTGGTAGGCCAGGCATGGCGGCTCATGCCTGTAATCCCAGTACTTTGGGAGGCCGAGGCGGGTGGATCACCTGAGGTCAGGAGTTCAAGACTAGCCTGGCCAACATGGTGAAACCCCATCTCTACTGAAAATACAAAAATCTGGGCGTGGTGGTGGGCACCTGTAATCCCAGCTACTTGAGAGGCTGACGCGGGAGAATTGGTAGAACCTGGGAGGCAGATCCCAGCTGAGATCGTGCCACTGCACTCCAGCCTGGGCGACAGAGCGAGACTCTGTCTCAAAAACAAACAAACAGACACACCCTGTCTCCTCTCTGTGCTCCCCCAAACACAGCTGAAGCCCCAGCACTGTCTATAGAAGGATGTGTGAAGGATGTCAAGGTTCCCATGGTGTTAAAGTGACATCAAGGACAAGGATGGAAGGATGCCTGGCGCCTGCCCTCTCCCCTATGCAGTGGGGTACAGAGCACATGGGCACCGGGAACTAACTCCTTTACTGATAGCTGAGCAGCCCGGGAGGCCCGCTCAGAGTTCTGGGCCTTGCTGGTGAGATGAGAGCAGGAAGTATGGAGTGGAGTGCACACCTTCAGGCCTTCTTGATGGAGTCTCTGAATCCCCTGAAGCCAGTTCCAGGTTCAGGACCCAGGTGAGGAATGTCCTTCCAGGTGTTCAGAGAGGGAGCCCCACCATCGGGAGCTGCTCAGCACATCCCGGTGCCTCTGGTAGGACCTCAGCCTATCCTGAACATGGGGTGGGCCCTCCATGTGTCCTCAGCAGCAGGAGGGATTGGGCCCTCTTCTTGTGAATTCACTCCTGTCATGTTTCTGTCCCCAGAACCCAAGCAGCATCCTTTATTTGATTTTTAATTTTTTTTCCTTTTTGAGACAGAGTTTTCCTCTTGTCCCCCAGGCTGGAGTGCGGTGTCGCGATCTCAGCTCACTGCAAGCTCCGCCTCCCAGGTTCAAGCGATTCTCCTGCCTCAGCCTCCCAAGTAGCTGGGATTACAGGCACACACTACTACACCCAGATAATTTTTGTATTTTTAGTAGAGATGGGGGGGTTTCACCATGTTGGCCAGGTTAGTCTCGAACTCCTGACCTCAAGTGATCCGCCCACCTCAGCCTTCCAAAGTACTAGGATTACAGGTGTGAGCCACCGCACCCAGCCTAATTTTTAATTTTTAAGAATTATTATTATTATTAGAGATGGGGGTGTCTCACTATGTTGACCAGGCTGGTCTCGAACTCCTGGCCTCAAGTGATGGATCCTCCCATCTCAGCTCCCAAAGTGTTGGTATTATAGGCATGAGCCACTGCACCTGTCTAATTCTTAATTTTTTGAGTCAGTGTCTTACTTTGTGACATAAGCTGGAGTGCAGTGGTATGATGATGGCTCACTGCAGCCTCGACATTCCAGGCTCAAGCAACCCTCCTGCCTCTGCCTGTGGAGTAACTGGGACTACAAGGGCATGCTGCCCGGCTAATTTTTATATTTCTTGTACAGATGTGATCTCCCCATGTTGCCCAGGCTAGCCTCGAACTCCTGGCCTCAAGCAACCCTCCCACCTCAGCCTCCCAAAGTGCTTGGGTTAGAGGTGTGAACCACCATGCCTGGTCCCAGGCAGCATCTTGATTCCACCCTCATCCCCCACATCCAGTCAGTCCCCCGGACCTGTGGATGTCACCTGGGTCACTTCAGTACCCATCCCAGGATCCTGATGAGCCCTTGCCCCCAACCCAGCCATCTCTGCCTCTCACTTGCAGCAGGGAGAGCTCCAGCATTGGGACCTTCCCTACTCTGTGTCATCCCCCCAGGACTCAGGCCCGTGGGGGCTGCCAACGGGAGGGGAGGGACTCAGAGGCCTGAGGCTCCCATGGCCTCCACCAGCGACAGGGGGAGTCCCCACACTGTGAGCACAGTGGGGAGAGGGCTTTGCTTTGATGCAACATTTGTTGGCTTTTTAAAAAAATGTTCAAGCTGTCAAAAAAGTATGTTTGTTGAGTTTGGATGTTTGTGTTGGAATGTTATTCTCTTGAGCAACACTGAAGAGGGATGGAGATGCCTGTTCTGTGCAGCCAGCATGGCGGGCAGTGCGCTGCAGGGCTGTCCAGCAGAGATTATAAAGACACACACCGGTGGGCTTGGGGGACCCAGTGCCTGAAGCATCTGGACCTCATGACTGGGACACAGTGAACCGGCAGAATGTGGAGCCTAGGACTGTTTCTCATCAAATCCGCTAAGCCGCCTGCAGGCAAAGCTTGATCTGGGGACACAGCCTCGCCACTGCTGTCTCCTCTTGGCTGCTGCACTTGTCTTGACTCTCCCTGCCCCGGGTGGCAACTGGGCTTGAGTGACACAGTGTGTCATGATTTGTAAAGCAGATGTTTGACAGTATCAGATTTGAGAGAATACAAGAAGTAAAACCCGGTACACGTTGATGTAAGATGCATTCTGCCATGGAAATGACTTCTTGGTGCAAGGTCCCAGGGCCAGGCAGGTGTGAAACTGAGGGAGGACCCTGGGCCCCGCACCTGCAAACTCGGGCCCCAGCGCCTGCAAACTCCCTGCAGGTAGTCTGGCCGCTGAGGGCAACTCAGCCTCAGGAAAGCCCCAGAAGCCTCAAGGGTGAACTGGAGGCAGTCGTGGGTCCTCCTTGATTCTAGAGGATGAGGAAACTGAAGCAGGGCCTACTGTTGGTCTCTGACCTGGGGAAGAGGCACAGCATCCCTGCACTGGAGGGTAACTGAACTGCCAGGAGGGTGGCAGGCCCCTGGGGTGGTGACTGCACTCTGGGTCCTTTGACCCAGGGAGGGGGACTTCGCAGGTGGAGCACAGTGCCAGGTCCAGCCCAGCCTTGAACAAAGCGGGGTCCTCGCTCCCACGCTCAGCCAATCAGCAAACGGCATTCTCTGGCCTCTCTGAGTGGGTCATGGCTAGAGTGCATGTGATCTAATCTGACCAATGAAAACAGCCGAGTCCAGGGGCTTGACTTCTGCCTTCTTGCTTCATTTGCATGGGTTGCGTTTTAAAGTCTGGGTCCCCTGCGAGAAAGGAGCACCTTGTGAGGATGACCGAGGAGCAAAGGATCAGGAACTGGGAAATATTAGGAAACTGATGACACAGGTGGAGGAGCTCCTGCCCCCCTCCCCGCTACCCCCGTGCACTTTTTATGTGCATGAGCTAATACATTGTTGTTTTTGCTTAAATGTTAGTTTCATTTGAGCTTTTAAACTTGCAACAGAAAGCATTCCGAGTATTACCCGGGTTGGATTCCCTTTTACCCTGGAGAAATTCCTGAATCTTACTGGAATCCTCTGTGCCTCCGTTTCCTCATCTATAAAATGGGAATAATAATAGTACCTACGCTGTAAGGCTGTTTTGATGATTAAATGAGTTAATACTTGGGAAGGGTTTGAAAGAGTGTCCCGGGACCAAGTAATTGCTAGGCACATGCTTGTGATTATTACTATTGGTATCATCATTAGGTGCCTGGGGGCTGCTCACCCCCTTCAGAGACTTCAGCCCAGACAAGCCTAATTCTGGCTCAGGCCACACCTCTGGAACCACTAATAAGAGAGAGAAACCCCTGAGCTGGGGCTGGTCTGACTTTCCAATAATTTATCAAGAATCGAGAGCCAGATTTCCTCTGGGAAATACTAGTTCTTGGGTTTACAAAGTGCCTTGGCTGTAAATACCCATAAAAACGACAATTTGTTGGGCCATATTTATTCTTAAGCTGGTCAAAAGATATTAGTGCGTTCTGACTGTGTAAATCTGCCAACTCCTGAATTCCTTCATGCTCCCGGCATGCCCTCCTATGTGGGCATGAGCAAGCCAGTCGAGCCAGCCAGAGCCGGGCATGGGTGTTCATGACCCTGAGCAGTGGTGGGGGTATCTGCCTGATGACTGAGTCATACGGGTGAAAGGCGGGGTTGGTCTGGCCCCATCAGGGAAAACCTTCGCACAGAGAGTGGTCCCTGGGGCTGGGAAAGTAGAAAGAGAGGCCAGCAGGACCTGACTGCTCAGTGGAGGCTGGACCAGTTGGACAAGCTAGGCTCCTAATGGTGGCAGAGTGGGCCACATGTTGGCTGTTATGAGAGCACCTTCTGAGGGGCAGTCCCCGGGGCTCCTCGTGTTCTGGCCGTAGCTCTCTGACCCTCCCCACATCTTCACCTCCAGAGACACTTCTCCCTTCCACCTCCCAGAGGCTGCCCCCAGCCCTCTGCCTATGCAGTTCCTACACCTGGAATGTCCTCTCTCTGCCTATCCTAACTCTCCTTGCAAGTCAAGGCTCAACTCACATCCCTTCTCGCTGAGCTGCTGTGGCAATAATGGATACCACCTAGTGTTTCCTATTTCTCGTGTACAAGAGCAAATGTAATTTCCCTGAGGCAGAGCCCTGTGGTTTCCATCTCTCAGTCCTCAGAGCACCTAGCACAGGGCTGGGCACCTAGCCCGTCACCTGGTCAGCACTCTTTGCATTTCTCCCTGATGATGAAAAAAAAAAGCAACACGGTAATTGTCACTATTTACTGACTGTGCAACATTGTTAAGTTTTTTAAATATATTATCTCATTTAACCATCACAGGCTCAGAGATGATTATACCAATTTGGGAGATGTGGAAACTGAGACTTGGAGAGAAAGTGTGATCTAGCTAGAGACTAACAGAGCTGAGATGGAAATCTGGCCCATATAGCTGGGCATGTGGTGCACGCCTGTAGTCCTAGCTACTCAGGAGGCTGAGGCAGGAGGATTGCTTGAGCCCGGGAGGTGGGGATTGCAGTAAGCGGAGATCGTGCCGCTGCACTCCAGCCTGAGTGACAGGGTGAGACCCTGTCTCAAAAAAAAAAAAAAAAATTGGGGCCATGATCCCAACCTGTTTAACTTTGACTCTGGGCACATGTCCCTGTGTCCAAACAGGTAAAACCCACAGAGGATATAGTTGCTAAGATGGCTTAGTTAATTCAGGAAGGGAGGGTTGCATTTAGGAACGCAAGATTTGTGATCCACTGTCTTTGTTTTGTTTGTTTGTTTTGTTTTGTGTTTTTTTTAGACAGAGTCTCACTCTGTCACCCAGGCTGGAGTTCAGTGGTGTGATCTCAGCTCACTGCAACCTCTGCTTCCTGGGTTCAAGTGATTCTTCTGCCTCAGCCTCCCAAGTAGCTGGAGCTACAGGCGCACACCACCACGCCTGGCTAATTTTTGTATTTTTAGTAGAGAATGGGTTTCACCGTATTGGCCAGGCTGGTCTCGAACTCCTGACCTCAAGTGATCCACCCGCCTCAGGCTCTCAAAGTGCTGGGATTACGGGCGTGAGCCACTGTGCCCAGCCTTGGGCTCCACTTTCAATTCTCTATTTGAGTGTAGATGTGGCTCCTGGAATACTGGGTAAATTTGTGTGTAGACATTACTCTCTGCTTTGGAAGATACTGACTTGTATGAAGATCTTGTAGAACACTGTGAGCCATAACCAACACAGGTTAATGTACAGTTGGTGTTCAACAAAGGCTCAGACATGACATTGACTAGGGCCCGTAGCTCCATGTAGCCTCCATGAAAACAATGTCCAACCACCTTAAATAGCGTCCATCTTTTTCTTTTGATGGGTGGTGTCGCAGGCAGGGTTTTAAAGTGCAAGTAAGAGGCTGGGTGCAGTGGCTCACACCTGTAATCCCAACACTTTGGGAAGCTGAGACAGGCAGATCACTTGAGGTCAGGAGTTTGAGACCAGCCTGGCCAACATGGTGAAACTCCGTCTCTACTAAAAATAAAAAAAAATTAGCTAGGTGTGGTGGCAGATGCCTGTAATCCCAGCTACTTGGGAGGCTGAGGCAAGAGAATTGCTTGAACCTGGGAGGCAGAGGTTGTAGTGAGCCGAGATCACTCCATTGCACTCTAGCCTGGGCGACAGAGCGAGACTCTGTCTCAAAAAATAAAAATAAATATAAAATAAAATAAAGTGCAAGTAAGAGGTTAGAACAAGAACAGCATTCAGGGCAGCTGTTAGGTGGCTTGGGGTGGGTGAGAAGGACCAGCTGGCCACCAGATTTCATAGCTAAAAACATCAGGAATTGTGGACACAGCCCACAGCCCTCGTATCTGAGAAATCCTCACCTTCCAGGTAAGCACTGCCCACTTCCATTTGCCCGATTGCTAATAAATCATGACTTCTTCCTTGCATATAGACACTCTCTGCGTTTTTATTCCAAACATTTAACTTGCAGAGTTGACAGAAAGGCTATAGATTTCCCCCCAAATATCCATTTGCCTTACCATTTATCTACTTTGATCTGAAATACAGAACCTGATGGGTGCCCTAGGTAAATCAAGCATTTCCTGTCTTCCGAAATGGGTTTGCAAACGCTTATTTCATGCCATTACCATTTTTCTGTTTCTAGCAGTAAATCAAAAAAGTATCGCCCATTCATCCACTTTAAAAGTAATGTCTTTCTTATGCATAATTACACATACCCAGTGGAGATCTGTGTGTGCACTGTAAATCTACTCTTTTAAAAGGTTTCCCCTTAAGTACATTGGTGACATAAATTGGCGTAGAGCAAATTTATTTATTTAATAGGTTTATTCTTTTAACTGGTCTGATAACCATTACTGTTCACTGTTTGGTTTGAGGAGAGGAGGGAGTTCTTATTAATTTATCTGATTTATTTCTATGGCAGATATTTATGTAAAAGCGTTCCTCTGGAAATAAGAGTGAATGTAATTTATTGGTTTAGCAGGTTTATTCTTAACTGGCCTTCAGGCCATCCGCATGGTACTCATAGAAATTGGGAGAGTGTCTTAAAATAATTGAAGTAAGAAAAGGAGGTGTGGCAGACCAGAGGGAGAACATCTTGGAAGCTTGCATTTGGACGAAAGTTTTCCTAAATACTAGACTAAAGGAGCAGAAGAAGTGATAGAAAAAAAGAATAAAGGGAAGAAGAAAGGAAAGAAAGAAAAGAAAGAGAAAGAAAGAAAAAGGAAGAAAGAAGAGGAAGAGGAAGAAAGAAAGAAAGAAAGAAAGAAAAGAAAGAAAGAAAAAGGAAGGAAGGAAGGAAACAAAGGACAGAAAGAAAGAAAAGAAAAGAAAGCCTCAATAATAACAACCCCAAAATGTTTTGTCAAATTGAAGATAAAAGAGAATCTGCTATTCAGGCCCGTGTAAACTTGCTGGCTTTTGTAAATCTTGTTTGTAGCTCCTGATGGTGTTGGAGTAAAAGCAGACAGGCCCAGCTGGTGGAAGCGAGGGAGAGAAATGCTGAATTTTTAGCAGTTCAGGTTTATTTTTAGACATTGAAGGGTATCTTTAGCTTCCCAGTAAATGAGTCCATCAGAAGGCCATATATGAAATAATTAGAATGTAAAAATACAGGACAGAAACTGAGGGCCCCCACGGCCAGACTTACAATGCAGGCCCCCGCCCTCCCGGCACAGATGGGGTCAGACAAGCTCATTGCACCCTCTGGTCCAGGCTGCCCAAACCCACCTGGAGAAGGACACAGAGGCAGGCTGAGCCCTGGGCTTGTCACTGACATCACCAGCAGGCATAAGGGCCCATCCTGGAACATTGTCCCTGTGCCTCCCTCACATGAGGATCTGGTCAGGCTGGGCACGCCCTTAGGAACAGTGACCCTGGACTGGAGGCTGGAGACTGGTGGCCTTCAAGGAATCCAGAGCTTGGTCCATGGGGGACAGGCCCAGAGCTGGTGTGAACAGGCAAGGTTGGGCCATCAGGAACCAGCATTTTTATTTTTATCTTTTAAATCATAGAGATGGGGTATCCCTATGTTGCCCAGGTTGGTCTTCAACTCCTGGGCTCAAGCAATCCTCCCACCTTAGCCTCCCAAAGTGCTGGGATTACAGGCATGAGCCACCACACCTGGCTGGAATCAGCCTTTCTGGACAGGGAAAGAAGGGTGAGACTTGGAGAATCTTTGGACTCCAAAAAGACCTTTAAGTTGGTTTAGTCCTATCCATTTTCTTTCTTTTCTTTCTTTCTTTCTTTCTTTCTTTCTTTCTTTCTTTCTTTCTTTCTTTCTTTCTTTTCTTTTTCTTTCTTTCTTTCTCTCTCTTTCTTTCTTTCTTCCCTTCTTTCTTTTCTTTCTTTTCTTTCCTTTCTTTCTCTTTTTCTTTCCTTCTTTCTTTCTTTCTTTTTTCTTTCTTTCTTTCTTTTTCTTTCTTTCTTTTTCTTTCTTTCTTTCTCTCTCTTTCTTTCTTTCTTCCCTTCTTTCTTTTCTTTCTTTTCTTTCCTTTCTTTCTCTCTCTTTTTCTTTCCTTCTTTCTTTCTTTCTTTCTTTCTTTCTTTCTTTCTTTCTTTCTTTCTTTCTTTCTTTCTTCCTTTCTTCCTTTCTTTCTTTCTTTTGAAATGGAGTTTTGCTCTTGTAGCCCAGGCTGGAGTGCAATGTCACAATCTCAGCTCACTGCAACTTCCACCTCCCAGGTTCAAGTGATTCTCCTGCCTTAGCCTCCTGAGTAGTTGGGATTACAGGCACCCATCACCACACCCAGCTACTTTTCTATTTTTAGTAGAGTTGGGGTTTCACCATGTTGGCTAGGCTGGTCTCGAACTCCTGACCTCAGGTGATGCACCTGCCTCAGCCTCCCAGAATGCTGAGATTACAGGTGTGAGCCACTGCGCCCAGCCAGTCCCATCCATTTTCTATTCCTAAACCTCCCGGGTCTCCCCCAAGAACACTGAATTGTGCCAGAAGCTGGATGAAACGATCTGACCCCACAGCCTCACATTCTTGTGACACTGAATATTCCTTACAAAATACAGAAATATTTCAGCATGGGATTTTCATTAGGCCCTGTTCTGGCTTGGAGGGTGGCACACCTGCTGTAAACCATGCTCAATCTCTGCCCTCAGAGTAGGCTCCATGTCCCAGAGGAGGTTCCGTGTCCCACGTGCAGGCCGGTGAGCAGTCTAGAAGCCCTTTCATAAGCCCACCCTGTCAGTGCTGGGGAGGCCAGAGGCGGGTCTTCGAATCATTCATCCACCTTTGTTTCTCATGACCTTGAGGCCTGGCACATAGTAGGTGCTCCAAACATATATGTTGAATGTTTTTTATTTTTATTTTTTTAAATTTGAGACAGGGTCTGACCACGTTGCCCAGGCTCTCTCAAACTCAAGCAATCTGACCCCAGGCTAGGCTGGTGTAGAACTCATGACCTCAGGTGAGGAGTTCTGGCCCTGGGAACGTAGCCCACCACCAACATGGTGAAACCCCATCTCTACTAAAAATAGAAAATTAGCTGGGCGTGGTGATGGGTGCCTCATGCCTGGGCCTCAGGTGACGGGTGCCTGATCCACTCACCTCAGCCTCCCAAAGTGCTGGGATTACAAGCATGAGCCCCATGTCTGGCCTATTTTTTCTTTTATTTAATTAATTTATTTATTTGAGACAGGATCGGACTGTGTCCCCAGGCTGGAGTGCAGTGGCGTGATAGTAGCTCACTGCAGCCTTAACCTTCTGGGCTCAAGCAATCCTCCCACTTCAGCCTCCTGAGCAGCTGGGGCTACAGGTGTGCACCACCACACCAGGCTAATTTTACTTTTATTTTTTGGTAGAGATGGCGTCTCACTGCGTTGCCCAGGCTGGTCTTGACCTCCTGACCTCAAGAGATCCTCCTGACTTGGCCTCCCAAAGCGCCAGGATTACAGGTGTAAGCCACCGTGCCCAATGCCTGTTGAGTGTTGAGTGACAGCAAGACAGGCAGAGTGAGAGTGGCGTCCTTGCTTCACAGATGAGTGAGCAGGGGCATTCTAGGTGCTATGAAAGGCCACCTGCAAAGTGGCCACATCTAGCTGCCTGCCAAAGGACCACAGACGCTGCTGGCCAGGGCCAGGCTCCTGGAAGTGAGGCTGTCACATCTCCTCCAGGTGGTATAGGAGCCCGGCCCAGTGGCCTGCTGCTGTGCGTCTCCTACCTTCCCTGCAGCCATCACTGGCGAGTGCCCCTGAGCCTTGGGGTCCTGTGCCTGGTGACTTCTTAGCTAACGGAAGTACTGGCTTCCTGGCCTCACTGGCCCTGGGAATATGGCCCAAGCCCCTCCAGCAGTAGGAGTCTGGGGCATAACTTGACCTTCAGTGTCGACAGTGCAGTGGAAAAGCCTGGGGGTGGATGCTAGAGGTCTGGGGAAGGCTCCCTGGCTCCCAGACTCTTCCTGCCCTGCCTGCTAATGTCCCCAGACCCACCCGCAGGGCTGCATCACCATGGACCACAGTGGTGGATGCCACTCTATTTTCAGAAAATAGCTTCCAGTTTCTGTATCTGTATCTGTGCCTCTATCTACAATCACTCTCTCGATGACAGATTAGATAGATAGATGATAGATAGATAGATAGATAGATAGATAGATAGATAGACAGACAGACAAACGGGGAGAGAGAGAGACCTATACCTATATCTCAGGAATCATTAGTGTGCTGTACTTTAAAGCTTTTCAGCAGGCTTCGTTCTGTAAATGTGCGCACCAAAACACTAGACAAGTGACAATTACAAATAACAAAAAAGATACATGGCCAGGCGCGGTGGCTCACGCCTATAATCCCAGGACCTTGGGGGGCCGAGGTGGGTGGATCACTTGAGGTGAGGAGATTGAGAGCAGCCTGGCCAACGTGGTGAAACTCCGTCTCTACTAAAAATACAAAAATCAGCCAGGTGTGGTGGCATGGGCCTGTAGTCCCACCTACTCAGGAGGCTGAGGCAAGAGAATCTCTTGAACCTGGGAGGCGGAGGTTGCAGTGAGCCGAGACTGTGCCACTGCACTTGAGCCTGGGTGACGGAGTGAGATGCTGCCTCAAAAAACAACAACAAAAAAAGGCCTTGTTACGGTCTCTGCTCCCACCCTGGCCTCGCTAGAGGCCCCTTTCAAGCCTGCGAGTGAGCCTGGGTTGATCAGACTCTTCCTTGAAGTCAGAGAATTGACAAGAAGCCCAGGGTCCTCCTCTGTCCTGCCGAAGATTTAAAGGGGAAGTTTGGGTAAGAAACAACAAACTTGACCAACTTGACAACGCTGTTTATTTGTTTGCTTTAAAACAAAATCTACTTGTTTGAGGAACAGTGATGAAAATGAGCGAGTGTCTGTTCTCAGGACAGTCTGTCTTTCCTGTGGAACTCAGGTGAGCCAGTCCCTCTGCCTGTGGTTCTCTGGGGGCAGTGTGTTCAGGGAGTCCCAGGCAGGGGCTGGCTTGCTCTGGGGTGTCCAGCAGAGGGCCAGAGAGCTTGCAAGCCAGACCTAGGGGGCTCCCGTGGGGCTCCCACTGCCCATGAAGCCCTTCCGTCCCCAGTGCCTTTGCTCTTGTTGTCCCTCCTGCCCCACCCTCTAGACCCCAGATCTGTGCATGGCAGTTTTTTCTTGTCACTTGGCTTTAATTGCAAATGCGCCCTCTTCGGGGAGGCATTTCCTGACAACCTGATCCAAAGTGCCCTGCCCTGCGGGCCTCCCACTCTCAGCCCACCTCGCTTTATTTTCTCCAGTACACGAATCGCAATCTCCATCATCGATGGCCATGCACCGAATAATGTTTGGGTCAAAGGCAGTGTGCAGTGGTGACAGTGGTCCCATCAATGATAATACTATATTTTTACTGTACCTTTTCTAAGTTGAGATTTGTTTAGGTACACAGATACTTAACCACTGGGTTCCAGCTGCCTGCGGCATTCAGCGCAGTAACGTGCTGTCTGGGTCTGTGGTCTAGGAGCCACAGGCCACACCATGCAGTCTAGATGTGCAGTAGGCAACCCCATCCAGGTTTGTGTAGTGCACTCTGTGACGTCCACACAATGACAACATCACCTCTCCATGCATTTCACAGGACATGTCCCTGTCACTCAGCGACGCTTTAGATCTTGTTGGCTGCCTTCCCCAAGCAGAACATGGGCTCCCTGAGAGGAGGGAGACCATTCTCTGTGGTGACCATTCAGAGCAGTGGTGAGAACAGGGCCTGGCCCACCTGGCAGGTACCCGGTAGGCATCTGTAGAGTGAATGAGAGTAAAGGAGAAAGACTGGCCCTTCCTGTGCACATAGCTGAGATGGGAACTCTGGATGTTGACACAGGTCAGTCATCCTTTGGTTTTTTTTGTTTGTTTGTTTGTTTGAGACAGATCTTGCTCTGTCACCCAAGCTGGAGTGCAGTGGCACCATCTAGGCTCTTAGATTCAAGTGATTCTCGTGCCTCAGGCTCCCCAGTAGCTGGAACTACAGGCATGTGCCACCATGCCTGGAGAATTGTTTGTATTTTTAGTAGAGACAGTGTCTCACCCTATTGCCCAGGCTGGTCTTGAACTCCTCATCTCAAATGATTGGATCTCAAGTGATCCACCCACCTTAGCCTCCCAAAGTACTAGGATTACAGGCATGAGCTGCCGTGCCTGGCCACGATTGCCCTCTTGTCCTTACTCCCAAAAGAAGCTTTTCCTAAGTTATTCTGATAATTCCTGCTTGAGCAAATCTAGATAATTGAGGTATAAGCATTGGGTGGGGCATTTTTTTTAAAATTGTTGTTTTCATTGAAATTGCCTTAATTCTCCCATTTCCTCTGCCACTGTGGACAGGACTAAGCTATTTGGGCCTCCTCTCTCTCTGCTCTGAATCGCTGTCTATCATGGTCACCAGCACCTCTCTTTTTTAAAAAAAATTTTTTTTAAGAGTCAGGGTCTTGTTCTGTTGCCCAGGCTGGAGTGCAGTGGTGCAATCATAGCTCACTGCAGTCTCAATATCCTGGGCTTGAGTGATCTTCCTACCCCAGCCTTTGGAGTAGCTGAGACAACAGGTGTGCACCATCACACCCAGCTACTTTTTTTTATTTTTTGTAGAGACAGAGTCTTGCTATGTTGCCCAGACTTGTCTCAAACTCCTGGGCTTAAGCAATCTGCCTGCCTCAACCTCCCAAAGTGCAGAGATTACAGGTATGAGCTACTGTGCACAGCCAGCACCTTTTCTTGGACAATGACATTTCAGCCAGCCCCTGGTTTCATGGCCAGATCACTGAATGGGCCAAGGCAGTTGGTCCTTTCCTTCTCTTTTCCCTCAAGGGAGGCTTTTCTCCTGCCCAGCATCTCTTTTTTCTTTTTTCTTTTCTTTTTTTTTTCTTTCTTCGACGGAGTCTCACTCTGTTGCCCCAGTGGGAGTACAGTGGCACTATCTCAGCTCACTGCAACCTCCACTTCCCGGGTTCAAGTGATTCTCGTGCCTCAGCCTCCCAAGTAGCTGTGATTACAGGCGCCTGCCATCAGACCCGACTAATTTTTGTATTTTTAGTAGAGATGGGGTTTCACCATGTTGACCAGGCTGGTCTCGAACTCCTGACCTCAGGTGATCCACCCATCTTGGCCTCCCAAAATGCTGGGATTACAGGTGTGAGCCACTGCATCCAGCCCCAGCATCTCTTTTCTGTCATTCTTGTAAGAGCATCCCAGCTAGTCTTGGGGAATCCGTCTTTCTCCACTTTCAGACCTTGCCTCTTGGGTGGGGCCAGCAATGCCCCCTCTAAACCCTGGCCACAGCAAAGGTTTAGAGGGGGCATGAATTGGGCTAGGGAGAGAAAGGGGCCCCTGGATTTCAGCTGGAGCCACAGGAAAGGGCTCTTGCTTCAGGTGTCCTGGGTGTTAGGGCTGGGGGCTGTGCAGCTGCGATGGCACCAACACAGGAGATGTGAGGCTCTGAAGAAGCCGTGGTCTCTGCAGTTACGCCAAGTTTCCTTCATGCCAACACTGGCTTGAGTTGCACATTCTGGCACAAGCTCCTGGGAGGCCCTTGATAGATCCTTGTCTCCTCTGGGCTCCACATTCTGTGCAAACATCTTTATCTGTGGACACAGCCTCGAGCTGGCCATTGACCCTTCCTCAGGAAAGACAGACCCCCATCCACAAGTGTGTGGAGCCTCTCAGTGTCTGGGAACTGCAATGGCCTTGGTCATCCATGTTAGCCAATGACCTTAACCACATACCCACGGGGCCTGGCCACACCCCGTAGCTGACTGTGAAGATGACCCTAAGAACCATATAGGCAGCCAAGAAAAAAAGTCCAGAGACTCTGTGATGAGATGGGGTGAGGGGGGTACCTTAGTCTGTTCAGGCTATTTTGACAAAGTACCGTAGACTGAGTGGCTTATCAGAAACAGAAATTTAGTGGTGGCTCACACCTGTAATCTCAGTACTTTGGGAGGACGAGACAGGTGGATCACTTGAGGTCAGGAGTTCAAGATCATCCTGGCCAACATGGTGAAACCCCATCTCTCAGGTTACAGATTGCAGACTTCATATTGTATCTTCACATGGCAGAAAAGGGGCAAAGAGCTCTCTGATATCCTTTTTACTTATTTATTTATATATATATTTTTAAAGATGAGGTCTTGCTATGTTGCTCAGGCTGGTCTTGAACTCCTGGCCTCAAGTGATCCTCCCGCCTCAGCCTCCCAAAGTGCTGGGATTACAGGCATGAGCCACCACAACCAGCCTGGGGTCCTTTATATAAGGGCACTCACCCCATTACTGTGGGCTCTGCTCTCATGACCTAATCACCTTCAAAGGCCCCACCTCCTAATACCCTCACGTAGGGAATTAGGATTTCAACATATGAATTTTGGGAGGACACAGACATTCAGAGCATAGCAGGAGGTTCTGGTGAGAGGCCTGAAATACTTCCCCGTCATCCGGCTCCATGGAGCCCTCTGGCCCTGTGAGCCTGTCCCTACAGCACCTCCTGTATTTGTTTAGCCAAGTTATCAGAGTGGCCCCAGGGGACGCAAATCAGCCTGAGATGCCAACAATTAGGCTCATAAGCTCCCTGTGTCAATTTGCTCGGATAGTAGTGAGTACATCTTTGTCTGGGTAGAAGCACATCTTCACACTCTGGAGCTATGGAGGGTAAGCATTTTAAGCTGCAAATATTGTTATTCATAATAGGTTAGCAAATATTTTCAGATTAACTAAGTGTCACACTCTGGAATTATGACTGTGAATCTGACAGCTTCCGATGGTGGTGGCTCCTGCCTCGTTCTCAGGCTGGGAGGCCCCAGACCAGGGACTGTCCTTAGGGGATGGGTAGTCAGACCCTCTCCCCCATCGCAGGGATCCCCTCATCCATTTCCACCCTGAATAGTGTCCAATCCTTCTCCTCTTGGGTACCTGTAAGGATGTGCTACTCACTACTTTCAAAGGCAGAATGCATCCCCCGGCGGGGCGGCTCTGGTTGCCAGAGGATATTTTGGGCCAGCCTTGGGTGCACTGGCCTTTATGCTGGCATCACTCGCTCATGGGGTCACTCGGCAAACATTCCTCTCATGGCTACAGATGCCAGAGCCTTCGCTCAGAGCCAGGGAGTCAGAGGAGGAGGCAGCGCGACCCCTGTACGTGAGGAGCTCACCTCCTGGGAAACAGACAAGAGCACACTCAGCTCTTACACAAGACACAGAGGGGGACCCAAGAGGCTGGGGGACTCTGAGACAGGAGCTGGGGGAGTGGAGGAGAGCCTCAAAGGATGGACACAATACAAATCTACCGAGTTGGGGACTGGGTGGATGGAGCAATGGCAGGCAAGGGAGGGACCCTCACCATGGATGTGGATGGTTAGAGAGGCCATGCAGGCGCGGGGAAAGCCGGTGGGGGTAAGCGTGTCAAAAGTCCTACAAAGCCAGGTTGCCATTGAAAGGGGGTGCTCCGTGCTTCTGGAGACACTGTGCACCAGTCTCAGTGACTCTCCACCCTCCTGTCTTCCTCCCACCTCTTGGGCTTCTCCTTAACCAGACCTCTAAAGGCTGGAGTGCTCCAGAGCTGGAACTTCCACAACAAAACTCCTTGCCCAGGACATAGTGTCT